>NC_000001.11:38928835-39553835 GCF_000001405.40 Homo sapiens | reverse complement strand
ACAGCTCACTGCTGCCTCAAACTCCTGGGCTCAAATGATCCTGCTACCTCAGCCTCCCAAGTAGCTAGGACTATAGGTGCACATCACCATGTCTGCCTAATTTTTAAAATTTTTATAGAGATGGGGGTCTCACTATATTGCTCAGGCTCGTCTTCAACTCCTAGCCTCAAGTCATCCTCCCACCTCAGTTCTCCAAAGCACTGAGATTACATGTGAGCTACTGCACCCAGCCCACCACCCCAAAGACCCTATTTCTAAATAAAGTCCGATTCTGAGGTTTAGGCAGACATGAATTTTGGGCGACACTATTCATCCCACTATAGTGGCTTGGTAGTGGCTTTTGCAGAGAAACAGGAAGTTCTGGTTGAAGTATGGCCCACCAGGCCCGGCTCAAAGTTCCCCTCCTGTATTCAGAGTATAGAAGACAGGTCTTGGAGAGGCCTGAGCCCTCCGGCCTGGCATTGCTCATTCCTGTTTTATTGTGTGTATTCTCTCCCTCCATCAACTGGGCACCCATCTGTATACCACCAGCTCTAACAGGCAGTACACACTCTTAGTAAAACACAGTCTAGGCAAGTAGGAGGGGAGATTGTGTCTTTTTTTGTGTGCTTGTGCTACTGAGTTTTTATTTGAACACTGTAAGAAGAGTTGAACTATGGGCATGAACTTTTTCCTTGTTTATTTTTGGCAGGATGTTGCAGCAGCTGTCAACAACATGGTATGGCTGAGCATCTTTGTTTTTTACTGAAGCTGTTATTTGGTGCTACTTTTTGGTATAGGGAACACCCATGTACCTATTGTGTTTCCAATTTCCATAGTTTCAAAGTTCTGTAGCAAGCACAGGTCATCGTTATTTGAAATAATTCACCATGAACTAGCTACCAATAAAATTAATTTTTTTTTTTTTTTTTTTTCTGAGACTGAGTCTGCTCTATTACCCAGGCTGGAGCGCAGTGATGCAATCTCAGCTCACTGCAACCTCTGCCTTCCCAGTTCACGTGATACTCCTACCTCAGCCTCCTGAATAGCTGGGATTACAGGCACCCGCCACCACACCCAGCTAATTTTTGTATTTTTAGTAGAGACGGGGTTTTACCATGTTGGCCAGTCTGGTCTTGAACTCCTGACCTCAAGTGACCCGCCTGCCTTGGCCTCCCAAAGTGCTGGGATTACAAGTGTGAGCCACCACACCCATCCTAAAATTAATTCTTAACCAGACATCCTTCTCATTTCACATTTGTTAAATACCAACCACGTTTGTTGGCCAATCTCTTGACCATTTTGCAGGGGCCAGCAAACTACAGCCTGTGGGCCAAATCATTCCACAGTCTGATTTTGGTCTTTTTTTGAGATACAGTCTCGCTGTATTACCCAGGCTGGAGTGGAATGCACGATCTCGACTCACTACAACCTTCACCTCCTGGGCTCAAGCAATCCTCTCACCTCTGCCTCCCGAGTAGCTGGGACTACAGGTGTGTGCTACCATGCCCAGCTAATTTTAGTATTTTTTTGTAGAGACGGGGTTTTGCTGTGTTGCCCAGGCTGGTCTTGAACTCCTGAGCTCAAGCGATCTACCACCTTAGGCTTCCAAAGTGCCACAGTCTGTTTTTTGTATCCTTTGAGCTAAATAATTGCTATCTTTTAAAGGGTGTGGGGGAAAAAAACCCAATATGCAGGAGAGGCTGTATGTGGCCTACAAAACCAAAAATATTTTACTATCTAGCCTTTTTCAGAAAATTTGCTAATCCCTAGGCTAGGACAGTGTACTGCAAATAAAATGTAACCTGATTGCAAAGTTTGTTTGTTTGTTTATTTATTTATTTATTTATTTTTGACAGTCTCACTCTGTTGCCCAGGCTGGAGTGCATTGGCGCAATCTTGGCTCACTGCAGCCTCTGCCTTTTGGGTTCAAGTGATTTTCCTGCCTCAGCCACCCAAGTAGCTGGGATTACAGGCGCACACCACTATGCCCAGCTAATTTTTGTCTTTTTAGTAGAGACAGGGTTTCACCATGTTGGCCAGGCTGGTCTTGAACTCTTGATTTCAAGTGGTCTGCCCGCCTCAGCCTCCCAAAGTGCCGGGATTACAGGCATGAGCCACCACGCCCAGCCTGCAGGGTCAATTTGTGAATCTTATGTAAGAGCAGTGTTTCATGTAGTATATGAAAGTGATTATGGAGAACTGCTGTGATTAGCTGTAGTCAAAAACAGCCATTGAAGAGTTAGGCTCTCTTAAACCAATTAACACCTGAAGAAGAGAAAATCTGCAAGGATTATGACAAATTGAGTGCTTCAAAAGAAAATGATTTGAGGCAGAGTGTGGTGGCTCACATTTATAATCCCAGCACTTTGGGAGATGGAGGCAGGAGGATCACTTGAAGCCAGGAGTTCAAGACCCAACCTGGGCAATAGTGAGGCCCTGTTTCTACAAAATAATAATTTTTTTTTTTTTTTTGAGACAGAGTCTTGCTTTGTTGCCCAGGCTGGAGTGCAGTGGCACAATCTCGGCTTGCTGCAGCCTCTGCCTCCTGGGTTCCAGTGATTCCCCTGCCTCAACCTCCTGGGTAGCTGGGATTACAGGCGCATGCCACCATACCTGGCTAATTTTTGTATTTTTAGTAGAGACGGGCTTTTGCCATGTTGGCCAGGCTGCTCTCGAACTCTTGACCTCAGGTGATCTGCCAGCCTCAGCCTCCCAAAGTGCTGGGATTATAGGTGTGAGCCACTGTGCCTGGCCAAATAATAATAATTTTTAAAAAAGAAAATGATTTTAATTCTTATTGCCACTGTAACAAATTACTACAAATTTAGTGGCTTAAAACAACACAAATTTATCTTACAATTTTAGAGGTCAGAAACCCAAAAGGGGTCTCACTGGGCTAAAATCAAGGTGTTGCCAGGGCTCTGTTGCTTCTGGGGGCTCCAAGGAGAATCTGTTTCCTTGCCTTTCCCAGCTTCTAGAGGCTACCCACATTATTTGGCTCTTGGCCCCTTCCACTTCAAAACCAGCAATGGCGTCTCAAATCTTTCTCACACTGCATCACTTTGAAACTCTCTACTTCTCTTTTCCATATTTAGATGACTCTTGTGATTACATTGGGTCCATCTGAATAATCCCAGATAATAATTTTATTTTAAGGTTAACTAGCAACCTTACATCTGCAACCTTACATCTGCAACCTTAATTCTTTCCTGTCATATAACATAACATAGTCACAGGTTCTGAGAAATAGGCTGTGGACATCTTTGGAGAGCCATTCTGCCTACCACAAAACCCTTAAATGCCCCCTGCCCCCTGCTTTTTATTTTTGTGATTGATATTCATGACTAAATATGAAACAAGGATGTCATTTAATGCTAGCATTCCATTTTTTTTTTAATTACTGGGAATAAAATTAGTACCTGATCCATCTTTTTTCTAAGAACAAAGGACATACCTGTAATTATAACCTCAGTCTTACTAAATTAAGGAATCTTTTTTTCATATAACTTTTAGTTCTCATGAAAAGGCCCAAAACAAACTTCTCTCGAAGTATCAGTTGTTCTTGGCTAATGAAATATTCCTACACTTCATTCCATGTTCTTTGTTACGCCTTCATCAAACATGCCCCTCAACAGTCAACAATACCATTTTTCTCCAGTTGAAAGCTGATCTTGACTTTCTAAGGTGGACTCAAGTACTTGGTAACTGCATTTACCCTTATAGTTTCAGAGAGTCCTGAGCTCAAATCCAAAGATCTTGCCAGCACAGACCTTCCTGTTTGTTGGTATTAAAGAAAGGAAGTGCATGGTGGCTCAAGGGCATTCTAGTGGTTAGTTTTGTGCTTAGCCTGCTTATGGGGTGCAGGCTCCCAGGCTTGGAATCACAAGCAGGTCTCAGCCTCCTGGGAAGTAAATGGAAGACTGTCAGGTATTCTTTTAACCCAACAGGTTTAAGCAGCTGAGTTGTATTTCAGTCTTTTCAGAATGAATCTGAGCTCTTTGGGTGGACAATTTCTGTCAATTTGGCCAAACCAATGAGAGTTAAGGAAGGCTTTTCCAGACCAGGTGAGTGGGAGCAACTCACAGATTCCCTGTCATGTCCACAACTCCACAACTTTGGCCTTGTGGCCTTGGCTGCTTTTTTTTTTTTTGGAGATAGAGTCTCATTCTGTCGCCCAGGCTGGAGTGCAGTGGTGTGATCACAGCTCACTGCAGTCTCTGCCTTCCAGGTTCAAGCAAGTCTTATGCCTCAGCCTCCCAAGTAGCTGGGATTACAGGCATGTGCCACCATGCCTGGCTAATTTTTGTATTTTTAGTAGAGATGGGGTTTCACCATGTTGGCCAGACTGGTCTCGAATACTGGCCTCAAATGACCCACCCACCTTGACCTCCCAAAGTGTTGAGGTTATAGGCATAAGCCACTGCGCTTGGCCCTTGGCTGCATTTTTATCCCAGCCTTACTTCCTCTTGTAGTGATGGTATGAACACAAGTAGAGTGGTTTATAGTGCAGAAGAGAATGTAGCACCTCCATGGAAATAACCACTTTGAGATTCTTAGCAAAGCTGGAGGTACGGCCCCAGTCTATGTCCAAAAGTCTAGCTTTTGGACATAGACGTAGACTATGCCATATCAGCCTTGGCACAGGCTGGGACATTCCTTTTGGCTTGACTTAGTTCCTCCTCCTTATTCTCATTCACTTCTGTTAAGAGCTGGACTTAGGGCCTGACACTTACCAGTGACAACTTTTCTTGTCTTGGAGAGTTCCTAAGAGGGAACTTCTGACTGAAACCCTACATATTGAGTCCACTTCGCTGACCAAAGCAGTGAAGAACTGGACATAGCTAATTAGCTATTGGCTCATGGCTTGAATTTCTTAACATTCGTTTGATTCCTTCCTTTCAGTTTGGTCAGATGAAGACTGGGTGGAGAAGTTTGCTGGGAAGAGGATAAAGAGGAAGGTGGTTGAGACTTCCCAAAGCAGAAAGCCAGGAGGTAAGAATGACAGTTCATGCTTCCATAGGAGAGGCTGCTGCTTTCCACATAGGGAATTTCTGAGGTGAGTGGTGTTGGGTGAATTTAAAGGAGAAGTTTTGGCTTTCTTATCTAGGTGAGAAATATCTTATGTGGGCTCAGGTATTTGTGATTGCTGCTGAGCAAGGCGGATATCTGAGGTGAGAAAGGATGGTGAGTACTCTGCATCACCAGCATCCGCTATCCTCCTAGTCTTTGGCAGCAGGCTCACTGTCTTCCTGTTCTTGCCCTAATTCCAAGGGGGCAGAATCATGTAGAGGTCCCTTCCCCTCAGTCAGTACACAGGCACAAGGCTCTCCCTGCCCTCTCCACTTGCTCCTGCTTCTCCATCAGGCCATCCTGACTGTTGCTTCCCAGGATAATTTAAGGGCTCCTCCTCCTCAGTCCACCCTTTGAGCAGTGATATTTCCCTGAATTCCTTCCTTAGCCCTCAGCACCTCTCTCCACATTATCCTTATGCCATGTCAGCCCCTTCTATCTCCTAAGGTTATAACGATCTTTCATTGTCCGAATGATATTCTGATCTCTATCCCTAGCCCTGACCTTTCACATATTTCTGTTTGGGTGTCTTATAGGCACCATAAATAAAGCATATCCCAAATGGGTTTCATCACCTTTCTGGTCTTTTTTTATGCCCAATCTTAGTTCACTTTGCCATCTTCAACATAGTCACACCCAAACCAGATTCCTTGGTGCCAGCTTAGATCCCTCACTGTATTTCATACCTAATGCATTACCATACCCTGCTAATTTTATCTTTTAAATCTTGCGTTTCTCCTCTCCAGTTTTCTTCTGCCACTGTTGTCTTGGCTGAGGCCTTATCCTCTCTCCTGTGAATAATTGGAGTAGCTTCCTAACTGGTCTCCCTGCCCCAGGCCTGTTTTCCTCCTATCCTTAGCAGCCAGAGGGAGCTTTCTAAAGGGCAGATCTGACTATCTCACTCTCCTTAAGCATTCTAGGGACTCCCTTGATTTATAGGATTGAGTCCAGCCTCCATCAAAAGGGACAGAAGACCTCTCTATGTTCTGATTCCTGCTTATGTCTCCATATTTTATCTCCATTTTATATTCTAGGAAACAAGAGTTTGTAGATACCTGTAAATCTCTGTTTTGATGTAAGTCATTCCTCTGCCTGCAGTGTCCTTTTCCAATTTATTTTATGTGGCTAATGCCTGCTCATTTCTCATAGCGCAGCCCATTTACTGCCTTCTCCAGGAAGCTTTTCTGAATCCTCCAGTGAGTAAGGCAAGTATCACTCTGGGCTCCCATGGCCTCTGGGTTCCTGTGGCACCCTCTGTCCTGGCATTATATTGAAATGTGATTATATAGAAATGTGACTGCATTATATTGAAATTACTTATTTAACACATGTCTAAATATTGCTTACTCTATGCTAGGCACTGTTCTAAGTGCTCTACTAATATTTAACCCTAATAACAATTATTTGAGATAAGTACTATTATTATCCCCAGTTCTAGGTGAGGAAGCTGGGGCACAGTGAAGTCAGTACTTTGTTCAGCGTTACACAGTTCATAATGGTGGAGCTGAGGTCTGAACTAAGGCTGTAGAGCTCCAGGATCTGTGTGCCTTTTACACTGTGGGTATCCCTCCCCCGCTGGCTAGCCAGTTCCTCAAGGGCAGGGGCCATATCTATCTAACTGCCTATCTATTTATTTTTTATTTTTTGATTCAGGGTCTTGCTCTGTTGCCCAGGCTGGAGTGCAGTGGTACCATCACAGCTCACTGCAGCTTTGACCTTCCAGGCTCAAGTGGTCTTCCTGCCCCAGCCTCCCAAGTAGCTGGAACTACAGGCACACCACCATAACCAGCTACATTTTTCATTTTTTATTTTGTAGAGACAGGGTCGCACTGTGTTGCCCAGATTGATCTCAGAACTCCTGGGCTCAAGCAGTCCTCTTGCCTTGGCCTCCCAAAGTGCTGGGATTACAGTGTGAGACACCCCACCCAACTATATCTATTTAAGAATCCCAGTACTTGGCCTGATAGCTCAATACCTGTATGTTGAACTATTAATCCAAAAAAACAATAGAGTTGGCCGGACGTGGTGGCTCACGCCTGTAATCCCAGCATTTTGTCAGGCCAAGGCGGGCAGATCACGAGGTCAGGAGTTCGAGACCAGCCTGACCAACGTGGTGAAACCTGTCTCTACTAAAAATACAAAAGTTAGCCGGGCATGGTGGCACGTGCCTTTAATCCCAGCTACTCAGGAGGCTGAGGCAGGAGAATTGCTTGAACCCAGGAGGCGGAGGTTGCAGTGAGTTGAGATCGCGCTACTGCACTCCAGTCTGGGCGACAGAGCAAGACTCCCTTTCCAAAAACAAGCAAATGAAAAAATAGAGTTTTCTCTATCACACAAATGGGAAGGTTTGTATTGAATGTTATATTTATCCTCTATCCAGTCTTGTCTTGGAGCACAAAGCAAAAAGGCCCAGCATCCTCCACTATCTTCTGAAAACTTGCCCTCAGGCCTGAGCAAGAGGGCTGCCCGGTTGCTTCCATGTAGCCAGCCAGCATATGTGCAGGGCCAAGTCTAGAGGGAGGAGGGGGTGGCACATGGATGGTTTCGTTTAATTGGAAGACAGTGGGTAGATTGGAGCTGGCATTTGAAGATGTTGAGAGTTGTGGATCATGGGCAAGAAAAGCGCTGTTCTGGGACTGCGGGGCAGGAGAAGGAAACTGATGCTTCTGAGGGTGAGTCTGATGAGATAACATGCCTGTGTGTGGGCCTCAGGTTAGACAGTGCTGAGGTCTCCCGTCACTGGGCATCCAGCTGGGTGCTACGGCCGTGGCTCCTGCCTTCTGCAGCCCTGTCAGGGCCCAAGGCCTTCCTCATCAGCACTTGCTCCAGCCTACTCACTGGAGTTGTGTTCTGGGTGGGTGTGTAGAATACTCGCACTCCTACTTGGGGCATCAGGGAGCTCTCTAGCAATTTCTTCTGCACCTAGGGAGAGCCCACTGCTAAAAAAGGCCTAGTCAAATCCTCAGGTGTACATGGACATCAAGATTGGGAACAAGCCGGCTGGCTGCATCCAAACCCTCCTGCGTTCCGACGTCGTGCCCATGACCACAGGTGAGCGGGACACCATGGTCAGGACGGTGGGACACTGGTGGCTGAACAAGATGGGGAGGAAGCTACCTGGGGTCCTGGGCCCTTAACACTATTTCCATCTGAGGCGTCTCAGATCCCAGCATCTAGTAACAAATGAGGCACAGCAGGCATTTTTGAAGCTCTATAAAGGCTTAGAGCCATTAGAAAGGGTAGGCAACTAAAAGTTCTAAACAGTTTTAATTATCCTCTGGTTTGGTTTTATTGTTGGGTTTTTTTTTTTTTGTAATTTTATTTGGATATATTTTCAAACTTACAGATATATAGAATAAGAATTCTGTAAGAATATTTCAAGGGGCCAGGTGCAGTGGTTCACACCTGTAATCTCAGCACTTTGGGAGGCCATGGTGGGAGGATCACTTGAGTCCAGCAGTTTGAGATCAGCCTGGGCAACACAGCAAAAGACTCCATCTCTACAAAAAATACAAAGTTAGACGGGTATAGTGCGATGTGCCTATAGTTCCAGCTATTTGGGAGGCTGAGACAAGAGGATTGCTTGAGCCCAGGAGGTTGAGGCTGCAGTGAGCCATAATTGCACCACCACACTCCAGTCTGGGCAATAGAGCAAGGCCTTGTCTTAAAAAAAAAGAAAAAGAAAAAAGAAAAAAAGCAGTTAGGGGAACTCTCATATATCCTTTACCTACTCATTAATTTCCTTTTTTTGCCCTGTATGCTTTATCATTTTCTTTACATACATTACACACAGATGCGTATATGTATTTTTCCCCTGTTCCAGTCGAGAAGTTGAAGACCATGCACCTTTACTGCCAAATACTTCAGTATATATTTCCTAAGAACCAGAATATTCCCTTGCCTAATCAGAGTACAACTATCAAAATTATAAAATGTAACATTGAGTGATGAGCTATATTCAAATTTTATCACTTGTCCCAATATTGTCCTTTTTAGTAATTTTTAGCAATTTTTCTTCCCTGACAAGGATTCCCATGTTGATTTAGTTGTCAAGTCTCTTTAGTCTCCTTTTATTTGAAACCGTTTCTTAATTTTTCATTGTCTTTTTTGATCTTGACATCTTTGAAGAGAATAGGCCAGTTGTGTTTAAGGGTGCTCCTCAGTTTGTATTTGCCTAGTACTTCCTCATGATTAGATTGAGGTTATGTGTTTTGGCATCAATAGCACAGAAGCAGTGTGTTAGTGCATCGTTTGAGGAAGTACATGATGTTATTTCAGATATTTGCAATGTTAATTTTGTTGACTTGGTTAAGGAGTTATTTGCCAAGTGTCTTCACTGGAAAAAATGCTATTTTTTTTTTCTTTGAGACAGGATCTAGTTCTGTTGCCCAGGCTGGAGTGCGGTGATGTGATCACGGCTTACTGCAGCTTCAACCTTCCAGGCTCAAGTGATCCTCCCAGCTCAGCTTCCCAAGTAGCTGGGACCACAGGCATGCACCACCATGCCCAGCCAATTTTTTATTGTTTTTTGTACAGATGGAGGTTTCACTATGTTTCCCAGCTAATTTTTTTTTTTTTTTTTTTGAGACGGAGTCTTGCTCTGTTGCCCAGGCTGGAGTGCAGGGGCGCAATCTTGGCTCACTGCAAGCTCCGCCTCCCAGGTTTACGCCATTCTCCTGCCTCAGCCTCCCAATTAGCTGAGACTACAGGTGCCCACCACCACGCCCAGCTAATTTTTTTGTATTTTTAATAGAGACGGGGTTTCACCATGTTAGCCAGGATGGTCTCGATCTCCTGACCTTGTGATCTGCCCGTCTCGGCCTCCCAAAGTGCTGGGATTACAGGCATGAGCCACCGCACCCAGCCCTTTTGTATTTTTTTTTGTAGAGATGGTGGGTTTTGCCATGTTGTCCAGTCTGGTCTTGAACTGGACTCAAGTGATCCTCTTACCTCGGCCTCCCAAAATGCTGGGATTACAGACATGAGCGGCCGCACCCAGCCAGAAAAGTACTATTTTTAAGGGTATCAATCAGAAACTAAAACTTTCTCTCCTTACTATTCAGCCCATCTCCCAGAGGTAGCTACAATTGACAGTTGTGTTTTCCTTTTTTTCTTAAGTATTCATGATGACCTTTTTTTACCCATAATCTTTTTTGTCTTAATCTAGCTTTTAAAAATGTTTCTTAAAGTCATAATTGCACATAGTTTAAAGAAAATCGTTCTATAATAAAACATTCTTCTGCTCCCCCAACATAATTTTTCTGCCCTGCCAGAGGCAACATTCATTTCTTTTAACTATTTTAATTATTTGGGCTTTTATTGCTATGTCTCTGAAAAATATACTCATATTACTATTAGTAATCCCAGACTGGAGTACAATGGCATGATCTTGGCTCACTGCAACCTCCGCCTCCCGGGTTCAAGTGATTCTCCTGCTTCAGCCTCCCGAGTAGCTGGGATTACAGGCGCCCACCACCATGCCCAGCTGGTTTTTATATTTTTAGTAGAGACAGGGCTTCACCATGTTGGCCAGGCTGGTCTTGAACTCCTGACCTCAGGTGATCCACCCACCTCTGCCTCCCAAAGCGCTGAGATTACAGGTGTGAGCCACGGCGCCTGGCCTCCCTCCTCTGCTATCCATTTTAGATACCTCTCATCCTCACCTCAGCTGGTTCCTCTGCTAATCTAAATGGCTTATCAGGTGGGGTGACCTAGACCTTTGTCTGTGGGGATTTGAGCTCCTGGTCATTATATACCTTCTCAGGTCATCGCTGCCTAGCATAATTGGGTGGGGGAGTCCAAATGTTTATTCAGTTGTCCTAAGACCAGTTTATAGAAAGTCCATCTTTGACCCAGTGATTTAAGATGCCAAGCTTTATGAAATATTTAATTCCTTTATATATATATATATATATACACACGCACACACACACACACACACATATATATGCATATATACACACACATATACATACATACACATATATATACATTTTTGTATATGTGTGTGTGTGTGTGTGTGTATATATATATATATTTTTTTTTTTTTTGAGACGGAATTTCACTCTTGTTGCCCAGGCTGGAGTAAAATGGCATGATCTCAGCTTACTGCAACCTTTGCCTCCCGGGTTCAAGTGATTCTCCTGCTTCAGCCTCCCGAGTAGCTGGGATTACAGGCACATGCCACCATGCCGAGCTAATTTTCTGTATTTTTATTAGAGATAGGGTTTTACCACATTGGTCAGGCTGGTCTTGAACTCCTGACCTCAGGTGATCCACCCACCTCGGCCTCCCAAAGTGCTGGGATTACAGAC
This sequence comes from Homo sapiens, assembly GCF_000001405.40. Taxonomy (NCBI): domain Eukaryota; kingdom Metazoa; phylum Chordata; class Mammalia; order Primates; family Hominidae; genus Homo; species Homo sapiens. The sequence continues at coordinate 39,542,469 of NC_000001.11, read as the reverse complement.
CCGAGCCACCGCACCTGGCCTATGTATATATTTTAATAGAGATGAGGTCTTGCCGTGTTGCCCAGGCTGGTCTCCAACTCCTCTGCTCAGGCAATCCTCCTGCCTTGGCCTCCCCAAGTACTGAGATTACAGATGTGAGCCACCATGCCTAGCTGAAATACTGAATTTTCATACGTTTCTGGGTCTATTCGGGACTTTCTCTTCTTTTCACCTAGTCTGTTCTATCTATTTGTGTGCCACTTCCACACTTAAGCATTTAGTTTAAATAAAGGTACTATGTACTTTTTTAGATTTGGAGAGCTGGAGTTTGGGGGTGTGTGTGTATTTTATTTCAGAGACAGGGTCTCACTTTGTCACCTAGGAGTGTGCCACCATGCCTAGCTAGTTTCTGTATTTTTAGTAGAGATGGGGTTTTGCCATGTTGGCCAGGCTGGTCTCGAACTCCTGACCTCAGGTGATCCACCCACCTTGGCCTCCCAAAGTGCTGGGATTACAGGCATGAGCCACCGTGGCTGGGACCCAAATGATTATTTTTATTTTTGTAGAGATGGCATGTTACAGAGAGCTGGAGTTTTAATTATCTAGTTAGATATTCTTACCTCAGCACTTTTCTCTTTCTCAATCCCAGAGAATTTTCTCTACATGTGCACCCATTTAAAGGACTCGGCTTCAAGGGAAGCAGCTTCCACCGCATTATCCCCCAGTTCATTTGCCAGGGCAGTGATTTCACAAACCACGGTGGCACCAGGGGTAAGTCCATCTACAAGAAGAAATTTGATGATGAAAACTTTATCTTCAAACACACAGGACCAGGTAGGAACCACTCATCGTGTGGTGACAAGGGAGGCTGGGCGAGGGCAGCTGGCCGTGCAGGGTGGAAGGATGAGCCGTGGTTCTGGCTGAGAAACAGGGAATCTGGAGGAGACCCAGCTACCAGACACAGGAGAACCGTTCAGCCTTGCTAGGGTGGAGTTAGCTTTGGGCTTTGAAAAGCTTTTCTGTTTTTTATTTTGGGTTATTTCAGTTCCCATTTGTCTCCTTTCATTAAAAGAGGAAGAAGCATAGACGCCTGGGTCTGCTCCTACAGGGGTGTCTTGTTATTGTTTTTGTAACTTTTTATTTTATGTAATGTCAAGCTCACGGAAGAGTTACAAGAATAGTGCGATGAACCCCATACACCTTTGCTGGCATTTACTCAAGTTCACCAGTTGTTTATATTGGTGAACATCATTTCCTATTTATTCTCCTTCTGTGTATTTTTATAGACAGTGCGTATTTTTTTAGAGCCATTTGAAAGTAAGTTGGAGAGTTCATGTTCCTCTACCACTAAATACTTCAGCATGTATTTCATAAGAAACAGGGTATTTTTAATGTTACCAGGACATAGTTCTCAAAATCAGAAAACAAACACTGCTACAATACTATTCTCTCAACTGCAGTGCATATTCAGATTTCCTCATGTGACAGCACGTCATCCTTTTGGGGCTTTTCATGGTTGGCACGTGTCCTAGACTCATAGATGCGCTGCCCATCCACCCACACCACACTGCCCTGTTGCCTCACTCACATCTCACGCGCCGTCGCTGCATGCACTCTCCTTCCTCTTGCCAAGGATCCCGCTGCCTCTCTCGTGCTCCTTCTTACGTAGTGCAGAACTCTGTGTGCTAGAGAAAAGCACAGCCCTGAGCTATCTGGTCCCTCTTGAGTTGAGGAGCTCAGGTCTTAAGGGCACCTTGAGCAATGCCCAGTGGTCCTCCCAGATTGCTGGAGGTACTTGTCATCCATCGTCTGACTGGAAAACACGCCTTTTCTTCACTCCTCAGCCCTCCAGCATTGCTTCATACACTCTCCCTCTCAGCTGATGGTGTCGCTTATTTATAGAAACAATCAGAAGAGAACTATTTAGTCTTCCTGCAGCCAGATCTACTCCCCTGCCTGCATCATTCTCTCCTGCCTGGCCTGCTTGCCTTCCTGTGACAATGGTGGCCTCCCTCTTCTCCTACCTTTTGCCCCATGGTGTCTTCCCTCAGTCTCTTCCCTTGTCTCTTCCTCCTCCTAGTCTCTAAATTTTTGGAGGGACCCAGTGCTCACCATGGCTTTTCTGTATCTGTATTCACTCTTTACCTCAATAGTTCTCACCCTTTTACCCTAGCACCTGCCTCTTACAGCTCATGCTCTAGTGTGCTGAGATGGAAGTCACAGCTCTGCACCCTTCCAGTGAATGCCTAATTAAAAACACGGTATTGGCTGGGTGCAGTGGCTCACGCCTATAATCCCAGCACTTTGGGAGGCCGAGGTGGGAGGATTGCTTGAGCCCAGGAGTTTGAGACCAGCCTGGGCAACATGGCAAGACCCCATCTCTACAAAAAATACAAAAACCAGCCAGGCATCTTGGTGAACACCTATAGTCCCAGCTTCTCAGGAGGCTGAGGTAGGAGGATGGCTTGAGCTGGGGAGGCAGAGGTTGCAATGAGCCAAGATTGCACCATTTGGACTCCAGCCTGGGTGACAGAGTGAGACTCTGTCTCAAACGAAAAACCCCACAGTATTATTTCATAGTTGTAATATAAAGGGAAATTAAAGGAAAACAATTTGTAATAACATAATATGCATTTCAGTATTCAAATGCTTGGAAGCAACTACATGTATGAAGTACTTGAACATGTGTACTTCTGCCTAGAGCTGCACTTAGTAGTGTGGACTGATTCAGGTGTGTTGTTTTGGCAGAATCAAAGTAACATGATGTTTTGAAATAGTAAAAATCTCTTGGTAAAATTCTGAGCAAAAAGAAATGAAAAGTGACAGGATGGGTTGATTTCTGGAAAAATTTGATACAAAAAAATAATTCTTTGGATTTATATGGAACATGGAGTTAGGGTGTAGGCTCAGATCATTATAAATAGATTTTTCTTATCTACATGAATGTTATTCAGGGCTTTTGAAAGTCCAGGATTTAGAGTAACTCTCCATTACGTAGGAGACTGCAGGACATCTAGAGTCCCTCCCTGATCCCTTCCTTCCAATGCCAGTAGCACCGTATTACTGACCACCAAAAATAGACTGCAGTTTCTGGTAGCCCCTAGGGGGCAGTATGATACCACTGAGAACCCATGCCCTGGGCAATCACGCCGCCCAGTCCCAGGACTTTCAGTGAAATCACCGAGTTAAGCTTGTCCACATGGGTCACCATGCTGATGGCTCCCTGAGCTCCAGACTCCTGTCCAACCACCTACCTTTCACCTTTGCTGGATATCCCACGAGCATCTCACACTTCACATGTCCAAAATGTGGCCTTGGCCTTCTCCCCCACACCCTTCCTCCCCCTTTTCCCTGTTTCAGTAAATGACTCCACCATCCACTTAGCTGCTTGGTCAGAAACTTAGGCGTCATCATGGACTCCTGCATCACCTGCAGGCCACATCTATCTGACTTCAGGTCATCTCCTGGCCCAGCTACTCTTCACCCTTCCCCCACGACCACCAAGTCCTGTTTCCAGCCTGGCTTCTTCACCCTCATAGTCTGATCTTCACTTGGCAGTCAGAGTGATTGTTTTTAATCATAAATCTGATCACATCATCCTCCTGCTGACCCATCCTGCGCTGTGCGTGGGGACGCTGTCCTACAGGGTTAACCCACCTTGGGTCCTGGCACCTCTCTGTGCCCCTAGGATGTGCTGCCCCTCGCCCTCTGCATCCATAGGCAGTCTCGCTGTTCCTCAGACATGCTGAGCTCACTCCTGCCTCAGGGCCTTTGCACATGCCCTTTTCTCTCATGGAATGTTCTTCCTCCACTGTCCAGATGGTTCACACCCACTTCCTTCAGATGCCACCCATGTGTCCCCTTGGCTGAGAGGCCTACCCTGACCTCTCCCTAAAACAGGCTTTCCTGCCACCTCACTCTTCTTTTTAATCAGCTTCAGTTTTCTTCTTACGCTTATTACCTGAAATTGTGTTATACATTTATTATTTTACTTATTTATTTTCTGTCTCCCTTTCTCCCATGTCAGCCTCGTGAGGGCAGGACTTAGGCTTTCTTGTTCACCATTGTATTCTGGAACGGTGTCTGGCACACAGCAAGCATGCAATAAATATTTGAATATTTATTTTAAAAAGCTATTGGTTGTGCGTGGTGGCTCATGCCTATTATCCCAGCACTTTGGGAGGCCGAGGCCGGCAGATCACCTGAGGTCAGGAGTTAGAAACCAGCCTGGCCAACATGGTGAAACTCCGTCCCTACTAAAAATACAAAAAAATTAGCCAGGCGTGGTGGCGGGTGCCTGTAGTCTCAGCTACTTGGGAGGCTGAGGCAGGAGAATTACTTGAACCCAGGAGGCAGAGGTTACAGTGAGCCAAGATCACGCCACTGCACTCCAGCCTGGGCGACAGAGCAATACTCCGTCTCAAAAAAAAAGCTATTGACAGGCTGCTTTTTTATGTGCCAGGCTCCCTGATTGACTCTGGGAATCGAGTGGAATGGGGCCAGGTGCGGTGGTTCGTGCCTGTAATCCCAGCACTTTAGGCTTAGGCAGGCAGATTGCTTGAGCCCTGGAGTTTGACACCAGCCTGGGCAACATGGCAAAACCCTGTCTCTACAAAAATTACAAAATTAGCTGGGCATGGTGGTGTGTGCCTGGTCACAGCTACTCGAGAGGCTGAGGTGGGAGAATCGCTTGAGCCTGGGAGGTTGAGGCTGCAGTGAGCTATGATTGGGCCACAGCACTCCAGCCTGGATGACAGAGTGAGATCATGTCTCAAAAAACAAACAAAAAGAGTAGAATAGGACATGGTCCTCATATGAAGGGCGTACCCAGTCTAGAGGCCCAGCCATGAAGAGGGGGGTTTCTTATTGCCACAACGAGATGTAGCTCCTTATCCTACGCCCCCTAGTCCCCTGGCAAACCCAGGCTTTTTATTTGTTTGTTTTGTTGTTGTTGAGGCAGAGTCTTGCTCTGTCTCCCAAGCTGGAGTGCTGTGACATGATCTTGGCTCACTTGCAGCCTCAACCTCCTGGGCTCAAGCAATCCTCCTGCCTCAGCCTCCCAAGTAGCTGGGACTTATAGATACATGCCACCACACCTGGCTAGTTTTAAATTTTTTGTAGAGATGGGATTTTTCTCTGTTGCCCAGGCTGGTCTTGTATTCCTGGACTCAAGTGATCCTCCTGCCTTGGCCTGCCAAAGTGCTGGGATTACAGGCGTGAGCCACGGTGCCTGGCCCCAGGCCTTTTAGACTGAACTCAGACATCACCTCCTTCAGAAAGCCTTCATGATGAGTGTTTGTGTGAGTATCTGTTTCTCTTTTTCACAAACACTTAGGTGACTCTAGTGCTCCCATTCTATGCACAAATGTCTCTGTCACTGGGCTTTGCCATTTTGTAGTGTAATTATCTTTTTTTTTTAACGGCTTTAGTAGGATATTATTTACATACCATCCAGTTTGCCCACTTAAAGTACACATTTTAATGGTTTTTAATGTATTCACAGAGTTGTGCAACCATCACCACAAATAATTTTAGAACATTTTATCCCCCAAAAGGAAACTTCATACCCTTTAGCAGTTGCTACTTATCCTGTTGGTCCCCTGCCCTGGGAAACCCGAATTTACTTTCTGTCTTTATGGATTTTCCCATTCTAGGCATTTAATATAAGTGGAATCATACAATATGTAGGCTTTTGTGAGTGTCTTCTTTCACTTAGCATAATGTTTTCAAGGTTCATCCATGTTGTAGCATGTATCAGTACATCATTCCTTTTTTTTCTTTTTGTTTTGGTTTTTGGTTTTTTTTTTTTTTTTTTTTTTTGAGATGGAGTCTCACTTTGTCACCCAGGCTGGATTGCAGTGGTGCAGTCTCGGCTCACTGCAAGCTCCGCCTCCTGGGTTCACACCATTCTCCTGCCTCAGCCTCCCAGCTGGGACCACAGGCACCCGCCACCACGCCTGGCTAATTTTTTGTATTTTTAGTAGAGATGGGGTTTCACCGTGTTAGCCAGGATGGTCTCGATCTCCTGACCTCGTGATCTGCCCACCTTGGCCTCCCAAAATGTTGGGATTACAGGCGTGAGCCACCGCCTCCGGCCCCATCATTCCTTTTTATTGCCAATTAATACCCACTGTCTGCACCCCACATTTGTTTATCCATTCATAAGTTGATAGATTGTTTCTACTTTTTGGCTATTACAAATAATGCCACTGTGAACATTCACATACAAATTTTTGTGTAGACATATGTTTTCATTTCTCTTAGATGTAGCCATAGAATTGGAAATGCTGGGTTATATAACTATTTATTTATTTTTTTTTGAGACAGAATTTCACTCTAGAGTGCAGTGGCACAATCTCGGCTCACTGCAACCTCCACCTCCCTGGTTCAAGAGATTCTCCTGCCTCAGCCTCCCCTAGCTAGGATTACAGGCATGCACCTCCATACTCGGCTAATTTTTGTATTTTTAGTAGAGACGGAGCTTTGCCATGATGGCCAGCTGGTCTCGAATTCCTGGCCTCAAGTGATCTGCACAAAGTGCTGAGATTACAGGCATGAGCCACCGTGTCTGGCTGATAACTATTTTTAATGTTTTGAGAAACGACCAGACTGTTTGAAGTGGCTGTACCATTTTGCATTCTTTTTTTTTTTTTGAGATGGAGTCTCACTCTGTTGCCCAGGCTGGAGTGCAGTGGCGCAATCTCAGCCCACTGCAAGCTCCGCCTCCCGGGTTCACGCCATTCTCCTGCCTCAGCCTCCCGAGTAGCTGGGACTACAGGCGCCTACCACCACGCCTGGCTAATTTTTTTGTATTTTTAGTAGAGACATGGTTTCACCGTGTTAGCCAGGATGGTCTTGATCTCCTGACCTTGTGATCCGCCCGCCTTGGCCTCCCAACGTGCTGGGATTACAGGCATGAGCCACTGCCCCATTTTGCATTCTTAACGGCAGTGTATGATGTTTCTGATGCCTCTATACCCTCACCAACACTTGTGATTATCCTTCTTTTTTTATTAGACCTATCCTAGTGATGTGAAGTGGTATCTCATTGTGGTTTTGATTGGCATTTCCGTGCTAGTTAATGATGTTGAGCATCTTTTCATGTGTTTATTGGCCTTCTCTATATCTTCTTTGGAAAAATGTCTCTTCAGACCCTTTACCAATTTTTAATTGGATTATTTGTCTTTCTATTGTTGAGTAAGAATTCTTTTGTTTTTTGTTTTTTGAGACAGGTTCTCACTCTGTCACCCAGCCTGGAGTGCAGTGATGTGATCACAGCTCACTGCAGCCTTGACCCTCTGGGCCCAAGTGATCCACCTGTCTCAGCCTTTCAAGTAGCTGGGACTACAGGTGCATGCCACCAGGCCCAGCTAATTTTATTTTTTGTAGAGACAGGGTCTCCCTGTGTTGCCCAGGCTTGCCTCAAGTGATCCGCCTGCCTTCACTTCTCAAAGTGCTGGGATTATAGGCATGAGTCACCACACCTGACCAAATATAGTCAAGAGTCCTTCTTTTTTTATTTTTGTAGTGACGGGGTCTTGCTCTGTTGACCAGACTGGAGTGCAGTGGCACAGTCACAGCTTGCTGTGGCCTCAAATTCCTGGGCTCAAGTGATCCCTCTGTCTCAGACTCCTAAGTAGCTGGAACTACAGGCATGCACCACAATGCCTGGCTAATTTTTTCTTATTTTTTGTAGAGATGGGGCTCTCACTTCGTTCCCCAGGCTGGTCCCAAACTCCTAGCCTCAAGTGATCCACCCGCCTCAGCCTCCCAAAGTACTGGGATTACAGGCGTGAGCCACTGCGCCCGGCCTTTTCTTTCATTCTATAGGTTGTCTTTTCACTTTTTTGATGGCGTCGTTTGAAGCACAAAATATTTTAATTTTGATAAAGTCTAATTTATCTTTTTTTGTCACTTGTACTTTTGGTGTAGTGATTATGAAGATTTACTCCTACACTTTCTATTAAGTATTTTATGGTTTTCTCTCTTACACTGAAGTCTTTACTCCATTTGAAGTTAATTTTTGTGTATAGTGTGAGGAAAGTGGTCCAGCGTTACTCTTTTACATGTGGATTTTCAGTCGTCCTAGCACCATTTGTTGAAAAGGCTAGTTTTTTTCCTGTTTAATTGTCTTGGTATCCTTGGTGAATATAGTTGACCATAAATGTAAGGGTTTCTTCTGGATTCTAAATTATATTTTGTTGATCTGTATGTCTGTTATTAGGCCATTACTACTGTGTCTTAAATTCCATAGCTTTGTAGTAAATTTTTAATTCTGGAAATGCGAGTCCTCCAACTTTGTTTTTCCTTTCAAGATTGTTTTGGTTATCCTGAGTCTCTTACATTTCTTAAGAATTTTGGGATAAGCTTATCAACTCGTATGAAAAAAGCCAGCTAGGATTTTAATACAGATTGCACTGAATGTGAAGAATTTAGGAGTATCATCATCTTAACAATATTAAGTCTTCTGATCCATGAACACAGGATATCTTTTCATTTGTTTAGGTCTTCTTCAGTGTTTTTCAGTAATGTTCTTTGGTTTTCTTTTTTTTTTTTTTTTAATTGGGATGGGGTCTTGCTATGTTATCTAGGCTGGTCTCGAACTCCAGGGCTCAAGCAATCCTGCCACCTTGTCCTCCCAAAATGCTGGGATTATAGATGTAAGCCACCATGCCTAGCGAGTCAGAATTCTTTAAATATTTTAGATACAGGTCTCTTATCAGATGTATAATTTGCAAATAGTTTCTCTCATTCTTTTTTTTTTTTTTTTAGACAGGGTCTCACTGTATTGCCCAGGCTGGAGTGCAGTGGTGCAATCACAGCTCACCACAGTCTTGGAACTCCTGTACCCAAGTGGTCCTTATGTTTCAGCTTTACAACTAGTTGGAACTATAGGCACACACCACCACACCTGGCTAATTTTAAAAAATATTTTTGTAGACAGCTGTGACTGCACCATTGCACTCCAGCCTGGACAACAGAGCAAGACTCTTCTAAAAAAAATACACACACATATATATATAGCAATTATATTTCTTTTCTTATTTTTGAGACAGAGTCTTGCTATGTCGCCCAGGCTGGAGTGCAGTGGCAGCATCTCAGCTCACTGCAAGCTCCACCTCCCGGGTCCACGCCATTCTCCTGCCTCAGCCTCCTGAGTAGCTGGGACTACAGGCGCCCGCCACCACGCCGAGCTAATTTTTTGTATTTTTAGTAGAGATAGGGTTTCACCATGTTAGCCAGGATGGTCTCGATCTCCTGACCTTGTGATCTGCCCGCCTCGGCCTCCCAAAGTGTTGGGATTACGGGTGTGAGCCACCGTGCCTGGCCGTAGATATAGCAATTATATTTCTATACATCAGCAATGAACAACCTGAAAACAGAATAAAAAGAAAAACAATTATACTTACAATAGCATAAAAAAGAATAAAATATTTAGGAATAAGTTTAAAAGATGTATACAGCTTATACTTTGAAAACCACAAAACAGGCCAGGCATGGTGGTTCACACTCATAATCCCAGCACGTTGGGAGACTGAAGTGGGAAAATCACTTGAGTCCAGGAGTCTGAGACCAGCCCGAGTCAACATAATGAGACCTCATCTCTACAAAAATATATATAATCAATTGTATATTGATTTTGTATTCTGCAACATTGCTAAACTTGTTTAATAGTTCTTTTTTTTTTCTTTTTTTGAGATGGAGTCTCACTCTGTCGCCCAGGCTGGAGTGCGGTGGCACGATCTCAGCTCACTGCAACCTCCACCTCCCAGGTTCACGCCATTTTCCTGCCTCAGCCTCCTGAGTAGCTGGGACTACAGGCGCCCGCCACCACGCCTGGCTAATTTTTTGTATTTTTAGTAGAGATGGGGTTTCACCGTGTTAGCCAGGATGGTCTCAATTTCCTGACCTTGTGATCCGCGCACCTTGGCCTCCCAAAGTGCTGGGGTTACAGGCGTGAGCCACCATGCCCGGCCTGTTTATTAGTTCTAATAGTTTTTTTTGTGGATTTTTTAGGATTTTCTATATGCAAGAGTGTGTCATCTGCAAATAGAAATAGCTTTACATTTTCCTTGCCGATTGGATGCCTTTCATTTCATTTTTTTCACCTAATTACCCTGGCTAGAACCTTCAGTACAATGTTGAATAGAAGTGTCAAGGGCAGATATCCTCGTCTTGTTCCTGACCTTAGGGGGAAAGCATCTTGTCTTTCACATGTAGTTTTCTGTTGATACCTTTTATCAGATTGAGAAAGTTCCCCCTTCCACTCCTAGTTTATTGAGTTTTCATTATGAAAAGGTGTTGGATTTTGTCTACTGCTTTTTCTGTATCTGAGATGATTATGTGGTTTTTGTTCTTTATACTATTGATAATTGTCTATTACATTGATTGATTTTTAGATGTTAAACCAACTTTGCATTCCTGAGATGAATCCACATCTTTTTTGGGTGGCTGTATTTCACTAGATTGTGAGCTCCACCACTGTTAGGGCCAGTGTCCCCAGGGGGCAGGTAGGGGTGGATGTCCCTAAAGTCTGTCTTTATTCTGCTCCTTCACTCCCCTGAGTGTCCCCTCTTCTATTCTGTCTGCAAAGGCAAGGATGGGAAGCCAAGGCAGAAGGTGATCATTGGCAACTGTGGGGAGTATGTGTGAGGCGGCACTCTCTCTGCTCTCCACTCTGCTCTTGCCCCTGCACATCCAGGAAGGAGCTGCCAGCCTCAGAGGAGGCAGCACCGAGGGTGCCCTATTTGAAGCAAGCAGGATTTGTGGCATGAGGCCCACCTTAGGGTCAGCTTGGAGCACCTCTGTAGGCACAGCCTGGACTGTTCCCAAGTGCAGCTGTGGGCCCACGAACCAGCACAGGTGCTCCTTCTCCAACCACCACTTTTCTCGGCATTTGCTGCTGGGTCTGCTGTGGGCCCACCAATGTGGCTCCTGGATGTTTTGTTCTCTTTGGTTTGCTAAAATAAATTCTAGTTCTTATACTGCTGCCTGCCAGCCAGGTCCCAGGTGTTTTCAGAGGTTGCTGCTGGGACAGGCCATAGCATCTCGGCTGCTGCTCTTCTCTCTTAGGCCAAGTCCCTTAGGAGATGCCCTCGGCAGCCCATTGTGGGGCAGTAGAAGTCAAAGCCATGTAAAAGTGCCTGTGTCTTTTCTTTCTGGTCAGTTACCATTCCTGCTCTCACACCAGCTGGTCTTGTGCCTGATGGACATTTGTAATCAGTCTCACTGACCTGGCACTCATTATGCACTTCCTGAACCAACAGAACTGTATTACCGAGGAGCACACAGGGCGCTTCTTTAGTCAGCGGATGTGCTTGGTGCTGGGGAGAAACAAGCCAGGGGTGGCTCCTACTTCCTCCTCCCCAACCCCAGGCCTACCTGGAAACTGCAGTGTGGTGTCATGGTGCGCAGCCTGTGCTAGGATGGCCTCTCACCCTGCACCGATTTTGGGCCAGCCAGGCCACCTCATGGCCTCTTTCAGGTGTTGAAACTGAGCCCTATCAGTCTCCAGAAACCTCCCCCAGGGCTGCCCACTGGCTCCCATGACATGTCCTAGGAGCTCTGTCTGAATCAAGCCTTTTTTTTTTTTTTTTTTTTTTGAGATGGAGTTTTGCTTTTGTCACTCAGGCTGGAGCATGATCTCAGCTCACTACAACCTCTGCCTCCCAGGTTCAAGCAATTCTGCCTCAGCCTCCCAAGTAGCTGGGATTATAGGCACCCGCCACCATGCCCAGCTAATTTTTGTATTTTCAGTAGAGATGGGGGTTTCGCCATGTTGGCCAGGCTGGTCTTAAACTCCTGACCTCAGGTGATCCACCTGCCTTGGCCTCCCAGAATGCTGGCTGAATCAAGTCTTGATGTTGAGTATCCACCAGGGTGAGGGTGGTGGGGAAAGGAGAAGCCTATTGCCCTGGCCCCAGTGACCCCAAGCCAGCTCCACCTCTGGCACCCTGGGTGGGGCTTCTCCCCGCTTGATCAGCTTGGGCCTGCAGCTTTCCCAGCAGGCACTCTCACTCCTCAATGTCGGTGTCATTACTGGTGGTCAGTCATGGCCGTCAGGACAGGCAGCATTGAGGCCAGGATAAGGCAGCTACTCAGGGCTGCCATGAAGCCCAGGAGAGAAGAGGATGTGTGTGAATTGCTCAACACTGTGGGTTCTGGGGGTGACAGGCAGGCTGGCCCGAGGCCCCGGGAGGGAGAACTGGTCCCACAACCCTGTGAAACAAGGGAGGACCTTATTGCTGTGCTTGCCTGATTACCCTGGGAAGGAGGGACCAAGGGACCAGCCAGAGGCCAGTGGGAGAGGAACCATCAGGGTTTCCCCGGAAGTTATCCCAGTGGGTCCATCTGTGACCCTTGTACTCTGAGGTCACCTAAGCCTCAGAGGTGAGGCACCTGCCCCTGCTTGTGCCAATTGCTGCACAGAGAAGGAGAGGAGGTTCTTGGCCCAGGGATTCCAGACCCATGGCCAGCCTCGTGGCCATGCGATCTCAGCACTAGGCTGCCTGCCACCCTGGTCACAGGAGCCCCATCCCGGCCTCTGAGGAAGGGAACGCAAGACCAGACATACAAGGGAGAAGCTAAAGCAGAACTGAAGGGATGGAAGGCTGCTAAAAGTTATGTTTTCAAAGAACATTTAATCACAGAAACTTTCAAAATATTTTGTACATTGAATAGATCCGATCACCAAGCAGTGCATAGAGTAGGATCCTAACTTTGTAAAATATCCATATGTCATATATAAAGAAAGACAAATGTATATGTGCCAAGTAAGAAGACTGGAAGGAATTATGAACAGTGGTTATCTCTGTGATTGATTATGGGTGTTTGTATTCTGGTTTTTGTTATTTTCAAAATTTTCCCCAGCACACAGATAACATTTTCTTACGTGAGAAAAAATTTTTTTTAAAAAGCAGGGGGTGGAGAGCGGCAACTGTTTGCTCAAGACTTTTCAGTAAGGAAAGGAACCTGGGGTAGAAAGCTCCCCCTTCAGCTGCCCATGAGGGCACAGGTGGGCCCCACACTCACTACGGGGCCAGGGCAGGGCCGCACACCTGCCACTTCCTCAGCAGAGACCCTAGCGCGTGGGTCACTGCTGGCCCAGACTCCTTCCACGAGCAGGCGAGTGTGCAGGGCCACACCTCATCCAAGAGATGATCACGTTTAGGTTTTTGATGAAAAGCATAGCTCTCAGGTAAATACAGCAGCACCTCTAAGCATATTCTGGGAGGAGTGGGTTTTATGAGGAAGGCACACAAGGAACGCCCAAATTTGCAAGTCCCTTTAAAATGAGCCTGCTCAGAATTGCTGTTTATTCCACAGGTCTGCGCAGGCATGGCACTAAGTGTCCCATGGCACATTTGGCCCTCATGGAGGCCTCAAAAGGGCAGGACCAGCACCCTCTTCTACGGAGGAAGGAACGGGCACAGCAGGTACATGATGTGGTCAAATTAACAAGAGGCAGAGGCCGGGTAAGTGGCTCACGCCTGTAATCCTAGCACTTTGGGAGGCTGAGGCAGGAGGATTGCTTGAGCTCAGGAGTTCAAGACTGGCCTGGGCAAAGTTTAAGACCGGCCTGGGCAACATAGTGAGACCTGGTTTCTATAAAAAATTTAAAAATTAGCTGGGTATGGTGGCGTGTGCCTGTCATCCCAGCAACTCGGGCTGAAGTGGGAGGATTGCTTGAGCCCAGCAGGTTGAGGCTGCAGTGAGCCATGACACTGCCACTGCACTCCAGCCTGGGCGACAAAGCAAGACCATGTATGTCTTTAAAAAAAAAAAAAAAAAGGCAGCCAGGACCTGATGCCAGGTCGACTTGGCTCCAAAACCTGCCCTCTCCTTTTCACAGCCTCCTTTCCTGTGAAATAATAGGGAATTTCTCTAAAGCGCATCGCCCGGTCCCTATGTAAAGACAAAGAAACAGGACTTTGCACGCTCACCTGGCATTAGGGCCAGCACTGTGCTGCAGTTGTGAAGATGGCCACTGGGTTGGGGGTTGTTCTGCACCAAATGGCCCCAGACTCCCTGTCAGTGGCTACTTGTTGCAGCCAGTGGGCCTGAGCTGACCACCCTTATTTATGCTCCTGATGTGCAGCCTTGAATGCATCCTGGGCTGTGGGAGGCAACCAGGCCAGAAGATGACCTTGATAGCTGAGCACTGACCCTTCATCAGCTGTGTGTCCTTACGACCTCCTCCCTTTCTGAGGCCTTCTGTATGTGATGTCATTTGGTGGGTGGCTAAAGTTGCTAGAAGTCTGGCCACCAGGAAGGCCACGACTGTCACACTTTGTGCTTTGCTGCATAAAAAGGGAGTCTCATCATGATCCTCAGGCCTGCTGTGCACACCTGATGGGCATAGCAGCGTTTGCGTCTTGAAAACATTCATTTCACAAACTCCTAGCACACCCAAACCATGCCAGGTTACACACTGGGCACTGAAGAGACCACACATTTGTCAGTTTCCGAAACTCTACTGCCCAGTATTGGAAGAAGAGAGCTGTTAAATCAGGTCCTGCAATGGCAGATAGGCCCCAAGTCCTATGGCAGCAGGGGGCTCAGGCCATGTCTCAAGCTCTGGGAGAAGGTCATGGGGGCAGATGGGTTCTCTGGGTTGGAAGAGCCTTTGGAATTAAAGAGTCCTATGTCCTCATGTTGCAGATGAGAAACTGAAGCGTGAATAAGAAAGGGGACTTGTCCTGACACCAAGTCAGTGGCTGAGTTGGAACCAGAATACCTGTCTCCTAACACTCAGGCCATTGCCTCTTCCAATCTCTGCTAGCTGAGCTTGAAGCCTTAGACTAGTGGGGAACTCACCATCTTCCAGACAGCCTGGGCCCACCCTTTATGTACATGAGAGGGTCTCTTCCTCTGCGCTTGCACATGGAGGCCCTCCCTGGTCCAGGTGGAGGGGCTGCTGTCCCGCAGTGTGGCCCCAGCCTCCACCCCTGCTGCTGGACCAGCTCTCCCCAGGCCCCTCCCTGGGGGTGCAGCACGTGAACTCCAGAGAGGCGCATCCTTGGGCCCATGGGGAGGTGGAACCACTCTGCCAGGCTGTGCCTGTGGATGGGGCGGGCCCAGGATCTGCTTTTAATGACACGGTTTGGGCAGCTGGACTCTGTCTGTTCCAGCAGGTAAATTACAGGCTTAGCAAGTCAGAAATCAAATAAACACTCCAACTCCCAGTGGCTGTTCCAAGGAGAACAGCGGTTTCCGGGAACAGTGGAGGCCGAGACAAACCTCCCCACCCAACTCAGCCTAATTACTGCCTGTCACTCCCTGGGACAGGGACCTTTTCTTTGACTCACAGACCCAAGACACAGGACAGCGCTGGTGGGCACCCAGGGTGACGCCAATTTTGGTGGCCAGCTTGTTCATAACTCCTAGACACAAGCAAACACTGGCAGTCCCCACCCTTGCCCCATGCCTGGCCGGAGACTGCCAGTCACCCTGCTTTGGATGGAATGGATTGCTCTGCAGTGGGGCAGGAGGGGGAACTGAGGTCTTATTGACAATGCCTGGTGGTGGCTGTCTGCAGTTCTGTGCTGAGGCCTGGAGGCCCTGTCCTGGTTCAGTGGGAAAGGTACGTAGGTTGATTACTGACATGAGCCATGGGCAAGGGGAGCAGGCTGCGGGGGCATTTGCTCTGTGCCAGCCTACACTACATGTTGGAGCTGCTGGTCTTGCCTCTGTCTCAGTGCTGAGCCCCAAATGGGTCAGCATGGTAGAGATGGTGGAGGGAACTGGAAGCCCCCAGGATTCTTTGCTCCTGTGGGAGTCATACCTCTTTCCCAGGCAGGAGAAGGGGCAGGCCCAGGGCAAGGGAATACACATGACATAAAATATCCCCAGTGGCCAGGCACGGTGGCTCATGCCTGTCATCCCAACACTTTGGGAGGCCGGGCGGGTGGATCACCTGAGGTCAGGAGTTCAAGACCAGCCTGGCCGATATGGTGAAACCCCGTCTCTACTAAAAATACAAGAATGAGCTGGGCGTGGTGGTGGGCCCCTGTAATCCCAGCTACTCAGGAGGCTGAGGCACGAGAATTGCTTGAACCTGGGAGGCAGAGGTTGCAGTGAGCCAGGATTGCACCACTGCACTCCAGCCTGGGTGACAGAGTGAGACTCTATCTGGAAAAAAAAAAAAAAAATCCCCAGTGGCTTCGTGGGGATGTCCAGCTTATTCTTTTTCTAATATGCTAACTGCACCCTGGACCAAATGAGAAGAATCCCAGAACACACTGTGCTGAGAACATAAGCGTGTCCAATTTTGCCCAGAAATGGCCAGTGTTGTACCTGGGAAGAGGCAGAGCCCTTCTCCTCACACCTAAACCCTCTGGTGAATGGAGAAAAGCTCGGGTCAGCCAACCTCAGACCATCCGGGGCCAGCCACAGTCTGACAGGTCCTAAGATAGGACTTCTGTGCTGACTCCAGACAGTGCAGTCAGCACAGGCTCTGAGGCTGCTGTGTGCCTTAGGCCACCAAAGTGTCGGGCAGAGTGACAGCCACAAACCCCAGGGGAGGGGCACAGAGGTACCGAGAAAGGACCAGAAGCCTGACAGGAAGTAGGCACCGAGAGTGAGGGCCCCTGACACTCCTGCTTGAGCTGTGACAGCATTTAAGGGTTTTCTGCCTCTGCAGGGCCCGATCCAGATGAGAAGGGTGGCTGCAGTAGGGCTGGGCGGGCTGACTCAGTGGCAGCCGCAGGCCTTGACCACCATGTTGCGGTGCTTGCGCAGGATGACGTTGTTGCTGCTGTCATAGTAGAGCACAGAGGTGGCGCTCAGCTTGGTGGGTGCACAGCACGCCTTGGGGACTGCGTTTGGCTTCATCAGGTGCACCTGGCCAGGAAGGGAGCACAGGCAGGGGCATGAGGCCAGTGGCCTCCTCTGAGGACCCACCTAGCCCCGCCCCAGCTCCACCTGCTCCCTGCCCTGGCCATCTCCAAGCCACATGGGAGCAGCACAATAATAAGAATTATTAACAGGAATAAGAGCAGCCCTGAGAGCTCTGGGAGCG
Source organism: Homo sapiens (assembly GCF_000001405.40). Lineage (NCBI taxonomy): Eukaryota > Metazoa > Chordata > Mammalia > Primates > Hominidae > Homo > Homo sapiens. The sequence continues at coordinate 39,525,470 of NC_000001.11, read as the reverse complement.
GGAGCTGTGGTGGCCCACAGTGCCCAGGGAGGGATACATGGCAGCCCCAGGGTGTGGGGCAGGTGGGCAGGGCACTAATGAGGGGCCTCGAGTCCCAGGCCAAGGGCTCAGACTTCCTCCTGGGGATAATGGGAAGGAGAACCTCATGGCCAGGTTTGTGCCCTTAGTGAGGTCCCCAAGGGGGAACCTGGAAGGACCACTGTCTTCTTATAGCCCTTCAGACCCCCCCAGAGGCTCTGCCTCCCCACACCCTGGCCTCCCTCCCCAGGCTCTGGGAGGCCAGGCCTCGCCCCCTCTCCTGTGCTGCTCCTTCTCCCAGAGGACTGCATCCGCCCTCAGCACTTCAAGGCCCTGCATGTGCCCGCACCTCTCCACTCCCCTGGCTCAGCTTGGACCTCTCTTCTGAACTCCAGACTTGCGGATCCTGCTCCCCTTCCCACTTCTGCACTTGGGGGTCTAATGAGGCCTCAGTGGAACATAGAATTCCTCCCGCCCTGACATCATAGCTCCCGCCTGGGAGGCCTCCTGGATGACTCCTTTCGCCTCCTCCCTTCCCTGAGAGCAGCCCCTGGCTCAACCTCCACCTCCGTGCTGCCTCGGACCACCTGCCCAGTCGAGCTGCCATCACCTGCCAGGTGACCACAGCAGCCCTCACTCATCCCCTGCTCCTCTGCCTTCCACTCCCGCGACCATCAGCCTCCCCAAGCCAGAAAGGTCCTTCTGGAGGGTGACGCAGACCAGGACACTGCTTTGCTGAAGACCTCTGACAGCCTCTGGGGTTGCTTGGAATAAAATCCACCCTCCTTCCCAGGGAACCCCAGGCCCTACGGGAGCTGGCCTGGCTCACCCCGGCATCACCTCCCTCCACTCTCCTCCCCTTCACTGCACCCAGCCCCTCTCCTCCCTGCTGGCCCTGAACTTAGGGCCAGCCTGCTCCTGTCTTAGGGCCTTGCACTTGCTCCTTCTGGAACATTCCTCCTCCAGCTGCTGACGTGCCCCTCCTTGTGTGGAGAGGCTGGGCCCAGTCTCACTCCACTGACGGCACGGCTGCTCTGCTCTTCCTCACAGGAGGTGTCAACTCCACGGTTGGTTTGCTTCTGTGCCCACCGACAGCCTCCCCTAGAGCACAGTGCCTGTTTGCTGCCCTGTAGGCTGTGAGCACTCACTCTAGTTGAGCCCCTGAGGGGCAGGGGCAAGGGCAGAGGAGATGGAGTCCAGGAGCTGCAGGTGCAGTCACCTTCCCATGTACCTCCCACACATGCAGCTGTGAGAACCACACGGCATAAAGGGTGGCTGGGCCAGGCCACCCCACGCGTCCTCATCACCCCTGGGCCTTTCCAAGGAGATGGCTCCAGGTGTCCAGCAAACACCATTTGACTGCCCAGAAAGGAAGTATTATCATAGGCTCAGAGCAGCTTTTGGTAATTTCTTTCCTCTCACACCAAGGCATTGTGTGCGCACGTGTGTGTGTGTGTGTGTGTGTGTGTGTGTTTTAATTTTTATTTTAGAGACAGGGTTTTGCTGTGTTGCTCAGGCTTGTCTTGAACTTCTGGGCTCGTGTGCTGCGATTACAGGGTGAGCCACTGCGCCTGATCAAGGCATCACCGTTGAACCTCCTAAGAGGAAAACATAAGGCTGTGCAATACCAGGAACTGGGATTCTAGGTAAAAACTTCTAGAAGGAAGCCTCGGTGCCAGAATCCGCAAACACACAGAGCACTCAGTGGTGAGCAGCACCAGTGATCCCATCAGAAGCCTGCTTTTGTCCTTTAAGGTTGCCCCAGACACCAAGGCATCAAAAGCCAGGGGATCCAGAGAAAACACAGACAGCCAAGAGAGAAACTGCGGGAAAAAGCCAAAAGGTTGAGAGCCACACCATCTAGAAGCTTCCTGCCTGTGGTGCGGCACAGGTGGGTGAGTGCACACGCACACCCCACACACTGTGCGCACATATCACAGGCGGTCAGACTTGCCAGCGTACTCGGGGGCCCGTGTGTTAAGATCACACAGCCCCCACACAGTGTACACATCTGTTTCATGTGCTGTGCCTCTGAGCGCCGCACGCAGGTGTGTAAGTGTCCCACAGGAGTTTGTTCAGTGCATAGAACAGGCATGCATACGCGACTGTTCACGTGTGTCCGTGTTTGGGTGTGGGTCTATGTGTAGTAGTGTGGCTGTATGAGGACCAGTTCCTGCAGAGCTGTGGGAAGTTAGCGACGTTACTGACTCTGTGCAGACAAAGCCCCCGAGACATGGAGCAGGTGGCCTCACTGCCCTCCCGGCTGGCTGGACCAGACCCCTCTCTGCAGGGCCTCCCACCCCAGGGGGCTGGGCAGGATGGGCACGGTACTGACCAGGGACTGCAGGATGGCGTGGTTGGTGGCGTTCATGCAGGAGTCCAGCGGGAAGGAGCACTCCCCCTCACAGTAATAGGCTGAGTAGCCTTGGGGGGCGATGACCCAGTCCTGGGGGGCAAGGGAGAAGGTGAGTCCCATCCATGTGCTCCTCCCTGAGCCTCAGGGCCCAAACCCATCCTCCAGCCCTGCAGGGCCGTCTCCCCCAAGAGGCTTGAATCCACCCAGGAACCCCCGGCGGAAAAGGCTGGGCAGGAGCTCAGGCCCAACAACCCCCATCTTCACTTTGTGTCCCCTCCCCAGCCGGCCCTCCCCAGCCGGCCCTCCCCTGCCCACACCTCCCAGAGCTGCAGTCGTAGCCAATGCAGGGAGGTCTCAGTTACCCTGCGGCAATGCTGACAGCTTAGTTGGTTGATTCAGTCTTCATTTTCATGGTTTTAAAAAAAACAAAAAACACAACAACAACAACAAAACCCTTTCTCACCATATTCTCACTTTAGAAAACTTGGAAAACACAGAAGAAAAAAATACATAAGAAAATTGAAGTCACCATGATTCTATGTCCTCCCTGCAGATTCACTTCTGATCTACAGGTGGTGATTGTCATTTCAGAAACAAGGAGAGTCAGCAATTACCAGCCAGCCAAGGTCCTGGAAGCTGACGTAGAGCTCGTGCCGACGGCAGACCTGCCGGCCGTGGGAGCCGCGGACGTCATCTGCAGGGACAGAAGGGGCAAGGTCTTTTCTGGGGTTCCTGCTGTGTGCAGCTACTATGGGGTACCAGGGTGGGGGATGCCCTGATGAGCACATTTGTCAAATAAATGAATGACAGGAAACCATTTGGTCTCATAAAGCCCATCCCTGGAACGCTGCTTGTACCATGACCCAGCTCAAAAGCCTGCCATGGCTCCCAATGGCTAGAGTGACACTGTGCCCAGTCCTCCCCTGTCCTTCAGCCTATGAGCGTCTTTATGCTCCAGTAAACAGCCCAGCAGGACCCTCGGCCATCCTGTGCCTCCTCCTCTCTGGAGACCCCTGTGACTCCAGCCCACCCTCTCCTGCCACACCCATTCCCGAGGTTCAAGTGGCTCACGACCAGGCCAGTCAAGGGCCGACTCCCTGGTGAAGGAGGGCACGGGGTTGGGTCAGGCCTGTCCCTGATCCTGAAGGGCTTGGCCCAGTTGGGGAGAAAACTCGCATAAGCAACCGAGGATCCCACAGGGTGCCCAGGCACAACCGCAGGTCATGAGGGGCTGCGGCTCCCAGGGAAGGGGCAGCTGATTCTGAAGGAGGCTCCTGAGAAAGACCCGGAGGAGCCAGGGGGAGAGAGGGAGACTTCTGGGCAGCAGGGACAGCCAGGACAGGCCTCCGGAGTGCCGGTCACCAGGGTGCATCAGGGCCAAGATGGTGTCAGGAAAGGTGGCTGGAGAGTGGCCGTCAGCTTGAACCGACCTGAGCCTGAGGGCTCTGGGCCACCACTTGGTTCTCGCCCTGCCTCTCTCAGCCAGAAGCCCACAGGGCCTCGGCCCCAGCCTGCCCGACCCTCACCAAAGATCCCTGGGAGTCGGTTGGCCTGCGGCAGCTCGTTGCTTTTCTTCGGTTGCCTCCTCCTCAGTGGCCTCACTGCCCGAGGGGTGCGGATGGGACTCGGACTGGCCCTGAAGAAAGTGACCACGAAAGGCTGTTGGGAGCGTGGGGCCCGTTGACCCAGCAGGCCGGCCAGGCCAGGATCCACGCTGTGCCCTGAGACAGAAAGGAGAGAGGGGTCACTCACGGGCAGCGGCCCTGCAGCAGACACAGCAGCGGTCTCTCTGCCGGGGCCTGGGCAGGTCCAGGAGCGTGGAGGCTGAGGACCCAAGGGGTCCTGCTGAGCCTCAGTTTCCACATCTGAAGCCTGGAGTCCTTGGTCCAGCCCCAGCCAGTCCACGTCTCTCCTGGGGACAGATTTGGAGGAGGTGGGAGGGGGTGCTCAGTGAGCTGCAGGCGGTGTTATTAGTGACAGCTGCGTCACAAATAATAACATTTGTGAAGTGTTTTACAAGTTGGAAGATTTTTCCCATGGATCACCTCATTGGGTCCTTACAGTGACCCTGCAGCTCCTACTTCACAGGAGACCCAGAGTCCTACTGCCAGTGACTCCGAGAACCAGCGCTCCCACCTTGGTCCAAGGACGCCGAGACCTGTGTTCTGTCTTCCGTCCCGCACTTTCTGGGGTGTGAATGTCAAACTTATCACCGAGACAGCTCGTGGTAGCATCTGCCAGGTTGAGCGAGTGCTTGTTCTGCTGGGCACAGCCCAAGAGCAGGGCATTAACTGTCTCCCTGATGCCCACAAGGGAGATGCCAGGCAGAGCAGAAACATTGAACCAAGTCCCAGAGCCCAGGTTGCAGCCTGCGGCAGTCTCATTCCAGAGCCCGAGTTCTTATGCACGAGCTGGGCTTATGGACAGAAAAGAAAGAAAGAAAAGGCTGAAACAGAGATCTGACTTGGGCCTCAGCCCCAGGAGGAGTGAAGCCTGTAAACGGGATTGTCCCCCACAGCCGCTTCCAGACTGAGGATGCCGCTGAAAACATGATAACTAACCCTGGAGATGCCAAGCCTCACCAATAAAACTGTGTATCATCCTGTACTTGTTTGGATTTCAATAACCTTTCTATTGTAAAAGCAATTAAGTAAAGAAACTTTTGAGGCCAGGCAAGGTGGCTCACGCTTGTAATCCCAGCACTTTGGGAGGCCGAGGTGGGAGGATTGCTTGAACCTAGGCATTTGAGACCAGCCTGGGCAACATAGTGAGACCCTGTCTCAACAAAAATATAAAAACAAAAATGAGCTGGGCATGGTGGTGAACTTCCCGGGAAGCTGAGGTGGGAGGACTGCTTGAGCCTGGGAGGTTGAGGCTGCAGTGAGGTGTGATTGTGTCACCACACTCCAGCTGGGCGACAGAATGAGAGTGTGTTTCAAGGAAAAAAAAACAAAACACAAAACTTTTTCTGGTTGTTTAAATAAGTCTCCACAATAAACATTTCAAATTTATAAAATCCCTTGGAGCAGTATACCGTAATTGACTTGATATTGGCTCATCATAGACATGTAGGTTATTTCCCGGCTTTCATGATAAAGATGGGAGTGCAATGGAGCCTCTTCACTCCGTGCATGGGTGAAATTTCCTGATACTGAATTGCAGAAGCATGATTACCAGCTCATTTTCATGTCTCTTTAAACAGTGCCAGTTGTTCAGTTTACACGAAAGTACATTTCACCTCCATGTTATAAGCACAGATGTACACACGTATGTACACACAGGCATATGTTTGCATAAACACACAGATGCACATACGCTCAGACAGACATCACACACACAGATGTATTTATTCCTACGTAGTTCTCCAGTACACCCTACAGGTCAAGGACACTGCCTGCCCCACCCTCAGTCCCACTCAAAGGTCAGCCCTTAAGCAGCTGTGCCTCAGCCCTGGTGTCCCTTGGCCACTTGACTGAACAACCAGTGAATCCAGAGACCAACCTTTGACCCGTGACATCATCCGCCACAAACAAATGCACTGGCAGGAGAGGCTCCCTCCCTCTCACGAGCATGGACAAGAGCTGCTGAGACAGGGAGGCTGTGAGCTGCAGATGCTAACATGGGAAGGAGGCCCAGAGAGAATCCACTGGGCAGGGCTTGAGTCACGGTGAGTCAAGGTTATGGGGAAGCAGCAGAAATACAAGGAACAGAGCTGGGGCACAGAGGAAAAGACAAGTGAGGTCACAACGGAGAGAGAACAGAGCAGCCTGAGTGGGGTGGTGGTGGTCACCAGCCCGGGCACTGGAGTGTCACTCTGCAGACTGGCTGACCCATGGGGACAGCCTGGGGCCCAGGGCAGCCCTCCTGGCTCCACTTGCAGCTCTGTCCTGTGACTCCCTGGGGAGCCCTGCCTGCTATGGGGCCTGAGAGGCCATCAGTCCTGCAGGCTTTCCTCACTATTTGCTTCTGTGCAGCTGTGTTCAAGGGTCTTATGGGGGGTCTCCCAGACACAGGATAGAATGTCGCATTAGATCAGTTACACCACAGACCCTCACAGAGCCCCTCTGAGCCAGGCCTGGCTTGGGTGCTGGGAACCCCTCTGTAGGTCTCACAGGCCAGGCGAGCCTTGAAACCTTGGAAGCAGCTAATCCCAGGTTCCCATTTTACAGAAGCAGAAACTAAGGCCCAGAGAGAGCAGCAACTGTCCAAGGTCCCAGAGCAAGGTGGGTCGGAGCCAGGATTGTCATATACTTTTCCAGCAAACTGCAGGGCCCAGCTGGATGTGGCTGGGCAAGATGGGGGGTGGTGAAGGGGACTAACAGTGGGTCTGGGTTCAGAGCCCTGCATCTGGCAGGCCTGGAGAAGCTCCCCCATCCCCAGCCCTCTCCTTCCAGAGCCCAGAGCCTCCCTTCTCCATCAGCTCTGCTTCTTACCCACCCATTCTTAGGCAGGACTCCCTGGCTCCAGCTGGCTGCAGGGAAGGCCAAGCAGTCAAGGTGGGGGGCTCTCAGGCTGCCCAGCTGTGGGCAGGCCCCTTCCAGAAAGGTGGAGTTGGAGGCCCAGAGGGTCACTTGTCCGCTTCTAGATACCTCAGCCTTTTCCACACTGCTCCTGGGAAACTGACGCCCAGGGCAAATCAGGTGCCCCTCTCCAGGAGCCCCAAAAGGCACCCCACTGCCCACTAGATGACATTTCATTTCAAGCCCCCAACCCCAGCCATAGTCCCTGGCCCCTTTTCCACACCCCCAGTCTGTGCCCTCCATGAGCGCCAACTCTCCCTGCCCTGCTCTCCTTCCCAGGATCTGGCCTTTCCTGCAGGGTGAGGCTCCAATGGGCCCCTGGAAAGTCTGTCCTTGACCAGTGAGAACTTACTACTCTGACCACATGCCCCCAATGGCCTGGGAACCCCCAGAGCTACACTTATGCAGTGCATGCACCAGGCCAGGCTTGGCTGTCAACAGCACGTGTGCACGCGTGCATGCGCACACACACACACACACAATCTTAATTTTAGTTTTTGAGACTATAGATTCAGGAGGAAATGCCTCGCAGCCTCTTGGGTTACAACGGACCATCACACAAGTGGCCAGTTTGGGCCTCCATCCCAGAGAGGAGGGCCTAAGTGTCTGGTGTGAATGATGCAGGAACAATTCAAATGAAGCTGAGAAAACTCATCTAGTCCCTTGGTTAGGGTTCTAGAACTCCTCCTGTCCTAGGCTGTAGCCTTTGGCCACACACAGATAGAGGAAGCTTCCTGGTGGATTTCAGGACCGGCAGCCTCTCCCCTCTCAGTCTCTCCCATCACCCGGTCCCTTCCCTTGGAGATGGTCCTGCTTTCCTTCTACGGACATCTAGAAGCTTAACATCTCATAGGTCCCAGGAGGAGAGATGTGGGAGGAGGAGGGGAGGCTTCAGGGAAACAAAATTTAACAACAAAGGCCCCAGAAGAAATACCAGATAACGGATAAAAACGTTCAAGAAGGCCGGGTGCAATGGCTCAAGCCTGTACTTTGGGAGGCCAAGGCAGGTGGATCACCTGAGGCCCAGAGTTTGAGACCAGCCTGGCCAATATGGAGAAACCCTATCTCTACTGTTAAAAATATATATACAAAAATTAGCTAGGCATGGTGGCACATGCCTGTAATCCCAGCTACTTGAGAGGCTGAGACATGAGAATTGCTTGAACCCAGGAAGCAGGGGTTGCAGTGAGCTGAGACTGGACCACTGTACTCTAGCCTAGATAACAGAGTGAGATTCTGTCTAAAAAAGAAAAAAAAATTACAGTAAGCTAAGGTTAATTGGCCCAACTCAGTGGCTCATGTCTGTAATCCCAGCACTTTGGGAGGCTGAGGCAAGTGGATCGCTTGAGCTCAAGTGTTCAAGACCAGCCTGGGCAACATGGTGAAACTCCATTTCTATAAATAAATTTAAAAAATAAAAAAAAATAAGCAGGCATTGTGATGTGCGCCTGTAGTCCCAGCTACTCAGGAGGCTGAGTTAGGATTGCTTGAGCCCAGGAGGCAGAGGTTGCAGTGAGATCACTGCATTCCATTGCATTCCAGCCTGAGTGACAGAGCCAGACCCTGCCTCAAAAAAAAAGAAAAAAGAAAGAGAAGGAAAAAGAAAAAACAAGCTCATGAAGATAGCATGTCTTCCAATCACAAACTCACATCTTTGCTCGCCTATTTCTCACTGCAGTAGTAAAATGTCCCTTCAGGTGTACTCTGGGTTGAGTGATTTTCTCCCTCGTCAGTTTTTATCTCCATTTCATGGTTCAAGTACGAGGGAGGCGCTTGAATCAAATCTTGCTGTGAATGCGCTGAGCTGTGCACGCTCTGTGTAAACATCACAGAGCAAAGCGGACATCCATTCCTCACCACTGCAGACCTGCGCCTTGCAGTGCTCGAGAAACACAGTGAGGAACTGATCTGTTTTCCTGTTGTTTTTAATTAAAGTCGCAGCTCTCTAGAGGAGCACTGTCCACCTAGGGAGGAAAGTAGGAGGCCAGTAGCAAACCCCTCCCAGAGCTGGGGACATGTATTCCCCTGGGGAACCCGGTGGCATCCGCCCTGAGGAGCGCACCACCCCGCCCAGATCCAGGTCCCGTCAGGGTACCACCTGCTGCATGGGCCTGAGGTTCGGGGACACAGCAAAGGCACACCCCGTGCTCTTTTTGATGTCGTCCACCGTCAGGCCCTCCCAGAGCTCCCTCAGCGTCAGCCTTTTCTTCCTGTGCACGTCAAACACGGCCTTCTCGGTGATGATGCGGTCCACGCACCGCTTCCCGGTCAGCGGCATGGTGCATTTCTCCATGATCTTGGGGGTGTTGTCCTTTGTGCAGTGCTGCATGGTGACCACCACTCTGGTCTTCTGACTGGACACCAAGTCCATGGCACCGCCCATGCCTTTCACCTTCTTGCCAGGGATCATCCAGTTCGCCAGGTCGCCGTATTTGGAAACCTGCATGGCTCCAAGCATGGTTAGTTGGATGTGTCCCCCTCGGATCATGGCGAAGGAGTCGTCGCTGGCGAAGAAGCAGCCCCCGGGAAGCACCGTGACCGTCTGCTTGCCTGCATTGATGAGGTCGGCATCCACCTCATCTTCCGTGGGAAACGGGCCCAGGCCCAGGATCCCGTTCTCACTGTGAAGATGGACAGTCATGCTGGGACTGATGAAGTTGCTGGCCAGCAGGGGGATGCCTATGCCCAGATTGGCGTACATGCCGTCCTCAAATTCCAGAGCTGCGCGTCTGATGATGCGCGTCCTGGCGTCCTCTTCCTTTCCAGCGTCTCCATCTTCCTCTTTCCGGATCGTTAAGCGCTCAATTCGTTTCTCGTATTTCTGCCCCTTTATCACGCGACCTACATAAATGTTAGGAACGTGGATGTCTTCTGGGGGGAAGCCCCCACCTCCACCGCCGTGACGTCTGCAGCTTTGCACATGGGCACGTTGAAATTGCGGGCGCTTCTCCTGAAGACCACGTTTCCTGCCCGGTCGGCCTTCCACCCTTTCACCAGGGCGAAGTCTGCCCGGATGGCGCGCTCCAAAAGGAAGTGGTCGCCGTTGAACTCCCTCACCTCTCGGGGCTGGCTCATGAGCGCCAGGTGGCCGTCCGGGGTGTAGCGGATGGGGGCGCCCCCTTCCTGGACCAGGGTCCCGTAGCCCGTGGGGGTGTAGAAGGCGGGCACCCCGGCGCCCCCCGCGCGGATGCGCTCGGCCAGGGTGCCCTGGGGCGTGAGCTCCAGCTCCAGCTCTCCTGCCAGGTACTGGCTCTCGCACAGGGTGTTCTCGCCCACGTAGGAACAGACGATGCGACGGACCTGCCTGGCGGCCAGCAGGAGGCCCAGGCCGAAGTCCTCCACGCCCACGTTGCTGCTGACCACCTGCAGGTCTTTCACGCGGGTCCTGAGCAGCGCGGCGATCAGGTTCTCGGGGATCCCGCAGAGCCCGAAGCCCCCGATCATGACGGTCGCCCCGTCAGAGATGTCCTTCACCATCTCCACCGGGTCCGCGTAGAACTTGGCACGGGGCCGGGGACTGGTGGCAAAGCAGCGGGCGCAGCCCTGGGACAGCGCGAGCCCTGAGCCGCCGGCGGGGACCCCGCGCCCGAGCACTGACGCCAGGAGCCGCAGCGCCGCCATAGTCGGCCCGGGTCGGAGGCCAGGACAAGTGGTGTGAGCCCTGCGTGCGCCTCGGGCCGCGCGTCACAGAGCAGGGCGGGCGCCCGCGCCCTGACGCACTCCCTCCCAGCAGGTCTCCCCGGCCAGGCGCAGGCTCTAGGCCAGGCCCGCGACCCGCAACAGGGAGGGGGCCGGCTCCGCCCTGGGCTGGGGGCCCCGAGTCAGTCCTCCGTGTCCAGCGCACAGGCCCGGGCGCAGGACAGAGCTGAGGTCAGGCTCCGCGAGTAGGGCACAGGCTAGGTCCCCTCCTGCCCCAGTGGAGCCTCAGACACAAACTCCAACCACCCCGCCCAAGCTTCCCCCCAGCTTCCCCAGCTCATTAAAGACACCAAGTGTCCAATGAGCAGGCGCCGCTGGGTGACACCGACGCTCATGAACACCTTCACTGGGCATCACTCTGTGCCAAGCACCCTCCTTTAATCCTGTGACAACCCGGAGAGTGAGTGCCTGCCCCACTACAGCCTCCCAGAGCTCAGGTTCACCCCTCACTGCGACAGTGGGGACACTATCCCTCACCTCCATCAGGAAGGGTCCCTGCTCTGAAGAGGCCCCCCGTCTTGTCCTCTGCATCCCCCCGCCCTCTCCACCTCCCCCACTCCAGCTCCCTGCTCCAACTTGTGCGGAATTTTGCAGTTTTCTTCCCTCTGCACAGAATCACTGCATCACCACAGCAGCGTGCAGGCGTCTCCTCACCTGGAAAGGACCTGCCTTGTCCCGGGTTCTCTCCAGCCCCAGCCCATGTCTCTGCTCCCCTTCCCCAGCAAAGGTTCTGGAAAGAGCTGTCTCCTGCCTCCACTGCCTGTCTCCCTCCACCTCCTCAGTCAGACCCACACTCCACGGATATTTAGGTCATCAACAACCTCTGTGATGGCAAAACCCTTGGTCACTTCTCTGTTCTTGCCTTCAGTGCCCACAGCAGGACACAAATGACAAACCCTTGCTTCTGGAAACACTTTACTCTGGCGTCTGGATCACCTCATCCTCCAGGTGTCCTGCTCCCTCCCTGGCTGGTCTCTGTGGGCTCTCTGTGGCCCCTCCTTGTGAGGTCTCTGGATGTTGGAGGTCCCAGGGCTCTGGGCCAGGCCCTCTTTCTTCTCCATCACTACCCTCCTTCCCTAGATGACCTGGTCCCATCCCATGCTTTAAATCCACTTACATGCCAGCACCTCCCTCGCCTGGGTCTTCACGCTCACCGGTCCCTGTAATGGCATTTCCATGAGGACCAGTGATCTCAGTAACATCCCAGGGGGGTCAGTAATATTCCAGCCAAAAGAGAACCCTTGGCCACCCACCTCAAACCTGCCCTTCATCTATCTTTTCCCCAAAAAGAAAAATCTATTGAAAAAAATCCACTGGCTCCAACCACACATCATTCAGGCTTCCTCCTGTTCCCTCACCTCCTCGCCAGCTATAAGCATGTCCTGACACTGAAATCGACTCATCTTTCTCCATCTCCACTGCTACCAACAAGTCACTCACAGCGCCCACCTGGACCACTGTGGGGCCCCCACACGTCTCTCTGACTTCACTCTTGTCCATCTCAGTCTGCTCTCTCCACTGAAGTCAGGGGGTTCTTTATTTTATGCATATATTAAGTTTTAATTTTACAACAGTTGATAGTTACATAAAACTTTGTAAAGATAGTACAGAGGCTAAGGTGGGAGGATCGCTCGCGCCCAGGAGTTGGAGGTTACCGTCAGCTGTGATTGCGCCACTGCACTCCAGCCTGAGCAACAGAGCCAAACCCTGTCTCAAAGAAAAAAAAACTACACAAGGAGTTCCCATACACCTGGACCCAGTTTCCTCTGGGAAATGCTAATATTTTACACTAGCAGGGTACCTTTCTCATAACTAATGAACCAATACTGATACCTTATTATTAAGTAAACACCATGATCGATCTGGATTTCATAACTTCTCCCTAATGACCTTTTGCTGGTCCAGGACTCAACCCAGGACCCCACATGCACTGAGCTGGTCTTCTTAGGTGCCTCTGGGCTCCTCCAATTTCCCAACCTTCCCTTTTTTTTGATGAGCTTGGCGGTTTTGAGAAGCGCTTGTCAGGTATTCTGCGGAAAGCCCTTCTCTTTGGGTTTGTTTGACGGTTTTCTCGTGGCTGGACTGGGGTTTCGGGTTCACGGAGGGGGCCCTCTGAGGCTCAGTGGCCTTCTCCTTCCCTTTCACCCAGGGCACATGCTAGCACCGTGCCGGTCACTGCAGTGAGCCTTCCTCACCTGGCTGAGGCGCTGCGCGTCAGGTCCCCCACGCCCTGTCCACACCGCACTTTCGGGAAGCAAGTCACTGGGTGCAGCCCACGGAAGGGGTGGGGAGCTCTGCTCCACCCCGAGAGGGGGGCATCTCAGAGGGTTCTCTTTTAAAACCTGAATCAGATCCTGTCGTCCTCCACTGCTAGTAAATAAAATAAATGACGCTAAGAACCCCAGCACCTGGCCCTGGTTTACTCTGACTCAGAATGGCCCCTGGGTCCCCCGCCCTCACCGCTGCTCCATGGCGCCCCCTTGCCGGGCCTCAAACACACCCATCTCGTGCCCACTTTGGCCTCTGTATTCCTACTGCCTGGCATAAAAGAGGCTCTCCCCAGTGTCACCTGTGGAATGAACAAGGGCGTGAATCCCCATCCTGCGGAAGAGAAGACGGGGTCTGGAAAGGTAAGTCCCAGCCAAGGTCACTGAGGCAGGGCACTGCCAAGCTGGGCTTCAAACCCAGCCTCCTGGCCTCAGTGCCTGAGGGTACAGCCACTTCCCCTCCTTCCCTTCCCAGGACAGAAACTCCCAAGGTGGAGGCTGCTCCGTGGGAAGAGCCGCCTGCTTCCTGGGAAGCAGAGGGAGAGGAGGGAGCACCCCCACTAGGCCAGACCTCGTGCCCTGGACCTCAGTGACCCTTGCAGCGGGCACAGCTGGTGAGGCCGGGCACCCAGGGCCACAGGAAGCCACTACCGCTGCCTGTGCTGGCACAGAGAAGCCCCAGGGGCTGCAGAGCCCCCAGCCTCACCGTCCTCAGTCTCCACATAGAGGCGGAGTCCCAGGTCCTTGTGACGCTTCAGCAACCAGCAGTCACTGGCTGCTGTGACATCCAGCACCAGCCAGCCCTCGTCTCCAGCTCGGAGCGTCTGAAGATCCAAAAAGAACAAGTCAGACTCCCTGTGGACATGAAAGAACAATTAACCGGCGGCCGGCACAGCTGCCTCCGTGTCTCCAGGGCCCGCTGGGGGCTGTCACCGGAGCGTCTCCCACCTGACTCTGGCTGCGCCCCTTCTGAGCCTCATCTCATTGCCTCAGCCCACAGAGGTGTACACATGGGGAAACTGAGTCTCAGTGACCTGTCCAAGTCCCCACAGCCAGGATGGCAGGGCAGGGACTTGAAGTCAGGATTGTCACTGGGGCTCTTCCCACAGTGCAGGGGCCTCGGGCCAAGCATCCTTCCCATCTTTGAGGCTCTCTTTCAGCCCACCACGACTCCCTGCTGGGCTGCCTTGACCATGAGACTGTGAGGTGGGGGGTTAGGTGGGGCACCCGGGCCAAGGGGAAGGCACCTGTTGGACTGCTCCTGGACCACCTGGAACATGCTGACGTGGAGGGTCCTGTTGAGCAGGTGGATGCTGGGCACCTTGTAAATCCGGAACTCCGCAGCTGTGACCGCCTCCCCAGCCGGGATCTGGGTCAGGTCAAAGCGGAACTCCTTCCAATGGGGCTCCTGGTGGCCCAGGGCACGGTCTCGCTCCACTAGAAGACAAAGCAGCGCTGGGCTGGCACTCAGAATGGCTCGGGCTCTGGAGGGGGCAGAGCTGGTGTGAGCCACCGCCCCCAGACACCCACCACTCAAGGTGGAGCGGACCCAGGGAGGCCTGGGTGGGGCCGGCTTCATTTTGTGCAAACGTTTGTTCCAGGCTTGGTCCCGGGGTGTAGACAGGGCCAAGAGGCCCTGCAGCCAGGCTCACCCTGAGCCCTGCACCTGGCTGGTGCTCAGCAGGCCCCAGGCTCCAAATCCTGAACTCCCGTTGCGCCCCTTCTTGGCCCGGCTGGTCCTGGGACCCAGAGATGAGACAGGAGGGAGCCTCCTCTGGGAGCTTCCAGGCTAAAGGGAAGATGGACATTGGACCCAAGGCAGAAAAGGGCCCCAGCCCTGCAGGGAAACCTGGTAGACAGGGACATAACCGACATAACCGACGGCATCTCAGGGGACATAAGCCATCCAGAGCCTGCCCGCTGCCTGGATGGGAGGTGCGGCAGGGGAGGGCTCAGGGCTGACAGCTGAGCTGGGCTGAGGCATGAGTGCGAATCTGCCATGGTGTCAGGGAGACGGGCCCTGCAGGGGCCGGCCAGCCAAGGCAGAGGGCCAGAGCAGAGGGGTCTGAGGGCAGGGCAGGGAAAGCAAGCACCAGGAAACAGCAGAGGGCAGGAGACCCACGTTTCCTTTCTGGAACAAGCTGGAAGAGGAAGAAGGGAAACGTGGAAAGGAACAAGAAAAACCAGGGCAGGAGTGACAACTCCCGGAGAGGCCAGTCAGGTGCTGGGGAAGTCGGAGGGTCTCACTGGGTGATGGGATCTGAGCAGGTGGCATCTGAACTGGCTTTGAAGGGTGGGATGGGTCTTGGTAGGTGGAGAAGGTGGCAGGGAGGGTGCTCTAGGGAGAGGGGACCTCGCATGCACAGGGTGGAGGCGCCCACAGGTCAGTGATGTTGGGGACGGCACATGAGCTCTGCTGCGGCCTGCCTGCTGAGGGTGCGAATCCCGGGCCAGGAGCCTGGGCTGCGCCTCTGGCCAGTGGGAAGCACAGGGGACGGGGGCAGCAGGGAGGCGGCGTGGGTGGAGGGGAATTAGAAGACACAGTGGAGGTGAGGGTAGAGGCCAGGCTGGAAGTGAGATGGGCAGCAGGGCCCCGTGGCAGGGGCTGGCCTGCCAATCAAACAAAGGCTGTAGTTGCGGAATAAAGCCCACATTTCCCCAGGTGTCCGGAAATATCCGGAAATACCCAGGACGCTATATTTAGGGCAGTCTCACTTTAGCCTCCCGTCCCTTTCAAACTCTAGAAATCTGTGTTTCCGGAAAGCAGGGGTGGGAGCCGCCCAGTGCCTTCCCCAAAACCCAACACTGAGATTTCAATGATATGTTTGTGAGTCTTTTTAAAAATTCTCTCTGGTTACTGGGCTCAGTGACCACAGTCAGGTTTGGAAAAGCACCAGGCTGTGCGGGCCGAGGCGGATGTGGGGAGCACTTCCTGTCCTCGTGGTGGGAACCTGGTCCAGCCAAGGGCAGGCGAACAGCTGTGCGGGGCGGGGGATGGGGCCAGACGTGTGTGGGCAGGAGGAGGTGGCCGCTCATCCCAGGCCAGGGCGGAGGAAAAATGAACTTGTCTTGTCCCACAGCACCTGAGGGTGCTGGGCATGCAGCAAAAGCTCGCCTGAGAGCCGGGCTGCTCAGATGCCGTGACACAGGCCACGATCTCTTCCCATAGGCAGAGATCACTGATGGCAGAGTTCTGGACCTCCTACCATGAATATCTACACACGTGTGCTCTCTTCCCTAACACACTCACACAACACGACTTGGGTGACAATTTCAGTGGGTTCAGGAACTGCAGATCCCCCTGTGTTACATGGCTGTGTAAGAATCCCCCATTTGCAAGACAAAATCAGTCCATGCTGTTGGCTGTCACAGGGCATGCGACAGTGATGGAGCAGCTCAGTCCCGGCTTCTCCTGTCCGCTTTCAAAGCGTGGCTCTATGTGCTTGTGCCCCAGGGCACAGCAGGGCTGCTGGGTGGGTCCTGGGGCTCAGTGGTGTCCCTGTTGGCAGACCACATGCTGACTTCATGTGGGATCTGAGGACTGAGGGAACAGCCCACAAACCCATCAGCTCTGTGGGGACGCCCGTGCTGTGGCCTCCCTCCCCGCCTGACCTGTGGGTCTACCCAGGCTGACTCAAGAGTTTTGCTCAACTGAACCGACCTGAGTTCCAAACTTCCGCGCTGTGGGCTTGTGAAATCGATAAACCACCCAGGAATTCCAGCACAGGAAACTGCCTCCCCTGGCTGTTCCAGGCAAGCCTGGAAGTTGGGAATTTTTTAGGAAAATAATGATTTTTATCAGAAACTGATAAAACTTCCTGGGGTGTGGCACTGAAATAGGCATTACTGTGACTGGGCAAAGGGAGTGCCCTTTCTTTGCTGGAGCCATGTGGGTCTGGAGCTGGCCAGTGGTTGTGCCTTTGGATAGAAAAGATATTTCTCAAAAGCTGGGGCTGAGGAAGAGCATTTGTTGGGACCCAGATTTTCCCCTGTGAAGGTTCATGGGCAGACAGCCCCTGCTTTAGCTGCTAAGAGAGCATTGAAAAGGGTAGATTCTCTGGCCAGTAACTGGGCTCCTGGTCCCAGTCCCGACCCTGTGGGCAACCTATGTGATATCAGTCTCCTTATCTGCGAAGTGGGGATTCTGTCCTTCCCACCCAGGGCTGTGAAAGGGCAGGGGCCGTGGGATAGGAGTGGCGGCCATGGCTCTGGAGGTTAACAGCTGCTTTTCCAACTTAAAGTATCAAAGTGACAATACCCAGCCAGGACCATCAGAAGACCACGTCTGAAACTCAGCAGCCATGGTGGGGAAAGGGAGACGTTCAGTTTTCTTTTTTTCTTTTTTCTTTTTTTTTTTTTTGAGACGGAGTCTTGCTCTGTCTCCCAGGCTGCAGTGCAGTGGCACGATTTCAGCTCACTGCAAGCTCCGCCTCCCGGGTTCACGCCATTCTCCTGCCTCAGCCTCCCCAGGAGCTGGGACTACAGGCGCCAGCAACCACGCCTAGCTAATTTTTTGTATTTTTAGTAGAGACAGGGTTTCACCGTGTTAGCCAGGATGGTCTCGATCTCCTGATCTTGTGATCTGCCCGCCTCGGCCTCCCAAAGTGCTGGGATTACAAGCGTGAGCCACTGCACCCGGCTAGTTTTCTTTTTTTCTAAATAAAAGTATGGAATGAGAGAAATCTATCAGTTCAACTTCTGGGTGCCTCCTTTTCACCTGCCTGATCTTTGTCAAGGCACTTAACCTTCTGGGCTCAGTGTCCACGCCTGCAAAATAACACTTTGAAACAGTGGGTCAAATGAAAACTGTGAAGAGCCAGGTTTGTTGACGGTAGTCAGTACTTGGTTATGGTCCAGCGAATGCTTCTCCCACCCTATTCGGGAGCATTTCCTTGTCAGTGAATGCCCAGCCCCCACCTTCCCATAGAACCAAGGTCTGGAATCTCCCAAAGATGCCTGGCTGAGCGGCAGCACCTCAGCAATGCCACTGGGACGGTCCCCCAGTTCTGGCTCGGACAGAAAGTACCAAATACAATCTCCTCCCATGTTCCCACACGTGGAAACGGAACCCTGACTCCTCGCTGGGCTCCTTCTGCTACCGTGGACCACCTCCGTCTGATGCTGGGAAATGGGGCATTAAAACCATGCTGGAACTGGCCAAAAGCGCTCGAGGCCTCTAGACAGGTCCTCAATATACAGCATGCAATGCCTGCTGCTGCCTCCCAGTGGCTGCTGATTTGAGGGTCCATGGAGGGAATTCATGGGAAAGGCCCAGGTTTGCACAATGTGATTTCTTGGGTTTTCCCAGTAAAATTCTGCTGCCAGTTGTAAGGTTGGGAAGTTAATTCCAGGGCTCCCTGTCAGATTCAGATAGGCTGGGGGGCCCATGAGGGAGATGCTCTCTGTCCGGCCAGTGTCCTGATCCCGATCATCTGAGATACATCCTGCCAGGAATCCTCTCTCTATGGTGGCCCTGAAAGGAGCCATTGATGTTTGGAGCAAGGTTTCTGGGCAGTACATCTAGTTCCCCCGTCTGCAAAATCTGGGACAGTGATCCTATTTTTGAGGGTCCCATAATTTCACTTTTGGGCATGAAGGAGGAGGTTCCTGACTCTGTTACCTTCTCATGATCTGAAGGCTTTATAAGAATACTGACTTTTCCTCATTCATTTTTCCTGGTCACAGCCAGGAATATGAATTAATTCATTATTCAGTACATTTTAAAGCAGTACTAATGGTGCAGAAGTCATTATTTAGGTGCAGGAGACACTGAGGTAAGCAAGATGGGGCAGCTCCTGCCCCCGTGGGGTTTACAGGCTTGCAGGGAAGTCAGATAACAAACAGGAAAGTTAACAAACAAGATTAGCCTATGTGCTAAGTGCTAGGAAGTACACAAAGAAGGGGGGCTGGGAATAATGCAGGGAGTGTGGGGGCTGCCTTATTTATGTTTTTAACTTGATTTTGAAATACTTTAGGATTATTTAGATCTAAAGAGAAGTGGCATGAACAGTGCAGAGACTTCCCATACATTCTTTCCCTGATAGCTTCCCCTAATGACAGCTTCTTACATAACCAACCTGTAGTATAAGAAAACCAGGAAATTGGGGGGGGCGCGGTGGCTCACACCTGTAATCCCAGCACTTTGGGAGGCCGAGGCGGGTGGATCATGAGGTCAGGAGTTCAAGACCAGCCTGGCCAAGATGGTGAAACCCTGTCTCTACTAAAAATACAAAAATTAGCTGGGCGTGGTGGTAGGTGCCTGTAATCCCAGCTACTCAGGAGGCTGAGGCATAGAACTGCTTGAACCTGGGAGGCAGAGGTTGCAGTGAGCCAAGATTGCGCCACTGCACTATAGCCTGGATGACAGAGTGAGACTCCGTTTCAAAAAACAAAAACAAAAACAAAAAAACCAGGAAATTGATACTGTTAACTAAATCCAGACTTTTCTCTAATTTTACTAACTGTCCTACTAATATCCTTTTTCTGTCAAGAATTCAATCTAGGACCCCATGTTATTAATACACGAATACATTTAGTGTCATTTCCCCGGGGCCCCTCCGATCTGACTGTTCCTCAGTCTTTCCTTCCCTTTCAACCTTGACACTTTTTTTTTTTTTTTTTTTTGGAGACAGGGTCTTGCTCTGTCACCCAGGCTGGAGTGCAGTGGCACAGTCACAGCTCACTGCAGCCTCAACCACCTGGGCTCAGGTGATCCTCCCACTTCAGCCTCTGGGGTAGCAGGGACCACTGGTACACCCCACCATGCCCAGCTAATTTTTTAAACAATTGTTTATTGAGACAAGGGCTCAC
Organism: Homo sapiens; assembly: GCF_000001405.40. NCBI lineage: Eukaryota > Metazoa > Chordata > Mammalia > Primates > Hominidae > Homo > Homo sapiens. The sequence continues at coordinate 39,505,800 of NC_000001.11, read as the reverse complement.
TGTGTTGTCCAGGCTGGTCTTGAACTCCTGGGCTCAAGCAGTCCTCTTGCCTTGGCCTTCCAGAGTGCTGAGATTACAGGCATGAGCCACCATGCCTGGCCTTGATACTTTTGAAGAGTGCTGGTCAGTTATTTGTAGCATGCCCCTCAATTTGAGTTTGTCTCATGTTTTCTCATGTTTAAAATGAAGTTATGGATTTTGAAGAATACCACAGAAGTGTGTGGGGGAAAGAGAAATCAGACTGTTACTGTGTCTCTGTAGAAAAAGGAAGACATAAGAGACTCCATTTTGATCTGTACTAAGAAAAATTCTTCTGCTTTGAGATGCTGTTAATCTGTAACCCTAGCCCCAACCCTGTGCTTGCAGAAACATGTACTGTATTGACTCAGGGTTTAATGGATTTAGGGCTGTGCAGGATGTGTTTTGTTAAAAATGTGTTTGCAGGCAGTATGTTTGGTAAAAGTCATTGCCATTCTCCAGTCTTGAGTACCCAGGGACACAATGCACTGTGGAAAGCTTCAGGGACCTCTGCCCAAGAAAGTCTGGGTATTGTCCAAGGTCTCCCCGCACTGAGACAGCCTGAGATATGGCCTCATGGAAAGGGAAAGACCTGACCAACCCCAGTCTGACACCTGTAAAGGGTCTGTGCTGAGGAGGACTAGTGAAAGAGGAAGGACTCTTTGCAGTTGAGATAAGAGGAAGGCATCTGTCTCCTGCTCATCCCTGGGATTGGAATGTCGTGGTGTAAAACCCGATTGGACATTCTATTTACTGAGATAGGAGAAAACCACCTTATGGCTGGAGGTGAGACATGCTGGCGACAATACTGCTCTTTACTGCATTGAGATGTTCGTGTAAAGTCAAACATAAATCTGGCCTACATGCACATCGAGGCACGGCAACTTTCCTTAAACTTTTTTATGACACAGAGTCCTTTGCTCACATGTTTTCCTGCTGACCCTCTCCCCACCATTACCCTATAGTCCTGCCACATCCCCCTCACCGAGATGGTAGACAGTGATCAATAAATACTGAAGGAACTCAGAGACCAGTGCTGGTGCGGGTCCTCCGTATGCTGAGTGCTGCCTGGGCCCACTTTTCTTCCTCTGTACTTTGTCTCTGTGTCTTATTTCTTTTCTCAGTCTCTCATCTCCACCTTTCGAGAAATACCCACAGGTGTGGAGGGGCAGGCCCCCTTCATCTGACGCCCAATGTGGGGCTTGAACCCACGACCCTGAGATTAAGAGTCTCACACTATACCGACTGAGACATGCTGGTGGCAATACTGCTCTTTACTGCATTGAGATGTTTGTGTAAAGTCAAACATAAATCTGGCCTACATGCACATCGAGGCACAGCGCCTTTCCTTAAACTTATTTATGACACAGAGTCCTTTGCTCACATGTTTTCCTGCTGACCCTCTCCCCACCATTACCCTATAGTCCTGCCACATCCCCCTCGCTGAGATGGTAGAGATAGTGATCAATAAATACTGAGGGAACTCAGAGACCAGTGCCGGTGCAGGTCCTCCATATGCTGAGTGCCGGTCCCCTGGGCCCACTTTTCTTCCTCTATACTTTGTCTCTCTGTATCTTATTTCTTTTCTCAGTCTCTCATCTCCACCTTTCGAGAAATACCCACAGGCGTGGAGGGGCAGGCCCCCTTCAAAGTGATATGCCCTTCTCAGAGCATCAAATGGGACAATATGATACCAATCTATCTTATTACTAGTGGCGTGAAATTTGATTCCCTGGTTACGGTGGTGTCTGCCAGGTTTCTCCACTGTAATGTCACGATTTTTCATTTTGTAAATAATAAATATCGTGAGGAAAATACTTTTTTTGTTTTGTTTTGTTTTTTGAGACAGGGTCTCACTCTGCCGCCCAGGCTGGAGTCCAGTGGTGTGATTATAGCTTACTGCAGCCACAACCTTCCAAACTCAAGTGATCCTCCCACCTCAGCCTCCTGAGCAGTTAAGACTATACATGGGCCAGGTGCAGTGGCTCCTGCCTATAATCCTAGCACTTTGGGTGGCCGAGGTGAGTGGATCACAAGGTCAGGAGATCGAGACCATCCTGGCCAACATGGTGAAACCTCATCTCTACCAAAAAACAAAAAATTAGTCAGGTATAGTGGTGTGTGCCTGTAGTCCCAGCTACTCAGGAGGCTGAGGCAGGGGAATCACTTGAACCTGGGAGGTAGAGGTTGCAGTGACCCAAGATTGCACGACTGCACTCCAGCCTGGGAGAGAGCGAGACTCCATCTCAAAAAAAAAAAAAAAAAAAAAAAAAAGAAAGACTGTAAGCATAATGCCACTATGCCTGGCTAATTTATTTTTTGTAGAGATGAAATCTCACTATGTTGCCCAGACTGGTCTTGAACTCTTGGCTCACCTTGCTGGGATCATAGACATGAGCCAATAGTGATTTTCTTTCTTTTTCATTTTTTGAGACAGGGTCTCACTTGGTCACCTAGGCTGCAGTGCAGTGACGCAACTTCAACCTCCCAGGGCTCAAGGGATCCTCCCACCTCAGCCTGTCAAGTAGCTGGGACTACAGTCATGTACAGTCATGTACCACCACACCTGGCTATTTTTTTTGTATTTTTTGTAGAGATGGGGTCTTGCCATCTTGTCCAGGCTGGAATAGTGATTTTCTATTTCCTTCTTTCCTTCTACATTTATTAACTGGAATTCTTTTGAAAGGAAGACTTGTCCTTTCTTCTACAGTTATTTATTTATTTAAATATTTATTTTAAGACAGAGTCTTGCTCTGTTGCCCAGGCTGGAGTGCAATGACATGATCTTGGCTCACTGCAACCTCCGCTTCCTGGGTTCAAGTTATTGTCCTGCCTCAGCCTCCTGAGTAGTTGGGACTACAGGTGTGTACCACTACGCATGGCTAATTTTGTACTTTTTTCAGTAGAGACAAGGTTTCACCATATTGGTCAGGCTAGTCTCGAACTCCTGACCTCAGGTGATCTGCCCGCCTTGGCCTCCCAAAGTGCTGGGATTACAGGCGTGAGCCACTGTGCCCAGCCTAATTATTTATTTATATCATTATGGATTCAAGGGTATTTATTTTATTCTATGGGCTATATCCAATACTATTGTTATTTATTTCATTGCTCAAATTGTTCCAGTTTTGGCCACTGGCAGCTCCTTCAGGTTGGCTCCTGTGTCCTTCTGACTGCCCCCATCATCCTTTTCTGAGCACTTCTAACTGGCACCACAAGATGCTCTAGGTGCATCCTGGGAGTTTCCATCCCCACCCCTGGAATCAGCCATTTCTGCAAGGAGTTCTGTTTTGTTTTGTTTTGCTTTTTGGAGAGAGATTTAGAAACCAAGATTTGGGCACTGGGTTGCTCACTGTCCTGGAGTGTCAATACTTTTAGGCCCTTTCAGTGCACAGAGCTAGGAAATATATGTGTGTACATTAATGTGTGCAAAAACACACATCTGTATGTATTGGTACATATATATTTTTTATTTTAAATATCTGAGATCATACTGGCACCTCCAATTCCAGTCCAGTGTGGGGTTTCCTTTTCTTTTTTTTTTTTTTTTGAGACAGTCTCACTCTGTCGGCCAGGCTGGAGTGCAGTGGCGTGATCTCAGCTCACTGCAACCTCTGCTGCCTGGGTTCAAGCGATTCTCCTGCCTCAGCCTCCCGAGTAGCTGGGATTACAAGTGCCTGCCACTAAGCCCAGCTAACTTTTGTATTTTCAGTAGAGACAGGGTTTCACCATCTTGGCCAGGCTGGTCTTGAACTCCCGACCTCATGATCCACCCGCCTTGGCCTCCCAAAGTGCTGGGATTATAGGCGTGAGCCATTGCGCCCGGCCCAGTGTGGGGTTTCTTTAGATGTGATGTTTGAGAAGGCCTCATGAGTAAGATACTCTAAGATCAGACCTGAACACTTCTGGGCATTGCTGGCAGGAATGCAAAATGGCACAATCCCTAGGGTAGGAAATCTGGCAGTAATCTAGCAAAATGATACATGCTGTGACTCAGAAACTGTACTTCCAAGAAAATGTCCCAGCTGGCTGTGATGGCTCATGTCTGTAACCCCATCACTTTGGGAGGCCAGGCAGGAGGACCACTTGAGGCCAGGAGTTCAAGATCAGCCTGGGCAACATAGGGAGGCCCTGTCTCTAGAAAAGTTTTTTAAATTAGCCAGGCATCAGAGGTTGCAGTGAGCTGAGATCACATCACTGCACTTTAGCTCTTTGTTTTGAGGTAGAGTGAGACCCTGTCTCAAAACAAAACAAACAAACAAACAAAATTAGCCAGACACAATGGCACTTTGCTTATAGTCTATTCAGGAGGCTGAGGTAGGAGGATGGCTTGAGCCTGGGAGGTGGAGACTGCAGTGAGCTGTCACTGTGCCATGGCACTCCAGGGTGAGACTCCGTCTCAAAAAAAGAAAAAGAAAAAAGCAAGGTGAACAGTACAGATAATATACCCCTTGCTACAGTTTGGATGTGTTTTATCCCTGACAAAACTCAGGTTGAAATGTGATCCCCAATGTGGCTGTGATCGGAGGTGGGACCTAGTGGGAGGTGTCTGGGTCATGGGGATGAACCACTCACAGACTAATGCCATGGAGGAGGGGGCCAGTGGGTGGGTTTCCCTCTCAGGGGAATGGATTAGTTCCCTAGATGGGGGAGGCTGTTAAAAAGTCTGGCTTGCTCTCTTGCTTCCTCTCACCACATGCTCTCTTTGTACACACCCACTGTCCTTCCACTTTCTGCCATGAATTGAAGTAGCCTGAGGCTCTCACCAGATGCAGCTGCCCAGCCTTGAGCCTTTCAGCCACTAGAATTGTATGCCAAATAAACCTGTTTTCGGCTGGGCGTGGTGACTTACACCTGTAATCCCAGCACTTTGGCAGGCTGAGGCGGGTGGATCACCTGAGGTCAGGAGGTTGAGACCAGCCTGGCCAACATGGTGAAACCCTGTCTCTACTAAAAATACAAAAAATTAGCCAGGTGTGGTGGCGGGCACCTGTAGTCCCAGCTACTTGGGAGGCTGAGGCAGGAGAATCTCTTGAACCCAGGAGGTAGAGGTTGCAGTGAGCTGAAACTGTACCACTGCACTCCAGCCAGGGTGACAGAGCAAGACTCCGTCTCAAAAATAAAATAAAATAAACCTCTTTTTTTTTTTTTTTGTAAATTACTCAGCCTTAGGGAGTCTGTTACAGCAACACAAGATGGAATAAGACAACCTTGTATCTAATAAAGGGTGAGCCCATCATCATCATCACTATCAAACACGGGTCACCTTGAACAGGTTTCTCAACTGTGGCACCACTGACATTTTGGCCAGATAACTCTCGGTTGCAGGGGCTGTTCTGTGTACTGCAGGATGTTCAGCAGCACCCCTGGCCTCTGCCCCTTAGCTGACAGCAGCACTCCCTTCCCCTCCCCATTTGCAACAACTAAAAAGGTCTCCAGATATTGCCAAATGTTTCCTGGGAGGCAAGATTGTCAGTAGTGGAGAAACACTGCCTTTCAAAAATGCTAGGGATCCATTCATTAGTCTAAAACCTGGAAAGTAAGGGGAAAAAAATACCCTCGACTGTAGGAGAAGGAACCAGTTGTGTGAAGATGTGGACAGCCTTCTAGGCAGAGGGAACAGTGGATACAAAGGCTCTGCATGTTTGAGAAACATCAAGGAGGCTGGTGTGGTTGGAATCTAGTGGTCAGGGGGCTGAGGTGTATGAGGAGGTTGGAGTGACAGGCAAGGCCAGTTCATCTCCAAGAAATCCTGTTTCTCAGCCTCCAAGAACTCAGCACAGTGATTCAAAGAAGCCCTGTGACTTGGGAAGAACTTCAAAACTTCAATTGCTGCCAACCAATATTGTGACAGTGCATGACCTTGGGAGGTGAGAAGTCACTTGGGCCACAGTGCGCCTGTAGAGCTTTCTGCAGCCAACAGGGACTGGTGACAGCCAGTTCCAGTGAGACACACCAGCTGGGGGGCTTGGCTCAGAATCCAGGACAGACAATGCTATCCACGCGGAGCTGCACATGGGAGGCAGAAAAGGTTACTTTCTGAACCACCTCACCGTGGCTCTGGGAAAATAAACAATCAGAGAGCCCTCAGCCTCCTCCTCCAGCCTCGGATAAGGCAACCTCAGGACACTGCTCTTCCAGGAAAGGCCACTGTGGGCAGGAGGTGGCCTTCACCGGGCATGGCCACCAGCCACTCCAGGCTAGGCCTCCAGATGCCAAACCCTGCGACCCTCAGTTCGACATCAACAAGGGCTCTGGCTATTTTTGTGCTCTGGGCAATTTAGTCTCACTCAGACAACCTAAATCTGTCTTATTTCTGACCAAAAAGTGGGACTTCAAAAGACACCCTCATCCTCCAGCTCAGAGCAGAATCCTGTGGCCTGTGACCTGTCCCATCTCCCCTCAGACCCTCCCCGGCCCCGAAGGGCCCACAGGAAGAGTGTCCCAGGGCCCTCCCTGCGCTGGCCCTGCCATCTGTCCCTCGGGCCTCTTGTGCCTTCTACCTGCAGACGCCTCCCGCAGAGTCCCTCCTGGAAGCTGCTCTCCCCGGGTGGCCCCGTCCCTCTCAGTCCGACTGAGAAGGCTCCCAGTCCTCAGACCCCAGGCAGGTCAGGCTTTCAGCCTCTCCCGGCCCCCATGCCAGGGCTTGCTGTCTCTGGTTCAGCTGTTCCTCTGGACAGCGAGCCCTTGGAGGGCCGGGATGGAGCCATGTGGGTGGACATGGGAGGCTCGCATGTCAGCTCATCGGCCGCTGTGTTCCGGGGCCCCAGAGCGGGGGTGCCCCGGCCCCTTCTTCCCAAGGGCCTCTTGTCCCCAGGACAGCGGCTCAGTGTCCGGCACTCAGAGCCCTTTGGGCTGGGTATCACTGCCAGTCTGGGTGTGGCTACCATGTCCCCATGTGACTCCATCAGAAGCCACCGACATTCCCGTTGCTGTGGACCTGCCTCCTCTCCCGGCCTGGCCCCTGAGGGTGGACAGCGGCTCCCCCAGAGCCCCGGGTGCATGGGCTGGGCCTGCCTGGCTGGTCCCACAGGCAGCAAAGGCGGTGGGGCAGGGGCACTTCAGACCCAAAAGAAGGCTTGGGCCCCACAGCCTCTGCAGGCCAAGGGAGGGCGGGACTCATGACCTGTTGGTTCTGCGTCCTGAAGGGGCTTCTCCCACCCAGAAATCTCAGCACCGCCTCGAGGCGGGCCCAGGGCTCCATGCTGAGGTATTTCCAGCTGGGTCTCATCACTGGCTTGCTTCAAGGGCTGTTTCCATAAATGGTGCTGCTCTCATAATTACCGGTCCAGGCCTCAGACAGTTCTGGACCCCAAATTAAAAGAGAACACCCACACATGCCTCCACATCAAGCCCGCCAAGGCCAAGAATAGATCCCAGGAGATGTTAGCAAGAAAGACACAATTCCTCCAGTGAAATCCCGGGAAAGAATGAACTGTGGGAATTTTCCAGAAAGAAGTGGTCATGGTGACACATCCTCTCTTGCCTGTGGGAAAGAGGTTCCAGGAGGAGGGGGGCTGGGTGCACCTCCCCACCCTGTGCCTCAGCCCGGAGGAGCCCCCATCAGCAGGCAGGGGGTGGGCATATTCTTTGGTCAGAGCTGGAAAGGACTTCAGGTCCTGCAGAGATGGGGAAACTGAGGCCAAGGAGGGGCAGAGGGTTTCCAGGGTTAGATTACAGGCCTGTGTCAGAATAGAGACCTCTGATGTGGATGTTCACACTTGGGGCCAGTGTGAAATGAGTGGCCCTGGAGTTCAATGGGACATATTGGGATGGGGGTCACCCGTCAACAAGGCCCTCCTATCAACAGACACCCGAGAATGCCCGTGAAGCCACCTTCCTCCAGGCAGGGCCCTGTGGGGACCTGGGGTCCCAGGGGAGGGCCCAGGGAGCTATGGCACCCATTGTTGGCCCCCACACAGACAGGGAGGGCCGGCCCCACTCTGTCCCACCTGACCAGGCCCAGGTTCCTCCTGGCTCTCCCTGCCTCCTGCTGGGTTCCTCTTTCCCTCAACTTCCTGCCACGGGGTGGGGGGCAGGGGCAGGGAAGAGTCAGAATTGGTCCTGTTCTCAGGTTGTTCAGGGGTTGCTGGGGAGTAGGAGAAAGAGGGGCTAGGTGAGCCCCTGGGTCACACAGGCAGAAAGCGACTGGAATCCTAAGAAAAGTGCATGCAATGCAGGTGGGGCTTCTGCCTGGAAAGAGCCTGTCCCTGTGGGATTGTGGGGTAGGGGCAGAGAGATTTATGGAAACCCTGACCCACCTTCATTGAAAAGTGGGTGGAGTTTTCACAAGCAAAAATGGAGGTAAGTGTATTCTATGAAGGAGCTACCCAACGAGCAATGGTGCAGAAGTGGGGCACAATCGATCAGCCCCCATTTGTGAAGTTCCTACTGTGTGTCGGCTTCCAGCTGGCCACACTGCATGCAACCCCGGGAGGCTGGCTCACTTACCTTGCCTCAAAGGTGTGGAAACTGAGTTTCAGGGACTTTAAACAAGCTGCTCAACATCGCACAGCTCCCAAATGGCACACGCAAGATTAAAATCCCTGCTTTAATATATCCACAGAGGGATGTGGATAAAAGTGTTCAGAACAACCCGAATGTCCATAACAATGGATGGACTGTGGTATGTATATTCATGCAATGGAATACAACTCAGTTATGAAAAAAAGAACTACAGATACAACAACATGGAGGAAAATGGAAAAAGAAGCATGCTGAGTCAAAGACTAGACTCAAGAGTATGCACTGTAAGATTCCATTTATGTGAAGTTCAAAGAACAGGCCATGGCAATGAAAATCAGAAAGTAGTTGCCGGAAGGATTGTCTGGTAGGAATGGGGCTCCCTAGGGGCACCCAAGTTACATGCTTCTGCAGAATCTGAATTTTGTAGAATGAGCATGCATTATTTCTATAAATTCCCCCAAAATAAAAATTCTTTAACAACAGGCTTCTCAGCTTACAATACACATTCACATTCAGTTCAATTCGACAGCACTTACTGCATCTAATGATAGGCGGGGACCTGGCCTGGGGTGGAGGCAGCTGCTGTGTTTCACATGGAGGCAGGGGGACAACCTGCTGTGTGGCCTTGGGAAAACCACCTAACTGCTCTGAGCCTCTCTCTCCTCTCTTTCAAACACAGATGTGACGGCAATTGTGAGATACCAATGAAGGAAGAGATGCAGAGGTTCTGGGCACGTGGGCATCGCTGGGTATCATCTCACACAAGCCCAGAACAGTCCCATAAGATGAGTATCTCCATTTTACAGAGGAGGAAACTGAGGCTTGGGGAGGTTGACTGGAAAGCCCAGATCACACTGAGATCAGGTGTTGGCGTCAGGATGCAAATTCCTTGTGTGTGGGTCTCAGGTCAGAAACCCCCAATCTAGCCCTGTCTGTCCTGCCATTGTTCAGCCCCTCCTGTTTCCCGATGGGGCGTTGCTGTCTAGCACACCCGACAATTACCTTTAGGGCTCATGTATGTATTATGTGTCTCTAGACTAGAAAGTCATCTCCCTGAGGGCAGGGACTTTACTTCTCTCATTGTTATATCCCCAGCAACTAGAACTCTGCCTGGTCCGTGGTAGGTGCTACAGAACTATTTGCTGAATGAATGAATGGGAAAATGAAAGAGGTCCCTGGTAAAGAACCAAAGGAAGTGGCCCTGGGGCCCACGGAGATGGTGCCACCGTTCCAGGTCACACGGCTGGCAAGGGCAGAGCAGGACCCGGGCCAGGTCCCGAATTCCCACTCAGTCCTGCTTCTCCCAAATCCAGACGGCTCTGTTCATCAACACCCCTGTCCATGGCCACCGGAGACCACAGGAGCAAATCTGTCTGGTTCAGGAAGGGATCAGGACAAAAATGAAGCTGCCTGCATTCTGATCCTGGCTGGACTTCTGCCTGCTAGTCCTGCTTATGCCTCAGTTTCTCAATCTGGAACATGGGCACCTGCCTCTCTGCTGAGATGGGTGGAGAAGGATTCAGAAGGAGTGTGCAGAGGTGGTCCTTCCTGCCATCCTTCCTCCCTCAGGAGGGGCCGGGCTGCCCTGAGGCACTGGGGCCAAGGCATGGCGGTGTTGTGAGAAGGCGCCTCTGCCACAGAGCCACAGGGTCAGGGCTGGGAGGCACCTTGCTTTTCTGATGCCATCACCGTAGAATGGACGAGAAAGCAGAGGCCCAGGGAAGGGAAGGGCCGTGGCTCAGGACATGCAGGAGTTAATGGTGGGCCCAGGCAGCACAAGAACCTGGGTCCTGCCTCCCAGCTCAGGGCTCTCCCCTCCCTGAGCACAGAGAGACCAGGGACAGAATCCAACCGCTCCATCACTGTCCTGCCCAAGAGAGCCCAGGTCTACAGGCTGATATGGATGACAGGCCAGGCAGGGCCCCGGCTCTGACCCCAGCCCTGGCCTCCCAGTGCAGGCTCTGAACATCAGGACGCAGGCTTGGCTTCCTAAAGCACCTGCTCTGCACGGAGGCCTGAACCCATGGGTGGGAAGCCAGCGAGAGCCCCGCCCTCTGGGTCCCACAGGCTGCCATCAAGAGTTGGGCCCTAGGGGCACCAGGCCTGGCTTTTCAGGACTCAGATGAGGCTGATAGGAGAGGTGGAGCTGGCAGAAGCAGGTGTGAGAGCCTGGGTGTGGGCAGTGACACCACAGCGACCCTGCTATTAGATCCCATGGTGGCTCTGGGGCCACCAACCTTCAGGGGCCTCCAAACACTGAGAGCATCCTGGTACGTGTCTATCCACCCCCCACCCACCCCGCCCCACCCAGCCTCAGTAATTACCAGTTAAAGCTACTCTGAGACAGTTCTACTAGTGCAGTTAGCACAGCAGAATAAAGAAGGCCTTTCTGACAGCTGGCTGCGCCCACCCACAGCCTGGGCTTCCACTAACAACGATCTGCTTGTTAATCCCACGGCGCTGGAGGCCCCGAGTCTTCATGAAGTGCTCAGAGCTGGTGTGGGAAGAAGCTGGGATTTGGAATCCACAGCCATGGATGTCACCTTGGATGTGCTGTGTGGCCCTGGGCTGGCCATTTAATCTCTCTGAGCGCATGAAATGGGGCTGGCAAAACAGTCTCACATGAATTAAATGAGGAATTGTAAGGCTGTGAAAGTTCACACGTGGCCAGGCATGGTGGTTCACGCCTGTAATCCCAGCACTTTGGGAGGCTGAGGTGGGAGGATTGCTTGAGTTCAGGAGTTCAAGACCAGTCTGGGCAATACAGTGAGACTCCCCGTCTCTACAAGAAATATTTAAAAATTATCTGGGTGTGGTGGTGTGCGACTGTAGCCCTAGCTACTGGGGAGGCTGAGGGAGGAAGATTGCTGGAGCCCGGGAATTAGAGGTTGCAGTGAGCTATAATCGCACCACTACACTCCAGCCTGGGGAATGCAGTGAAACCCTGCCTCTTAAAAAAAAAAAAAAGAAAAAAGAAAAAAGAAAGAAAGAAGGAAAGAAAGGAAAAGAAAAGAAAAGAAAAAGTTCACATGCTACTTTTCATTTTAAAAATAAGTACAAACACCTTTGATTGGCTTTTAGAGTTCATTTCTGGGTTTCACGTGTACAAGACATGTGGAGATGTTCCTGTCACCTCCACACTAAGGCTGGGCCACAGCTGGGAGGCCAACAGTGCCCAGGTCCAGGTTCACCCTCTGAGGGGAGCAGCACAGGCTTTCTACTCCTGCCCCTCTACCAATCACACAACAACCCTGAGGACAGATCACCAGGCACCTCCTTTTATAAGGAGCAACCAAGGCTGAGAAGGTGAGGAACTTCCCTAAGGTCACACAGAGGGGTGGGCCCTGCCCAATTCACAGCAACAGCCCCACCAGGCTGTGCATGCCTTGACCCAGGGGATGCCAGGGGAGGTCGGATGTGGGCTGGGTGGTGACGCATTCTGATGGGCGGCTCCCTGGGGACATTCTTGGACGACTCCATCCACAACTCTTCTTGGTCCTGAGCCCAGTGTCAGCCTGTCCTGATGACAGAGCCCCAGCCCCAGCTTCACAGATGGTCTCCTCTGTCCCACATCCCCACCCTGTCCTCTAACTACAAAGGCAGCATACAGATCCCACCGGCTAGAGTCCTGTCCCTGGCACTGGGCGCTCAGCGATGGTGAATGGCTGCCTTCTGCTGCTCGCCTCCACCACCAGCTCTGGGTTGCGGGAAGCAGAGGCTTGGCCATGCCCTCTTCTGCTCTAGTGTAGGAAGCAAATGGCTGATGGCCCCACAAGACCTGCTGCAGCTCAGTACCCTGTGTTCCTCAGCCCAGACTCCTCAGAAAGCTCTCTGCACCCTGAAAGCCTGACCTGACAACAGAAATGTCATCTCATTGAGCCCTGGATGGACAGTCAGGCTTCCTGGGCCTGTCCTGGCTCAGCAACATAGAGGCTGCGCTGTCCTAGGCATGGCGCTGCCTCTCTGAACCTCACTGTCCTCATCTGGGAGATGGGGATGAAGACCGTGGCTGTTATCAGGGTTGTCGGGAGGATGAAGAATTAATGATGCTGTCTGTGGAGGGAGGCTGGTGGCTGGGGCAGGTACCCACTCCCTGCTCTCAGCCCCACAGCTCCCCCACTTCGGGCTGAGCTGTGGTCCTTGGCTCCCAGACCCCGGCCTGTCACTAGCCACAGACAGGAGGCAAAGCAGACGGGGGACCTGACCAACAGTAACTACACGAGCATAGACCAAAGAGTTTAGTACTGGAAAAGAAAAATCTGAGATCTTAAGGAATAAATAGCTCCAGGGTTTGATACAAGATGTTTGCAGACAGGAAAAGCCCGGCTTTGCCTGGGAGAACACAGTGGGTCCAGCTGCCCACTGGGCCATTCCACAGGACCGGACACTCACCCTATACCAGGCCACATGCTAAGTGCAGGGCCCAGGGTGACAAGGCCACAGTCCCTGCCCCAGCGAGCTGAGTCTGCTCCTTCCCCAGCCGCTCCCCTGACAGCCGCACCCCACCCAGGCTCCGCACAGGGAAGAGCCTGCTGTGGACTCAGGGCACGCGACTCAGCTCTGGTCACTCCGATGATGTGACCACAGGTTTCCACGCTGAACTTTGTCCCTCTCCTCAGTACTGTCCTTATCACAGTGACAGCATCCCGGCCTCTGTTTACTCACCTGTCTCCCCAGGACCAGGCTGTCTTCCCGGGGCAGCCCAGGTGGGCAAAGACATCACCTAATTCTTACTCCTGGGTGTGTCTGGGGCAGGGTGAAGGCAGCGCCTGGGAGTCCACAGTCCCCCACACTCTGCTCCTGACCACCCCGCAGCCCAGGGGGCCCCCATGACCCTTAGACCTTCCCTAACCACGGCGGTCCCACTCCCCTGTGGTTCGCGTCCACCGTCTGTGATTCCCCGTTCGGCCAGGGCCCGGCACCGCCCGCGGATGCGCGCCCCTCCCCTGCAGCCAGCTTACTCCGAGGGTCCCCGCGCGGGCGGCCGCACTCACCCATGTTGACGAAGCTCATGACCAGGTCGGCGCGGCCCAGGCGCTGCTCCGCGGGCGCGCCGTCCTCGTCGTCGTCGCCAGCCATGGCGTGGTACAGGTCCAGCATGAAGAGCGGCGCGGACGCGGGCAGCCGGGAGGCGGCGGGTGGCGCGCGGGGCCGGGGCCGCCCGGGTAGCCCGAGCACCGCCAGGATCTCGCGCTGCACGTCCCGGCGCTCGCGCGCGCCCAGACGTCGCTGGGGACAGCCGGGCGGGGGTCGCAGGCCGGGGCCGCCCCCGCCCAGCGCGCACAACGTCAGGCCCAGAAGCCAGAGCGGTCCGGGGCGCGCGGCCATGGCGGGCCGGGGGCGCTCAGCGGGCGCACATCAGCTCCGCCGCCGCCCCTGGGCCCGGGGACGCCCCGACGGCGAACGGGGAGCTGAGTTCGGCGAGCAGGGGGCGGGGCTCGGCGGGCGGCGTCTGCGGCCTCAGCGCGGTCCCTGGAGCGCCCCCCGCGCGCACCTGCCCCGGCTCCGGGACAAGCGGACGCTGACGCGGACGCAGACGCCAACGCTTCGAGGCCGGGGCTGTTCTGAGGGCTGGGACTGTCAGCCAATCCGTCTGTCGCCGCCGTTCCCACCAGTCCGGCTGTGGCTGCGGTCCGCGCAGCGCAGGGGCGACCGGCGAGCTCCGGCAGCGACCCGGGCGGCGCGATTCCCGCGAGTCCTTGCCCCGGCTCAGCCGTCTGTGCCGCCCGCCCACCCCCGGGACTGACCAATGGGGGCGCGGGGGCGGGGCCTGGGCGCGGAGGCCGCGCCCGCTAGGAGCCCCGGGCGGCGGCAGGTGTTGCGGGTGGGGCGACCCCGAGGTGCGACCTCGGCGTGGCTGGCGGTTGGTCCGGGCGAGGAGCCCGCAGCCTGGGCGTCAGCGTGGTCAGGGCCGTCGTGGCTCCCGCCGCGGGCCTCGGCGCAGAGATCCTAAGGCCGCGGCGCCGTCCCGGTCCCGCCAGTGGTGCCACCCGGCTGCCTCGCCGTGGTGTGCCGTGGTCGCCACCGGGCCCGACACGCGGCCGTAGCCCCGTCTGGAGAGCCGGGCGGTGCCAGCCAAGCCCCGCGGGTGGGGCCTGTTCCTCTGCCCGCAGCAGCCGGCCCGGGTTCCGGCCACCGCGGCCCCTCACCGCCTCCTGGCGCCTTCCCCGTGGCCCCTGCATGCGCTTCTGCGGGCGCCTCCTTCTCGGCACCTGCTCGGCTGCTTCTCCCTGCGTCCCCCACCTGGCTCCCGCGTGAGCCCAGGCAGCGCCCCAGTCGGGCCGCCCCCGCCAGCCCTAGCTGTGCGCCCTGCGTCCCCGGTACTGATCCAGCTTTGCGGAGGAGGCTCCGCCTCCTGCCTCCAGCTGGGCCAGAAGCTCTGGGGCCCTTCCCGAGCACTCGGGAGCCACCTGTGCACATCTTCTCAGTCCCCACGGCCCCGGTGCAGGCCTGCCAAGAGAAGGATCCCCGCGGAAACGTCTCGACTGACTCAGTCCCTTTCTGCACACCTGCTCTTCCCTGGGCGCGCTCTCGCCTTACTTATTCCTGTGTGGTTCAGGCGCTGCGGAAGGAGAAGGCACCTAGACTGCACTGGGAAGGCTCCTGGAGTTGACCTGGAGCGCCAGGAAAGGTCAGTGGAGGAAAGTGCTCCAGGCAGAGGGAATAGCTTGTGCCAAGGCCCTGAGACCCCGGCTGGGGAGCCTAATAATGGCAACAGTCAGCACTTGCCACGCCAAGGCATGTTCTGAGTGTGTGTCTCGTGTCATTTCTGTGATGCTCGCACATCGTTAGGGGGTACATACCACTGGAACCTCCTCTTTTAATAAATGAGGAAACTGAGGCACACGGCGGTTAAGGGACTTACGCCAGGTCACACAGCAGTGGAGCTGCGCTCGGGCAGGGGGGCAGTGGAAACTGGAGAGCCCAGGGGGCAAACGGCGGAGGCTGGAGGGGCTGGCAAGGGAGGCACCGCAAAGGGCCTCACAGGGGCTAGACGAGGGCCCTGGGCACCAGAGATTATGGTGCCCCGCCATGTGGATTGAAGATTAAACCTCGAAGCAAGTGTATAATGCCCCCAAAAATCACATTTGGAAGTCATCACTTCAATAAAATTTTCTACAACAAATTCTTAATCTAAATAGTCATTTGCTGGTGCCTTAAACACACGCCTAGTTTGTCTTTTACCCAACAGGTATATTTCCACACTGCTCGTAAATTTTCTGCGCGGTCCCCAGAGCGCCCCCCATGAGGCACCTGCATCAGCTCCGGGCAGAGCAGATGTGGATGCCACCGCCTAGAAGCCGGGGCTACCCTGCGGACTGGGACTGTCCCATAAGGATACTGAGCTAAGGATAATGCAGAATAACCGTTGAAAGTACCCAAGACCAGAGCTTGGAAGCAGAGCGGAATATGGATCAGAGGGAGACAGGAGTCAGGGCCCTGCAGTTGGAGGCAGGTACAGCAATCAGATGTGGGGGTGGGTACAATGACCATGAGTCTCTAATGGTGATGGGGTGGAGGGGCAGAGGAGAAAGCTGTTTAGGAGGCTGAATCCACAGGGCTTTGTCCCCATGTCATCTTGGTCAGAGTCTCGGAATCTCCTGCCCACACCCCCTTCACTGTCCTCTCTGCACGCCCCTTTTGAATCCACTGCACATCACTTGAGGCCCTAGATCCAGCCTGTACAATTCTCAGGTTTGTTTTGTGCAATTCTGGGCTCCCAGCTAGACTGCAAGCTGCCCAGTGCTGGGCTGATTCTTATAACAGAAATCATTTCTCAATTTAGGATGTGGAGATAGAGCTGTGTTTTCTAAACAACGGGCTTCACATTCCCATAAACCTAAACAGCAGATTTTAGCCATTCCAAGGGCCTCTGCCCACGCTTCAGTTCAGCAACAACCACCGTGAGCTGCTCTGTGCTGTGCCCTGAACCAGAGATGGAGCAGACAAGCCCCCTGCCCCTGAGCAGCCCCCACAGCAACAGGGGTGACAGCTGGTGAACACGGCAATTTCCCAAAGCAAAATGAAAGCTGTGCTCCCAGAGGAGCCAGCAAAGTGGCTGTAAGGGCAGAGGAGCGGGGAAGTGGGAGCAGACCACATGAGTGGAATCCAGAACATTAGGACTGGAAGGGAACTGAGGTGGGGTAGGTTTCTTGGAGAAAGTAGTGTCAAAACAAGGGTTTTCCCTAGCCACCTGGCAACTCTGTGATCTTAACCTCTCTCAGGCTCAGTGTCTTATCAAGAAAAGGGGGCTAATGATCATAGAACTGTTAAGCGTATTCAGTGAGAATGTATATAGAGCACTTAGCACAATCACTGGCTTACAGTAAGCAGTCAATAAATATGAGCTAGTTATTGCATCATTCAAGGCCCCAGCAGACACCAAATTTTCCTTCCTCATTTAGCATTTCTATCACAGGACTGTGATTATATATATATATATTTATTTACTTATTATTTATTTTTTGAGATGGAGTTTCTCTTTTCTTGCAGGCTGGAGTTCAATGGCGCAATCTTGGCTCACTGCAACCTCCGTCTCCCAGGTTTAAGCAATTCTCCTGCCTCAGCCTCCCGAGTAGCTGGGATTACAGGTGCCCACCACCACACCTGGCTAATTTTTGTATTTTTAGTAGAGACGGGGTTTCACCACATTGACCAAGCTGGTCTTGAACTCCTGACCTCAGGTGATCCACCCGCCTCAGCCTCCCAAAGTGCTGGGATTACAGGAATAAGCCACCACACCCGGCCCAGGACTGTGATTATACTTTAACCCTTTTCCTAGCATCTTGTTATTTCCTACATGGTCTTGTGTACAGGCATTTGTTGAATGGAAATGCACTTTTTTTTAGCCAGGCATGGTAGCATGTGCCTGTAACTCCAGCTACTCAGGAGGCTGAGGCAGGAGAATAGTTTGAGCTTGGGAGGCGGAGGTTGCGGTCAGCCCAGATTGCGCCACTGCACTCCAGTGGGCAACAGAATGAGTCCCTATCTCAAAAAAAAAAAAAAAAAAGAAAAAAAAAAAAAGAAAAAAAAAGAAATGCACTTTTCGTTGGTGCCGCTGCCAGCTGAACTTTGCCACAAAACCCCAGAAAACCTTAATTACTTGGTAAGATTCTGGACCATAACCCACAATCTGGGAAGATGGAGGTCAAGCTGGTCTCACATGCTTCTGCTGCCAAGAGGCCTAGAAGGGGAAGCAAATTAGGGTGAAAACACTATCCTATACAAAGTCCTGGCAGCCTGAAGTTCCCCAGTTCCATGGAGAACAGAGTAAGCACTTCCTTCAGAATCCATTAGGCTCCAAATTCCTTTTAATCTGGGTATTTGGCCTTAACAGCTTTGGCAAACATGCATCGATCTCACCAAATGCCTATGTCCTAAGGAATGCGGCCTAATGACCAAGAACACAGGTGGCATGAGTCTTAGCCCCTTTACCTCCGAAGCCTCTAGCCCTTTTCTTCTTATTACTAAGTTAACATTTGGCTGCTCTATTATAAAGCCAACTGACTAGAGGCTGGAGGAAATAGAAGTGCCAGACTTGAACAGGGAGTCGAGGACTGGATTCAAGGTTCACTTCTGTCATTTATTCATTTTGTGAGCTCAGGGAAATCACTTTCTCTTGTACTTTCCCATCCCAGTTTCTCCATCTGTAAAACAAAGGAGCTAGATATGATGACCGATTTTGCTTCCACCTCTGAAATTCTACCATTTAACCAGAAATTTCAGCATACTGTGACATAGTGTGACAAACTGGTCCCATTCTGAGAACCCAGGATCTCCATGATTTCTAGTATCTTTTTACATAATACTATTTGTTTAATCATGTAAGTAGGACAGATATCCTACATGTTCATGTTAATAGCTTGTCTTTTTTTTTGAGACAGGGTCTCGCTGTGTCACCCAGGCTGGGGTGCAGTGGTGCAATCGTGGCTCACTGTAGCCTTGACTTCCCAGGCTCAAGTGATCCTCCCACCTTAAGTTCCCTAGTAGTTGCGGCTATAGGCATGTGCCACCATGCCTAATTGTTTCTTTAGTTTTAGTAGATACAAGGTCTTACTATGTTTCCCAGGCTGGTCTCCAACTCCTGAACTCAAGTGATCCTCCTGCCTTGGCCTCCCATAGTGCTGGGATTATGGGCGTGAGCCACCATGCCCAGCCATATTAAACAAAATTAACAAGGATGAAATAAAACAAGATCTATTAAGCTCTATAATTTATCCATCAAGATATTTTGATTTGCGGAATGCATTTAAGTACCTACAACATGATTATACCCCAGGGTAACATTTATAGATAAGGTAATAGTTGAAAAGAAAATCAGGAAATACAAAATATTTGTTACTGCAAGCAATTTTAATACAAAAGTGTGTCTTGTTTCTAAACAGTTCATTGGTAGAGCTTCAGTTTCTGCCTCAATTAAAACCAATTGAGATAATCACACAGCAACATGGTCGGAGCTGAAGAACAGCAGCTAAAAAACAGGAGCCCCAGACAGCCCCTTTTCATGGTCACTTGGTCAGTTGACTTTATTACGCACAAAAAAAGACGAAAGCAAACAGGACTGGTTAACAAGTGTGCTGGTGAACTCCATTAAAGGACGAGCACGTGTTTGTCTTACGTCCACATTTTCAGAACAGGCTCGTGGAATTCATTCCTCAGTTTGTGGGAAGTTGATCGACCATTTAAATAAATAGCAAAAAAAGTGGATAAAACAAATCTGAAATTCACAATGTCACCAACGAGCCTATCCCTTGCCAAGGGTCTGGGTCCTGGTGAACACAAGAGTTACTGGTGTCTAGGCTGGATAGGGAGCAACAAATCAGTTTAAAACCCCAAATGTTCTGACGTTTTCTGAACACTTACATTTACCCCTGAATTCTAGCAGCTATTTGTCCTTTAAACACCCAGTACTGAAACAATATCCAAAGACAGTATTGCAA
This sequence comes from Homo sapiens, assembly GCF_000001405.40. Taxonomy (NCBI): domain Eukaryota; kingdom Metazoa; phylum Chordata; class Mammalia; order Primates; family Hominidae; genus Homo; species Homo sapiens. Next base: position 39,486,379 of record NC_000001.11, on the reverse strand, counting down.
TGAACTCCTTTTGCTGTATCATGTGCAAATGTTACTTAGATGAGGTTCCCTCTCTTTAGCTAAAAATCACAAAACATTAAACAATGGAAAAAGCCCTCCCCTCAGTTCTTGCTAATTGAGGTGTCCGTGATTTACAAAAAAAGAGTTCCTTAAACACTGCAGGATTCTTATTTTTTTAATATAATTTATCTTGCTGAGATAGCAAGTCAAGTTTATAAAGAAGATGCATTTAGGAATAATCCTAAAAGATAAAGCAGGTTTACAACCCTGCACCGCGCAGAAACCCTATTAATAGGCTTTTTTTTTTTTAATACACATTTGTATCTTGACCTTTTCACTTGTTTTTCTCAAATATTTCATTTCTGGGCCCCATCCATTACAGGGTTACCAGGAGGCAAATTTTATCTACATAAATATTCACATGAAAATAGTAACTTACAAAAAGAAAAAAAATAAGGCAGCTTCATAACACAATTATTCTTTTACACTTTTAACAATATAACTTCTCCCGTTCAGAATAAATATACACCCAATGTATGGAGCAGGATTCAAAGTGGATAGTGGCTTGGGGGTGCTTAGACAGTGTTATCGCTTGGGACCTGGAGTCCTGGGGGAGGCAGTGGTGGTCTTCTTAGACATGGTTGGGATTTTGGAAGGTTTGTTTAGCCCTCTCCTGGAGTTGCCTTGGCCCCCTGCAGCGCTGCTTTCTGAAGTGTCGGAACAAGCAGACTGCGTCTCTAAGAGGTCAAAGTCAGAAGCGTCACTTCCTCGCCGGCTGCTGGCTCGACTCCCGGCTCGACTCCCAGCCCGACTCCCAGGGCGACTGGCAGACTTTTTAGGGTCTGGAATTCAAGAATAAAACAGCAGACTTAATAGAGATGGCATGGGGTGGAAGAACAAGTGAGCAGAAGCTAGGGTTCTGATCCTGTGTGATCTTAAGCAAATCTCACAGCCTTTCTGCACCCCAGTTTCCTCATCCATACAGAAGTTGCTGAAGCCTTTTCTGGCTTTGTGATTCTACTTGAGAAGCTGCCTCCTGGGGATTAGAAAGCCACTCTATCAGCAGCACTGTCACCTTCCATGGCCCCAAAGTGGAGGCAAGCAAGGTTGCTCAACCACCTCAGCACAGGTGGGTGAGCCTGCCAGCCGGGCTAATCCATGGGCAGGATGGATAGAGGCAAAATGAGGGGAAGCAGCCAGCCAGGAAATGAAGGAAGATTCCTAGGTTCCCATGAGGAACAGTAGCAGGAGAACAGATGTGATCTTCCCCTGCCTTTCTTGGTTCAACAGCAGCCATAGTAAGTATGACGTGTTGGAAAAATTACTAGCAAGCTGCTCATCCCAACACTGGACTGGTGTCTGAGGAAGACCCACATTTCCTTTTACATTCTCTCAAATGTGATCATTTCTGATGAGAACGCATGGCCCAGCTTTGGCTGTGGAAGCATCTCATCTCAGAAGGAAAGCTTAAAGCTAGCTGTAATGACAGAAAAAGTAAAGGTCACTTGAGCATCTGCAGGTCTGTCTTTCTGGGCATCACACTAAGTGCCACTCTCATTACCCGCTCCTTGGGAGCAGTGAAACATTCCACATAGGCTGTTGTTTCCAAATTCTCAGCCTGGCTTGTAGGTCACGGGGCAGGTACTTACCTGCCCGATTAGTTTTGGCACCTGTGGAGGCCGGGGAAGAACTATTGCTGGTATCACCAGCAAGGGATGTCCGACTAGAATGAAAAGTTGGTGTTGGTCGTTTCAACTTGCTACCTGATGATGGGATAACCTTAAAAAAAATAATAAAAAGGTCACATTTTACTTGGTAAAATCTTTGCCAGAAATTCAACTTTAAAAGGTCTCCTTACACCTCCTTATATTTGCTTAGTTGAAAAGCAAATTAAAAGTCCAGGAAAACAAAGATTTCTCTTAAAGTATCCTAGGTCATATATTTTGATAATTCCCAAAATCAAAGTTTTATGTTCCAAATAAAAATTTCAAAATGTCTTCAAATACCTTTTGTTTTACTAATTTCCCCTAGAAATGAAAAAAAAAAAATCCTCAGTAAGAATACAATAGTTACAACAAACAATTATGGTGAATGAGTAAAGGAAAAAGAAATTCAAATAATACTAGGTATCAAGATTTTGGGGTTAAAAATTTGAAATGAGTTTTAGCCCACCTATTTGATATGGAGATTCAAGTATTACTCCAATCTTTTTTTATTTTATTTTTTTGAGACGGAGTCTCGCTCTGTCACCCAGGCTGGAGTGCAGTGGTGCAATCTCGGATCACCGCAAGCTCTGCCTCCTGGGTTCACACCATTCTCCTGCCTCAGCCTCCGAAGTAGCTGGGACTACAGGCACCCGCCACCACGTCCAGCTAATTTTTTTGTATTTTTTAGTGGAGACGGGGTTTCACCGTGTTAGCCAGGATGGTCTCGATCTCCTGACCTTGTGATCTGCCCACCTCAGCCTCCCAAAGTGCTAGGATTACAGGTGTGAGCCACCGCACCTGGCCCCAATCTCTTAACACTAAGTAGGTGCAGTAACTTTAGTAAGATCTTTTAGTCATTATCCTTACTGGTAAAATGCAGATAAAATTACTTAACTTGTGGATCAAATAAACTATGAGAAGCACACGACTGTGGGACTGAGACATCAGGAACAAGTCTGTGCATGAAGAACCAGGAGACCTGGGTTTGAGTCTGGGTTCCAGGACTGATTGAAATTAACACCTGTGTCTTTGCTTCTCTCTTGGGAAATCAGGGATTAAATCCTGCCTCTTTGACTTCATTTCTACCACACTCCTCATCAGTCCATCCCAGCCACACTAGCTTCCTTGCTGTTCCACCAATGGCCCAGTGAGGGTCCACCAGTCTTGTCCCCTTGCTGTTCATTTTGCCTGGACTGTTGTTGCACAATCACCACACCCCAAGCCTACCCCAGATACACGTGTGGCTCACCCCCTCATTCCCTGCAGGGGCTCTATTGAAAGGATGACCTTAGTAGAGAGGTCTTGTCTCACTACTCAGAACACTGCTTGTACACTTCTATTCTCTCCCCTGCTTCCTGTGTTCTGCACAGCACAGAAGAGGAACTCAATAAAAACTTGCATGAATAAATGATGAATAGAAGCATTTCCCAAACTGGAAAAGAGCTACATATTATTATCACTGCTACCAATAGGTGCTATGTTTCCTATTTGAGTGATTTTTTTTGGTTTTTTAGATAGTAGGCTTAACTGGAGGAAAAAGAGTATTTTAAATGTGTGGGTGTTTTTTTTTTTTTTTTTTTTTTTTTTGAGACAGAGTCTTGCTCCATCACCCAGACTGGAGCACAGTGGCATACTTCATGGCTCATTGCAGCCTCGACCTCCCAGGCTCAAGCAATCCTCCCACCTCAGCCTCCCTAGTGGCTGGCTTATTTTTGTATTTTTTGTAGAGACAGGGTTTCTCCATGTTGCCCAGGCTGGTCTTGAACTCCTGGGCTCAAGTGATCTGCCCACCTCGGCCTCACAAAGTGTTGGGATTACAGGGGTGAGCCACCATGTCCAGCCTTAAATCTGTGTGGGGTTTTTTTTTTTTTTTTTTTTTTTTGAGGCAGTCTCACTCTGTTGCCCAGGCTGGAGTGCAGTGGCACAATCTTGGCTCACTGCAACCTCTGCCTCCCAGGTTCAAGTGATCTCCTGCCTCAGCCTCCCATGTAGCTGGGACAACAGGCGCCTGCCACCACACCCAGCTAATTCTGTATTTTTAGTAGAGATGGGGTTTTGCCATGTTGACCAGGCTGATCCTTAAATGTTTTAAACATCCATTATTTGACCTTGTCTCTACTTTGCTTTTTAAAAAATGAAAAAACAAACAAACAAACAAACAAAAAAACCCCCAAAACATTACTTATGCCACATGCTACAGCATGCCATTCTAATTTTTCTTTGAAATCAATTATGTAAATTGTTTTCCAGGACCTTTAAGACGTTTATGCAAACAGAAGAGAAAAGCAATCCATCTCATTGTTTGCTGTACTTCTTAAATTTATAAAGAAAAAGCATAAGCGATAGAAAGTGATTAACACTCAAGCACAAAATTTCCTGGCCACATAGGAGGAAGAACACCAGTTTCAGAAGCTAAGGTTCCTGCGCACTGCTGCTGGAAGACCACAGCTAGAACCCGGGCTAGAATTCCAAGTCAGGAGATGGCCTGGCTACAGAACACCAATAAGTAAGGAAAGATGAAGCCTCAAAATGAAATGAAACAGAAAATAAAACCTTAAGACAGAACAAAAGCCCTGATTTATCAGAACTGTATGAGAATTTGTACATCATTAAACATCTAAAATTTAAAATAGAACTGAGATTTTTATGAAACTGGAGCCATTAAGGAAAGAAGAAAAGCAAGATAAGCAGGGTGAGTCTAGTAGTTTAGTGGCAGTAGGTCCCCAGATCATATTCTAAACCAGATATATTTCTGAACTGGAGTTTTAGCTTGAAGTGAAATGAACCTCAAAACAGCAGCTCATTCATAGCCATTGACTTCTTGTGCATCCCTTGTTTCCCTGGCTAAGGCTTTCCAAGACTGAAGGCAACACTGTCTTGAGGCACAAGAATCCAATGTTTCTTGGTAGGAGCTGGAATGCAAACTGCACTACTATCAGACAAGCCACTAGTCCATGTTTTATTTCTAAAACACTGCTCTTCCAAAAGCGTTCAGGCACTTTAATGGCTGCACTTGAACATGCTTAATTGCTGGCATGTGTATTCAAATCAAGGCTACAGAAACTCAAGTGCCTAGGCCAAGAAATTCAGAAGCTAGAATGTGAGCCTCAGGTCAGTGTTCACTGGTGCTGTGCTTGGCTGAAGGAGACAGCACCCACGCCTCGGACCAGTGTGGTGTGGCAATACCAACCACCCTGGACATGTGTCTCAGGGCAGGTGGCGCCAACCACTCTTCTGTTCTAAGCAAAGACAGAACATTGTAGAACATGCGCCATAGTTGAATTTCAAGTGTTCATAACTCGTCTGAGTATCTGACATTTGGAGATTCCAAGAGGCCTGATTATAAATGACATCAATAAACAAATCTACAGCAATGACCATCATTTACCATTCTCAGCAAATATCATTCTCAAGATTGTTATAAAGTTATTAATCTAGTTTCAGGCATCTCTTATTTCTCTCCAATTTTGGTGAATCCGAGTTAGAAACCCCTGAAAACACTGGACTAGATGAATCAGCTGTGACAGCAAGCACCACAGAGATGAAAGAGTGCAGGGATTCGTGTCAGGAAGAAGAGCTGGTCAAGTCCAGTAGCGAGGGCCTCGTCTTGACTGTGTCCTCAGTCAGCAAAGCCATACTCTACCTCGGGGGTGGGCAGCTGGAGGTCAGGAGAATGGCTGTCCCTGATAGGGGTGCCAGCTTTACTGTTTACCAACCAGGGTTTGTCATAACAGCGAGAGAACTGAAGTGAAGTCTGTGAAACGGAAATCCAAAGGGAAGGACAGGAACAATTGAAAAAGGAACAAAAAGGGTGCACATTGGGAACAGAAAAAAATAAATAGAAGATACTAAATTTTAAAGAAACAGAAAACAAAATAAAATGCATGTTGGTCCATCAGGATGAGAAGGACCAGGCAGGCACTAACATCATTCACACATAACCCATCATAACATCAAACTTAGCTGTTAGCTCCACTGCACAGCCAGTGCCTGGATTTTCTGTCCTTTTTCCTTATTTTTTTTTTTTTTAATTTTTATTTTTTAGAGACAGAGTCTCACTCTGTTGCCCAGGCTGGAGTGCAGTGGTGCAGTTCATAGCTTACTGCAGCCTTGTATTCCTGGGCTCAAGCAATCCTCTTGCCTCAGCTTCCTGAGTAGCTGGGACTATAGGTGCTCACCACCATGCTAGGCTAAATTTAAAAATTAGAGATGATAAATTTAGAAATTTGTAGAGATGGTCTTGCTATGTTGCCCACGCTGGTCTTCAACTTCTGGTCTCAAGGGATCCTCCCACCACAGCTTCCCAAAGGCTGGGATTACAGGCATGAGCCACTGTGTCCAGCCTGGATTTTCAAAAGTAGTAACACTGGATGGGCTCAAACTTAAACTGAGAACATGAGGAAATAAACATTTCTGACATAACCAGGCTGAGTGCATATTTTAATAAATGTCCTTTGGAGTCATCTTAAAGGCCATATATCTGTGTACTGCTAGGAACAGGGCAGTCTTGATCTGTGTGTTTTCACGTTTTATTTCTAAAATAGAAAACATGTTTTCATTTTTATTTCTTCTCCTCACTGGAGTCTTTCAGAGGCTACCGTGAACAATGAACATCTGTGAGGGTGGGATTGGGGAAGAAGGGCATAATGGAGATCAGTACATACCTTGGTTCCACTGGCTGGGGTGGCTGGAGAAGATGGCATGGATGTACAGCTGTGGTTACTCTGACTAGCACTGGAGCTGGAACGAGTAGGGGAAGCTGCCCGGGAAGATGGTTTGGACCTTCGACCCCGTGAGCGGAAGGGGGTCATTCCCTGGGATGCTCCCTCTGGTAGGATGAATTTCTCTCTAAGTTCAATGTTAGTTCTACCTCGTGCTAAAAAGGAAATAAACACACACACAATGTCAGTTCTTCTAAAAAATATATTTTTGACGGTTATACAGCGGCTTGACCCCATGATAACAGTTATATAAGTTATATGGGTTTAGTACCATCTGTGGGTTCTTCAAAAATAGAGATAAATTCATGACACATCAGCCTTGTCAAGGTTCCTACCCATAGCAGATATGTTAACTGTATAATAAGCAAGTCTCTGTGTATAAAGGACCAGCCCACTCTGCTGCTAGCGTCTTGCTTTGCCACTGTCCCTGGGGTAAGCACACTGACTGCTTGAGGTAAAGCAGATGCAACAGTTCGTAAACCTCTGAAGTTAAATCAAAACCCCTCTTTTCTCTCTCTTAGTACATGTGTACTTTTTGCTTAATTTTTGCAGGATATGTGGTAATGAAAGAGTAGAGAAAAACATTACTGAAATCGATATTGTCTAGACTCTTCTATTTGAATTCAGTCAGTAACAATCCTAAAGAAAGGAGTCCAGGAACTCAGGACAGTAAAAAGATCAGGAGAGAATCATTAAGAAGTAAACATGTCGGTGGGGAGAGAGAAAGAGATCAAGACCATGCACAAAACTTGCTAGTGAGAAACTGTTAAGTGAAAAACTGAAAGCAATAAAAGGCCAAAGGAGTAACTGCAAGTAGGAGGAACATCAAGATGCAAAGAACGTGGAGTCGGCACGGGAAGCCAGTTAGCGCTGTCTTATGGCTTTCTGGGGCTGCACACCCAGAACTTAAAATGTGGATTCCATAGGAAGATCTCACGCACAGCCAACAAAAATGTTAAATGCGAAAGATGCTACTAATTTAAAAGACATAATCCCTCTGGAATATGTTCTTAGATTATTTCTCACTGTAAGATGTAATCCTGCAGAAACCCTCTACCTCCTCATCCACCCTAAACTGTGCACTCTTTATGAAGTACTAGACACAGCTAAACAAATGGGACTGCTGGAGAAAAGGGAATCATTATGAACAAAATATTTGTCATTCTTTTCTATAACAGATGTTTAACTGGTCAGAAACCATAAATCTAGAAGGTGGCAGGAAATTTTGTCCACCTTCTCATCTGTGCTACCCCATATGTCCCTTAAGGAATTTGAGGAATTTTGGTAGAATCAGTGTTTTAAATCAGGTTGCATAAGTGTCCAAGCAGCATGGTTCCAAATTCCTAAATCAAATCCAAATTCTTCTCAATATATTATATGTTGACAGAACATATCAAAGTATCAGGTTAAAAGCACTCACTTGGATACCAAAACCTCTGAGTTATAGTCCAAGCTCTGCTGCCAACTGTGATTTTTTTCCTGCTCTGGCCTCAGTTTCCTCAGGCTCACCAGAGGCGATCAGGTCAACCGATCTCTAAGAGCCCTGTTGTCTGGATGATCTATGACTTAATGGTCCCTGAAATGCTAAGCTGTTTCCTTCCATGATCCAGTGTTTCCTTCCTCCTCAAGCCTCAACAATACATGACCCTTGGCCGGGCGAAGTGGCTCATGTCTGTAATCCCAGCACTTTGGGAGGCCAAGGCAGGTAGATCACCTGAGGCCAGGAGTTCAAGACCAGCTTGGCCAACATGGCAAAACCCCGTCTCTACTAAAAATAAAAAATTTAGCTGGGCATGTTGGTGCATGCCTGTAGTCCCAGCTACTCAGGAGGCTGAGGCAGGAGAATCACTTGAACCCAGGAGGCGGAGGCTGCAGTGAGCCGAGATCGTGCCACTGCACTCCAGCCTGGGTGACAGAGTGAGACCCCATCTCAAAAAAAAAAAAAAAAAAAAATTCACTTCTGAGCAAACTCTGCCAGGAAAAAAAAAAAAAAGATATAAGAGGAAAACTTTGAAATTGCATTGCAGTTGAAGGAAGTGACATTTTAAATGTTTTAGGAAGGGCATTCTCTAATGCCATAATGGTGATATGTTCCCTATGCACTGCACAGTTCACAGAATGTGCAATAATGCAGCTGACTGTAATTAGCATCCCTATGTTACAGAGACACTTAAGTACTCACAGAGGCTGAGGTCAAGCAAAGTGGCAGTAGAGGTGGACCTAGAACCCACGTCTTCCACTTGAGTTGTCCTCTTTGTCCCCCGACCCCCAAGACATTCCCAGCCTAGCTCTCTCCATCACCACCTACATTCGCTGTCTCCACTCCTCCCCTCAGACCACTCACGCTTCCATCCCCACCACTCATGGAAATTGCTCTGGCAAAGGTCACTGACAACCTCTATCTCAGGAGGGCAATGAAAATTGCTTAATGGCTGGGTGTGGTGTCTCATGCCTGTAATCCCAGCACTTTGGGAGGCTGAGGAGGGCAGACTGCTCGAGCCCAGGTTGGAGACCAGCCTGGACAACATGATGAAACTCCATCTCTGCAAAAAATTAAAAAATTAGCTAGGCATGGTGGCATGTGCCTGCAGATCCAGCTACTCTGGAGGCTGAGGTGGGAGGATTGCTTGAGCCTGGGAAGTCAAGGCTGCAGTGAGCTGTCATCACACCACTGCACTCTAACCTGGGTGAGAAATTAAGACGCTGTCTCAAAAACCAAAACAACAACAAAAGTCGCTTAATCTCACAACCCAAGGGACATCACTATTATAATGGTGTGTCTTACTCCTTTGCACATCTGTGTGTGTGTGTGTGTGTATATATATATATATATACACTAAGTGTATATATGTGTGTGTGTGTATATATATATATATATATATATATATATATATATATATATATATACACTAAGTGTATATATGTGTGTGTATATATATCTAAGAGGGAGAACGGGACTGTGGACAGGCCCAGCAGACATCCATGTTTTAGAAGTGGGCAGGGAGAAGTGGTCAGCAAGGGAGCAGGCGTCCTTGAAGCCGGGGAGGACAGTGTTTCAAAAACACTGACCTGACCCCAGGTGATCCACCCGCCTCAGCCTCCCAAAGTGCTAGGATTACAGGCGTGATCCACCATGCCCAGCTTGTATATATTAAAAAAATCAGAAACTTTACTCCATGCCCTACATGTCTCATGCAAAATTTTAACTAGCTGCTAAGTATTATTTCATCATATGGATGTGAATTTATTTAACCAGTCCAATATTGCATTTTTGTTTAAATATTTTAAACATTGTAGCCAATGCTGTGACAATTTGTAAAACATTTTGCATGTATCCACGATATTTCCTTAGGATAAATTTCTTTCTTTCTTTTTTTTTTTTGAGACAGAGTCTTGTTCTGTTGCCCAGGCTGGAGTGCAGTGGCCCAATCTTGGCTCACTGTAACCTCCGCCTCCTGGGTTCAAGTGATTCTTCTGCCTCAGCCTCCTGGGTAGCTGGGACTGCAGGCGCGTGGCCACCACGCTTGGCTAATTTTTCGTATTTTTAGTAGAGATGGGGTTTCACCATGTTAGCCAGGATGGTCTCCATCTCCTGACCTCGTGATCTGCCCGCCTCGGCCTCCCAAAGTGCTGGGATTACAGGCATGAGCCACCGCGCCCAGCCTAGGATAAATATCTACATGTAGATTTTCTGGGGAGAAAGGATGCATACCTAAGGTAAAAACATCAACTGATGAATGTCAACCATGTGTCAAGGTTGATAGATGCCAGCTGATTCCAAAATGTTTTACTAGCATACACTCTCCAAAATAATATGAGTATATTAAATTTACTTCATTCTGGCCAATTATTGTGCTATGAGCATGAGTACATACAGGAAAAAAGTCTGACAATTTGTTAGGTAAAAACATCTCTCTGCTGTTGTAACTTGCATGTGGAGGGTTACTACACACTGCTCTCTTGTTTTTGAAACCCTGTCCTCCCCTGGCTTCAAGGACGCCTGCTCCCTTGCTGACCACTCCTCCCTGCCCACTTCTAAAACATGGATGTCTGCTGGGTCTGTCCACAGTCCTGTTCTCCCCTTAGACTTGACCTGGTGATGAGCTCATCCACTGAGGCTTCAGTGCTACCATTATAGTCACACCCAACTCCAAATATATTAGTAGGGCAGGCCTTCCTGCTGGATGCCAGAAGTTATATCCAGCAACTGATTAGGCATGACCAGAGTCAGGAACCAAAACCCTGGCACCAACGTAGGTCTCTCCCTCCCAAGGGCAGTTCAGTCTATTGATTCTACCTTCAAATGCCTCTTGAATCCCTGAGCCTGTGCATGCCCCCTTGTACTCAGGTGTTTCATGGAGCACCTCCTCCCCACTGGGTAACTGTAGCAGCCTTCCTACTGGTCTCCTTGTTTCTCATCTCACCACCCACCCAGCCCTCACTCATTTTCTCATTCTGCAGAATGCATTTTTTTTTTTTTTTTTGAGACAGGGTCTCACTTTGTCACCCAGGCTGGAGTGCAGTGACACAAACATGGCTCACTGTAGCCTTGACCTCCCAGGCTCAAGTGATCCCCTGACTTCAGCCTCCCAAGTAGCTGGGACTACAGGCATGTACCACCTTGCCTGGCTAATTTTTGTATTTTGCAGAATGAATTTCTAAATGAAAATCTGTTGTCAACAGCTCAGAATCCTTCCATGGTGTTTCACTGCTTATAGCAGAATTCCCCAAGTGAGGTTTTCTAGGGTTTTCCTACAAAAGGGGTTTGGTCCTCTATATTTCCCTGCTTGGGAGAGCTTTAACTTGGCATCTCCCAAATTCATTTGACCGTGACTTTTCGTTTTTTTGAGGACCACATCTTGGGGACTAGGAAGCACAATGTGGTAAGTACCCAGGACCCAGTGGTCTGGCATCCATCACCTGGCCCCTCCTGCTGACCCGTCCAGAGTCTTATCTGGTCGCTAACCTTGTACATTTGGCTGCAGTCCCATGGGACTACTTGTCCCCTTACTTTTTCAGCTGTTGACACTTCTGTTCATATGAACTTGTGGTTTCTGTACCAAGAACATCCAGATCCCTTTTCCTTCTGGTCAAGTGTTACCTCCTTTAAGATGTGGCTGAAGCAACACCTCCTTTTCCTTTTTCAAAACCTTTTTTCTTGAGATACAGTCTCACTCTGTCGCTGAGGCTGGAGCGCAGTATATACACACATACACTTATACACACACACAAACATTTATTTTTATTTAGTTATTTTTTGAGATGGAGTCTTGTTCTGTTGCCCAGGCTGGAGTGCAGTGGCACAATCTCAGCTCACCACAACCTCCGCTTCCCCGGTTCAAGTGATTCTGCTGCCTCAGTCTCTCGAGTAGCTGGGGTTACATGTGTACACCACCAGGCCGTTAATTTTTGTATTTTTAGTAGAGACAGGGTTTCACCATGTGGGCCAGGCTGGTCTTGAACTCCTGACCTCGGGTGATCCGCCCGGCTCAGCCTCCCAGAGTGCTAGGATTACAGGTGTGAGCCACTGTGCCTGGCCATATATTTATTTATTATTATTTTTTGCGACAGAGTCTCCCTCTATTGCCTAGGACGGAGTGCAGTGGCATAGTCTCGGCTCACTGCAACCTCTGCCTCCTGGGTTCAAGCGATTCTCCTGCCTCAGCCTCTCGAGTAGCTGGGACAACAGGGTCATGCCACCATGCCCGGCTAATTTTTTTATATTTTCAGTAGAAACAGCGTTTCACCATATTGGCCCGGCTGGTCTTGAACTCCTGACCTCATGATCTGCCCGCCTCGGCCTCCCAAAGTGCTGGGATTACAGGCATGAGCTGCTGCACCCGGCCTGTATTTTATTTTAAAACAGAGATGGGGTCTTGCTATGTTGCCCAGGCTGGTCTTAAATTCTTGGCCTGAAGTGATCTTCCCTACTAGGCCTCCCAAAGTGTTGGGATTGTACACGTGAGCCACTATGCCCAGCCCAATTATGTCCTTTTCCTGATACCTTCTCCATCTTCATGGGCAGAGTCATCTCTTCCCCTCTTGCTCTCTCAACCATTCATTTTACCAAATAGAAGGGCATGTATTCACATGTTTGTTCCCTGCACTAGGCTGAGAGCTTCTGCAGGCAGGGACCATCATCTTAATTTACCTTTGGATCCCAGTGCGAGGCTTGCATTTAGGGTTTCAGTAAGTATGTGTGAAACAGAGTAGCCTCTGTTTCTCTGAAATAGCCTCTGAAAACAAGTCTCTCAACAGTTTCAAGGAATGGATCTCGCAACCTTCATGAACTCACTAAGTGCTTCCATTGAGAAGTGCTCATTATTTCACGGGGATGAAGAACAGAAGCACCAAGCTGTGTTAAAGTGAGGAGTCAGTGGCCAGTGGGGCTCACTCTCTCGCTGTGTGACCGGCTCTCTTGCACAGCAGAAACAAATGCAAATCCATGAATTTTCATGACTGAAACCACAAAGTTAAATTTGTGACTGCCAACACCTACTATATATAGAATATTAAAGCAATTTAAAAGAGCAGATAGAATAGCTTTCCATAAGAAAGATACTACAAGAAGGAAGATTATCCCATGTTAACAGCAACCTTTGCATTTTGTGATCTGAGGACCTGTTTAATTCTATCACAGGATCCTATGCTGATCTCCTATATCATGACCCTGTTAGCCCCAGAGGCCACCATGAGGTAGGTACATTGTAACGCCTCATTAAATGACTGCTGAGGGCCCAAAGGGTGTCTCACTTGCTTTCCTAGCTGGGTGCATGCAGGATGCTGGGAAAATACAGTTCATAATTTTCTCAGGGTACGCTTACACGTCATAACGAAACAAATAAACATAATGAGACAGTCTCTGTTTTCATAAGGAAATCTCCAGCCAATGGTCACCTCTTGGGATAGTATTTCACTGGCCAGAGATGCAAAGACGTGTGAACAATTCTCTAACGTCATCCTTCCAGGTTACTACAGCCATGCCAAAGACACGCAACATAGGCATTAAGGCAATCTGAGACTGTAAACAGTGGTTAGCTAGCTCCTGCACGCTTCCATGAGGCCTCATTAAGAAGGTCTAAACTCAAGTGAAAAATAATGGCTTACTTTAATTGGGGCTTTAGAGGCTTGTCTTCTCCCTTTTATTTTCCTTCCTCTCTCTGTAATTTCCATCTTCTTGGTCCTTATGCTCTTAAGCTCACAATAGTAAAATTCCCACATTTCTGGTGCTCTCATCTCGGTCAAGAGACCAATGAATAATTAATTTATCCCAAGCCATGCCTAGCTAATATTAGCTTAATATGCTACAACTCCCATGGATATTTGCATTTTAAAAGAAAATATTTGAAGATGCAAGGCAATGAAACGATTCTTGGTAAGGAACATTTTATATACATATCACTTGGAAGAAATGAAAGCTCTTTCTTCAGAAATAAACTTAAAGCGGCCAATTTTAAGAATTAAAAAAGGTGTTAAGGGGGCAATTAATACTTTTACTTTGATAATAGAAAAGGCTGGGATGGGAGGAGGCGACAACAAACAATAAACAGTTGGAAGCTGTGAAAATTGATTTCTGGAGCAATCCCACAAGTAAAAAGTAAACATTTTTCTCGAACTAGAAGGAAACACCAAATTCTGATTAAGCAAAATTTATGTACTAGCACTTGAATTTAGTAGTAAAGGTACTCTTAATATTTACATTGATTCAAATATTTCCCAAAATTGGGTATTATAGTCCTAAAGTTAAAAAAAAGAGAAGATTCCTAGTACTTGGTTGACTACTGTGATAGGATTTTCCCCCTCACCATTCTTTTCACTGGAGAAAAGATCTACCATTGAACCTACAGAACCAGACATGACGGCAGCCACCTCAAGTTCAGTTCATTGACCACCAAAGAGGCTGTCTTTGCTAAGGGAGTTATGCTGGCCACCTGAAACTGGCTGATGCGGGCATGTTAAAATTCAGTTCTAAGCTATTGTTTAATGGGTATAGAGTTTCAGTTTTACAAGATGAAGAGAGTTCTGTGGATGGACGGTGGTGACGGTAGTATGACACAAATATACTTAGTCCTGTACTTAAAAATGGTTAGGATGGTAAATTTTATCTGTATAACAATCTGAAAAAAAAAATGAGTTCTATTTCAAAATGTGTCTTTTAAATCTTCATAAATGAAATTTCCTAGATGTTCACTTATCTGGGGGAGCTAATATGTCTAATGATCAAAAACATACACAGTACCTTAGGTACAAGTATACCCATTATTTAGGCAGGAGCACTTTTTTTCTCTCTATCCAAAACATCATGATTTCCTGTGCCACGGATACATTCAGAAACTGAAATATCTGATTTTGGCAGTACCAGGAGACTGGCAAATCTAGCTAGTAAAATATTTTCATTTTTTTACACATGACTAAAAGCTACATGCAGTTTGAGATATCTTCTACCTTTTAAAATAGCTGTGTAAAAGGAGGTAAGAAATGATAGTGCACACTGGTGTTAAGAACCTTGTCACACATCTTGTACTGTCCTCAGTATAGCATTCTCTACATTCCAGAGACCCAAGGAAATATGCAACATAAATGAGTACAAAACCTACCATAAGCACTGTTTCCAGAAGCCACATTAATCCTTATAGAACTTCCAATATAGTTTCAAGTAACTTTGTTCTCTTCTCATCCTTCATACCCTTCTAACTTATTATAATCCATCCTAGTCCTTAGGTGTTCATCGCCTAGCACCATTTTTTATTTGATTAAAAATAGCTCATCCTGCCCATCACTGACAGAGTTACGAAATTTAAAACTTCTGGAGAGTTCTCTCCACAGTCAATGGATTGAGATGATTACTGAGTTCCAGGAGAGCACTCCTGGAGAGACACAGGAAAGTCTTACCTTGCTTGTTCCAAGGGATGCTAAAAAAGGTTACTAGCTTTCATAGAAAATAGCTTCTAGATGGCCCTCCCCAATTTCCTTGGGGTTCCAAATTTTAGATACTAAGATAAGGACAAAGCAAGCAGTGTTCTCCTTGGCCAGCAGCATGATGTTATCATAAATAGAGCAGGCAGCAAATAAACAGGCAATCAAGGATTCCAAAATGCCACATGCAATATCTCTTTTATTTAGTCTGATCATACATGACAGGAAAAATAGGACCTTATTCATAGATTTGGAAAGGAATAAAGTTGTTTTACTGAGTTAAAGTTAAAATGGCATATATTGTTTCTCATTAAAGCAATAAAAGACAGCTTTTAAATTCTAAAACTAAATACTTTCAAGTTTTTAAGTGTTTTCAAAATTACTTTTTTGTAGACAAGAGTCTTGCCTTGTTGCCCAGGCTGGAGTGCAGTGGCATGATCATGGCTCACTGTAGCTTTGAACTCCTGGGCTCAAGCAATACTCCCACCTCAGCCTCCAGAGTAGTTAGGACTACACAGGTGTGTACCACCATGCTTAGCTAATTTTTAAATTTTTTTTTGTGGAGATGGGGTTTCACTATGTTGCTAAAGATGGTCTTGAACTTCTGAGCTTCAACAATCCTCCTGCCTTGGGCTCCCAATGTACTGGGATTCCACTGTACCTGGCCCCAATTTTTTTAAAAAAGGAACCTCTAATGAAAATTATTACTGCTGAATTTTTACTCTGGTTTACTGTAGTAAACACAGAATGAGTTAAAATAAGAGGAACTACTTAGGGGCATATCTGAATTCATGTGAAAACTGCTATCTTTAGCTCTGTCCTCACTAAATGCTTCAGAATATGACTATAAATCATTTCCAAAGAAGTTATGTACTGTACAGCAAACATTTCTGCTAGGTTTATAAATAAACCTTAATAATTATGCAGGTGATCCAATAATAAACATACACAAAGGTGTGTCAGCCTCTGAAAGATATAACATGCTGACTAGGGGCACATACTCCAGACCCAGATTGCCCTGAATTTGAATCTCATCTCTGCCATTTACTAGTTGTTTGTCTTTGGGCAAATTATTTACGTTTTCTATGCCTCAATTTCCTATTCTGTAAAACAGAGATAAGAGCATCTACACTTCATATGAGGCATAAATGTGTTACTTGTAAAGTACTTGTAATAGTGTGTGGCACATAAAACTATATAAGTATTTGTTAAATAGAAACTCAAAACAAATTCCATGGACACTGTCTCAACAGTATTTTATGCACCATCAACTTGAGTAGTTAGAAAAGCTATGGTTTGGCCATTTCAAGCATTCATGAATGCAGCAGATACACAGAACCAAGAGATGTTACAGTTTAAGAAGCAAAGCCATTCTCAATGGGCTAGGGTGTGAGGAAGAGGGACAAAGCTTAAAAGCCAACCTATGGGAGACTGACTGGAAATCGAAGAGCTGGAATCAGAGCGCTTTATTTTACTCCCAGGATGGTGAACTAGAATAAAAAATACGTAAACAGAAAGAAACAGACAGGGCAGGAAACGCAGAAACTAGTCAAGAAAGACAAATTGGCAGACAGTGGGGGAGCCTCCTGTGCACCCACATGCAGCTCTGCTAACAGGAAAAAGGCAAGGACATAGCTGAAGAGGATTTAGCAATTGGAACCGGTCATCTCTTCCCTGTTGCAGTCCCCACACACCCCCTAGCTGCAGATGCCACCACTCATGCTCATATTAAATTGACAGTCTCCTTATGCTTCTGGGCTGGTGGGCCAGCCTTTTCACATTTAGCAGAAAGACACCCCATGGTCTTGCTTAGGTGGCCACCTGTCTTAGAAGTGAATGGGCTCACATGTAGGTGTCTTTATCCTTCCTCCTGGTCCAGGGGGCTCACCAGTTCTTCCCTGTATGAGAAGGGCCTAACACTCTCCCTGAGTATCAGCCACAGGAATTACAGGCAAAGGGATCTGAGGCACTAAGAGGGAACCTAAAGGGCTTCACTGGGCTCCTTTCTAGGATAGTGTTAATTTAATACCCCAAACAAACATTCGAGTAACACCAATACACTCTTAATTCTCATTACTGCATTCCTCTAGACCTACCTCCCCAAATAGCATCAACCTCTTCAGCTTTTTCTCCCTGGCCTATGCTGGCACCCCTGAGTTCTAATCTGTGCTAGTGGGATGACACCTGGGCAGCTTAACAAAATAAAAAACAGACAGACCCCACCATCAATGCTTCCTGTAAGCATAAAAGATCACTGCTGGGGGCATACCTAACACGTAATTCATGCTTAGAATGGTTCCTTACCTCGGCAGGGATCATTTTTCACTAAAAATTCATCCAAGGCCATCCATCCTCCACCAACGCGAACCATCACGGTGCTGCGCAGAATACGGACCAGCCGCAACTGCTGAGAATCCCCAAA
The DNA here is from genome assembly GCF_000001405.40 of Homo sapiens. Lineage (NCBI taxonomy): Eukaryota > Metazoa > Chordata > Mammalia > Primates > Hominidae > Homo > Homo sapiens. Next base: position 39,468,614 of record NC_000001.11, on the reverse strand, counting down.
CTGTAGAATCAAAGGAAACTTAATTAATATATATGTCTTAAAGCAGATCTATGTTTTTCTCCCAAAGCAGACTGTATTCAGACAGGAATGACAATTTGATAGCTACAGAAGAATTGTTAACTCTCACAATTTTGCATTTTTATATATTTCACAAAAGGATTTTAAAAATAGAAAAGCAGAAATATCAAGCTAAAGACTGGTGTCTTGATATACTTTTTTCTTTGTGAGACAGAGTTTCACTCTTGTTGCCCAGGCTGGAGTACAACAGTGTGATCTCAGCTTACTGTAACCTCTGCCTCCCAGGTTCAAGCAATTCTCCTGCCTCAGCCTCCCGAGTAGCTGGGTTTATTAGGCGTGTGCCATCACGCCCAGCTAATTTTTGTATTGTTAGTAGAGACGGGGTTTCAACATGTTTGCCAGGCTGTCTTGAACTCCTGACCTCGTGATCCGCCAGTCTTGGCCTCCCAAAGGGCTGGGAATACAGGCATGAGACACTGCGCCGGGCCAATATACTTTCTATTGGGATAAAAATCACTTTTAATGGTCACACCACTGCCTCTGCACCAAAAGGAGAGGTAGGAAAACAGACAAAGTGTTAGGTCACTTTATTTTTTTAAAAGAGATTCTGCTCAATTAAAAATTCATATTCTTGGCATGCTAATTTGTTTTCCTAAAAGAAAGATTGTGGATATCAACTTCTGAATACAGTATGCTTTAAAGCTAAATGGAAAATAGTGAATACTATTTCAAGCCTTAAGGAAACCTTTGCAAAGCATCATTACAAGCTTAGAAGAAAATCTGATTTTCTGCATCAGGTTTTCAGGAATTAACCCGAAGTATTTGCTAATTGCAGTGTCACCAGCAGAAAAGTTTCTTCAGCTGAACAAATGATTAGGTCATATTTATACTAAAATTGAGTTGAAGCAATTAAAAATTGTAGCTCCCATGATGATTATGAACAGTATCCAATAATCATTTTAGATGCTAAAACAAGCATATTTCTGATTATTTATGTTTTCCCTTTTTTCTTGCCCAAACATTCCTACTTCCCAGCTCTAAACATCTGGAGTTTCTCATGGCATAAATTACCCTCTTTCCAAAATGAAGTAAGGAGCAACAAAAGAGAAGTATGCAGAGTTTCCAAAACAAACAAACATCTGGTAGGAGAAATGGAATTCCTAAAATCATTCAATTCAAGGGTTCCTCGGGTATGGAGTTGGTAGGATTTTCTTTTTCTTTTTCTTTTTTTTGAGATGGAGTCTCGTTCTGTCGCCTAGGCTGGAGTGCAGTGGCGCGATCTTGGCTCATTGCAAGCTCCGCCTCCTGGGTTCATGCCATTCTCCTGCCTCAGCCTTCCGAGTAGCTGGGACTACAGGCGCCCGCCACCAGGCCGGCTAATTTTTTGTATTTTTAGTAGAGACGGTGTTTCACCGTGTTAGCCAGGTTAGTCTCGATCTCCTGACCTCGTGATCTGCCCGTCTCGGCCTCCCAAAGTGCTGGGATTACAGGCATAAGCCACCACGCCCGGCCAGGATTTTCAAAGTTATAAAGGACAACTGTAACTTTAAAACAAGGCAGAAAAATTGAAAATGCAAGAAAGGATATCTGAGGTCATATAGCCATCCTCCCTCAAAATTAATATACTTGTGGTAATTCTCCATATTCCTTAGCTGCTCTGACTCAAATGCAGTATTTGCACAGGCAAGGCAATTGAAAAATACTGTATCCTCCCTCCCAGCCCTTTACTTTGAAAATAAAAGAAGTCCCACACCTTTCATCTGATACAATTTAAACATGTTTATACAAAGTGACTGCAGCAAAAGCACTGTGTGGTAGCAGCAGCACTGAACCCAGACTTGAAAGAGAATACACGTCCTGTCCTGGGAAGGAAGCTGCCCCCCAGGCTCTGTGAGAGCCCCCTCTCAGAAGCTGGGCCCCACAAGTGAAAATGAGAAGCCCTGTGGGAGGTTCTGAGAGATATGGAGGATTCCACCCAAGAGCAGTGCTCTTGGACCTGAGTCACTGCAAAGGGTTTTCTCTGGATGGGTGAGAGGCAGGGAGTATGCACCTGTGTGTACCCCAGGGTGAATCAGGAAGGAACCACAAGAGTACTTTATTCTTGGAATACTGTGTACTATAATTTATCACTCCATATATTTCATGTCCCCCCCAACCTTAATTTCACACTAAAGCTCTCTTTGAAAGATTCTAACTTGTTTCTGCTAAGCTATGGGGGAAAGGAGGTTTGACCAAGCCAGCAGCCAGTGTAGCTGGGGAAGTTGAGGCCAGAGTCACAAGTGGTAGGAGGGATTATGGCAGCTCTAAAAATGGAGACCTGTGCACACCTGGTAGGACAAGGTTGTCAGTGAGGCAAAGAACAAATAAGAGTCCTAAGGGTCAGTAACTGTTGTTTCCACCTTTTAAAAGGAAAACCTCTTACAGAGACTTGGGTTCTTGCAGTGGCTGACACTAGCTGTGTGAGAGTAGGCATGTGATCTTTGAGGCCTCAGTTGCCTGTGTATAAAATGAACTTCATAATTCCGTTCTCAACATTAGAAGTCATCTGACCCTCTCCTGATCAATGGAGCAGTAGAAGAGGGTGTCAGGACTCTTCAAAGGCACCCTAGCATTCACACACAGTCATTAGCAAATAGGCATATTGGACACTCTCAAGCAATGATGTTTTTTTAAAGCCAGTTTGTTCTCATCTTTAGTTTTTTTCTCTTATCCCCTGTTCTTCCCACTTGCCTAGAACATTTCTATAGTGACTTGCAAGGCCTGGGATGTTTGAGGGCCTGAAATCAACAACTAGTGTTTATAATTTCATATCAGAGAGACAGATTTTACTCATGCAACTTCCTTCCACATTGGAGGACACAGGACCCCACAGCACTCAAAAAGATCTGAAAGGTTAGAGTTACCAAGTGGAGTCAAAGCATCCAATCTTTTTTGCAAGTCTAATTTGGTCCCATTAAATCTTGGCTGGCTGGCCATAATCAGCATACTTCAGGCCACGGCCAATTACGATCTCCACACTACACTTCTCAGATACCTTGTAATTATAACATACAATATAAGTAACTACAAATATTAAAAAGATATTTAAATAGTACTGAAGTTCTTCAGGAATTGACTTACCATACATTACAAAATTTATTAACTGTCAAAAGATTCTAATATAAATAAGAACTGTGCTATTTGGTAATCTGACTTCTAACACAGAAGTACAAAACCAGGCTCTTCTTAGAAGTGTAATGGACTGATACCATAGCTTCACTTTCCTCCATTTCATCTCCTTTATAAAAAATTATACTTATATTCTTTTGCTGCTAAGATAGCTTTGCAATGCTGGCCCCATCAACAGTTTCTCCACTTGGTAAGACAACCAGGTGCGACCCAGGCATGCTTCAGATTACATCCTCTCCCCATAGCGAAGAACAGGCAGCATTAGCTACACAGACCATATCCATTGAGAAGGAGAACATTGCAAGGCACACTGTACCTGATTGCCGAGGAAGAACTATAGACAGTAAAGAGTAAAGGATGGAGGAAAGGAGGGGAAAAAAAAAGAGAACATTTTGTCAAATTAACACTAAAGAATGAAAATCATATCATTACATTTTTCTGGCAAAGTGACACACACTGAACATATTCTTACCAAGCTCCTGCCACAGGGATGTGGTTTTAATTTTTTTTTTTTTTTTTGAGAGTCTCGCTCTGTTGCCCAGGCTGGAGTGCAGTGGCGCGATCATGGCTCACTGCAACCTCCGACCCCGGCGTTCAAGCAATTCTCCTGCCTCAGCCTCCCTAGTAGTTGGGATTACAGGCATGCGCTACCAAGCCCAGCTAATTTTTGTGTTATTAGTAGAGAGGGTGTTTCACCATGTTGGCCAGGTTGGTCTCGAATTCCTGACCTCAAGTGATCCGCTCGCTCGCCTCTCTACCTTCCAAAATTCTGGAATTACAGGTGTGAGCCACCACGCCCGGCCAGGGATGTGGTTTTATAAACTATGAACTAACTCTCCATGCTATGTTGTTCTTGTTAATTCATTTCTCTCATAGATAATTAAAAACAAAAAACAAGAAAACAAAATCCAACAAGCAGGCATAAGATTATATGGAGCTTTATTAACTAAATGCCCTAGGTTATATTCAAAGCAGATTCACCCAGCACTCCTCAGGAGACTGCAGCATGGGGTAGATTTGGTGTACTTTGAGGACATTTTGGATATACTAATGAAACATGGACCTTCCTGTGTTTCTTAGTGCAATCTAAATCCTCTTTGCCAATCATAGATTTTTCTTAGGACTTTAGAGAATCTTGACGAGCTGTTGATATATTTTAGGAGACCTGTTTCAGATCCTTCTATGTCCCTGACCCTGGTCCCAAAAGAAGCTAAAACACAAGTATAGTTCACTGTCAGTTATGGCCACACCTAGCATGGCTTTCCAGGGAAGACCACTGAGCCTGATGTCTCCTCAGTGCTCCTGGGCCCCATTTGTAGCCCAGCTCAGAGCAGGCACAGTGTCTGTTGGGGCTTCAACACAGTTTCCCCAGGCCTCTCTAGCCTGGGAGCCACTCAGGCTCACAATGACCATCTCTTTGTGGGCAAGTGGTCAGTCAATAGATATAATTGTTTCCAAAGGTACCTTCATCCCCCTAGGAACTTTGTCAGATGTGAAGTGACAGCTCTGAAATATCTCCTATCTTAAAACTTAAATACAAACTACTACTATCTAGGTAGATATGGGACTAGTTTTCAGATGTAACAGGGTACCTGACACTTGGCATCTATAGAGATGAGGTCAGAGAGTGACCACATCTCAAGTCCGATGGGCTCTGGGCCTCTAAGCATCAGGAGGAAAAGGTGGGATCAGCCACATATGAGAAACCACCACAACAAAGGACTGCTTTTTCTCTTCCTTACCCGGTATTTATTCTCTCCGATCTGCTCCACCTGAAACCTTTTTGCACATTTGCACTGAGCCACTTGTCTTGTAACCTATTGGGTGTGAACAAAAAGGAAAGTGTAAAGGGTAGAGCAAAACTTCCTATTCAGAGAAACAAAGATTTTTATACATTAACAGGGAGGCTATTCATTATTTACATTTTTTTTTTTTTTTGAGATGGAGTTTCGCTCTTGTTGCCCAGGCTGGAGGGCAATGGTGCGATCTCGGCTCCACCACAACCTCCGCCTCCTGGTTCAAACAATTCTCCTACCTCAGCCCCCCAAGTGGCTGGGATTATAGGCACGCACCACCAGGCCCAGCTAATTTTTTGTATTTTTTTAGTAGAGATGGGGTTTCTTCATGTTGGTCAGGCTGGCCTTGAACTCCCGACCTCAGGTGATCCGCCTGCCTCAGCCTCCCAAAGTGCTGGGATTACAGGCGTGAGCCACCACGCACAGCTCATTATTTACTTTTTAGGCATTTCAGGCTTTTGACATATACATTTATTGTCTGTTCCAAATTAGTATATGTTCTTCTTACTAAGTGAACTAATTGAGACACTGAGAAAAGGCATGAAAGAAAATTCCCAAGTGACTATACAACACATTCTTTATTCCTGCTTCAAAACTCCTTCAGAGAAAAGTGCTAATATGCTTGCATCAAAATCAAATTATTAATAAAGCAAATTATGAACTGCTTTAAATTTCACCCTAGGAGCCCAAGATTCCCTGGAAGTCAGTCCTGGTGTGTTCCAGGGCCACTCCTAAGACCTGTCCCAGCACCTCTCCCTTACCAAGATCTGTTATCAACAGATGTTAGGGTTTCTAGATGGCACTAATAAATTTGGCAGTTTCAATGTGGTAGTTCTTAACAAGGCAGAAAGCATGATGGGTATACACCATTTTAAACATTACATTTTACTCCCCTTTTAAACATTTGTTTTTATTTTTTAAGACAAGTCTTGCTCTGTTGCCCAGGCTGGAGTGTAGTGGCATGATCACAGCTTACCACACCTTTGATCTCCCATGCTCAAGTGATCCTTCCACCTCAGTCTCCTGAGTAGCTGGGGCTACAAGCACTTGCCACCACACCTGGCTAATTTTTTTTTTTTTTTTGGCGGGGGGGACAGACAGAATCATACTATGTTGCCCAGGCTGGTCTCGAACTCCTGGGCTCCAGTGATCCTCCCGTGTTGGCCTCCCAAAGTGCTAGAGCTACAGATGTAAGCCACCATGCCCAGTCCATTTCAACCCTTAAATGCTACACTGGTAGACCATTTCCCTAGATTCCAGGCAGCATGCTCAAGAGTGAGATGAGTCCATCCCAAACACAGGACGAGTGAACCAGGATGAGTATGCTGCCCTGCAAAGGTTCTCTGTAAACTTCAGAGCACCACACAGACATGACTCACTTGAGTAATCCATCTAGCCTGAGCTAGAGCTCAGATGTCAGAGATCCTCTGGGACTCTTTGAAATGCTATCCAAAAAGAGATCTCAAAATAGAACTCCAAATAATTATCTCCCAACAGACAAGTCAAAGGCTAATATGATCACTGAACCCAACCAAATTCAGGATATTACAAACCTACAGCCAGAAGTGTACTCAAAATATAATTATTTCCCTTACCTCATCTTCGATTTTATCTGCATCGGTTGTTGGTCGATACGCATCCTTGTTGGGATGAAGAGCAGCCACAAATTCATAATAATCAATGTAACCATCCCCATCTCGGTCGAAAATGTCAGCCACAGCAGTCATCTCTAACTTGGTGGTGGGGAACTCTGGAGAAAAGGAATCATATTTTGAAACATTAAGAGGGGTACTTGTTCGGTTGGCGGTTATAGATTTTTTTTTTTTTTTTTTTTTTTTTTTGAGACAAGGTCTTGCTCTGTCGCCCAGGCTGGAGTGCAGTGGTGCAATCTCGGCTCACTGCAACTTCCGTCTCCCTGGTTCAAGTGATTCTCCTGCCTCAGCTTCCAGAGTAGCTGGGAATACAAGCGCCTGTCACCAGGCCCGGCTAATTTTTTTTGTATTTTTAGTAGAGACGAGGTTTTGCCATGTTGGCCAGGCTGGTCTTGAACTCCTGGCCTCAAGTGATCCACCCATCTTGGCCTCCCAAAGTGCTGGGATTACAGGCGCGAGCCACCACGCCTGGCCAGAAATACTTCTTAAGAGCAAAAAAATTTATGTCTTGATTTTTCCTGAAAAATAATACATATCCACTTATAGACTCCCCTACCCCAAATGCAACGAAAAAAGGTAATATTCCCCATTTCAAATATACCAAAAGGCATAAACATAATATTACAACCACCCACAGTCCTACCACTCAACTCAAGAATATACTCATCCACTCCACAATTATTGGATATTTAGATTATTTCAGAATAGTGACAGTTTGGAATAGCATGAAGTTTTCCTATGTTTAGATTATTGTCTTAGATTCTAAACAAATTGCTATACAAAGGGAAGTGTGACTATTTATAGTAGTCACAGTGATTTACTAAAACACAGACCAAATCATATTGTTTCCCAGCTGAAAACCTCTGGTTAACCACTGTCTTTTTTTTTTTTTTTTTTGAGACAGAGTCTCACTCTGTTGCCCAGGCTAGAGTTCACTGGCACGATTACAGCTTACTGCAGGCCTTGACCTCCCCAGGCTCAGGTGATTCACCTCAGCCTCCCAAGTAGCTAGGACTGCAAGTGTGCCACCATGCCTTTGCCACCTGCCTCCCAAAGTGCTGGAATTACAGGTGTGAGCCAAGCTCCTGGCCAGCTTCAGAAAGACTGTTTAGCTAGAATATCACAGCTTCTACAAAGTGCAAGGAATCCAGGTGTGACCCATGTTTGGAATGATGACTAGACTCACTGGATGCTAAAATGCCATCGATAAACTCCTGACGTGTTATCTTCCCATCCTGGTCCTTATCAATGCGCCGGAAGAAATCCATCACTCGAGACTTTTTGTGATTCATCCAACGCATATACTTTTTCCTCCAGACATCAAAGTCAAAGTTGGCAAATTCTTTCAACTACACAGAAATCAGAAGTGTCAATAAGATTTATTTTTTGGGCCCTCAAAAGCTGCCCAGAGCATACCCAAACTTTCAGACATTCAGTAAAGCCATGCTTCCAGGGGCCATCAACAATGAAATCTATGTGTTTGCTTCTTTTGTGAAGGCACAATCTGGCTCTTTCACTTAAAGCCATGACTATTTACACGAGCTATGGTATAATGGAATAGCAAGAGAAACAATAACTGAATCACCATGGAAAATATGGAGCACACAGAATGAGAATGGGTGAAGCCAGCCTTGCTTTCCCTTTGGGCTTTTCAAAGGATCACTCTCTTAGATGCAAGGAAATGGATTCTAACCCAGAAGGGAGGTCCTTAGCACTCCTCGATTATGTTGTTTTGAAAGGCATTATAATCACACATAGGGCTCATATCAGGAGGCTCGTGTTTACCACTATCTTCTGAGATTTCAATGAGAAAATCTGAGTTCTGGATGGAAGCATTGGGAACCCAATGTTGTATCCAAGCATGTTTCTTTGGAATGGCACCAGAGAGCAAATTGCCCATCTGACCTCCATGTTAAATATTTGGCCTTGATGGAAAACAGCAGGCCTATGCAGTGGGCAAGACAATTTTCAGCTACTTAAGTCTACGTTAATGATATACACTCAAAATGACTTAAAGAGTGCAGCAGTTTCCCCTTGGTCTTTCAAACTCCAAAGTTAGAAGGAATGGGGGAAAAAAGCACCAAGAACCCAATAAGCTTAAAAGTCAACTGACCTAAGGAAAAAATAAACAAAACACAGAACACTCACTTCCAGGCATAGCTGCTTTGATATGCACAAATAAAAAAATACAAAAGATATTAGAGGCTTGTTTTAGAAACTAGGAAGCATAGTACTATATTTTTTATACTGGGTAATGACACTTCAAAATAGAGTTGCTTCTCATGATCAAGTGAAGACTAATAACAAAATCATTAAAAATTACTCCTATTTCATAATTCTGTAGCATCTGTTTTTACATGAAAGGCTCAACAAGGGTCATTTTTGTGCTATGCTACATATCTGGAGATAAATTTCCAAAGTTCTGTTCCTGATTCCCAACCACAGCAAGATGCTGAGGCAGATCAGGTCCTGGCCCTCATTATGGACTGGCTGTTTTCTTGCTTTCCACACCTAGAAGCTTTAGCCTACTCTGTCACAAACGGTTTTCTTACACATGTGTCTTTTCTCATTCAGGGGCCTCAAAGAATGAGTACTGGCTTGGTATAGGTCTGTTTCTATTGTGAAAAAGTAAATTAAGACACAAGGTTCACATTAAGAGAGCCTCAGAAGGGCTGTGTTTTGATTGAAAAAAGCACTTTGTTTCAGGGAAGGCCACTCAGCAGGGCATTACCTCCTCCAGCCGATCCAAGGCATCATTCAGTTTCCTTTGCCGCTCCAGTGCTAACAGCCACACCTGCTGCCAGCGGGCAGAAAGCTGGTTGATCCGTGGGTTTTTTGCTTCAGACTGTGAAAGGATTGGCATGGGAGGAGGGGTTGGCTGACTTAGGGATTTCCCTAAAAGGAAAAATAATCACAAGATTAGAACAGCTGGTTAGTATACAAAGAGAAATAGCTGTATGTATAAACCTAGAAGATCTTTATAATAATATCCAGTCAATAACTGAGAAAAGAAATACGGGACTTGGCAATATTTAGATACGGAGGTGTACTAATTCCAAAAGTACTGATCCTCCCAGCACATACTTACCTGCTGCCTACATATCTCCAAGCAATTCTGTCCTACCTTAGTGAGCTGATGACACGTTAACTCAACTAAAAAAGCAACATATTCTGTAGAAGCTGTTGTGTTGATTAAATTAGTACAAGCCAAATGTAAACAGCTAGGGCTGATAACCAAAACAATGGAAAGGCCACTGTTAAAAAATAAGCTTAACCACCTCGTAATTTCATACCAATCATACCAAAGAATATGGAGTACAGCTACTGTCTGTCAATGTAAGAAAAGTGAGTTTCAAAAATGAGAGATTTTGGTTCAAAACCAACACGGTTTTTGAAAATGGAATATAATTTTTTTTGATAGGCATTTGGAAAGTGCTCATCCTCAATTAGCAGGAATGAAGCATCCTAACACAGGGGGCTGGAAACATACTGCCTCCGCTGCGGGATTTCTCTATGAAAGGCGCGTGAGTAGGCTCTATGTTTTTCCTTTTGTATGTCTTGGTGACCCGGTCCACGTCAGGCTGTTTGCGAGTCATCTCCTCCATAAATGTCTGTTAAACACAAAAAATAGGAAAAAGAGTTAAATATTGTATTTTTACTCTTATGGGGGCAAAGGAAGAGCTAGGATGGGTACTTTACGGCCTGTGGTGGCAGGAAAGGCTGTGTGGAGGCTGGTGCCTGAGTTGAGTTACTGAGGGATGTAGTTTGGATATTTGTCCCCTCCAAATCTCATGTTGAAATGTGATTTCCAATGCTGGAGGTGGGGTCTAACGGGATGTGATTGAGTTATGGGGGCAAATTCCTCATGAATGGCCTTGGTGCCCTCCCCATGGTAATGAGTGAGTTCTTGCTGTTAGTTCACATGAGAACTGGCTGTTTAAAAGGAGCCTGCTATCTCCTCCTCTTTCTCTCTCTCCCTCTCTTGCCATGTAACACGCTGGCTCCCCTTTGCCTTCCACCATGATTCTAAGCTTCCTGAAGCCCTCACCAGAAGCAGATATTGGCACCATGCTTCCCGTACAGCCTGCAGAACCGTAAGCCAAAATAAACCTATTTTCTTTATAAATTACCCAGTCTCAGGAATTCCTTTATAGCAATGCAAACGGACTGACACACTGAGCAATGAAGAAACAGTCAACAAATGGTGGGAAGGCAGTCCTGGAAGAGGGTGCAACCCAAACAGAGACAGGGATGCCTGACAGTGCTGTGACCAGGACCCCTCCACTCACTGGCTGGGCAGAGGATGCAATCAGAGGAATGGCAAGAGGCAGGGTTGGAGAGGCAGGCAGGAGACAGATCACGAAAGGCTTCTGTGTCAGGCTAAGGGTTGGCCATTTATTCTGAGAGCAACAGGGGGCAGCTGAAGGATTTCGATCCAGGTAAGAGACATGATCAGACCCATGCTTTACAGCTATCACTCTGGCTTCAGTGTAAAACATGGAGTGATGTGGGGGTGGGGGTAAGTGTGGGATGGGGAGTGGCTAGCAGTGAGAAGACAGGTTAAGAAACCATTGCAGCAACTGAGGCAAAACATGGTGAGGGCCAGAGCCAGGGCAGGAAAGATGGAACCAAGAGGTATTTTGAAAGTGGGACTGACAAGCCCTGGTGAGTGGCTAGATGTGAGGAAAAGGAGGAACTCCAGACATCACAGGCCTCTGAATGAGGAAAGGGGGGGCAGATCTGGAATGGACAAATGACGTCAGGCAAGGGGGCAAAGATAAAGTGGAAATTTTAGAACTGCTTCTAGTTTACTGTATGTCTGGACTTTAGGAGATGATAGTGCTGAAGATGAAAAAGATGCAGAAGCTTTATAGGTAATAGCTAAAGCTGTTAGACCAGATAAATCTTAGCAGAGTGAGGAGAGCATCAAGAATGAGACGTCAGGGAACAACACTGATGAATAGGCAGGGAAGAGGAACCAGCTAAAAAGGCTAAAAAGGAACGGTCAGAGAGATCAGAGGAAAACACAAAGATTAAAGGACACAGAAGTCAAAAGGGAAGTTTTGGGAAGGGATGAAGAGCCAGCTAGGTTACATGTCAAACAAAATAAAGACTGAAAAAACTCTGTTGGATTTAGCCAGTAGAATGTGACCAGAACAGTGTCAGCCAGACCACAGGGACTTGGGGAGTGATGGGAAAAAAGGAGATGAGACAGGGAACAAGAAGCGTAGCTGAAAAAGGAGGGGAACTCTGGGTTGGAAGGACATGTCTGGAAGCTTTAGAGAAAAGAATAAACAGGGAGAGACTGAAGACATAGAGGAGAGAGAGGAAAACAGAAAGGAGAAGAACTGAATAGGAAGAAGATAATCTCTCAGAGAGGAGGTACATCCCACAGGAAGGACAGGTGCTCCTCGACTTACGATGAAGTTACATCCTGGCAAACCCATCGTTAAGCTGAAAATATAACACACCTAAACTATGGAACATCGTAGCTTAGCCTGGCCTACCTTAAACATGCTCAAAACACGTTAGCCTACAGTTAGGCAAAATCATCTAACTCAAAGCCTATTTTATAATAAAGTGTTGACTATCTCATGTAATCAAAGTGAAAGAATGGTTGGATGGGCACTCAAAGTGCTTTTTTTTTGAAATGGAGTCTTGCTCTGTCGCCCAGGCTGGAGTGCAATGGTGCGATCACAGCTCACTGCAACCTCTGCCTCCCTGGTTCAAGTGATTCTCTTGCCTCAGCCGCCTGAGTAGCTGGGATTACAGGCAACCACAACCACACCCGACTAATTTTTATATTTTTAGTAGAGATAGGGTTTCACCATGTTGGCTAGGCTGGTCTCAAACTCTTCACCTCAAGTGATCTGCCCCCCTTGGCCTCCCAAAGTGCTGGGATTACAGGGGTGAGCCACCACGCCTGGCCTCTAATTGTATAGTTTCTACTGAATATGTATAACCTTTGAACCATGATAAAGTTGAGAGACTGTAAGTCAGGGACTATCTGTATAGTGAGTTCTCACTTGCTGGGGTAATTGTTTATATAAACTAAAAAGACCATATAGTCTACAGTATAACTAATCAACATTCACGCTTGAATTCAGTATAAATGATTATGGTTAAAAATAGTATTTGCCTCTTAAGGATATATTATGAAGATGGCCCACCTGAGCTTTCCTCCATTCAGTTTAGTCTAATGTGCACCTTCACTGACCACTGGGTTCATGCGAGAGAGCTTTCTGAACCAGGTATAATGGGGACCAGTGGGACCCTGGCTCAAATGATGGTCAATAAAAACAGGCTGTGGCAGGCAGACTTCTAAAAAGGCCCCCAGGATTCCCACTCCTGTATGCACACTCTATGTAATCCCCCTCCCTTGAGTGTGGGCAAATGATGGAATATTCACTCCCTTAATTACATTTCATTCTTCATTACATTTCAAGACTCCATAGAGCACTTTGGACAGTTTCTCCGGCTGGCTGTGTGGCTAAGACCTGAGGGGGCCTCTAGAAGGCAAGAGCAACTCCTAGCTGAGAGCCAGCAAGAAAGTAGAGACCTCAGTCTTACATCCACCAGGATCTGGATTCTGCCAACATCCTGAGTGAGCCTAAAAGAGGACCCTGAACTCCAGATGAGACTGCAGTACTGGCTGACACCTTGATTTCTGCCTGGGGAGACTCCAGGAAGAGGACTTAGTCAACTCATGCCCAGGTATATGAAGCACAGAAACTATGAGGTAAGTAAGTATGTGTTGTTTTACAGTGCTAAGTCTGTGGTAATGTGTTAAGCAGCCATTTAAAAACATATACACAGGGCAACAGAGATGGTCTCCATGCCCAACACGGAAAACACCAGTGATCACACAGTGAGGTTAAGATACCTGATGCTCAGCGATAAGGGCTTTAACTCGGTCAATGTTCTGCGGGATTGGCTCCTGATCCCGCTGAATGAGGGTGGTCTCAGCCCACTGGATCCATGCCAGAAGTTCTTCCAGGAGCTCAGCATTAGCCACCAGTTCTGACAAGGCCGTTTCAAGACGCTGCTGGTGCTGCTTAGCCCATGTCAGGACCTGTGGAAAAAGAAGGAAACCATGGCCTCTTTCAGTCAAGCATACCCCCTTTGTTTCCAAAGCCCTTTTTCATCTGATTTTCATAATGGCTTTTTATTTTATTTTTTTGGAGACAGACTCTCGCTCTGTCACCCACACTGGAGTGTAGTGGCACAATCTTGGCTCACTGCAACCTCTGCCTCCCGGGTTCAAGTGACTCTCCTGCCTCAGCCTCCCAAGTAACTGGGATTACAGACTTGTGCCACCATACCCAGCTAATTTTTTGTATTTTAGTAGAGATGGGTTTCACCATGTTGCCCAGGCTTGTCTTGAACTCCTGAGTCAGGTAATCTGACCGCCTCAAGCCTCCCAAAGTTCTAGGATTATAGGCGTGATCCACTGCTCCCGGCCAACACAATGACTTTTTAGAGGAGAGACCACCCAAACAGTCAAGAGGCTTCACTATTACCCCAGTGACAACTGGGATAAGAGCTGGAATAAAATATCAGCCCTCCTGAAAGAAAATCTAGTATAGTTGTTCCTTGGTATCCATGGGGGACTGGTCCCAGTACCACCTGTGGATACTAAAATCCATGCATACTCAAGGCCTATAATTGGTTTTGTGCAACCTGCAAAAGTCTGCCCTCTGCACACATGGGCTTCGCTTCCCGTGAATACTGTATTTTCTATCCATGTTTGGCTGTGAATGTGGACCCCACCAACATGGAGGGCTGACTGTATTTACTGAACAATAACCGCATATAAGTGGACCTGTGCAGTTGAAATACACATTGTTCAAGGGTCAGCTGTACATCCTGTTAACACAGGATTTCCCAGGAAGGAGCAGACACTACACAACATGTCCACTGGAAGTCACATTAACATAGCACTATGCCAACACTACTCCTCCAGGTTGCCACACATTACCAAGAAAACAGTCTTTACTAAAATGTTAACTTAATTTTTGCTGAGTTATTCACAGTGAGTGAAAGATTCCTTACCTGGGGGAAAAATACTATACTATACTATAGTGATAGTTTACTGGGCGTGTGCAGTCCTCCTCTGAACCAGGGACTCACCTCCTCGAAGCGAGCTCGGATGATGGTGATCCAGTGTTTGATGGTTGTGATGCAATCGGGGTGGCAGACAGCCAGGATGACTTCTCCCATGGCTACTGCTGAGTTAACGTCCACTCGCTTTTCTTCTACTTTCTTCATGAATTCCTAAACAAAAAAGATTTGAAAACAAAAACGTAAAAAGTCTACATTAGCAGCACTGTTAGTTTACACTGAGGGGGGATAAATTTCAATGTTTTCTTTTTCCTCCATGTGTTAACGCAGACCTCTAAAAGCCTGTATAGTTATTTATGGCATTTTCATTCTAAAAGATGTGGGAAGGTGAGGGGTTTACACAAGAATGACTTTCTCTGGTGGAGATGACAACAAAGAATAGGACACACAGAGGTATGCCCCCCTTTTCCCATTCGAGTTAGTTTCTCTCTTTTTTAGTCCCATTTTTCATTTACTCTCATTTATATCCTATTTCATTTCATGTTGGTAAACATATTTGTATTGGAAAAATATAATTATAGTTGTAAAAACCATGATTTTAAAAAATACCCATAACAGAATATAATAACAAATCCATGATTAAAATCTCTGAGTGGATAACATAAAAATTTAAAAAGGGAAACATTTCCCACCTCATTAGGACAGACTGAGACCCCAGACACTGCACCATACTCTACAGCTTAGTAAGTGGTGCTGGGGGATCAGATCAGGGCCTAAAGCTGGTAACATAAGGCAAACAAAGGCGTATGCAGGTGAGGAGTAAAGAAGATGAAATAGTCAACATTTTTCTTAATACCATGTTTAAAAAACTTGTTACAACCAACATATATTACTTTTATAAGAATGAATGTTACTGTTTAAGGTGTCAAAAAACCCATCAGTCGCTTCCCTTTCATTCCTGCTAAACCAATGAGCTAGGGCCACTCTGGTTTTGTTCCTTTTCATGTGAGCTCTGATATTTCCAAGAAAAAGTTGCTTTCATTTAGTGGTAGGCAGCCCTCAAGGTGGTAGGTAGCATGAGGTCACCAAACCCCAAGGCTGGATTACCTTATGGGTGTCAATGAGAGACTGCAGGGCCTCTGTGTCATCAGGAAGTGCTCCCCGAAAGCGAAGCGTTTGCTCTGCTTCAGAAAGCCACTCCAACAGCATGTGGACTGTGTCTCGAAACACTTCCGCCTGAAATAACCAAGCACAAAAGATTCAACCTCTCTCTGCAGCCAAGGACCTAGATACTGGGACATGCTAGGGAAAGGGTCCAGTGTTCATTCAGACATTTCATGGCCTCATCAAAACTCCACAAAGGTTATCTTTCATTTGTAGATCTTTGAAAATCAACTGAATTCATTATTTCTCAAAATGAATATTAAAATTTTATAGAACATTCAGAATATCAATTTTCAACTCTGTTATACTTATTTCAAGACTGACTGGAACAGATTCTAGTAAAAGAAAAACCAAATAAACCCACTCAGATCTATCCCTTGGGTTGGGACAGCAAATATCCCTTACTTGTTTTAAGGCCTGCTCAAGCCGGCTTTGTTTGGAAACAGAGAGTTTACAGACAGTGTCCCAGCGAGTGCTCAGTTCCTGGAGCTGTCCTTTTACCCAAGTGGTGTCATCTCGACTATTCTCAATCAGCTCTCGGCCTGACCGCTTCAGGACCTGAACGGTTCCTGTTCGCTTTCCCAGTTCCTTCTGGAAAACCTAGAAAAGAAAATAGGAGAATTTGTTTGTTCAAGGAATGTTTTGAGTCCAAGAAACCACTGGGAAATAATAATTTTCTTGGTAGGTTCTAATCATGTGTCTTTTATGCATAGAGGGAGGCAGAGCAATGCATAAGAAAAAACAACCAGGCCGGGCGCAGTGGCTCATGCCTGTAATCCCAGCATTTTGGGAAGCCGAGATGAGAGGACTGCTTGAGCCCAGGAGTTCAAGACCAGTCTGGGCAACATGGCGAGACCCAATCTCAAGGGGAAAAAAAGAAAAAAGAAAGAAAAAAACAACCAGAAAATGTGGCTGTAAATGCTAGCTCAGGCATTTAGGAGATACATAATTTTGAAAAGTTGCTTAAGGCCCAGTTTCTTCATCTGTAAAATGGTAACCATTATACTAACGTTTCCAGAATTATGGGAAATAAAAACATCTGCTGTGCACATAATAAGAATCTGTTGTAATTTCAAGGTAAAGTTAAATGCTTGTGCTGAAACAGGAGGATATTACATAATTCAACATGACAGATAGAGATTATGTTAAATATTGGCGTGCCTGGTGTTAGGATTGTTAGGTTCAGAAGTGGTTTAAAAAAAAAATCACTCATTTCCATTTTAGGAGTCAGTGGAAATGGCTATCTTATGGGTTTCCGTTGGAATTTAGATCCATTTTGTGACTCAACTGAGAGAAACAAACAGGAAGAGGCGCAACCTTGAAGTGAAGTTTACACATTGCCAAATCTGAATCAAACCAATTTTGGTAAATTCGTTGTGACTAATGCAGAATCTCAGCAACAGTTTGTTTAAACACACAAAGCAACTGTCAGGCTCTCTTTCTCCCCTAGAAAGAAGGGCAGAGGCAGTCATATGTAGAAGACCCTAGGCAGTCATATACAGAAGACCCACTGCACTCCAATGTAGCCCAGACCTCACCCCTACCTTGTGTGCATCCATGAGGTTCATGACGAGGTCAAGGTCCCCGTGCACGGGCTGGTCCTCAGCCAGCTGTGGCTCCACCTTGTATAACCAGTCAACCAATGCCTGCAAAGCATCCATGAACTGACCCGAAAAGAGCAGGGCTTCCTCCAACTTGTGCTGCCTGAGAAATGCACACAAACGCTACCATTTTTAGGGATTCCTTTTACAAATGGCCCACAATTCTGCCTCGCTGAAAGGGAATATTGCTTGAACCCTATATAGAGAGTGACTTCTATGTTAGAACAGTTAGAAATACAGTAAAGGCCGGGCGCGGTGGCTCACACCTGTAATCCCAGCACTTTGGGAGGCCGAGGTGGGCAGATCACGAGGTCAGGAGATCGAGACCATCCTGGCTAACACGGTGAAACCCTGTCTCTACTAAAAATACAAAAAATTAGCCGGGCATGGTGGTGGGTGCCTGTAGTTCCAGCTACTCGGGAAGCTGAGGCAGGAGAATGGCGCGAACCCGGGAGGCAGAGCTTGCAGTGAGCCGAGATTGCACCACTGCACTCCAGCCTGGGAGACAGAGCGAGATTCCATCTCAAAAAAAAAAAAAAAAAAAGAAATAGAGTAAAAAGTGACTGAGAGATGGTGAGACATTTTAAATCAAACCACCCTCTAGAATGGATTAAGGGTAGCACAGGGGACAGGTAGAGATACCCTTTAGGCATCTTATAGCCCAGTGACACACAGGCACACCCTAACAACCCAAGGTCTGTGTTAATCACCTCATATACCACTCTAAGTAAAAGATGATAGTTTTGGTAGTGATCTGGAATCAGTTCAACTCCTAGCTCTGTATCAGTTGTGTGACCCTAGGCTGTTTCTTCATCTCCTTGAACCTCAGTCACCTCATAAAAAAAAAAAATTGGAGTACAGGCCAAGTGTGTTGGCTCACACTTGCAATCCCAGCACTCTGGGAGGCCAAGGTGGGAGGATCACTTGAGGTCAGGAGTTACAGAACAGCCTGGACAATAGCAAGACCTTGTCTCTACTCAAATAAAAAACAATGGCTGGGCGTGGTGGCTGACACCTGTAATCCCAGCACTTTGGGACGCCGAGGCAGGTGGATCATGAGGTCAGGAGTTCCAGACCAGCCTGGCCAATATGGTGAAACCCCGTCTCTAATAAAAATATTAAAAAAAATTAGCTGGGCATGGTGGTGTGCACCTGTAGTCCCAGCTACTTGGGAGGCTGAGGAAGAAGAATTGCTTGAACCGGGGAGATGGAGGTTGCAGTGACCCGAGACAGTGCCACTGCACTCCAGCCTGGATGACAGAGGGAGATTCCATCTCAAAAACAAAAACAAAAAACATTAACCAGGTATGGTGGCACATGCCTATAGTCTGAGCTACTCAAGAGGCTGAGGTGGGAGGATCCCTTGAGCCCAGGA
Organism: Homo sapiens; assembly: GCF_000001405.40. Taxonomy (NCBI): domain Eukaryota; kingdom Metazoa; phylum Chordata; class Mammalia; order Primates; family Hominidae; genus Homo; species Homo sapiens. Next base: position 39,449,779 of record NC_000001.11, on the reverse strand, counting down.
GTTGGAGGCTGCAGTAAGTTCTGCACTCCAGCCTGGGCCAGAGAGCTAGACCCTGTCTCAACATGACAAAAAAAAAAAAAAATGCCAGGCGCGGTGGCTCACGCCTGTAATCCCAGCACTTTGGGAGGCTGAGGCGGGTGGATCACGAGGTCAGAAAATTGAGACCATCCTGGCTAACACAGTGAAATCCCTTCTCTACTAAAAATACAAAAAACTAGCCAGGCGTGGTGGCGGGTGCCTGTAGTCCCAGCTACTCGGGAGGCTGAGGCAGGAGAATGGCGTGAACCTGGGAGGCGGAGCTTGCAGTGAGCCGAGATCGCGCCACTGCACTCCAGCCTGGGTGACAGAGTGAGACTCTGTCTCAAACAAACAAACAAAAAAAAGTACAAATAGGGTAGCAATATTGTAATATTTAGCATGGCATAGTGGGTACAAATAGATAAAAGTACAACTTTTAGAACCAAACTGCCATGGTTTAAACCTCAGCTCTGCCAACAGGGTAGCTGAGTGACCTTAGGGGAGTTAAGAACCTCTTTATGGTCATTTTCTCATCTGTACAATGGAATAAAAATGGTACCCACCTCAGTGGTTATGAGGATTAAATGATTATCAGCTACTGTTTGGTACATATTCAGTAGTAATTGCCCAGCAAAGGTCAGGTATCATTATGGTTAAATGAGGTAATGCATGTAGAGGCTTTGGAGTGTCCAAGAGCAGTCAATAAGACAGTTGTTGGTATTACAAATTGATGATTTACAAATACTTTTGAGTTACTGATCTATTATTGTTGGTTTGATTTTATAGGCCTCTCTCTAATACAATAAGGTTCAAGTTTAAAATGAGAATTTTTACACATTTTATTTAAATTATAACAGTCTTTGAACTAACTGGTGGTGTTAAGATGGTACAAAACCTCTTACTGATGCATTAGCTTTATCACCATTTTATAGAATCTGGTAAGAACCTCTTGCTTTTGGGATCCCGGTTAGACCCCTGAAGGGGACATTCATGCTCACCGCTCCACAGACTTGCCACAAACAGTATCCCATTTGTCTCTGACTTCTCCTAGGAAATTGTCAAGTTTCTGACTATCTTCGGGAAGCAAAGTCTTTTCTTTCAGTGCTCTGCCAGTTCTAATTGTGGTATCATACACAGGCTGCTTGCCACCAAGAGTCTTCTGAAACTCCTATGTTTCCAGAAAGAAAAGAAAAAAGTGTTAAAAGTCAGACGACATCTTGATTTGGAACAAAAGAATTTGAGTTTTCAGGCTAGAAACCAAATAAAGTATGAATATCACCACTTTTTTTGAACTAAAATTAACCATAGCTTATCCTTAAGAAATTTATAATTTTTTGTTTATACCATATATAGAAGTGCCTGACAATTTGTGAAAGCCTACAGTTTTAACTAGTTACTCCCATAACTACTTTCCTTAAACTGTTATTTAAATGAGCAAATATCATGATTAGACCATCTAGATATAAAATGGAACCCTGGCTTCATCATTTTGACTTTTAAACATTAACCAATTGGTTTTCTTTTTACTAGCTCTGATTTTTATTTTTGGCAAGATACAAGCTTTAGCGAATACTATGGCTTGGGACCTAAGAGCAATTAACTGCTTTACCTTATGCTTAGAAAGCTGAAGTTTAATTTTGTCTGGGTCATTGGATATCTCTAGTTCTGAGTCCAGGTGACTCTCTGCATCTTCTAGCCAGTCAATCAGTTTTTTCCAAGCTTCATGGAACTAAAATTACATAAGAAATAAGTTAACAGGAATGAATATACACACTATACAGCACGTTTGAGAATCATCCCAGAGACTCAATACATGCAGCCCAAGACTCTTCAGTGAATTAGTATCTTTCTTCCCCAACTTACTTGTTTTGCCCGCTTCCTGGCATCATCTAGTGATCGCCCTCTTTCAATAGATCGCTGGACAACCTTCTCCCATCGAGACTGCACGCTCACCAACAAATTCTTGATCAGAACAACATCCTGCTTTTGGCTAAGGAACTTTAATTGATTCCCAGTTTGATCCAGCTCAATGATCTGGTCTCGATGAGCATTTACTTCATTAGCAAAAACCTGAGGGAACAATAGTGCTCTTTTTTAGCTTAAGATAAGATAAAGGGGCATTTCTTTCAATTAGTGCTTTCAAAAAGAATGCAGCATCATAATATCATACTTACCTTGTGCTCTTCTATCTGGGAAAGGACAGTATTTAGAATCAGGCTTGGTGGAGAAGCGATGTTTAAACTCTGCTCTGCTAGAGTGAGCCAGTTGATAAATTCTTGTAGGGAATTCTGGAATTCTGTTGCCAAGTTGAGGGCCTCTTCCAGCTTTGACTGAATTTCAAGTAAAACACACACACACAGAAAGAAAAAGCGCCAATTTCAGGAATTATAGGCTCAGCGACAAAGGCATGAATTGTACAACAAATGAAATGACCTCTAAAAAGGAAGCCTCATTTAATCAACGTCCAAACATGCTTTATTTGTAAAGAAGGGGACATTTTAATGTTAGTGTCTGAAACAAATGGGCAAGAACTGTGTACATGGAAAAGGAAATAGAGCACAATAAGCAGCTAAGTTCCTTTCTCTGCTACTCTCCACTTCCTTGAACGGGAATAAGACTATTCAATAACTGTAAGTGAACAGACCCTTTAGTGGTGACAGCTGCAGGATCTACAACCTGCTTTGGGTAATGTTTCAGTTTCCTTTAATGTACTTTTTGTGGTATAAAAACAGCTAAATGAAAAGCAATTTACTATGAAGATGATGTTCAATGTAGTACTCTTTGTTTAAATACATGTTTTCAGAAAATATGGCATATGAAAATATGAGTCTAAAAATTATGCTTATGCTATAAGAAGAAGAGGTAACGAAAGAAGCCAAGACATTCTAGGCAAAAATCTGACAACACTAGATGTAGATTTTCAGACACTTTCATTTACCTAAGAATGGCAACAACAAGAGCTCATTCAGGGAAAAGGCTACTCCTCACAAGTACGCTTCAATCCCACAGAGTTCATAAGCTCCATCCTCAGAGACCTACACTAACCTTTTGGTAATGACTTCTGCCTCTGGCCCCCCTACTAGGCAGGCAAAGTAAAAATGACAGGCTGACAAAAATGAGTATTTCCAAAATATTCACAGAAAAAACTCCAAGATGTACACCAAAAACGTTAACTGTTGTTAATTCTACCTGACTGGGTTGTAATTTCTATTTTCCTCTTTGCGCTTTCAGGTTATTTTTGTAACCACCCCCCACCAAAAAAAAAAAAATTACAATAAATGTTATAAAAATGTACAAACCCAATCTAAACAAATCAGGTGGAAAAATGAAATCCACTTCAAATATATATAGAAATGTTTAGAAATTAATATATTACAAGTTCCTAGATGATAGGAATTCTTTCCACATCATTCTATCCACATATTCTTTATATATTTTTTATATCTACTTTATAGATATAAAAGATATACTTTTATATCTAATTTATATCTTTATATTCTTTATATCTACATATTCTTTATATTTTCTTACTACAGCACCACACACATTTAATAAATGATTTTACTGATCCTGAAGGTAATGTTTCTGCAAAATAATAAACTATCCTTGACACTCAGCTTTTGCCTGACCATTTCTGATAATGGGCAACTATGTCTTAAGGTATTTTGCTCAACTATTAAGAAAACTCTCTGAAAATTTCTTGGTTATGAGCTGGAATCTGTCTCAGTTTATTTAATCTTAGCTTTGCCTTCTGCAGGATCTATGGATGACAGCCTGTCCAAGGATTGTTTTCTCTTTTTTTTGGAGATAGGTTATTGATGTCACCCAGGCTAGAATGCAGGGGCACCATCACTGCTCACTGCAGCCTCAACCCTCCAGGCTCAAGTGAGCCTCCTACTTCAGCCTCCCAAGTAGCTAGGACTACAGGCGTGTGCCACTACACCTGGCTAATTTTTAGGTATTTTTGTAGAGATGGGGTCTTGCTATATTGCCCAGGCTGGTCTCAAACTCCTGGTGTTAAGCAATCCTCCTGCATCAGCCTCCCAAGTGCTGGAATTACAGGCGTGAGCCACCAGGTCTGACTCTGTCCAAGAATTAGCATACACTTAGGTCCTTTAGCCATTCTTAATATAATCAAATTACCCAATCCCATGCTAGAAGGTTTTTAGGAAATTAATGCTTCTCTCAAGATGTTCATGTGTTTTATGCCCTTCTGTTCATTAATTTCCCAAAGATAGGGTCGTCTTTAGTGTTTCCACCATAAATCAGGCACAGGACTTGGCACACACTTGCTCAATAACTATTCATTGAGTGAATGTGGTCAACAGGTTTGTGTATGTATATATTTCATACTTGATCTGAGCAGCAAAAAATACAGTGAAACTCTGTACTCATAAAAAATAATCTTTTTGGGCAAACACCTTGATCCCTAGTCATCTTTCATTATTTTGTAGAGAAGAGAATTTGATTTTTGAGGATGAGTGGGAAGAGGTCATATAATTTACTTCTCTCCTGATTTCTAGTAAATTTCCTTGCACACTACATTTACGTTAGGAACCAAATTCCTTGTGGAGAATTATTCGTCAGTCCCTATATGCCCTGTCCCCAATCTCTCAACCCCAAGATACCAACTCCAGCAAAACCTTGTTTTTAAGTAGAACACAAATTGGTGATTAATATAGGACATAAAGCCCATCACGAAGCGATAATGGCAGTAATGTCTTAACAGGTAAGGAATGAATAATTATAAAAGCAAATAACAACAGAAACTTATACCATCAATGCAACTCAACACAGATGGAATCAGTTCTGCAACTTCTGTTACAATACCCTGGTCTTCAAAAAATCTTCATATAAATAAGATGGCAATTATTATACATGCAATCACTCAGCAAATTACTCAAACATGGGGATCATACACTGTACCTTTCTTTCTTCCATCTTACTGCTGACCACATGCCACTTCTGCTCCAAAAGTGCTACACTCTGTTCTGTCTTGGAGCCAGACCCAGAGTCGTCACGGCTTAGAAGCATGAGTCTGCCCTTGTCAAGTAGTTGATTATAAGTCTCTTCCTTGGCTTTCAGCTGGGAATAGAGTTCCTACAAGAAAAGGCAGGAAAGATATCAATTCTACGAATTCTCTGGAAGACACCTACATATAGATTCTGTAGCAGAGTCTGGGAAAGTCCAGGAAGGGCTCATCTTGATTACAAGCCATTCTTTTGGATTCAGTTCAAGTGCTGAGCCATAAGGGAATGAAACCCACCATACTTAATAATAAAATTAATTGTAATAACTAAATACTGATTACTTAGAATTCATTTGTATTAAAATGTAAGTATTAACATATTTTACTAAATAACAAGTGGCAAATTAAAATATTAAAATAATTTTATCACCCATAGAAGAAAAACTTTTTTTTTTTTGAGATGGAGTCTCACTCTGTCACCCAGGCTGGAGTGCAGTGGCAGTGATCTCGGCTTACTGCAAGCTCCGCCTCCCGGGTTCACACCATTCTCCTGCCTCAGCCTCCTGAGTAGCTGGGACTACAGGCGCCCGCCACCACGCCCGGCTAATTTTTTGTATTTTTAGTAGAGACGAGGTTTCACCATGTTAGCCAGGATGGTCTTGATCTCCTGACCTCATGATCCACCCACCTCGGCCTCCCAAAGTGCTGGGATTACAGGCGTGAGCCACTGCGCTCGGCCAAGAAAAACATTTTTTAAGGATTAGAGATCCCTCAAAAGACTCCAATAATCTATTTCCCCTTTTCATGAAAAATTTGCCTAGAAATTATGTTGCTTTTTGTTCTAGCATGCATTCTTGAAATACTGTCGGGTAACTATTTGATTTCCCTAAACCCCCCTTAAGTAGTTTCCTTCTTAAGTGAAAGCACATCTGTGTTGTATATTTGTCTTCTTGATGCTGTCATCTTCAAGTCAATATATGTGTGCCAGTAAAGCTGATTAACTCAAAATTTCCAGCTGACCTTCCCTGTCACTACTGCTGCCTACTGTAAGGTATTAGAAGCCTGTAACAGGCAGCAATCCCCAAAGGTTATACTATATGTTTGATAAAAATGCACTACTTTGTAGATTTCCAGATACATATTAATTATGACTGTGAACTTGGAAAGGAGCTAGTGAATATGGGATGCTTATGCTCAATTTCAAAAAATTGCTATTACCATATGTGTATCAAGCTGTTCCCTAGCAGTTTCAGGAAGTCCTCCTGTGGGCTTAGATGCAGAAAGCTGGCTCTCCATTCTAGTAAGTTCCAAGAGGAAATCTTCAATTTCACTGTGGAAGCCCTGGGCCTTTTGAGAAAAAGATATATCAACCATGTCAGTAGTCATTTCTCAGCTTTAAAAGTCAACTTTCCAAATGATATGAGGAGTTTATCTTGAGGAAGGAATTTTCGGCTGCTCTCTGGCAAAGCTGTTCTGTTGCTAGATTAGCATGGGGCCAATATTATTGCTAGAATCTAGCAGAATCCTTCAGACCTCACTATAACATATTATAAATGCCTGATACGATCAGATGAATTGACTATTGATTAAGGTACTGTTGAATAGGAAGAGACCTGACTTGATCCAAGAAAAAAAGGGAATCTGTTATAGTGAAGATCTGCTAACTTTGAATGTGAATAAAGAGACTGAGCTAGAAATGAATTCAGAAAAGAACTACCCAATCAAAAGCTGCTCTTTCTAGATAAGTTACAGCACAGTATTAACCTTCCCCTCAAGACATAAGGGATTCTTTGCTTTTCAAATTGATCTCTTCTCTCTGACTTAGATAGGCTTTCTGTTATCTGTATAGCTCTTCCTACCTTACTTGGATGTCACATGTACCTGCTGCAGAGTTGACTGAAGCTGCTGCTCCCTCTCCTCTGTTTTCTGTAACACTGACTCCCAGCATTGGTTCATGGCTTCCAAACGGCTCCTTAAGCTGCTGGCATCATCTCCAGCACTGGATTCAAGAAGCTCATTGCCAGCTTTGTTGACTGTTTCCACTGTGGCTTGATGAGCCAAAACATCATTTTTTAGGACCTAAAACATGTTGAACAACATAATTTATCTCTATGGATATCATCTAACTTGGTTCTCTTAAGATATACACAACATTCAAAGGCTGCTGGTGGCAGCATCTGGTCTCAAATCAATAGGGTTAGAGATGAAAAAATGAAAATACTTACATGGTGCTTTGCGAGCTCAACTTCAATGACTTTTGGGTCTCCACTTATTGGTCTCTGAGCATCTAACAACTCTTCGGTATGAGTCAGCCAACTCATTAGTTCCTCTAAGGCATGCTGGAACTGACCAAGGGCCAACAGAGCCCCTTCTAGTTTGTGCTACTCAGGAAAAGACAGAAAGGGAATATTCAATACGAAATTAGAAAAGAGCGGAGAGTAGTTCACTGATGTCATCTACCACCTGCCTTACCTGTCGGTGGGCAATTTTCTCACCCAGGTTCTCCCAGAGGTGTTTGAGTTCTGTCAGTGGTTCTCGTATAATGTCTCTGTCCGTCTCATCAGTAGCTTTCTTTAACATCAGTTCACCCTGGTGATTAAGCTTCTCCATCTCAATTTGCTGTTGGTAAACTTCTACTTTGAACTCCTGTCAAAGACACACTCAATGTTAACATCAAATCAAGCCTTTAAAAACTATAATAAAACAATTCTTCTTCAAAAGCCATACCCAGATACAAACCTTCATTTCATTTAACTGATCTTTAACAGTATTGAGGTCAGTGCCAACAGGGGGCATGGTGCAGAGTTTAATCACAGTGTTATCTAGCCAGTCAAACATAGCCTAGAACAAAAGACAAGTAAACAGTCAAAAACAACCAGAAGAATTTGGGAGAGAATTAGCATTATCTCTGCTAACATAAGAAGACATAAATCAATCAAAGCACCTTGTGCTGTTTGTGATTTCAGGTAAGGGGCACAGATAAAGAATAATGATCTTTATATTAATAATATGGTGATTTAATAATGGAGCCAACATTATCAAGATAATGTTCAAAATAAACTACAATTTGGAAATACTAAATTTGAATAAAAGTGAAGATTTTTCAATCCCAGCTAGCAAGCTCATGATGTTCTGAAGCAACTGTGCCAAACTGTGCTTGAAGATAACCTGGGTTTGGAACCTCTGGCAAGCAATGACTTTCACAGTAAGGCCAGCTTCACAACGTAGCTGAATGAATCTATGATGAGCAGGCAATGATAAACATGGCAGGAAGAGTAAGAATTCAGACAGATGTCGCTACTTTTTTCACTACAAGTGGGGAACTTTGGCTAAATTTGTGGAAACACCACTATCTTAGGTCTGCAGTCCTGTGAAGGTGATCCACTTTTGTGCTTAATTCCAAAAATGACAAAAATGGCAAAAAACAGAACCTGTATTTCCTTGGTGGTCACCTCCTGGCCTCTCACCTGAAGAGTGTCCTGATACTGCACAGCAGCTTGCATAGCATCCTCAAGTTTTTCTAGCCTCTCTTTCCATGTTTTGTTTAAGTTCTCCCAAGCATTATTCATCTAGGGGAAAAACATTCAATCAGATTCTTCAATCAATACCACTCTTCAGTCTGGGCCCACTAATGTTCTAACTGAGTGCCTCATCCATTTCTCCACACCTCATCAATGCTCTTCCTCACTTCAGGCTTCTCAGTTTCTCCACAGGCAAAAATCAAATCTGCTCCAAGGATCCGAATAAACTCCAGCTCTTCATGCAGACCATCTGTCTCTTCCTTAATAGTCTACATGTAAACGAATAGAATATAAGCCAAAATAGAAAACAGAACAGAACTTACCAAACTTTGCAAATGTGATTTATACCCCATCAATAGCAGATGCTCAACATAACTGTCAGTTTCACTTATCTGGACACTAAAGCTTCAGACTCTACATGGTTATTTTTCATATATACAAAATATATATTACATATAGGTATATGTATATATAAAATACTATAGAAAAGGTATGGTGAGGTTCAATAATTTACCAAAGGTTCACCCCTTCCTGCCTCCAAAGAAATTATAATCAACAGCTAGAAGTCTATTACAGAGAAACATATCAAGGGTAAAATAACACAGTACAAGTCACAAATTTAAGTGCTGACAATAGAGTATAACAGAAGTGCTGGGGTCTATGATCTTGAAAAAAACTCTGTGCCAGATCCTAAAAATTGGCTCATGTATTGGTATTGACCCAAGGTGGGGAGGGAAAGAATTTCTCTATGAAAAAATAGCTGAAATAAAAGTAAGAAATTAGAGAAATAATATCAAGATAGGCTTGGCTTATGCTAAATGGACAATATGAGGTAAGAAATGTTGTTGGTAAAAAAGAGACTCCTGGGCCAGGTGCAGTGTCTCACGCCTGTAATCCCAGGACTTTGGGAGGCCGAGGCTGGAGGATTGCTTGAGCCCAGGAGTTCTGGACAAGCCTGGGCAACATGGTGAAACCCCATCTCTATAAAACATAAAAAAATTAGCCAGGCATGGTGGCATATGACCCAGCTACTAGGGAAGCTGAGGTGGCTGGATTGCTTGAGCCCGGGAGGTGGATGCTGCAGTGAACCAAGATCATGCCACTGCAATCCAGCCTGGGTGACCCAGTGAGACCCTGTCTCCAAAAAAAAAAAAAAAAAAGAAAAGAAAAGAAAAGAAAAGAAAAGAAAAGAAAAATAGCACCAAAAACTAGAAAAAAGTATGTCAATGTAACAACTGTTATCTCTAGATAATGAGTCCAAAATTGATTTTTATTTTCTACCATCTATTTTTCTACATTTAAGAAATGTAATATAATGAGCAGGTTTTTTTCAATTGGAGAATGTCTCACTTAAAAAGAAACTTTAGGCCTGGAGTGGTGGCTCACGCCTGTAATCCCAGCACTTTGGGAGGCCAAGGTGGGTGGATCACCTGAGGTCAGGAGTTCAGAACCACTCTGGTCAACATGGGGAAACCCTGTCTCTACTAAAAATACAAAAATTAGCCAGGCATGGTGGCACATGCCTGTAATCCCAGCTATTCAAGAGGCTGAGGCAGGAGAACCACTTGAACCTGGAAGGCGGAGGTTGCAGTGAGTCAAGATCATGCCATTGCACTCCAGCCTTGGGGACAAGAGCAAAAAACAAAAACAAAAACAAAAACCTTTAAGGTACTCAGCCTGGCTAAGCAGTTAACATACCTCACTTTGATTTGATAAAGTGCTTTTTCTAGAGGACAGACACCTAAGAAAAAGGGTTTTGTTTCCTTCTTACCTCAGCAGCTTCAACCTGTTGTTTGATGATGGAAGGATCAATGCCTGGGCTTTCCAAGTCATGGACAATATCCTGGGTGTCTTTGATGGTGGTCAGGAGAGCTGCCATGTCATACCAGAACTTCTCTGCTAATTCAAGGACATCAAGAAATTTGATTTCTCGTTCTTCAGCCCGAGCTTTGATGTCCTCCCAGAAGAATACCATTTGATCCAATTTATCCTGGATTTCTGAGGAGGTTAAAAAAAGAGATATGAATAGGACTTTCTGAAGAGCCTGAAATTGGTCTATTCAGAAATTCCATGTAACTCTGACCTTTTCAATGAAACTATTTTTTAAAAAAATGCTAAGCATTTATAACTAAAGGATAATTTTCTATTTTAGTTTTACTATTATTTCTTTTTCTTTTTTTTTTTTTTGGAGACAGAGTCTTGCTCCTGTTGCCCAGGCTGGAGTGCAGTGGCGCAATCTTGGCTCACTGCAACCTCTGCCTCCCAGGTTCCAGAGATTCTCCTGCCTCAGCCTCCCAAGTAGCTAGGATAACAGGCATGTGCCACCATGCCTGGCTAATTTTTGTATTTTTGGTAGAGTCGGGGTTTCACCATGTTGGCCAGGCTGGTCTCGAACTCCTGACCTCAGGTGATCCACCCGCCTCGGCCTCCCAAAGTGCTTGGATTATCAGCATGAGCCACCACACCCGGCCTATTATTTATTTCTTTTTTTAGAGAGAGGGAATTTCACTCTGTCACCCAGGCTGGAGTGCAGTGGTGTGATCTTGGCTCACTGCAACCTCTGCCTCCCAGGTTCAAGCGATTCTCCTGCCTCAGCCTCCTGAGTTGCTGGGATTACAGGCGCATGCCACCACACCCAGCTAATTCTTGTATTTTTACAAAATTTCACTATGTTGGCCAGGCTGGTCTCGAACTCCTGGCCTCAAGTGATCTGCCCACCTCAGCCTCCCAAAGTGCTGGGATTATAGGCATGAGCCACTGCGGGTGGCTCCGGCCTATTATTTATATACTAGCGTTTTCCTCTTACATTGGTATCCCACATACAGGGATCACAGAAGTAATCCAGAAATGAGCTATCATCTACTATAAAGGTAGTGCTAAGATACAAAACCCCTAACTTACAAAAGGGCTAAGATGAGAACTCTTGTTTCCAGTGTTCTGTGTTAAACTTGTATGTTTCCCATGGAAAGTGTTACAAAAGGTAGCTATGTTCTACCCACTATTGATACTGTAGTTTACTCACGTTAGGGGTTAAAGGAGCTTTTGTTTCCTGGCCTGGGAATCTAACTACCAATTGTAACCTTGTTTCAATGGCGAAATGTGTTCTGAATTCCAAATGATTTTCCAGTGACTTTCTGGAATACTCATTACTGGGGACTGCCTTTACATTCAAAGAAATAAATAAATCTGGTGGGATGCTGAAGATAACCACAGCCTAGAATTTATTCTGTTGATTTTTAAAAATAATGACAATCATCAAGCACCTTTTGCAGCCAGATCCTTGTCTGCTCCCTGAGATCGTCCAATAAGCTCCTCTCCACGGCGCTTCAAGGCCTCAAAGGATGGCTGCAGTTTTTCTAGCTCCACGGTGGCACTCTTATTGTCACTGATGCACTCTCTGATCTTGTCTACTTCAGCAGGGATCAGTGGTGGCATACGCAGGCGAGAGGAAAGATTCTCCAGTGTCTCCAACATAGGCTCAATTTTATCATGAAACTAAACAAATGTTGGAACATTACCATCACAGCATACCTCATCACTCTTCTTGGAGAAGTGTTAGGGAATAAGGACAAGATATTATCCTACTACTGTTTAGGATAACCTGTGCTCAGTTTAGCCCAATGGCTATTAAGTGTTGAGTTTGGTTAAGAAACTGTTTTGGGCCAGGGGTGGTGGCTCACACCTGTAATCCCAGCACTTTGGGAGGCTGAGGTGTGTGGATCACCTGAGGTCAGGAGTTCAAGACCAGCCTGGCCAACATGGTGAAACGCCGTCCCTACTAAAAATACAAAAAATTAGCCGGGTGTGGTGGCGCACGCCCGTAGTCCCAGCTACTAGGGAGGCTGAGGCATGACAATCACTTGAACCCGAGAGGCAGAGGTTGCAGTGAGCTGAGATAGCACCACTGCACTCCAGCCTGGGCGACAGAGTAAGACTTTGTCTAAAAGAAAAAAAAAAGAAAAAGAAAAAAACAACAACAAAACTGTTTTGGGCATATACAGAGCTGGCCCATTAAAAAAAAAAAAAGCCAATATTTATTTTAAGAATCTAAATATATGAATATACTAGAAACCAATTCAAATCTTTAGTGCTGCCACAATATTTCTCCTATTCCAACTAATGTAACAAAAAAGGGACAAGACTATGAAACTGCTGAGAGTCAGTATGTCAACATCTGAGATGACAGTTGCATGCAACAGACTAGACCAACAAGTTAGATGCCCTCCACCAGCTGTGTAAATGGATGGGAAACTTAATATGCTACACGACTTGTAGTTTAAAAGTAACATGGCATGCAGTTTAACGACCCACCTTATGGAACAATAAGAGAGAAAAAACGTTGGAATAATGAAAGGTAATTAAGGAAGACCAAATCTAACCTTATTCTTGAAGAATTATTACCTTCCCACTTTTCTGTTACTTTGAATAACATGACTACAACTGAAAAGTTCTCATTAAAATTTGATGCAGAGAGGAGAGAAAAGAGCAAAACAGATAAGCATGCCTCCTAAGAAAAATCTATCTCAAACCAACTCTGGTTTTAGTTAAAGAAAGGCTTATCAATTTCAAGTGTCCTATAGAAAAAACATGGTGGGATTCCTTAACAACATCACTTCCCATCACTCTCTCACTTCTAGGTTCCACCCCAAATGAAACTGGCATAATAAACTGCACTAATTAAATTTATTCCACTAAAGTTAAGGGAAATTCCCTTACAGGTAATGACCTCAATTTTCAGCATTATAAGAACACCCTAGTCCCAATGGGGATGGGTACCTTACCTCTGTAATCTGTAATGGTGGGCGCGGTCAACACAACAATGAAATGTGACGATGTGGGGAAGACAGGAGCAGGCAGCAACAACACAAAGTAACACATTCCACAATGTGAGTGAGAGATGGGACGGAAGGTGGGGGGAGAAACTTGAGTAAGTACAAATATTAACCAAGAATATTGACTAAACATAGGAATAAAATACCCAGACATGACAACAGTACCACTAAGAGTAATATATTAGTTGAAAGTATGTAGTTACATGCTTTAAATCCCTCTGCTGGTTTATGCTTCTCTTTGGCTCTTACTACTCCTTACTCAAGCATCTTAAACTATGAGTTAGCTGGTTGCTTAAGAAAACTAATGTGCTGTTGCTCTAAAGCAAAAAAGTAACAGGTTCAATAAGTACTTTTTTGAGGCAGTCACTGCTTTTGAATCTGCAAGGTAAATTTATCCAAAATCATCTGCTAAAGGATCATCACAACATAAAGTTTTCAGAGAAACCATCAACAGACAATATATACCAGCCAAGACTCATTTCACTCTCCTTAGAATGTCAGTATGCCAATGTTCCTTGGAATAAAAATGAAGATAGGCTAAGCTTTCTGTTCTATCTACCGATCACGTATTAACATGCTGCTCTGGACATTCCTGAGCACAGAGACATACCTGATACAGAGACCTCTTGTTTAGAACAGTAGACAATTCAAGGTTATGAGTGTCAGACACACACATACCTGTGTGGACTGGGACACGGCTTCATCCAGAGCCAGGGCTCGCTGGCGCACCTCCTCCTTTATTTGGGCATACATGTTTTCTGCTTTCTGGTATTTTTCTTCCACCATTTCCCCTTCCTCAGGGTTTAATTCCTTTAGTTGTGGGCCTATCTTTAGTAGTTTGTCAATATGAGGTTTGTGTTCAGCAATAGATTCCCTTAATTGCTAGGTAAAAAAAGAATTAAACCATAATGAGTACTTTTATACCAGTTTATGTATTTAGATACTTTGATCAGAGCTAATATCAACTTTAAGAGGAACAAACAAAATTGTTAAAAACCAGCAAGGCCCAGCATCTCACCATTTGTGTGGGAACAGAAAAACACCTAAGTCTTAGGTTCTGACATTACCCAATTTAATTTTTGAAAGTCAGTTCTGATGTCTCATCACCCTAGCAGCCTTCCTGGAAACATCCTCTCTTCTCTTCCCCTACCAGCTGTGTCATACAAGTCTACTCCACACTCTTCTGTAATCATAAGTACTTCTATGTACTCTATTTTACTCTACATGGTTTAATAATTGTCTACCTCCCCAGACTGAGATACCAAGCTGGATAAGCTATGAATAGCAACATTTTTGGCAATCCAACCACTCCTTGACTTTACTGCTGACTACGTCCAGTTTATACACTTCCACTTATAAGAATAGCAATAAGCACAAGCCATAAACCAGAAATAAACATTTTGAAGTGTCATTAACTATACAGAGCAAATGTTTTTTGACATTACCTCATGGCTTTCACTCCAGTTGGTGCCTAACTAAGTAGAAAGTACTGTCCAACCATACCTTGAGTGTAACAACACCCTATTATCCCCGGAAATATTTTAAATTCCATTGATTTTTAGTGAGTTCTTTCTTTAGTTCTGTCATTCTAAGGTTCTCGACATCTCTATAATCTTAGTGTTTAATCAATTGATATTAAACAACCAAGGAAATAATTCAGATTATGTATTATGAAAGGAATTCTAACTGATTAAGAATTAACTTCGTAACACAGAACTTGCACCTATAGACACTAACAAATGTTGTTTTTAAATAAATTATAGAGACCATTTTAGAACAATAAAATGAAACTTGGCATGCTCCTTACCCTCATTTCCTCTTGTTGCTGCCTGAGCTGCTCATGATCAATGGCTGGAGAGGGTAACTGTGCTATTAGTGCCCGAGTTTCCTCAATCCAGGGGCTGAGCTCTTCATAAGTTTCCCAAAACTGGTTTACTAAGACCTGGGCCCGCTCTAGGCGGGCATAACGCTCTGAATTGAGTAGGCTAATGGCTTCATATTGCTGTATTAGAGACTCTGTCTTTTCCTATGTGAGCAAAAAAAAAAAAAAAAAGGATAAGTATTACTATTATAAACTCTTAAGAAAAAAAGTAGGTATATATACATTAAAAAGTCTAAAAGAATACATAACTAAATTATTTTAAAATATCAGTAAAGATTACAAGTGATTTTTATTTTCTTCTTCATACTTATCTGAAATTTTCTAATTTTCCTATCATACATATATTTTATTTCTATAATTTTTAAAAGATAAAAGTTTAAAAAGCAGTAAAATAGTATAAGAAAAACACAGCAAAATTAACCTTTCAGTAATGATACACAACCTTAGATATAGCATTATTATTATTATATATGTTTTTGAGACAGAGTCTCACTCTGTCACCTAGGCTGGAGTGCACTGGCGCGATCTCAGCTCACTGTAACCTCCGCCTCCTGGGTTCAAGGGATTCTCCTGCCTCAGCTTCCCAAGTAGCTGGGATTACAGGTTCCCACTGCCACATCCAGCTAATTTTTGTATTTTTAGTAGAGACAGGGTTTCTCCATGTTGGCCAGGCTGGTCTCGAACTCCTGACCTCAGGTAATCTGCCCACCTTGGCCTCCCAATGTGCTGGGATTACAGGCGTGAGCCACCGTGCCTGGCCAATATACCATTATAATGGATCAGTTTAAAACTGAACATCTAAGGGGCTACGATGGAATCTTTGCCTATCAAGTTTTGCCTGTCATTTTTCTTCTGATTAAAAAAAAGTCTCCAGAAACCTGCCATTTATGCTTCAAATGTTTAGGATGAGTAGCTCAGTCAGTTTATGAATATTTCTGAGGAAACTGTGCTTAAACATATCCTTTATGAAACAAAACAAAACGAAATGAAAAAACTTGTCTACAAACCATCTTGACCAATCCTTTTAAAACTAGGTACGACCTTTTAGAAGGATATAATGAAGGAATTAATATCTGCATATGGTTCTGAAAAAAATCTACCATAAATACCTTGAAAAGTAACTCAAAGCTTGCTCCCTGTGGAGTGAGGATAAGTAGCAATTCCCCTGTTATAAAGAAGATGGATTTGCAATATATTTCACATTATATAGGATGGCTGTTTTAAACATTTGTGGACACAGGGTTAAGATTCTGAATTCCCCAGAACATCAAGCTGGACTTTAATAACAATCATAAGAAAAGTCCAGGAGGGAAAAAGCCTTAAACCATCATTTCACAATTGTGCTTCTAATTCACCATGATAAAAACAGGAACAATATGGCAAATAAATAAATGTAATTCACCTGTAATACAGTTTTTTGCTCCTCCCCACATGTGCCAAAGATTTCACTACGGTGACTGAAGAGTTCATCCATTGAATCTTTGTGTCGAATAATGTCAATGGAGAAAGCCTTTGAAAAGTAAACTGTAGTTAAGAAGTAAAAAGACCCTTTTCCTGTTATTACTAAAGGTTAAGACAAAATCTATGAAAAAGCCACATCAAAAATTGTTCTTATACAGTTTGACACTTTGCCTATCCAACATCTTCTCTAGCTTATCTTTTTAGTAGCTTACAAAAATTTCTATCAAGGAAATTGCTAATTATGGATTAATGGGCCTATTTTTCCTTTCTCACAAAGCAAAAAAAAAAATTCTTCCTCATCTCAACCAAATACATAGAAAATTAATTTCTATTTACCATCATGCCACTAAATTATTCCACTTGACATGGGATAGTCAGAAACTCTCCTAGTCACTCTAAGTTACTGATGATTCTATTAGCTCAGGAAAGAGTGGGCACGTACCTTCTGTACCTGAAGCTGAGCTGTGGTCTGGTCCTGTTCCAGGCGAATTGGACCCAGAGCCATCAGTTTCCGTTTTGTTTCAGCAACCCAAGCTAGTTCTGCATCGGCAGCTTGCTCATACTAATAGACGTATTAAAGAAAAATAAACAAATTATATACAGCCAAGTCTCCACATAACTGCAATTTATTCAACAAAGCAAGGCCTGGATTTTCAGTAATACAGTTTATATCTCACAAAGTAGAGTCAAAACTGGGAAGAATTTCATAAAATCACAAATCAAGATGCAAACAAGTTAAAACTGACCACATTTCAATTTCTTTAAAGTAAGTTACAGAACTCAGTTTCTACAGCTAGAAATAACAGATATCAATCCCCTTCAAAAGAAAGATGCCTCTAATCAGTGTTTTTATGAGACTACACTCTTCCTGCCATTGCTCTTTCCTACCCAGACATGGAACAGTAGTAGGTTTAGTCAGATGTTTAAATATAAACCTAATATGGCAGTAGACGGATGAGTCAAGTTAACTCGGAAGTGCCCGCTTAGCTGAAGCAGCATAAGACCCCAAAAGAACAACACATTTTTAAATGGTTATGTAATAACGAAAACCAAGAACATGTTCTACGTGACTGTTAGTTTCATGAGGGCTCCCCAATCCTCCATCCTTCCCTGCCCCCTCAGAGACAGGGTCTGATTCTGTTGCCCAGGCTGGAGTGCAGTAGCACAATCATAGCTCACTGCAGGCTCTAACTCCTAGGCGCGAGTGATCCTTTCACCTCAGCCTCTCTAATAGCTAGGACTACACAGGCAATTGCCACCATGATCGGCTAATTTTTAAATATTTCTGTAGAGATGTGTCTTGTTATGTTGCCCAGGCTGGTCTTGAACTCTTGGCCTCAAGGGATTCTCCTGCCTTAGCCTCCCAAAGTGCTGGGACTACAGGTGTGAGCCCAGTCTCCTATGCCTGACCTCTCCAGTCTTTTATCTCTTCCTCTTCAACTTGGCCAATATACACTTACATTTAAAAATACGCTTCTCCCAAGCACAATACATTTCATATTGAAATATCTGGCCAAGATAAGGGATAACTCTAAAGACACACTGGGGATATACCTGGACTCAGAGCAAATTTCTGTGTGATTCAAAAAGCATATGTTCATCACTATGATCCTAAGGAGTTATATTAACTTATTTTTTGTACTACGGCACATTAAGAGGTGTGTATCCAGCTACACAAAAGAACAAATGATTTTTTTCCAGAAAGTAGGAAGGAAAAAAGATCAAGGGAAATATGACACCTGTGTTTACTGAGAAGGTTCTATTTTAGATAGCTCTGCTATTTTGGTTTGCATATTTGATAGTAATTCCTTCCCCCTCTTCCATCTAATGCTAAGAGAGTTAATTATGTCAAACTAAGATTGTGGTGCATTTGGACCTTTTGAATCTAGATATTATCTACTCCCATCACCATCAGCCTTCTTAGCAGGGCATTAGCTAAGAAAAGGCCTCATGTAGACTCTTCTCCAAGTACTTCTCTACTCAAAGGGGTCAAGTATTTTGGTCAAATTCTGGATCCATCCTCACAAACTTCTACCCAATCATTTCCCATCAATGAAACATATTTATTCCACCAGATTTAGCTTGAGCCCATTCTTATTTCTGAGTCTGTATTTATGTGGGTCATAGTACTGTATCTCACACATCAATACTGTCTAAAATATTAATGCAGAGGTATTATAAGCATTACCTGTTGTGATCTCTGAATAGCAGCATCAATTTCATCCACCCTTTGTCCAATAGTGTCACTGACTAGTTTGTACTGCTCGTTAGCATCGGACACAAGTTTATCCAGCCCTTCTCTGGCTCTCCAGGGCACCAGCTCTAAGAGAGCACGGCTCACCTCATTCACTGTGTCCAACACCAGCCTGTGCTCCATGACCTCCTTCTTTAATTCCTAAGGAGGGAAAAGAGTTTTCAGGCCATACCTTGCTAAATAAAGCACATCAGCAACTGTGCTGGGTGGAAATTGCTATCTCTACCACACATCCCAGCAGGACTCTGACCTCCTTCCTTCAGTTATTTTTTTCTCATCTCAGATTTTTCAATCATTCTGAAGCCTGACTTTAGACTTCATTGTTGCTTGCTTAGAACTGCCTGTAAGACTTTTTGAGCCACATTGTCTCTGGGTAAAACAACTAATACTTCTTTCATCTCCTTACTTCAACAGAAATGATAAATAATGCTTTAACCAAAGGCTCAGTATTTAACCTAACAAGTACCTATACAATATTTCTATGCATCTAGAACTATACTAGATCCTGCAGAGAAATCAAATAAAACCATGAAGCACTCTTTAGAGAATAAATAATAGAGGTTAAAATGTTACAAAGTAAACTTGATTCAACTTCTTTCTTCTTCATAACATATGTGTAACGTATATGTCTTTATGTCAAATCTTACTGTCCATGAGTAAACAAGAAAGGGGGCACATATTTTTAGTTTATATTTAAGGTAAAGGTTGATAAAACTTAAGGATTCTGACAAAGAGGAAGCCTTTTTTTCTTTTTATGGTAAAGTAACAGCTCACCTTCTGTCTCTGCTGAAACTGGGGTATCTGTTCCCCTGTGGGAGACTGTCCTCCACTGGTTGCCAGCTCCTCCTCCACCTCCCTCAGCCACCCGGTCAGTTCCTCATAAGTAGACTGGAACTTGGTGGCCAGCTGCCGGGCTTGCTCTAAAGTTCTGAGGGCCTTGGAGCTAGTAACTGTGATGTCTGCGTAACGAGTCTTTATACCATCTAGTTTTTCCTGGATAAGTAACACCTCCTCACCTATGGAAGATAGCACACAATTACTCATATTTAAGAGACCTAGGAATGAGGAGTCTCTGATCCCCTTTCTTCAAATCAGAGCTTTAATTTCATAGACGCTCTCTCTCTCTCTGTGGTAATGATTTCACCTATCCCATACTAAGGGCAAATGGGAAATAAAATAAACTTTCCACTGGATAAAAGAAGCCACTTCTGAATTATTAAAATCTGAGTTCAGCGTCAAGTGTTTCTAGATGTTTCCAGCACCTTTCAGTGCATGTTGGCATTCAAGATACTGAAGGAGAGGAGAAATCATCATCTATAACCAGATGTGAGATAACTTAGTTTTCAAAAGATTTAGCAGGAAACAACCTTCTGGAGCACAGTAGGGAATACAATCAGTGAATACTAAGCTTCTCATATATACATAAAGAAGAGGCTAAGGCAGGGAACTCCTTTCCTTGGGTACATAATTGTCTTTGAGACCATAGGGGTGCTAAGAGACACACTTTTCAAAGTACCTGTGGTTTGTTTTAGAAGAGCCTGACCATTTTTAATAGCTTGATCTACATTCTTCTTTCTATTAACAATTTCTTCATTTAAAGCCTGAAAGGAAAGAATACCATTAATCCTGAAACTGTGGCACTACAAATGAAACAAAATGCGAGACCTTTAAGAGATCAAATTTAAAGTAAAGAGATGAATACTAGTTTAATTTAAACATCAGATATTTGATCCCCTCATCTTCTCCTTGGTTAGCCCATTGACTATTCAAAATAATTAAATCAGATACCTATAGGCAAGCTTTCCTATGCGCTGGATGAGAAAAACTTAGAATTACATCAGCTTTACCAATTATTGGTACCAAACCTGAACCCAAGAAAGGCAGAAGTGAAATTGAGCAAAATTGTCTACTGTGTCCAAAATAAGGAATAAACAGAAAGTTCAAGAGAAGAAATTCAGTAAGAACAGACTGACTTAAATCAGAATCCTGGTTAAAAACTCTCTTCATATTTAAAGTTGACGAAGCAAAAGAATCAGACTATTAGAAAAATTACCTATTTTTACTCTCCCAAACAGATTTCATAAAAATGAAATGAAAAAGGCAAACTCTTCTATTAAGATGACACAGAATCCCCGGAATTTGAACAAATCCAGAAATATCCTAAAAGTTTTTTAACTGTATGATCAAATCCTGGGCACTACACAGATAGATCTGGTTTTGTTAAAGCACATTATCTTTCATAAAACTGCTCAAATAGAATCTTAGTGACCCATCACCTAATAATGTAAATCATGAGTTGGAGTTCAGATGGCCCCTGACTATATACCCTGTACCATCTTCTAGAATTACTGATTTAACTTGTTAAATATAAGTATTTCCATGGACTCATCCAAAAACAGATTAGCAGTCAGCATCAAGTCCACTAACTATGCACTTGTGTATAAAATAAAGTTGAAGTGTTTGTAATGAAGAAAAAAAAATAAATGAAGAGAAACATGAATCAAAATAACAAAATAACAGAATAACATAACCAATAAAAATGGAAACATGAATACCAGGTGGTCAGCATGCTGCCTGTGCAGGACATCCTGTTTGAAATCCTTTACGAACACTGAACTGAGCTTGTCCTCAACCTCAGCCAGCCAGTTGAGCACCTCCACCTCATCCTCCCCAAACAGCCTAGCATTAGACAGAGCTTGGTCAAGTAGGGCTGCCTTCCGACAACAGCGGTCTTGAATTTCACTGTATCGGGCCTGCAATGAGTCTATCTTTTCTGACAGCACACCCTGTTCTGCAGGAGATGTCAGGGAGGAGAGGGACTGCCCAATTTTGACTGCCTGGTGCACATCTGTTGCATGGTTTTCTATGTCTTCTTCCAGAGCCTGGAAATCCAGATGGAAAAAATGAATAACAGAAACAAAATAAATGAAAAGTAAACACAAAATGATGAATAACAAATGATACAACAAATTAAACAATTAAAAAACTCACCGACTGAAAGGCAAAAATAATATAAAAATTGGGAACAAAAGCTGTTTATTCCGGTGGTAGCCTATCAGTCAATTTCTATTTGTATTTCAAGAATGTGACTTTTCCAATTAATAATCTGACCATATTTTAAGTTAAACCCACAAAACACACATCCTCTAGAATGCTGCAGGCAGTTTACTCATTTCTAGGATTTCTAATTCCAGTTTTCTATTTTCATTTACTGTAACCACTCCCTACCTTGTGCCGAATGATCTGCTGCTGTATTTTGGCAGTCTGAGTGCCAACAGGTTCTGAGTTAGCAAGCTTTTTCTCTGTGACAGATAAGAAGTCAGAAATAGGCTCAGCTGTCTCATGGAACTGTTTGGCCAGAACCAGGATGTCTTCCAGCTGTTTTTGCCTACACAAATATATAGAACAAGCTGCTCAGGAAGAAAAGTCACATTAAAACTGGTAATAGTACTATACTCAGTAAAAGAATAGTCTTTTCCAGGTATAGTTTAAATACCAATAGTAAACAGAACACACGTTATGTAGCATTTCGATGTTTTAAAGGATTTCACACCATTAACCTTATTCTCATTCTGTCATAACCTTGTAAGGTGGACAGAATAATTATCCCCCATTATAAAAGAATAATTATCCCCCTATTATAAAAGAGAAAGTTCAGTCAGAAGGCTTAAAGAAAGATTTGTCCAATCACCTGGTGAGTAGCAACAGTAGAATCAAATCTTCTAATGTTCTCCTTATTTAACACAAATCAAAACAGAATGTAGTATATATATCACCTGAACATCTGACCAAAATAAGGTTTAAAGGAGGCAAAAAGTTGTCTGTTTTCATTCTCTCTGTCACTACTACCTTCATTTATGAGTGAAGATATCTGAAGAGTAAAGACTGTATATTGCCTATGAACTAGAACTCCCTCCCCAACTCCCCAAAATCCAGTCAGGCTTCTGGTAATTTCAAGCCCCAGAACATAACTTTGAATCCAGATTTAAGGCAAAAAAACAAAAAAGAAACAAACAAAAAACCTCACGCTGGCTGAATTTGCCAACACAAAAAGCACCCCCCCCAAAAAAAAACCAAACAAAAAAAACTACAGACTTTATAGCTCACTTGGAATCTTAACTCTTATTTAATATAAGATCCATAACTAAGCTTGGCTTTTCCTGGGATACATGACTGTCACTGAGACCAGAGAAGTGCTAAGAGATGTACTTTCCAAAGTACCTGTGGTTTGTTTTACTCTATAAAATAAAAGCAGCAAATTACAAAGTGAGGAGGAAGTCTGGATATTGGAGATAGCCTGACAAGGAACAGACAAGAAAACAACCACAGAACTGTATTAGCATGCAGATTAATAATGAAAGGTCATAATGTTGTCTTTGAATTACTAAAAACAGACTAAGATATGGCATTTGAAGAGGCCTGGGAGTATATGATGCACTTAAGTTCAGCAAACCTTTACTGAAGACCTAATTTACGCCAGGTCCTATGCTAGTTATGCCCTGACAAAGTTATTTTAATAAGAAGTGGTTTAAATAAAAAAAGTTGGCATTTTGATTACTGGAAATTCAATTATGTTTGAATATAAAGAAAAACATATTTTTTAAGTGGCAATCTAAGTCTAAAACTTTCTTTCCTAGTTTGTTTATGCCAGCCTTCAAAATATATCTTCAAGTAATGCAACTAAAACATACAATATTAAAAATTATTATTAAATTTGAATTTCATTTTTTAAAAATTGCCTCTAATTTTTATGTCTTTCTTACTCATTTGATTTTGGAATCTGAAAATTTGAAGAATTTATTGTAATAAGATTAAAGGTATTTTTAGGGAGAAGAGCTAAAAATAATTTAGAAGCATCAAATATCTACTCTTGTTATTTGTTTCTATTTAAAATATTGGCCCAGAAACTATATTAGGCTAGGAGGATGGAAACAAGTAAAGTAGAAGGAAAGAGTCATAAAAATATGCATTAGATAAACAAACCATGACTTTAAGGAGTTTATGGACCAGGAAGGTAAGTACATAAAATAATGATCATAATACAAGGTACAGATAAAGAGTTATGGCAGTGAAGAGGCAGGAAAAATTATTCCATGATTGAGGAATAAAGGTAAGTTTTATAGAAGAGAGAGAGCTGGACAAAAGCATTTCATGAAAGATGTATTATAACCCATAAAATAAGACACAGGGTTAGGACATTGTCAGAAGATATTAAAGAACAGAATATAGTTTACTTCAGCTATAATATTAAGGAGTGAGAAGAATAGTAGAAGCTAAGAAAGGTAGGTTAGGGTCAAATAGAGGGCTTTGAATGGTGTGTTAAAGAGTTTATATTTTATTTTAAGCACCTTCTTAGCACGGCAGGCAGTGTGTCAGCCTCATAATCTAAAGGTTTTATTCTAACAGGGAGTCAATTAAATATCTCTGAGCTTGAAAAGATATGATTAAAGGCTTATTTCAGAAAGGTTCATCTGCAGCTGGGGGATGGGAAGGGGAAGGCCCCAGGGTTAGTGGTAGAGTGATTAGTGAAGAAGCTATCTCTATACACCTAGTGAGAGCTCGTAAGTCATGAACTGAGGGGAGAGTGGGAATTAGAGAAACAGATGGACAGGAAAGACACTGTAAAGTAAAATAGACAGAATTTAGCATGCTGATCGATGTGGGCACAAAGGAGAAATTAAAAAAAGAAAAGTAAAAATGGAGTCGAGGTTTTAAGCCTAGGAAACTGGAAAGCTAATGGTACCATTACTGGAAATGGACAGAGAGAAAAGAAAATAAGCAGTACAAATCTGGAAATACAAGTAAGTTAAATTCTTTCCATTTTGTTTCTTCCACTAACATAGGCAAGCCATACTTTGCAACTCAGGTAAGGAATAAGCCAAGTCATGGGCAGGTGGACATAAAAAGACTGAAGAGGGAATTATTTGAAGACTGCCATAGGCTACCTAGGAAATGTAAAGGATACAATAACAAATGATCAGCTCTCTTATTGATTTCTCATTAGCTGGTATTTAATTTTAAAACTGAGGACTGTATAAAAGTAAAGACATCTATGTGACTTATTAAGCTCAAGTCACAGGATAACTTATAGCTATGAAAAGAGAAAGGGAATATTTCCTTGAAGGAGGATTTGTTGCCTGTCTTTTTGACCATTTATTGAGGTAAGTTCATGCATCTCTTGAATTCCCAGATATTTAACAGAACCACAGACTAGCTCCTAAAGGCAAAAAAATCTAATATTACTATAAGCTAATAGAAAAGAAATATGACACATTTCAATTCCAAGTATCAAAAGCATTATTTATAAATATAAGAGGGGGAAATCTGTTTGAAAAACTCAGAAAATAACTCGGCTGGACTGTAGGAGTCTGTGTCTGTCATTTGGAACTATGATTATACTACAGCAGAACAACCACACAGAGCAATGAGTTTTCCAGCTCTCGGAAATTTATGAAGATGCTGGAGACCATTTCCTGAGTGTGATTCTGATTATGAGGATCATCTCTAAAATCTTATCCCATTTCAAATAAAAGCCATTAAACACCTTCCAAAAATCTATATGAATCATCCAAGAACTTATAGTGATAATAAGTCGAAGAAGAACAAAACAAACCTCTGACCCACTCCTCAAAATTCCTTTGATCTTACCTGGCTGCTGCCTTACTGAGTAGTTCAGTCCATCTACTTTCAAGACTCTCCAGCTGTCCAGTGATTTTCTCTCTATCAGCCAGCTCTGCTGACTGGGCTATTCTGCCTCCTTCTGCTTGAAGCATGTCTACTGTGGCCTTTCGATCATCTAGGAGCCGCTGGAGCAACTATTATAAAGAGAATGAAAAGCTGTAACACAGGATCATTTTGAAATCTGAACTAGGAAGAAAGAAAAAAAACAAAAGAAACCAACCCGCCAAATCCTAAGCTTCATTGAGTAAAAGAAGTTTTTTTCATCCTTGGGGCAAAAACAGGAGATATAGCACAGTTCTCACCACTCGTATACTTTTCACACACTTAAATTTTTAAATGGAGCAGTGACTGTCATTATGTGACTAACAGGGAACTTCCTTTGAACCAAGAGAAAAGTGCCGTAAAAAATGGTTAACATTTGAAGTGATGAATATGTTAATTATCTTGACTACGGTAAACATTTCACAACGTATATGTATATCAAACCATCACATTGTATATTATAAACATTTTTTTTTTTTTTTTTTGAGACAGAGTCTCGCTCTGTCTCCCAGGCTGGAGTGCACTGGCTCGATCTCGGCTCACTGCAAGCTCCGCCTCCCAGGTTCACACCATTCTTCTGCCTCAGCCTCCCGAGTAGCTGGGACTACAGGCGCCCACCACCATGCCCGGCTAATTTTTTGTATTTTTAGTAGAGATGGGGTTTCACCGTGTTAGCCAGGATGGTCTCGATCTCCTGACCTTGTGATCCGCCTGCCTCGGCCTCCCAAAGTGCTGGGATTACAGGCGTGAACCACCACACCCAGCCAAACATATACAATTTTTATTTGTCAACTATATACCAATAAAGCTGAGAAAAAAATAAAATTTCCTTTGGGATAAATTTTTTTTAAAAAGAAAAAACTGCACTAAAATAGAAATTAAACCAACAAAAAATATAGATAAAACTTTGTACATGATATACAACACTATTTAGAATATTGCTGACCCTGAAAACACCAAAAACCTCTTAACACAAAATTGTAGATGAACACTGAAATAGGATACATGAACAGGTAAAATTATTCAGTCTAATATATGCCACAGTAAACCAGATTTAAGTAAGATAATGAAAATCAATTTCCACCTTTCTTTTCAGGACGACACAAAGTAGTTTAGGATTCTACTAAAACTCCTGAACTGCTTCTTAAACTATAAGCAAATGTGTTGTCTACTACTCCCTACGGCTGTTACAGTTCACTGTCCCAACATTCTCACTTACCTTCTGTTCTTGGATCTGTGCTTTCACCACTTTATACTCAGCAGATGGAGGTTTCTGATTGGCTATGAGCTCCTCGGTATCTGCCAACCAGCTGAGCAATGGCTCCAAGGCATCTTGAAACTTCCCACAATGCAACAAAGCTTCCTGTAGCTGTGCAATTCTTTGTGCGACCTGTATCATGAACATGTAGGTTCATTATGAGAACGGAGAAAGTAGTTTTCAAATTACTACTGACCTCTTTTAGTAATTATAGATTGCAACTGCTAAATTTTTATTTCCATTCAGGTTTCGGGAAACCTTAGATTCAGATGTCTCTTTTCTATGCCTTCCGTTTCCAGTACACTTGCTACCCCATTGTCACTCACCTTTTTATTCAATGTATTCCATCGAGCATTGATCTCTTCCATGTCATGTTCTAAACCCTGTACATCACAGTCTTTTCCTGCACTCTGAATTAATCCCTGGCCAAGTCCATTCACCTGCTGCAATTTCATCTGAAGAGGATCCACTTGTTCTTTCTGAAACATCTAGATAATTACAAGCCAAAGAAGATTTAATACAAAGGCTATTAGACTCTCTATACCACGCAGAGACTGGTTATTCTTGGGGCATTTATGACTTAATGAAAGACGACCAGGAATAAAAAGAAAGAACAAGCATTTGCACGTGAAGCATCAAGAAAACATGTGGTTTTGTATTTCAATACATTCTCCTATGGACATGTAATTACAGAGAGTTATGACACTACTTAGGTCTTTAACCCAATGACTCTTTCCTTTGTTCTTTTTTTTAAAATCTGTTGCTTAATTTTTTTTTGTTTTTTTTGGAGACAGAGTCTCGCTCTGTCGCCCAGGCTGGAGTGCAGTGGCGTGATCTCGGCTCACTGCAAGCTCCGCCTCTCGGGTTCATGCCATTCTCCTGCCTCAGTCTTCTGAGCAGCTGGGACTACAGACGCCCGCCACCATGCCCAGCTAATTTTTTTGCATTTTTAGTGGAGACAGGGTTTCACCGTGTTAGCCAGGATGGTCTCGATCTCCTGACCTCGTGATCCGCCCTCCTCGGCCTCCCAAAGCGCTGGGATTACAGGCGTGAGCCACCGCGCCCGGCCTGTTGCTTAATTTTTAATGCAAAAAGCCATGGAGAATAGAAAAGCATCAACCTCGAAATGCTGTACAAGTAAGCGCAATGTATATGAATCCTAAAAGAGAAGAATAGAATAATACCAAATGACTAGTATTTAAGATGGAATATCCCTTGGGGAATAGCCTTAACTGACCACTAATAAGAAATGCTCTTCTCTGACTAAGACTAATAACTCAATTAGTCAAAACATATTAACAGTGTGAAAAATGCCAACCTCATAGCTTAATCCTCCTGTGGCCATTTAACTTCATTCTGATCAAGAGCCACAGATCACACACAACAATAATCTTGAAACAGAATTCCTCTGATTACAAAGGGAAATGGGCCAGTAACGTTGGGAAATGTCCTTAATAACTTCAGACACACACTCTGAGTAAGATACAGATTTACATTTAAAAAACTGCTCAAAAATGATACTGTATTATCCACGTTTACCATGGTGCAACAGAATTTTAAAACAATGTGAATAGGTGTAACAAGCAACGTGTATATTTTGCTCTACTACAGTTAAGCTCCATTACGATTTAGACATGTCTAAAAGGAAAAAAGGGTCAGAAGAGAATGGTACTTCTGCCACATTAAGAGTATGAAGTGGCCGGGCACAGTGGCTCACGCCTGTAATCCCAGCACTTTGGGAGGCCGAGGCGGGCAAATCATGAGGTCAGGAGATTGAGACCATCCTGACTAACATGGTGAAACCCTGTCTCTACTAAAAATACAAAAAATTAGACGGGCATGGTGGCGGGCACCTGTAGTCCCAGCTACTCGGGAGGCTGAGGCAGGAGAATGGAGTGAACCCGGGAGGTAGAGCTTGCAGTGAGCCGAGACTGAGCCACTGCACTCCAGCCTGGGCAACAGAGCAAGACTCCATCTCAAAAAAAAAAAAAAAAAAATTGGGTTTCTCTCAGTTATCAGAGGGATAGAACCAGCTATATTTCACTAGCCTGGATTTATTTCCCTTCCTTTTTCTTCCATGAGCCAGGTGAGTCAATTAAGGCCAGAGGATGACAGAAAATGGAAGAGGACAAAAATAAATATAAAAGAAAATGATAAGTTTGAGTAAGACCAATTTTGGTCAATATGAGACTACAGACCACACTAGGATTAGGAAACTGATTCTAGAAAGAATGGTCTATGGCTGGCTAAGATTACCAGGGAGGGAAAGCCCCAGGGAACACTGAAAAAGGAAGGTTATAAAAGTAATTATGAGTGCACTTCATTTTTTTACTATAATTTGATTATACCATATTTTCTTAGGCAACATTACAAAGCAGTTCAGTTAAAATGACTATTTCTCCAACAACATGGTTCCCAGAAAAAACAACTGCTATAATTCCATTTTGTAGCATTAAAGATGTTTCTGCTGAAGAAAAATCAGATAGAGGCAGGAAAAACATCCCAAGTTTAAAGCTGCTTTTGGTACAATAAAATGGTGGTGGTGAAGGTGAAGGAATGAAAAGGCAAAGAAGGCAGAAAGCCAAGGTATGGAGGGAAGATGTCAAGTCCACATTACAGGGCCCTCTTTTACTCAATAACCAAATCCTATCTCACTCTACAACTGACATTTAAATTCTTTCTGTGCTTTCCAACATGACAGCCAGCAGCTACATATAGCTATTGACATTTAAATTAAATTTAAAATCCAGTTCCTCAGACCCACTAGCCACGTTTCACATAGTCAAAGCCACATATGGCCAGTGGTTACTCTACTGGACTATTGATAGAGAACAAATCCATCTTGGCAGCAAGTCCTACTGGACAGCACTTTAAATGACACAGAAAAGTAAAATAGGCTAGGCAAGTGGCTCATGCCTGTAATCCTGGCACTTTGGGAGGCCAAGGCAGACAGATTGCCAGAGCTCAGGAGTTTGAGACCAGCCTGGGCAACAGGCGAAACCTCGTCTCTACTAAAAATACACACACACACACACACACACACACACACACACACACACACACTAGCCAGGCATGGTGGCGCACGCCTGTAGTCCCAGCTACTTGGGAGGCTGAGGCACAAGAATTGCTTGAACCCGGGAGGTGGAGGTTTCAGTGAGCCGAGATCATGCCACTGCACTCCAGCCTGGGCAACAAGAGAGAAACTCCATCTCAAAAAAAGAAAGAAAGAAAAGTAAAATTATATTTAAATAGTTCAATAATCTCTTTCATATACAAGCTGAATATCCCTTATCCAAAATGCTTGGGAACAGAAGTGTTTCTGATTTCAGATTTATTAAAATTTTGGAATATCTACATTAAATACTTACCGGTTGAGCATCCCAAATCTGAAAATCTGAAATCTGAAATGCTCCAATGAGCATTTCTTTTGAGCATCATGCCAGCATTCAGAAAGTTTCAGACTTGGGAGCATTTTGCATTTTGGATGTTCAATCTATAATAAGAGCTACTGCAACTTTAAACTTTTGGATTTACTTTGTTTACAAACATTTCCTATAGAAGCATTAGCTATTCCTTCATTTCTCACCTTCACTCTATGGATTGACAGGGACAATGGGTATTTGTATCATTTCTCATAAGTTAAAACATATATGAAAGCACCTCTAAATATTATCTATTTTGAATAAAAGTGAACAGAACGTTAAAGAACGTACATTTGAAAACACCTGCTTCCTTCTGTCAACTCCCAAATAAAGCTGTTTTGCAAAACCAGTGCTTTTAGATACACTAAAATTCCTACTCCTTAGTATTTCACACACTGTTAGTGAAATAGGACTGTGTCATGTTATTAACTAAGCAGTACTGGCAGACATTTTCCAAAGAAGTACACTAGTAAAAATTGTTGCAAGGTTGTAAGATGCAACTAGGACACAAAATAGAAAATTTCCCAAAGAACTCCTTAAAACACTTTTATCTTTGTTACTGCATTTTTTTTTTTTTGAGACAGGGTCTCACACTGTTGCCCAGGCTGGAGTGCAGTGACATAATCTCAGCTCACTGCAACCTCTGCCTCCCAGGTTCAAGTGATTCTCTCACCTCAGTCTCTCAAGTAACGGGGACTACAGGCATGCGCCACCACACCCAGCTAATTTTGTATTTTTTGGTAGAGACAGGGTTTCACCATGTTGGCCAGGCTGGTCTTGAACTCCTGACCTCAAGTGATCTGCCTGCCTGAGCCTTCCAAAGTGCTAGGATTACAGGCATGAGCCACGGCATCCAGCCTTGTTATTGCATTTTTCCAGTTTTATCCTGACTGATTCTTTTCTGTTGTCCTTTGTTTTCTTTCTCCTCTTCTAGATCTCTAAATGATCTTTGGGGGTGGGAGTGAGAGAACGACGTCAGTCCTGGACTCTCTTCTCTTTCTATATTCTTCCTAGGCAATTCCATCAATTTCTGTGGGTTTAAATACTAACCACAATAAATGCTTATGACTCTCAATTTGTCTCTCTGAGTTTCAAAGCTACGTATCCAACTGCTTTTTTAATATCTCCATGCAAAAAAATGAACCACAGGCATCCCAAGCCTAACAGTTCAAAAATGAAACAGTGTCTCCCACTTTCCCTTACCTCTTCCTTAAATCAATAATTTATACTATCCACTCCACTGTACAAACCAGAACCTAAAAGTCACCCTTGATAACTCCCTCAGCCCCAACACAGAAGCCACAATCAGATCTTGTTGATTTTACCTCCAAAATATATCTTCAATCCACCCTATTGTCTTCAAATCCATTGACATCATTTTATTCAAAGAATTTGCCAAAATTTCTAACTATGTATTTATTTTATATTTATTTATGTGTGGTTTTCTTAATATCTGCCTCCTCCACTCAGTATAAGTTCCACAAGGCCAAGGACCATGTCAATTCTATTTACTGCAGGAGCCTAGTACCTGGCACAGAGTAGGTACTCATAATATTTACTCAGGCCGGGTGTGGTGGCTCATGCCTGTAATCCCAGCACTTTGGGACGCCGAGGCAGGCGGATCACCTGAGGTCAGGAGTTCGAGACCAGCCTGGCCAACACAGTGAAACCCTGTCTCTACTAAAAATCCAAAAAAAAAAAAAAAAAAAAAAAAAAAAAAAAAAAATTAACTGGGTGTGGTGGCACATTCCTGTAATCCCAACTACTTCGGAGGCTGGGGCAGGAGAATTGCTTGAACCCGGGAGGTAGAGGCTGCAGTGAGCCAAGATTGTGCCACTGTACTCCAGCCTGGGCAACAGAGTGAGACTCTGTCTAAAAAAAAAAACAAAAACTTTTTTTTGTTCCATGAATGAATGAATCCTTGTACACAAACGGTGTTAGGGAATGCAAAAAACCAATGAAGATTCTGCCGATCAGCAGAGCGTTCAAACACTGAACTGGAATTGTGGTGCTCTCCAATTTTTGCTTAAAAAGACTCCCTTGGCAAATTGTAATCTTATAGAACCCTTATTTTATACAAAAGGTTTTTTTCTTCCTTTGAACCAGTGGCTGGGATTAAGACTGAAGAGGTCTATAAATAAGCAGGGAATTTACATAACCAGAGATTGGTCTCAGTAGGCCTCAGATCCCATTACAGAAAAAGCAAACGAGTTTTTGGCATTTTAGTTCTACCAAACTCTGTTGTTATTGCAATTACAAAGTTTATATCTATTTTAACCATGTATCCATGTCTGCACTTGCACATATACATACAGACATAGAGGACCTCAGTTCATGCTAAATCACTTGTTGAGTTCTAAGTATTTATATATAAAAATGGCAGGTTCAGTTGCCTCTTGGAATCCTAAGGGAATGGAAGAAATAAAAAATTAACCTCTCATCTTGGAAAAACCTTTTAAAATAATATTTCACCAATTTAGCAAACCTGTATACTCATGTTAACTCTATAATGATTTGTTTTGTTTCAATATTTTCAAAATGGCCTCTCTACATTCTTGCTGGTTAACAGTCCTGGCTGAGGCTCAGATCTATCCTTTCCTGTACACAGATATAGGCATTTGCTCACTTCCAGATATTCCACAAAGTAACCACACTTCAAAGATGGACAACTTTGCAGCTGGGCTACCATTTCCTTCTCCTGTCATTTACATCAGGCAATATTTCATAAAAGGATTACCTCCTGTAGCTGGAAGGATAGTTAGAGATTATGTAGCCATCTACTCATTTTGCAGATGAGGAAACAAGGATTCCAGAGACTGATACAGGATTTCTATGACTTTTTCCCCTTTATGCAGATTTGATTGCCTCACTATAAATTTAATCCTTATATTTCATGATTACTGCTATATAAGCTTTATACTGGAGATATTCTGTTTTTTTTTTTTTCTTTTTATTTTCTCAGAGATGGGGTCTTACTATGTTGCCTAGGCTGTTCTCGAACTCCTGGCCTCAAGCAATCCTCTTCCCTTGGCTTCCCAAATGTTGGGATTAGAGGTGTGAGCCACTGTGCCTGGTGTGAAATATTCTGTATTATCAAGAATGGCTCTGTTGTTGACCTACTGTCTTCACTTTGTACAGGCTATTGGGATCTCGGTGTCATTCCAAATTCAATAAAACTCGGAAAAATGAATCAAAAATCCATCAGTCTCAAAGATGATGCATCCTAATTTAATGGAATGCTACCTGACAAAATAACTGGTAAAGCTCAAGGTAAAACCACCACCACTCAGCAAGGCCAGATTATCTTAATCAATCCTCTTAATCAAAGAGTTTATGGCATGCAATCAAAATGATTTTGTTGTCAGGACCTGCATGTTTAGCTGGTGCTCTAGCTGACTTAAGGCTGCCCTGAAAGGCTCTGCAGTGAGGTGAATGAGAAAACCCATCTTTCTTGTAGCATCCATCCATAGTCTAGGAAATTGATATTCATGCATTCAGTCAGTCAGTCAACAGCAAATGCCTGCTATGAAGAAGGCACTATTTTGAGTCCTAGGGGCGCAGTAAAATCAAAACAATCTTCTCACTCAGTCATCTCTTGTGTTCAGATTAAACCTCTAACTCCTGCACTCTTTACCACTGACCAAATCAAACCTGGGTAATTAACTGTGGAAAGCTGCTGATCTCAAATTCCTTGGACTAGGAGTGCTCAAGGATGTGGAACATCGTTTCCAACTGTTTCCTAACACATTCGGTTCTCTAACATTAAGAATCTTAGAGCCGGCTGGGCGCGGTGGCTCACGCCTGTAATCCCAGCACTCTGGGAGGCCGAGGCGGGCAGATCATGAGGTCAGGAGATTGAGACCATCCTGGCTAACACAGTGAAACCCGTCTCTACTAAAAAAAAAAAAAAAAAATTATATATATATATATACAAAAAATTGCCGGGCGTAGTGGCGGGCGCCTGTAGTCCCAGCTACTCGGGAGGCTGAGGCAGGAGAATGGCGTGAACCCGGGAGGTGGAGCTTGCAGTGAGCTGAGATCGCACCACTGCACTCTAGCACTCCAGCCTGACTGACAGAGCCAGACTCCATCTAAAAAAAAAAAATAAAAAGAATCTTAGAGCCAAGAGAGACCCAAGAGGACATTTAGCCCAATTTTCTTGTTTTATAATGAAGAAATGAGGTCCTGGAAAGGAAAATGACTTGCTTAAGGACACAAAGGCAGTTTGACAAAGATGACTAAAATATCTCTATTTTTCATAAACATTATGCCTAGCTCTGGTTTTCAGAAACACATATTTGCATTTAAAAGTTCTTAATCATTTAGCTTTATTGCTTCTCTCCAATCTACTTTGGTAAATTCTTTCAACCAACCAACATACCTATTTGAAAAGAATGGGGAGGATATGGCCAGTGATTGGTAATCTTATACGCTTGGTACCTTAAATGTATCTCATTTTATCCTCACAGAGTTATGCCTTAACAAATGAAGAAACAGGAAACTCAAGAATAGCTAACTAATTTTCCCAGAGTGGTTAGGAAGCACCCCAGGTCTCATTCCAAAGCTCACACTCTGGCCTCTACCTAAATGTTGACACCACCAATGAATAAACTGTCTCTTGGTTTAGGCAAGAACATGCTCACTGTATAATTCAAAAACAGAATGACCCTTTCCTGCTAATAATCTTTTTAAAAATGTAAATCAACAACTGTTTATATCCCTGTTTTCCGTGGGATTGGCTTATCTGAATAAAAAACGAAGCATGAAATTATAAAGTCTTTCACCAGACAAAATTAAAGTATATTTTCCCCAAAAACTGAACAGAAAGACTACAAACTATAAGCCCGGGAGACCCAAAAAGAACAAAAGAACTATCTGTGCCATTTCTCATCACCACCAGGTCAGCCCTGCAAATCTCACTTTACTCTTTAGACCCTTCCCAGAATCAAAATGGACAATTACCTCATCTGAATTTAATCCAGCGGTTGCAGCCAGAGGCACTTTCCCATGTAGCACTGTGCTGGTCACCTCTTTTATGCCAAATACTAGGGAATCAAGGTCCTCCTTGATCCACATTCCAGTGGAGGAAGCCTCCTCTAGAACAGGTGTTCCTTCTTCTGAAATAGGCACTGAGTCAGTGTGGGCAGAAACTCCCAGGAAGGGCACACCAATGGGGGAAACTTCCTCCATAGGAGGCACTGCAGCAGCTGGGATGGCAGGCACCTCTGGGGTGGGCACTGAAGCAGCAGGGATGGCAGCCACCTCTGGGGTGGGCACTGCTGCTGCTGGGGAGGCGGGCTCCTCTAGGTTGGACACTGCAGCTGCTGGGGAGGCAGGCTCCTCGGGGGTGGGCACTGAAGCTGCTGGGGAACTGAGTTCCTCTGGGGTGAGCACTGCAGCTGCTGAGGAGGTGGGTTCCTCTAGGGTGGGCACTGCTGCTGCTGGGGAGGTGGGCTCCTCTGGGTTGGACACTGCAGCTGCTAGGGAGGCAGGCTCCTCAGAGGTGGGCACTGAAGCTGCCGGGGAAGTGAATTCCTCTAGGGTGGCCACCATAGCTGCAGGGGTGGGCACTGAAGCTGCCGGGGAAGTGGGTTCCTCCAGGGTGGCCACCACAGCTGCAAAGGAGGCAGATTCTGCTGGGGTGGGCACTGCAGCAGCTGGGGAGGCAGATTCCTCGGGGGTGGGCACTGCAACAGCTGCGGAGGCGGATTCCTCTGGGGTGGGCACTGCAGGAGCTGGGAAGGCAGGCTCCTCTGGGGTGGGCACTGCAGCAGCTGGGGAGGCGGGCTCCTCTGGGGTGGGCACTGCAGCAGCTGGGGAGGCGGGCTCCTCTGGGGTGGGCACTGCAGCAGCTGGGGAGGTGGGCTCCTCTGGGGTGGGCACTGCAGCAGCTGGGGAGGTGGGCTCCTCTGGGGTGGGCACTGCAGCAGCTGGGGAGGTGGGCTCCTCTGGGGTGGGCACTGCAGCAGCTGGGGAGGTGGGCTCCTCTGGGGTGGGCACTGCAGCAGCTGGGGAGGTGGGCTCCTCTGGGGTGGGCACTGCAGCAGCTGGGGAGGTGGGCTCCTCTGGGGGGGGCACTGCAGCAGCTGGGGAGGTGGGCTCCTCTGGGGTGGGCACTGCAGCAGCTGGGGAGGTGGGCTCCTCTGGGGTGGGCACTGCAGCAGCTGGGGAGGCGGGCTCCTCTGGGGTGGACACTCTGACAGCTGCAGTATCAGGCTCCTCTGGAGCATGCACTGTGGTAGCTGGGGTGACAGGCCCTTCTGGTGTACCATCCTCCTCTGTGATGGGTACTGTAATAGCTAAAGCAGCCCACTCTGGGGAGAACCCTGCGACAGCTGACATACCCTCCTGTGTGATGGCTGCTGCAACAGCTGGAGCAGTCTCCTCTGGGGAGGACACTGCAGCAACTGCAGCAGTCCCTTCAGGGACAGATACTGTAACAGCTGGGACAGTAGCCCTCTCTGGGGCTGATACTGCAGCAGCTGTGACATCCTCCTCCTCTAAGGAGACTATTGAAGCAACTAGGATGTCCTCATGTGGAAAGGGCACTAAAGCAGCAACTACAGCAGTTCCCTCTGGGGCAGGCACTGCAGCAATTGAGGTACCCTCCTCTGGGCTGGGCAGTGCAGCATCTAGGGCATCTTTGACAGTGGGTACTGCAGCAGTCCGGGAAGGTCTCTGGAGGACGGGTATCCATTCCTCTAAAACTGGTTCAGTATTACCAGCCTTGGTAACTTGTTTCTCTGGAAAAATATTTAGGAATGAATCTGAATCTCTCCTTTCCATCTCCCCTCCCTCTGATGATGCCACATTCAGCTCAGGCTTTGTATCATTCACAGTTTCCACTCCATCTGGATTAAGTCTCAGTTCTTCAACCAGCAGGTGCAGACTCAGAATCTCTGACTCTGGGGACTTCCTCTGGAGATCCTGGAAGACCTGCTCTGGGAAGTTTCTGTGGAAATGTGCTGGAGCTTGATCCTCCAAAAGTGTGGCTTGATAATCCAGCTCTTTTGCCTCACCATCCTCATCACAAACTTTCTCCACAGACAATTCACAAGTGACCACATTTCCCATTGATGTCAGACTGTTATTTTCTTGATTAACAGTTACATTCCCACTTTCCAAATGAATTTCATCTGTTAGTAAATTTGATTCATATAACACCTCTACTTCAGGTCCTGAGGTAACATCTGTTAGTTCATGATTAAAAGCAAAACTGAAGGTGACCCTCTCAATGCACTCCTCACCATTCCCCTCAGTTTGACTGCAGTCTCCCTGGGACAAACTGCCATTGTCTTTGGCCAGCTCAGAAGCAATGAAGCCTGATAATTTTTCTTCATGAGAAACCCTGTGATCAGAGTTCAGCAGTCCTCCTGGGTCCAGCTTTTCCAGTGAATCCAGATCAGCTGGCTGTCTGGACTTAAATTCTGCAGTCCTGGGGCTAAAAGGCACTTTTTCACATTCCTCCTTGCTAACAGTGGAAGTGTCTCTCATGATATCAACGTGGGCAATAAGTTCCACAGCATTAGGCACCTGAGAAGAATCCAGGGTATTAAAATATCCACAATCCAATCTAGTATCATAATCTTTTGCCCTTACATGTAAAAGGCCTAAATGCTGTTCCTTTTCTAAGGCAGCCCCTGAAAAATGACTAATTACGAGTAAATTTTCTGCATCCTGGGATGCAGCCAGCCCTTCAGAAGAGATTTGATTCTGTAGCTCAACTAGAGGAGTTACTCCTTCTTCACATAAACACTCCTTTTCAAGTTCAAGAAACATCTGCACTGAGTCTGTGTCAGAGAGCTGTTCTGCATCAATAGTACCCACAGTACATGCTGAATCTGAAACAAGTCCCTCTAACCCCTGAGCAGTTCTGTTTGCCACCTCACCGAGAATATCCTCACCTGTAAGAACACAATCGCAATCCAGGGGTATATCCTTGGGAACAGTAGCCAACTGGTCCTTGGCTGGCTGTGGGTCATCAGGGCAACAAATCTGACCAAGAGATAGGTGGCCAAAAGTCCTCAAGACAGCAGCTAAGCAATCGGATCCATCCTCCACCACTGCTGTGTTTGCTTGTTCTCTTTCTTCAAAAATATCTGCCAGGCTGTTCTTCTCATCTGCCATCAGAAAAGTCTTTTCCCTGTCTGACAGTTTCTCTTCCTCCCACTCTCCCTCAGCCTCCATCATAATCCATCGCTCATCCTCCTCAAACTTTAGCTCAGACTCTGTTTTCTCTCTCAGGCTGGGGGTTATGAGAACATGCAATTCTGGATCTAACAGCTCTTCACTCAGGCAAGGGGAGAGAGGTGGCATTTCCACAGTGCAGGCTGTGTCCCCAAGGGGGTGCTGCTTCTCACTGAAGCCTCCCTTAGCTAAACTTTTTGTGGCCCTCGGCCAGGTTGCACTTGAGAATCTGGATTCCTGCATTACATCTGTGTTACCACTTGTTGCTACAGCTTCTGATTCTACAGGCTGGAATTCATGAGGAGGGTTTGCACTGTGCTGCTGAAATCTAAAGTCCTGGCAGTCTCCACTTAAGTTTTTAAAATCTTGCACCTCTGGAATACCTATGGATTTGGACACATGTTCCAGAGTTACTGACTCTGACTGAGGTTCCCTGTGGTCCAAATGACCAGAACTTTCTGTTAATGCAGAACTGGACTCCTTCTTCTCTTGCAAGGAAGGATTTGAAGCACCAGCTTCTGAAACCTCACTGAGAGAAGCTTCTATCCTCTCTGCAAATTCTGGGAAGTTGGGTGGCATGAAGGACTTCCACGATCTCCTGTTAACATTGTCTTTGCGTTCTGCATTTGGCCGCCTTCTGGGTGGCACAGGTGCTGACTTCTGCACATCACTGCTTAGCTTTAGTGCATCAAATATTATCCTCTCATCCAGCTTCTTACCTTCTGGTGCTCTAGATTCAAAAACATTAGATGCTGCTCCTAATGTACCATTGCTGGATATAGTACTTCCTTCCATCTTTTCCATGGTGCTTTTTGAAGTCTGGTTAAGCTTTGACCCCTGGTCAATTTGCTCATTTATCCTCATCGTATCATATATAGACCGTTGTGGAACATAGCAGTCCTCTATGTAGCCATCCTCCTCCTCTCCTTTCCCCAGGCAGCTGGGGTTCCGCCTTAAACAGTCTGGTCTGCTGAGTGGCTTACCCATCCTTTTTCAATCAAGATGAACCATCAATCTTTCAAAAGTATTTTTCACAGGTTCCCCCCAAATGCATTCTACATAAGTTATAAATCCTTTTAGCTGTTCATACCCCAAACCACCAATTGCATCTGCCCTCCAGAAAGGCCTGGAAGTTCCGTTTTGAAACCATTCTGGGAGAAGCTCTAAGACAAACAGCTTTTTCCTCACAGGCTAGCAGCCTCATGGTTGACAGACGATATAATTTAAAATAATTCCTTGTATGGCTTATGGTTTAATTTTTTTTAAGAGCACTGCTCTTTCAAATACAGTCAACAAAAATCATCTGATATTGACGAGTCTTTTTCGATATCTAGTTCCACTCACTTCTCACCGAAGCAGAGTTGGGAGCAGCAAATTTATGCCGATTGTATCCTTTAATAACAATGGCACAGCCTCTCTAGTCTTCAAGTATGGCCCAAGCTCCTAAGAATTCCTTTCATTTTATCCTCAGTTCCAGCCCTGGAGAGTCCAGCTGGTCTGAATTAGCCATTCGTCCTCCCTAGCTGGGGTGTTTGCATTTGAACTGGGCTGGTCGGCGGATATTCCTGCAACTTTAAACACAGGAAGTCCTTCATTCGGGGCCAGCTTGGGGCTTCCTGTCTCCAAAACATCATGGCATTGTTGTGGCTCCCAGGCCAACCCTGCGCTGTAGCTGCAAAACAAGGCGAGCGGAGCCCCGCGCCAGGCCTTCGGAAAGGCAGGCGGGCGGGCGGGCAGCAGCAGCGGCCGCGGGTCTGTCGGAGGGGCTCGCTCAGCACGGCCCGCTTCCCCGCGCCATGCCGCGCGCCCCGAGGGCCAGGGTCGCCTCACCGCAGGCTGCAGGTGGCTCCCGGCCGCGCCAGCCTCAGGTCCCGCGCTCAGGAAGTTAGTTTGTCCCTCCGGCAGCTGAGTCCCGAGTGCTGTGGGCGCCGCCTCGCCCGCCGCCGCCAGTCCCCGGCCCGCAGCCGCCACGCCGTGGGCTGCATGACAAGCAGCCGCCTCTATTCTCCACCACGCCGCTGGCCCCGCGGCCCCGCCGTCCTCCCCGCCCGCAGCTGTCACGGTCCCGGCATGCAAACTTCTGGCTGGGAACAAAAGGCTCCGCTAGGGTCGGGCGGGGGGCGAGTCCTCCTCCCCCGCGCAGCGCGACCCGCTAGCTCGCTAGCTCGCTGGAAGTGCTCGGCTGGCGGGCGGCTCTCCTCCCCCTTCCCCGCGCCGCCGCGCTGCGCCGCCCCGCCCGGGCAGCCCCCTGGAAGCCAGGGAGCGCGCGACGCGGAGAGCACAGGAAGGAGGACGAGGGCGGGGGCGGGGCCCGGCGGGGGCGGGGCCGGGGAGAGGAGCGACTCCGAGAGTGGAGGGAGCGGTGGAGAGGATTGGAGGCTGAGGCGCCGAAGGAGGGGCTTCTGCGGGATTCGGAGCGAGAGACCCGGGACGCCAGCCGTTCGGCTCCCGCAGCCCACGCCCACCGCGCCCCGGGGCCAGAGGGGAACGCCCCGCCCCCGGAGAGGGCGCAAGGAGAGGAACGGAACCCGCGCGAGTCTGGGCTGCGCGGCGCAAATCCCCTGACAAAGGAAAGCCCCGCCCTCCTCCCGCTGGCCCGGCCCCTCCCGCCCCTGTCTCGCTCCAACCGGCCCGGCTCCGAGCCCAGCCCAAAGGCGAACGAATCCAGAAAGGGCGCCCGCGCTCCCCCAGCTAGCCGGCTCTGGCGACGGCCACTCGAGTTCCCGTGTGCCGGCAGGTCGCGCCGGCTGGGGTAGGCCGCCTGCATCGCTCTCGGCTCCATCTCTGCCGCCAAAGGCTGTCCCTGCTCCTTCCAGTGTCACCTTTAGCGCGCCCCTTGCCGGACCGAAGAACACTCCAGCCTTAAACCCGGCACTTTCCCGGTGTCCCAAAGGAATTCGGTCACGCTCAGAGACCAAAGTTATTGGATAACTCTAGGCACATTCTACCTTCCCTCTCCCCCTTCTCAAGTATATCAAGTCCTGGTCAATTCTCCCACCAGGATTTCTCTGCTCACAGACCTGAGTGGTATCAATGACGGAAGAAAATGGGGTGTTGGGGGAGGTGGGGATGCCAACAGCTGAGCCCTACGACCAAACACCTGGGTCCTTTATAGTTGCGCACAGCCAAGGAAACCTGAGCCTCCTTGGACCAGATGAAAAGCATGGGTATTTCAAATCTCAAATAGAAAACACTAGAGAAAAGTCGCTCACAATCCCGTCGTCCACGGCCTTTGGCTTTTAGAAAAGCCACTTGGTCACCTGGTGACTGTTAAACAAAGAAAGTACAAAGGGCAACCCAGGAAACTGTCCACCAGAGGCAGCTGCATCTCTGAACGGGTCCAATACTCTGTTCTATTTGTGATGGCCATTCTCTGATTTTATGAAGGAAAAAAACATCTATTAAAATTCGGAATCTCTGTCGGACCATGTGGTCAATATATACCGCAAAACTTATGGAAAAGTTATTTCTATCCTTTACACAAACAGTAAGTGAAACCAACACCTGGTGTATGAAGATCTGGCACTGAAACCTTGAGCTGAGCCTTAGGCTTACTTAGGGAATCAGACTGGTCCTTGGCAAAAATGAGAAGTGCGCTGAAGCCTGTAATCGGAATTAGGCAACTAAAAGACCTTTCTCTGGTAAAATGCTTTACACTTCATTTCTCACTTCAACAACGGCTGCTGATCAATTCTACCCACTCAAATCCAAAAGACTCTGCCCATCTGTAAACTGAAAGGGGTGGGGAGGCCGACTAGGTTGTGTCTTGACACCCTTTCTAGTTTTAATATTTTTTAGTTCTAAAACTTTTAAAGGCACTGCCCCAGAATCCTGTGTCCTCTTGGTCGTATACTGCCAAGACACTAGAAACCCTGTCCTATGAAGAACAAACAGTGCAAGACCCAATAATGTCTGACCTAGAGAAAGTTCTAGGAGATGTAATTAGCATGAAGTATCTGAAGGGCTGAGACGTGGGAGGAAGGAAACTTGTTCTGGGTATCTCCTTAAGCTGGCACACTAAGATGTGAGATTTAAAACCAACAAAGAGCTTCTCACAGCTATTCAAAGAATAGAGTGTCCCCTAAACTGGTGACTTTCCTGACCCTGGAGGTGTTTGAGCAGAAATTCAAGCAATCACTTGGCAGAGATTTGGGAAAACAGATTTACAAATCTTCTGCAGTTTGTTCAGATGAATTTTAAAGTCCTTTCTAACTCTGATACACTGTAATCCTAAGGACTGACAGCTTACAGATCTGATACTTAACAGTTTAGGGAATCCAGGTTTTAATTTTCCTTTAATTATTCAGCACAACTGGAAAAACTCAGGGAAGGAAAGATCAATTTTACTAGCAAATATCCCTGGCCAAATACATTCACTTAAGTGTTCAGATATCATAACAGACTGTTTAGCATGCCAGGGCCCCTCTGGTTGGAAGAATCTGAGGAATTCTGGCTCTGGATGAAACATGGGTGGTTATTCTATTATAAAGAATGTTTTTTTTTTTTTTTTTTTTGAGTGAGACTCTGTCTCACTCTGTCGCCTAGACTGGAGTGCAGTGGCGCAATCTTGGCTCACTGCAATCTTTGCCTCCTGGGTTCAAGCGATTCTCCTGCCTCAGCCTCCCCAATAGCTGGGATTACAGGCATGCGCCACCGCACCCAGTTAATTTTTTGTATTTTTAGTAGAGATGGGTTTCACCCCTTGTTGGCCAGGCTGGTGACCTGACCTCAGGTGATCCACTCACCTCAGCCTCCCAAAGTGCTGGGATTACAGGCGTAGCTACTGTTCCCAGCCATAAAGAATTATCTTGATGTGGAATCACAAACTTCATGAACAGAAATTCCTTTACTGTTTCCTCACCAAGTCAGGTATCAACCAATCCAGACTTTTCTTAAATAATTCCCTCCCATGTCTATCTACCAATATTCTTACTACTCTCATCAGTGATCCATATAAATAAATAAATGGAGCATTCCTACGACTATGAAATTCAGATTCGAATTACTTATTATCTGCAGTCACACTCTCTCTAATTAGGGTGTTAGGAAAACA
The DNA here is from genome assembly GCF_000001405.40 of Homo sapiens. Taxonomy (NCBI): domain Eukaryota; kingdom Metazoa; phylum Chordata; class Mammalia; order Primates; family Hominidae; genus Homo; species Homo sapiens. Next base: position 39,406,199 of record NC_000001.11, on the reverse strand, counting down.
AATTTAAATACAACCTAAAGAGAAATTACATATAGTAATCTAATCCTCCCACCGCACCTCCAAAAAAACCCCAGAACCCAAAGCCAAAGAATACTTTCTGAGTGCTTTGCTCTTTTTAAAAAATCATCAGTATGTGTTTAGAAATAAATCAAGAGAGGAAGCACAAGTTCTCCTCCATGTCTTAATTTTTATCTGTTCATGAGTTTCTCCTTAGTTTAGGTATGTGAAACTCTGCCAATAGCCATCTCAGGGACTGAAATAAATACCTGATACAGCTTTCCACCTCTTGTTGCCCTGATAGCTACAAAAAAAAAAAAGCATCTGTTCATTTCACATGCTGTGTATAAACTTTTTAAAAGAGAAATACAGGGAGCTCCAGAGACCCTCTTCAGATATTTCCCCCACCCCTGTAACCACAAACATATGCACTGAAGCCAAATTTCAAATGAGTTTCCGGTTAATTGATTACAGAGTTCAAAGAATTCTCTACTCATTTTGAAATTCCCAAGTACAGAATTTGGTGTTAGATTTTCCTTCAGTGAACTTAGAAGAAAGAAAAATCCTGGCCCTTCCAGCTCCTTCCTGCAGTCTTCCTAATGAAAGACAGCCGGGTGGAGTCTCCTCACACCCTAACATAGCTCCCTTTCCAAGTTTTGGACCTGGCATCCTGCCCTTGTCTGCTCCAGACCTAAAATGCCAGCCCTCTGGGACAATCTGGAGACCCCAGATTCACACTTCCCTAGATTCTATGATGCCTTATCACCCACCTTGATGGGTGCTCTCTCTTGGAAGACTAATTCTGAGTAGAAGAGGATACAGAGGACTGGTTGGATCTTGCTCATTTTAAATCTACACAATGCCTTTCATCTTAGGATCTTTAGATTTTACAAGCATTATTTAGTAGCAAGTAGAAACTCCACAGTATTAGTCTGTACCTGTTGGGCATCAGTCACTGCCATCCTTTGGTACTTTTATTATTATAAACATGGCTACGGAGTGGCTCATAAAGCAACATAGCATGACACGAAGTTTGCTTTAAGTGGGATACTAAGGATTTTGATGCTATTTGAGCTCTCATGTACTCGTGAACCCATGAGAAAACTTTCCACACACTCTGCAGGAACTCTCATGACCCCTGTAAGCCCTTTCCTGCCTGTAGACTTTCCAAAAGACAGTGTATTAATCCCTCTTTTTAGACTAATGGTCACCAAAACCATGGTGATGACAAAATCATGGGGCTTTGCAAGTTAGAAAAGACCTGACAGAAGGGTGGGAAGAAGGAAGGCAGGAGGTATCAGAGAAGGCTTTATGGAGGGAATCACATTTACTCATTAGGATTTCAGATATACAGAGATGGCAAAGACAAATATTTCTAAGTAGAGAGCTGAAGGCAGGACTCTAAAGAAGCAAATTCTGGCTGGGCTCAATGGCTCACACCTGTAATTCCAATACTTTGAGAAGCTGAGGCAGGGGTATCCCTTGAGGCCAGGAGTTCAAGACTAGCCGAAGCAACATTGCAAGACACTCGTCTCTACAAAAAGTTAAAAAATTGGCCAGGCATGTGCATCTGTAGTCCTAGCTACTTGGGAGGTTGAGCTGAGAAAATCGTTCAGCCCAGGAGTTCAAGGTTACAATGAGCTGTAATTGTGTCATTGCACTCTAGCCTGGCGACAGAGTGAGATCCTGTCTCCAAATTTTTTTGTTGTTGTTGTTAATTTTTTTTTTTTTCCAGACAGGGTCTCACATTGTCACCCAGGCTGGGGTGCAGTGACACGATCTCGGTTCACTGCAACCTCCACCTCCCAGGTTTAAGTGATTCTCCTGCCTCAGCCTCCCAAGTAGCTGGGATGACAGGTGTGCACCACCATGCCCAGCTAATTTTTGTATTTTTAGTAGAGATGGGGTTTTACCATGTTGTCTGAGCTTAAGTGATGCACCTGCCTAAGCCTCCCAACTGGGCTTACAGCATGAGCCACCATGCCCAGCAAAAAAAAACCGTTTTATTCTATTTCATTTTATTTATTTATTTATTTATTTATTTATTTATTTACTTACTTATTTATTTATTTTTTTGAGGCAGAGTCTCACTCTGTTGCCAGGCTGGAATGCAGTGGCACGATCTCGCTCATTGCAACCTCTGCCTCTCAAGTTCAAGCGATTCTCCTGCCTCAGCTTCCCAAGTAGCTGAGATTACAGGCACACACCACCACACCTGGCTAATTTTTCTATTTTTAGTAGAGATGGGGTTTCGCCATGTTGGCCAGGCTGGTTTCGAACTCCTGACCTCAGGTGATCTGCCCGCCTCGGCCTCCCAAAGTGCCAGGATTACAGGCATGAGCCACGAAGCCCGGCCCCCCCGCCCAAAAATTTTTAAATGAGGACTTTGGGACGGGATGCTCACTCAACTGTCACTTATTATTATCTCATTTAAAAAATCTAAATCTTTATAAATGAAACTTAGGGTGGCAAGCATACTTGTTCAGAATAATACACCTAGTAAAAATGAGGAAGAGGGCTGTGAAAGTAATTGCAGAGGAAGAATATTTGGGCTTCACAACTGACCAGAGAGAAGGTAGAGGTTAGAGGGAAAAAAACAAAGATAATGCCATATAGTGTTACTCTTAGGTTACTAGGGGCATAGTAGTACTTATTATAAAACAACAGCAGGAAAGAATAAAATATTTGAATTCATTTATCTTAGAGCATTCTGTATGTGAAATACTAAAAAACGACCCATGTGAAGGTGTCTAGAAGGGCCCCTCACACAAAAGATTCAATGCTGGGATAGAGATATAGATTTGGGCCAGGCGTGGTGGCTCACACCTGTAATCCCAGCACTTTGGGAGGCCGAGACAGGCAGATCACCTGAGGTCAGGAGTTTGAGACCAGCCTGGCCAACATGGCGAAACCCCGTCTCTACTAAAAATACAAAAATTAGCCATGTGTGGTGGCATGCACCTGTAGTCCCAGCTACTTGGGAGGCTGAGGCAGGAGAACCACTTGAACTTGGGAGGTGGAGACTGCAGTGAGCCAAGATCGCACCCACTGCACTCCAGCCTGGGAGACAGAGCGAGACTCCATCTCAAAACAAAACAAAACAAAACAAAACAAAACAAAACAACCAAACAAAAAAAAAACCAAACCAAACAAAAAAAACAAAAGAGAGAGAAAGATAGATTTGGAAGCCTTTCCCCATAGAACAGTGAGGAGCTGCCATCTCAGAGGTTGAGTGCAGAGAGAAGAGAAGAGACAGATGACAGAGTTTAAGGAACCACATATTTAGGAGATAGGAAGACAAACCAAAAAGGAAAGCAGAAGAGCAGCCAGAGAAGAGAACGGAAGAGCACAATGTCCAGAAAGTAAATTAACTTTCAAGAAAGAAGATCTGATATTAAATGCTGTACAATGAAAGAGGGGAATAGTGAGGCAGACAAGGCCACTAGACTTGGCAACTAGGAAGCCAATGAATATCTAAGAGAGCAGTTTCAGCACAGTGATGGGTGTTGGATCAGATTAGAGGGGGTTAAGGATAAGCAGTGGTGAGAAATAAGTATGGATCCTCCCTTCTTCTTGAGACTGTGTTCTTTTGACTTCCATGACACTGTGGTACCCTGGTGCTATCTTTCTAGCCAGTCCTTCTTTGTCTCCTTGGATTCCTCTTCCTCTCCTCTTGAGGCAACTAATTTCACAAGGTTATATCGTTGATTCTCTTCTTTTCATCCATTCACCAAATATTTATTGGTATCTACTATGTGCTCTAAACTATCCCAGGCACTAAGGAAAGCACACCGTGCTATGAGAACATGGGTCATGGGCCTCAACCTGGCCTGGAAGCTCAGGGTAGGTTTCCCTGAGAAAGTGATGATGTGGGCCTCCCCCTGGGACTAACTGAGAGTAGTCTTTCCAGTTCCAGAGTGGCATGATCATCACAAAATTGCTTGGTTATTTCCATGAAAGAGGTCTCTGGGTTGAATCACCCCCTCTTTTTTGAGACACAGTCTCACTCTGTCACCCAGGTGGAGTGCAATGGTGCGATCTTGGCTCACTGCAACCTCTACCTCCCAGGTTCAAGCGATTCTCCTGCCTCAGCCTCCTATGTAGCTGGAATTATAGGCACCCACCACCAAGCCTGGCTAATTTTTGTATTTTTAGTAGAGACGGGGTTTTACCATGTTGGCCAGGCTAGTTTTGAACTCCTGACCTCAAGTGATCTGCCTGCCTTGGCCTCCCAAAGTGCTGGGATTACGGGCGTGAGCCACTGCGTCCAGCCCCTGCTCCTCAATATTAGAAAAGAAGGCAGAATAAATAATACAGAGAGAAGAGATTTCTAAAAACCATCTCTTTCATTTCGTTACTAAGGAAAATTCTTATCATTGATGACAAAGAAACAAACAGCTTAGGTATGAATTTAAAGAATTAGACCAAAACCAGAGCTTATCCTTTGGGAATGAATTGCAAGATGACAGAGATATTAAATGGTTCACTTGATAAATACAATTAATTCAAGATGGAGAAAATCTAAGGCACATATAATTTCTTTGAATTATCTTCTTTCCTTGACTCATATATACACATGACCAAATGTTAAAAACATTAAAAACACATATTTGCTGAAACTGTAAAGAATTAAAGACTTTCTGTAAAACATCTCAATCTGGTATGAGATTGGCAGACAGATGAATTATATCTGTATTTTAAGCTGCTTGCTTCTGAAACTCTGCCGATATTTTTTGGCTCAGCCCTCAATGTTTTAATTAAAGATTGATTAATATTAAGAGATGTCTTTCCTAAAGATGCTGACTTAGTAGTTGCCATTGTACGGTAACAGAGGAAGATAACATGGTCTATGATAAAAGCTAATTAGGCCAAAATCCCTGAGATCATTAGAGCTGATCTAATGGGCAACTGAGTGGCTGGGGAAGTCACTGAGCTGGTAATGTCTTCTGGTTAATTCTGGTTAATGATTTGAAAATAATATGAATTTGTAGAGCATACAAGCCAAGGCCAAAATGGTCTCAGAAAAACCTGCTGGTTGTAGGATTCTGATAGAAATGCATAAATGAATTAATGAATAAATAAATATGTATGTATATGTATGTGTACATAAAATATATTTTAAGCTGTGTTGAATCATGACCTAAACTTGCCTATTATTCCCACTCTAGGGCTAGAAATAAGCCCTATTGTTCCCACAAAAACTGCTCAGGAAGGCTCTCTATCCATCCACTTGTTTCATTGTTATCAAACTAATTTTACTTTATCCTCATAATTTCCATTTTTCCAATTTTCAAGAAGAAAATAATCTGGTGCTGGGCCTTAGATCAAGTCTTCTGGAGAATGATGATCCCTAGGCACAAAGAGGGGTAACTGTTCTTATTAAAAAGATTTCACAGGCTTGATACAATGGCTCATGTTTATAACCCCAGCATTTTGGGAGGCTGAGGTGGGCGGATCACTTGAGCTCAGGAGTTCAAGACTAGCCTGGGCAACGTGGTAAAACCCCATCTCTACAAAAGATACAAAAATTAGCTGGGTGTGGTGGTGCATGCCTGTAATCCCAGCTACTTGTAGGGGCTGAGGCAGGAGGATCGCTTGAGCCTAGGAGGTTGAGGCTGCAGTGAGCCATGATCATGCCACTGCACTTCAGGCTTGATTGACAAAGTGAGACCCTGTCTCAAAAACAAACAAACAAACAAACAAAAAATGAAAAAAAAAAAGATTTCACAATATTCTAATTTATATGTCTAGATAAGCTTCTTTTTAAAAAAAAGCATATTATCATCTAGTGAGCTGAGCACCAAATATAAGCCTAATACTTTTAGATATATCACTTCATTTAATTTTCATAAAAATCCTAAAGGTATGATTTACCAATATTTGTATTTTACAGTTAAAGTAAGTAAGATTCAGAGAGGTTAAGTAATTTCCCTGAAGGTCACTCAGCTAGTAAATGATAGAGCCAGGATTCAAACCTGGATACTTCTGACTAGAACTTGTATTCAGTTTTTTTCACTACACCAAACTGTCAACTAATTGAGTAAGTAGCAATGACTCTGTGCATAAGAAGTAGCACATTTCTTTCTTAGTTTTGCCCTCTTATACTGAAAAAAGATTGTGTTCCCTTAACATATACTAACTAGCAGAGAAGGAAGGAAGCCCAGAAGAAAGATGGAGAACTGAGGAAATCAGGCTAAGATTAGAATTTCTTCAGGACACACAAGGATATATACCTCAAGTCTTGCAGAGTAGATAGCATTTTGAATCCTAGAGCTCACATGGCTTATGAGAAATAAAGAATGTTCATCCAGTCAGTCAAATATTGTCTCATCTCCAACTGTGTATATACCAATATGCTAACTACATTAAGGGACACAAAAGTGAATTAACTGAGGGGATAGGACAAATGGATATAATCAGAAAATGTCAAAATTAGGTGGTATGTGATAAAAGCCAAGTGAGTTATACATTGTAAATGATTAAGAGATCAGGAGTAGTGAGCTGGGGAGATCAAAAGCCTTTATAAGGCCGGGCATGGTGGCTCACGCCTATAATCCCAGCACTTTGGGAGGCCGAGGTGGGTGGATCACCTGAGGTCAGGAGTTCGAGACCAGCCTGGCCAACGTGGCGAAACCCTGTCTCTACTAAAAATACAAAAAAATTAGCCAGGCAAGATGGTGCGTGCCTGTAATCCCAGATACTTGGGAGGCTGAGGCAAGAGAATCGCTTGAACCTGGGAGTCAGAAATTGCAGTGAGCCGAGATCGCACCACTGCACTCCAGCCTGGGTGACAGAGCCAGAATCCATCTCAAAAAAAAAAAAAAAAAAAAAGCTTTATAAAGAAGTGGACTTGAGCTATGACTTCAGAAATCAAATACCTAAAATGTATAAGGAGTGTCTGGGGTAACTGGATGTAGTGTATGGTCTATATAGGAAATAACACTGGAAAGATAGTGGGGATCAAATACATCCAAGACTGGAGACACAGAAATAGGCTAGTTCTGAAGGATACAACCATTTATCAGATCAGATGGCCTTCGAATTGCTTTGGGGGAAGGATAAGCACTTACAGAAAGAACTGTGAATACAGACAGAAGGTCAGGAAATCATTTTGGAGATGAAAATTTTAGAGGGCTATAGCATAATTTATGTCTGTTTTTTTCCCATAGGAACCATGTATGTATATGCTAGCTATCCAATCACACCAGCTCTCTGCATTCTTAACAGAGGGTCCTTTGTTCCAAACAGTAAGGCTCAAAAGAAACATAGTCTGATAAAATCACACTGAGATCAGTACTCCCAGCTGGTGCAAGGGCTGATGCCATTCCATAACACACCCTACAGGAAGCAGCCTGAGATACACAGCTGATTGATTTCCACAGCAGGAGCCTTGTGGCAGTGTGGGGTGGGGACTGGTCAGGCATAGAGAAAATTCTTCAGTCGCTGACTCAGATTAGTTCCCCAAGATCCTGACTCTATCTGTGTAAGTCACTCCCGGAAGCAACACTATTTCTTAACTAATTTTCTTAAAAGGAGAGGAAAACCACAGAAGCACCCCCAGCGAGTGGAACTATTTAATCAGTTAACTCTTACTTGTCATGGGATCTGAAGATGGCAAAAATCAAATTCCCTAGCTTTCTAGAAGTAAGCTGAATAATTCTTTCATTGTAAGGGGCCGTCATCCTGTGTATTGTAGGTTGTTTCGCAGCACTTACTAGATGCCAGTAGCAGCTTTTCCAGTCATAACAATAAAAAATGTCTCTGGGCCAGGCACTGTGGCTCATTCCTGTAATACCAGCACTCTGAGAGGCTGAGGTAGGCAGATCATTTGAGCTCAGGAGTTCAAGGCCGGCCTTGGCAACATGGTGAAACTCTATCTCTACAAAAAATACAAAAATTAGCCAGGAATGGCAGCATGCACCTGTAATTCCAGCTACTTGTGGGGCTGAGGCAGGAGGATCACTTGAGACTGGGAGGTCGAGGCTGCAGTGAGCCATGATTGTGCCACTGCACTCTAGCCTGGGTGATGGGAGTGAAACTGTTTAAAAAAAAAAAAAAAAAAAGGAGTGGCGGGGAGTGGGAGTCTCTGCAAAGCTATGCTTGGTTGACAACCACTGGTGTAGCATAAACTTTGGTGCCAAACAGACCTTCCCAATCCCAACTCTAATATTTACTTGCTATGTGGCTCGAACAAGTTATTTTAACCTCTTCAAGTCTTAAGTTTTCTTATCTGCAAAATAGGATTTTAAATGTCTGATTTAGAGTTTTTTTCAGAGATCATTTAGACTCAGATCTTTCTTACTGCATTTACCACTACATCAGTACCACTGTAATTCTCTGTATCTGTTTCCCTTACTATAGATGGTCTCTGACTTAACAATGGTTCAACTGAAGATTTTTCAACTTTATGATGGTGAAAGTGATATGCATTCAGTAGAAACCATACTTCAAGTACCCAATCATTCAGTTTCTCTATTTCAGTACAATATTCAATAAATTACATGAGCGAGTCAGCACTTTATTATAAAATAGGCTTTCTGATAGATGATTTTGCCTAACTGTAGGCTAATGTAAGTGTCTGAGTATGTTTAAGGTAGGCTAAGCTGAGCTATGATGGTCAGTAGCTACTTTTTTTTTTTTTTGGAACGAAGTTTCGCTCGTTGCCCAGGCTGGAGCGCAATGGCATGATCTCAGCTCACTGCAACCTCTGCCTCCCGGGTTCAAGCAATTCTCCTGCCTCAGCCTCCTGAGTAGCTGGGATTACAGGCGCTCGCCACCACGCCCGGCTAATTTTTGTATATTTAGTAGAGACCGGGTTTCACCATGTTGACCAGGCTGGTCTTGAACTTCTGACCTCAGGTGATCCACCCACCTCGGCCTCCCAAAGTGCTGAGATGACAGGCATGAGCCACCATACCCGGCTGTCAGTAGGTACATTAAATGCATTTCTGACTTACAATAGTTTCGAGTTATGATGGGTTTTTCCAGACATAATTTCACTGTAAGTCAAGGCACATCTGTACACTGTTAACTAGAGACTATCTGAGACTCCAGTACCCACCACAAGGACTAGCACAGAGCAACTGCCCAGTAAGGATGGGTTAAAAGGAATATGGAATCACTTCCTTTTAACCTCCATCCATGAACCATCACCATGTGTAGCAAAGATCCATATTTCAAATGACATGACTGGTGGTAGAAAAATAGTTTATGACGTCCTAGAGAGTAAGTGTATTCCATTAACCTTCTATAGTCAATAAGAGAGACTCGTAGTTGAAAAGCACTTAGTGGTGGCAAAGTAGGGAGGGTGCACATTCTACCCATAGCTGGGTTTTTCCAACTGGGACAGCTGAGACTTGTGAAGAATCCATTCAGCAGGAGACAGCCCTTTACAGTGATGGTTTGGTGCAGTGACCTGACACAACTCCCTGTGGAAGTCATTTTATTCCTAGTAAACCAGCAACTCTAACAATAAACGGCCCTTCAAAGAAACTCATCGTACTTCCTAGAAGCTCATAGCTTATTAGCGAGCTTGAAAGTGCCCAGGATATTTTTCTGAAGCTCCAGAACCAGCCTAAGGCTGAGACCATTTACCATTCATTTCTAGGCACAGTGAGGATCAGTCCTTTTCTGCAAGTCTGTGCTTATCTTAACCATGTTTACTAATCAACTACTAAACGATCAATACATACAAGTTCTGCACAGGATACATTCTAGTTTTTCTGGAAATATATTTCTTCCTTCTTATACAAATGATAAATCTTAGTTGTGAATGCTACATACTGATACTGTATGTGAAGAATTTTAGTAAACTCAAATCCAACTGCTCAGTCCTTTTCTTTGGTTACAGATATATTTGTTTGTTGCTTTTTTTTTTTTTTTTGAGATGGAGTCTCGCTCTGTCACCCAGGTTGGAGTGCAGTGGCGCGATGTCGGCTCACTGCAACCTCCACCTCCTGGGTTCAAGCGATTCTCCTGCCTCAGCCTCCTGTGTAGCTGGGACTACAGGCGCATGCCACCATGCCCGGCTAAGATGGGGTTTCACCATGTTGGCCAGAATGGTCTCGATCTCCTGACAGCGTGATCCACCTGCCTCAGCCTCCCAAAATGCTGGGATTACAGGCATGAGCCACTGCGCCTAGCCTGTTTGTTGCTTTAAAATCTCACCTTGCTATCAAATTTCCAGACAGATTTTTGTAAAATCTATCAATCCTTTCTTGATGATTTTACTACCTTCCATTCAATTTTACTACCTTCACTGGGGCATGAGGCTCCTTTAAGATGATGCAGTGGCTGCAAGCCTGGGATTTTGCTTGTGACACTGATATTTAAAATACAACTGGCAATATTTTAAAAGGGAGCTGGAAAAGGTTCAACATGAAGCAAACTTAAAGGCCTTAAAGGCTCCTTCACCTTCTCCACATCCAGTTGCTATGGTGGGGGTGGAGAGGATTATTACAGAGCATTGGAATTCTTTGTGGGGTGGGGAGGTGGGGGTGGTCACATAAGGGTTATAAATATCAGCAGCCAAACTCTTGGTTGGCTGTGGAGAACAACTGAGAGACTGTAGTCTCCCCTTAAAGGCACAGAACAAGGAAGCTCCCTGAAGTATGTCCACAAAGGAAGTTCCTCTTCTCTTTGGCAATGCATCATCAACCAAACACCTGCATCAACAACTGACAACTGTACGTAAATTCCAGCCAGGGAAAGTGACCAGGAGGTGTTAAGCCAGACACAGATTAAGGCCAGCAAAAATAAAGAATCCAGAGCCTGGCTTAAAGGAAAGCTGACTTAGAAGTGGTTGTTGCCACTACACACAGTCATAATCAGATTATCAGAAGGCTGCTTGTTACATAAATATTTAACTAGTAACCTATTCCACCTGAATTCTAAGTTTCCCATGTATAGGTGGCAATTTCTTCCAGGGCTATAGTTCTCAACAGAGGGTAATTCTGCCTTCCAGGGAGACATTTTTAGTTGTACAACTGGGAAGTTACTAGGTCAGAAATGCTGCTAAACAGCCTACAATGCACAGGACAGCTTCTCACAACAAAGAATTATCCAGTCCAAAATGTTGATAGTGGCAGGCAGAGGTGGTGGCGTGAGTGGCTGCCCCTTTCCTCCCCACCCACCCCCAAAAAATGTCAATAGTGCCGAAATTGAGAAATCCATTTTAGGATACTGTCTTTATTTCCTTGGACCCTAGTTCCTATTTGGAGTAGCTTTGTTTAAGGAAGAAAGGAAAAAACCAAGACAGGCCAAGGAAGGGTCAGCACAAGGTGGGGGTTGGCAGGGATAGAGGATACCCACTCATCTTGGTAAAGCTGGGGAAACCTAAACCTCCAGGTGACAGACAGGTCATACCAAGTGTGATTTCCTGTCTCTCCAAGGGCAGGTAGATAACGCTAACCTCATTTGCTCTATCCTCCAGTGACTCACTCTCAGGCAGGTGTACTAACTGCCAAAAACGTACATGAGCTGATACTGTCCTTGTAATCATTTGAAAGGAAGGAGTAAACTGGCAGTCTTTCAACTCCATGCTGGGCCCTGTCTTCCAGGGCTTTTCTTTTTCTTTTTTTGGAGACGGAGTCTCTTTCTGACACCCAGGCTGGAGTGCAGTGGTGCGATCTCGGCTCACTGCAACTTCTGCCTCCCAGGTCCAAGCCATTCTCCTGCCTCAGCCTCCCCAAACAGCTGAGACTACAGGCATGTGCCACCATGCCCAGCTAATTTTTGTATTTTTAGTAGATACAGGGTTTCACCATCTTGGCCAGGCTCGTCTCGAACTCCTGACCTCAGGTGATCCACCCACCTCAGCCTTCCAAAGTACTGGGATTACAGGCGTGAGCCACCGCCCCCAGCCTCTTCCAGGGCTTTTCTCATGTGCACATGAAGATGCCTAAGCTTGCTTTCTATGTGGCAATAAATCAATCAATCAATCAATCAATCAATCAATCAATCAAATGAAGGCGTTTACAAGACTTTCTTATTCTGTTTTCATAGTAGGATACCTAGGTCCCCCGGTAGAAACTTCAAGTATACTGAGACCCTGATCCTGGGCTCTGCTCAACCTGAATTAGGAATGAAAATAATCCTAAGGAAGCCTGATGCTGCACCTATTAGAACCCAGCAGCCCAGCCTCAAAGACAAGAAAGGAAAAGACCAACTGGTTTGGGTGCTTTATATGCACCACTGGGTGAAGTGAACCACTATGAGAAACTCGCAGACCCTAAAGAGGTCTGTCAGTCAATTTTTCCCATTGTTCGTTCGTTCGTTCTTTCTTTCTCTTTCTTTCTTTTCTTTCCTTCCTTCCTTTCTTTTCTTTCTCTCTTTCTTTCTCTCTCTCTCTCTCTCTCCCTCCCTCCCTCTCTCTCTGTCTTTCTTTCTTTTTTTTTTGAGACAGGGTCTCACTCTGTTACACGCTGGACTGCGGTGGCATGGACGCAGCTCACTGCAGCGTCAACGTCCTAGGATCAAGTGATCCTCCTGCGTCAGCCTCCTGTGTAAGCTGGGACCACAGCATGTGCCGTCATGCCTAGCTAATTTATTTATTTTTTATAGAAGGGCCGCCTCATTTTGTTGCCCAGGCTGGTCTCGAACTCCTGGGCTCAAGTGATCTGCCCACATCAGCCTCCCAGAATGCTATGATTATAGGTGTGAGCCACTGTGCCTGGCCCCATTGTTCATTTTATCACTGAGAGGTAGAATGCCAAGTCTGAAGCATGACCCAAATACACAACAATATAAATACATATGAAAAACAAGTGAATGAAGGTGCATCCAGGTTTCTTGATAATGCTCACCAGTATGATGCCCAAACCATCAAATACTTTCTGAGTGAGAAGTCACATGGTTCTTGCGGGGAGCAGGGGGCAAAGGAGGGGTTGGTTTAAGATTCAGAATGATCTCAGTTCAAGTAAAACCTACGTAGGGAATTTCAAAATGAGGAAAATCTCTTGTTATCATCAGAGACTTAACATATATATATATATATATATATATATATTTTTTTTTTTTTTTTACCCTTCCCAGGAAGGTCACTCTAGGGGAATTCTTTGGCTCAAGTTTCAGTGATAAAAACGTCCTTCCTTTCTTGTTAGCCTCCTGTTAGACACATACAATTCCTTTTCCTCAATAACCAGACTCCCTTGTTCAGGAAAACGGAATTTCCTGAAGAGATTTGCCAAAGTCTTTTCTTTCCAGCTTTCTGAAAACAAGCTCAATCCTCTCATTAGTGATTTCTAGAATGGCTTCTTCCTTTCTACTTCCAACAGAGAGCTGAACCTGGTAAAGATCCTAACTCAGGAAGCCTGAGATCTCTGCCTGGTTTGAGTGGAAAGGAACTCTCTTCCACTCCCATGTGATAGAATCTGGTCTGCCAGTGAGGACCTACTAATCATTCAGAAGCAACTGAGGGAAAGCCTTTCCTAGGAATAATGTATTTTAGTATTCCACATTCATTTAAGGAAGAAATAATTTTCCCCACAGACTGCAGATCCATGGATCTATCAGCAAGACTGTACAGTCCCAAGTAAGACTGGGGGGTTCTTCACAGGCCTAACTCATCTGTCTATTCTAGCTCCCATGGAGTTAGCTGGGTTAAAGCAGAGTTTCCGTCTCCCAGATTCATATCCTCTTCTCTTGTGCAGATTCTGTGCTAAAAGTATGATTCCATTAAAAAAAGAGCTGAAAACTTACAGCTAATGCTGTTTTTAAAAATATTTATCTTCATCTTTGTTTTTACCTTATTAAAAATAATTTGAATCTGAAAACAGAGTCATACTTTATAAATCTGGTCTGCTGCTGGAGTAAGGAAAGATTAATCTATGGCTGGACTATAATACATTAACCCAGGAACTCCACACTCAAATCATGAAAATGACTCAGTCCTCAGAATGGGTCCAAAAAGACCTTCCCTTTATGCGGCCTCCTGGGGACTATGGAACTGACACACAGAATTTTTCTCCTCTCATTGTTTTCACTTCCGATGAGCTCAGCATGAGTTCAGCCAAGAATATGCTCCTCCCCTCCTGACCAAAGATTTTTGCTGGGAGAAGGCAAAAACTCTTTCCAAAGCTTTTGACTTCCCTACAAGGTGGACAGGTGGAACAGGGCTTTTGATTTGCATCCCCAACTTGAGGGTGGATACTGATCATTTTATGGTAACTACCTACTGACTTGACAATGGACTACACACAGGACACTCCACCACCCTTCTCCCTTCTCCCACTCTTCTTCCAGGCTTGCCTTGTCAACACCAGTCCACTGTTGATGAACACACTCTGCAAGAGCCCAGCCGATCAGTGTCCAGTCCCAGCCTTCACATCCAGAGTATCTGAGGTGGAAGGCTTATTTTTAGAAATCAGTGAAACGAATTTGGCTATGACAAGCAACTAAGTGCTATTGAACTCTGAGCACTATTAGGCAACATACTAGGATAGAAATAAGATAAAGTAATGCCCAGTAATTTTTTGAAATCTTCCAGCAACATCAAAAGTCAGAATGTCTCTAGAAACCAAGGATTAAATGAAAAGGAAAAGATGACTTGTCCTCAAATCCAAACACTATTTATGCCTGCATGTGGACTCTTTTGTACATTTTAGCTCATATCTAATGCAATTTTAACAGGCCTGTTTATCTCATTTTCTAGCTCAGTGAAGATTAGAAGGGAGGAATAGACTACACAGACCAAATGACAGCAGTGAAAAGTGATAGCAGTAGGAAATAATAACCAATATCATGGTGGTGGGCAGAAATCCCAAAATTACCTCCTCCTCTCCACACACACATGCACAGCCAATCCAACCAGTATAATACTATAGAGGCCCTAAACAATAACTTCAATATAGAAATCAAAGTGCACAGTAATTTGGGAATACTTAATACAAAGCAGCTCCAAATGTGTCTCACATCCTTGAGAATATCACCATAGTATAGACAGTACAACCATTTAAATAATGTTAACCTGCACTCATTAAAAAAAACTTATGCATAATACATATTTAGAAAATTAGGCAAATTGAGTTTAAAATAATTCCTATATAAACCAGAACCTGGTTAGATGAAACTATTTTGTGTGTTTTTTTTTTTTTGAGAAGGAGTCTCACTCTGTCACCCAGGCTGGAGTGCAGTGGCGCCATCTTGGCTCACTGCAAGCTCCACCTCCTGGGTTCATGCCATTCTCCTGTCTCAGCCTCCCGAGTAGCTGGGACTACAGGCGCCTGCCACCATACCCAGCTAATTTTTTGTATTTTTTTTTAGTAGAGACAGGGTTTCACCGTGTTAGCCAGGATGGTCTCGATCTCCTGACCTCGTGATCCACCCGCCTCGGCCTCCCAAAGTGCTGGGATTACAGGCGTGAGCCACCGCACCCGGCTGATAAAACAAAACTATTTTGGAGCCTAAAGGGATAAGTTTCAGTTTTCTAAAAATTTCATTGAGTTGGTTAGATGGTTAATTCTAAATAGCCTGGATGCAAGTAAATTGGATAACTGAAGCATACCTGTAGAAGAAAGTCTCTGCTTTTGAGACACTTATAACAAAAGAGGAAAGAAAAATGTGCAAGCTGAAACAGGGAAGGCCACACTACCACTAGAAAGGAAGTTTCTAAGAGGAATGCACTGCTTCACGGGTTTACGTTTTCTCTACCTACCCTTTCCTTATCTGGGTGCCTCAAGAAACCCAAATACGATGACTCCTCTTGCTCAAAATTGTACTATCTCCAAACATGGTAAGAAGGCCTTCAGCCAATGTCCCACTTTAGTGCTGAATTTCTCCCAAGCTCCTAGAGGGGCCCTTCTGAAACAGCCACATTTTTGCACTTGGATCCTGTCTACAAAACTGTGACGTCTCTAGGACTACGTGGCTCTGAGCTGGTGTCAACATTACCTCTGCATCCATGTTTTTAAGATAAATAACGCTGGCAAGCAGGGTCTCTGAGATCACAATTTTACTTTAATGGCAGGAGTGTTAACTGTGTAAGCAGGAATAATTAACTCTAGTGATGGAAACAAAGTGCTGAAAGTATCCTTTCCAAATCTATTCCATGTACAGTGGCAGAGTGAGAGACTTTTACGTATTTACCACAAGGAAAACTCTAGGGGCAACAGGTTAATATAGTGAGAACCAAGATCCAACAGATGTGCTCCTAACCCAGTAAATCCACACTTTTGGGTCATGTAATCATCTCCTGTTACTTTAATTTATACTCACACAATCTCAGGAATGGAGATTTTGGCTCAGGCAAAGAATTAAAGTATTTTTGCAATTAAGGCAGTACTTCTCAAACTTCTTTCCTATAGGCAAAGAACTTGTACTCTTGAGGAGTCTGGGATGTATTATTAAGCTGCTTACTATATAAATGGGAGATTTATTTGAAGTGTCATGTTTTATCTTAACAATTAATGATAATTTTATGTTTTATTCCATAATATATCAAATATACATCAATATCCTCCCCTAAAATCTATGTAAAATAAACCCTTTAGGAAGATGAGACTATGTTTAACTTACGGCTTTTCATACCTCAATTTGAAAAACAGGGGGCTGAGTGCGGTGACTAATGCCTGTAATCCCAGCACTTTGGGAGGCTAGGGCGGGTGGATCACTTGAGGTCAGGAGATCGAGACCAGCCTGGCCAATATGGTGAAACCCCATCTCTACTAAAAATATAAAAATTAACCAGGCGTGGTGGTGAGCGACTGTAACCCCAGCTACTTGGGAGGCTGAGGCAGGAGGATCACTTGGACCCCGGAGGTGGAGGTTTCAGTGAGCCTAGATCGCCCCACTGCACTCCAACCTGGGCTACAGAGCAAGACTCTGTCTCCAAAAAAAAAAAAAAAAAAAAAAAAACACACAAAAACCAGAGACCTGAAGATACATTCACTGCTATTACAAAATCTGGTAATCTGAAATCTCAAGAAATCCTAAAAGGAAATTCTTAGAGTAAGAGATAAGACTTGGACATTTCTTTCTATATCCTTAATTGGTTATAAAGACTGAAATAAACTACAATAGAAAAATGCTCTGGCTGGGCGTGATGGCTCATGCCTGTAATCCCAACACTTTGGTAGGCTGAGGTGGGCGGATTGCCTGAGCTCAGGAGTTTGAGACCAGCCTGGGAGACATGGTGAAACCTCGTCTCTACAAAAAATACAAAAAATTAGCCGGGTATGGTGGCGCCTGTGGTCCCAGCTCCTTGGGAGACTGAAGTGGGAGGATCGCTTGAGCCTATGAGGTCGAGTCTGCAGTGAGCCGAGATCGCACCACTGCACTCCAGCCTGGGTGAGAGAGAGAGACCCTGTCTCAAAAAAAAAAAAAAAAAAAAAAAAGAAGAAGAAGAAGAAAAAGAAAAAGAAAAATGCTCAAACCAGTTTGCTCAGAAGTCCGAGAGACTATTTAGTCTTCAGACAGTGTGCTTTCATGGTGATGGAAGTGACAATAATAAAACTAGGGACAGAAGTTAAAATGTATACTTGACTGGTTTCCAAGTTACAAGCAAATAAATACATGTAAAAGAAAAAGAAAAACAAGGTTCAGACTTACTTTAAAATCTGCTAATTGTTGGTTGATGATTTCCACTTCGGTCCCCACTACCCACTGGAGGGCCTCTGCCTCCTCTGCTGCTGTGGTCGCGTCATTGAGTCCTTTCAATTTCCTGTAGAAGTCCTCTACACGGCCTAGTGTCAGTTCCAGCTGTTCCTGACGAGCTTTCCCCCTCTCTGTCAGTTTGCCACACTGTTTGTTCAGGGCTTCTAGCTCCCTTTTGAGACCTAACAAATCCAGAGTCCCCTCTTCTTCTAGCATATGTCGACACTCTGCTTCAGAGGCCTCTATGTCTAATTTGAGGACGTGAATTTTGTTAAGGAATAGCCGGACATCCTCGATTTGGGACTGGAGGCTATCAGTGTCTCTGCCAATAGCACCCATGCCATCTAGCTCATCATCCAGGTCTGCCAATTGAGAGAACATCTCTCGGACCCGGCAGTGAAACTGGCCAATCCCCTCCAGCTTGTTTTCCATCATCACACAACCACTGTTCACTCTTTGCTTAACTTCGAGGAACTCTTGCTGGGCGACCTCAGCTTGGTGGAGAAGTTGAGAAGCATCAGATCCATCTGGGGCATCTTCTACCAGACCCTGAGTAAAGTTCCTCAGATAGTCTACCTGAGGCTCTAGGGCCTGCAGCACTTCCTGTTGAGCTCTTAGCTTCTCCAGGTTCTTGTTGCTACAGGCTTGAGAACCCAGAGCATCAAAGATCTCAAGTTGGTGTTTGGCTCCTTCAACCTTCTTTTCAATATTCTTAAAGCTTTCCTGGAACTCCCTGAGCCTCTGAGTCATTTCTTCGAGTGACCCTGTTTTGGCCTGCAGCTCTTCTGTAACAGCATCCATGTTCTGGTTGATCCCAGCCTTCTCATCCCGGATTCCATCCTCATCTGCTTCTGAAGAATTGATCAGAATGTCAGCAGCACTATTCAATATTTCCAGCAGGGAGCGGCGCTTCTCCACCTCATTCAGCATAGCCTTTGATCTTAGGAGACTGGACTCTAGCTGCACTGGATCCAGAGTGACTCGCAACTCAGACATCTTAGCTTTACAATCTTCTATCCATGGCACAAGGTCTTCCACATGCCACTGATATTTCTGAGCTTTCTGCATACAATCCTTGAGCCTGGATTGTCTGTCTGCAGTTTTTTTACTAAGCTCTTCCCAATGGTTTTTGAGCTCAACCAACTGGTTTTGTAGAGTCCTTTTCTCTTCTCCAGGAGGTACAGAAAGAAGTAGAGATTCCCCTTCAGCCACAATCACCTCATAGGAGCCACTGTGTTGATTAAGACTTTTCTGAAACTCTTCATTCTCCTGTAGCTGAGACTGTAGCCGCTCCAATTTTGCAGAAATTGGGCAGTTTTTTGCTTGCTGGCTTTGTTTATCATCCAACCAGGTCCTCAACTCATCAAACATTTGCTGGAACTGCTGGGTGCTGGCAAGAGCTGCCTGGAGTCTGTTAATGCGATCGGCTGAAATGAGAAAATAAAATTGAAATCAATAAAGCCTGAACCCTGGCATTTAAAATGTTTGCTGAGAGTATACGGTCTAATCTTGGGGGAAGGGAACTAATGTTACTTGAGGGCCTACCAAAAAGAGGCATATAATTAGGCTCCTTCATGTACACTATCTTATTTAATCCTCGTATCAACCTTGTAAGGTGATCTAAGTAACAGAAGTAAACTTTGACTTCTAGCTGGTAAACGTGAAAGTCATAAACAGTTCCAGAAAAATAAATAATAAATTAATGGCACAATTTTTCTTCTACCAAGTTATCATAAGAAGTCCAGAAGCAGCCGGGTGCAGTGGCTCATGCCTGTAATCCCAGCACTTGGGGAGGCTGAGGTGGGAGGATCAGTTGAGCCCAGGAGTTCAAGACTAGCTTGGGCAACAAAGCAAGACCTCGTCTCTACTAAAAATAAAAATAATCACTGGGTGCGGTGGCTCACGCCTGTAATCCCAGCACTTTGGGAGGCCAAGGCGGGCAGATCACGAGGTCAAGAGTTCGAGACCAGCCTGGCCAACATGGTGAAACACCGTCTCTATTAAAAATACAAAAATTAGCCAGGCATGGTGGCACGTGCTTGTAGTCCCAGCTACTTGGGAGGCTGAGGCAGGAGGATTGCTTGAACCGAGGAGGCGGAGGTTGCAGTGATCCAAGATCGTGCCACTGCACTCCAGCTGGGGCAACAGAGTGAGACTCTGTCTCAAAAAAAAAAAAGAAAAAAAAATCAGCTGGGCATGGTGGCGTGTGTCTATAGTCCCAGCTACTTGGGAGGCTGAGGTGGGAGGTTCACTTGAGCCCAGGAGATTGAGGGTGCAGTGAGCCATGATCGCACTACTGTACTCCAGCCTGGGTGACAGAGCGAGACCGTGTGTGTGTGGTATGCATAATATTAAAAAAAAAAAAAAAGTGGGTATCAATGAGAGTATATGTGGAACTCCATTTATCAGTACATCTATGGGGATGAATCTCTACTTGCTGACTGAAATTTTATTAGAGCTTTTATCTTTAGGACTATGCTATGTAAACCTTCACATTTTTAAGTGTTCACTGTGTAACAACTACAACAGTTCTCACTGCAACTAGGAGAAGGAATTGGTTTAACACCATTCTGAGTCTACAAATTACGTAAGGGAATCCTAGAATCTTGGGACTACTCCTAACCCATTCCTTCTTTCTGCTTGCCTCTAATAATGGCAGAAGTATGTTCTTCACCCCAACTTACCTGCAAGGTCTTCTAAACCTTGGAGAGGCAGGGCAACTGTCTCCAAACGCTTCTTCAGTTCATCCTTGAGGTACTGCTCACCAATGAGCACTGAGAGTTCATCGCACAGTGTCTGAGCCTCCTTAACCTCGTGGTCTAACTGCTCCAAGTCAGATCGAATTTCACTGGTCTCTTCCAATTGCTGCTTTACAGCCTCTGGTTGGGTGCTGATAGCTGACTGGACACTCAGCCGTTGTCCAACTGCCCTCACCTTCTCTGATAAGTCCTGGAGCAGTTCCTGGTACTGGGTGCTCTTAACAATAGCTTGGTCAATTTGGCTGGAACGGGAGTTGAGTTTGTCAGTCAGCTCAACCCATTTCTGATTGATGCTCTGGAGTTCTTTCTGTACTTGGCTGGTGGACAGAGAGACATCTCCAGGGCCTGTTAGGATGCCCTGAGCTGCCTCATTCAGTTGCTCATGCTGTTGCCTGCGTGCTTCAAATTCCTTTAGCATAAACTGAAATAGAAATGACACCAAGATGTTTAGACAGGAAAAAAACAGATCTATCTAAAAGCAGTGTCAGGCCAGGCACAGTGGCTCATGCCTGTAATCGCAGCACTTTGGGAGGCCGAGGTGGGAGGATCACTTGAGGTCAGGAGTTCAAGACTAGCCTGGCCAACGTGGCGAAACCCCGTCTCTACTAAAAATACAAAAATTAGTGGGGCGTGCTGGTGAACACCTGTAGTCCCAGCTACTCGGGAGGCTGAGGCACGAGAATTGCTTGAACCCAGGAGGCCGAGGTTGCAGTGAGCTGAGGCAGCACCACTGCACTCCAGCCTGGGCAACAGAGTGAGACCTTGTCTCCAAAAAAGAAAAAGCAGTGTCAAAACAAAAACTGATGTTGGATTGTGCCAAATAGTGCCAACTACTTTAAAACTATAAGCCAGAAAACTAAAGGACCAGGCTATTAGGCTGAGGCAGTATCACTTAACAATTGCTTAATAAAAACTTACTTTGAAAGGATCACTGATTGTTCCTATTTTATTTCTTTTCCTTATTTGTCCCATTCTGTTTCAATGTCAGTTACTAAGGCCAGACACGGCTGAGAAATTAAAGTTGGCATTCATCTGCTTTGCCATGCAATACCCAAGCCTCTGAATTGGGAGTTCAGAACACTGGATCCCAGAGCCAGCTGTATTACTAGCTGGGCTTGCCATGTCAACTCTCAGTGTCTGTTTTTCTTAGTTTCTTTCTTAGAATTCGAAGAGCATATACAATCTGTATTTTATAATATAGCATAATTAGACAAAGAGCTTCTTTAAGGCAATGACTATGGCTTTTTTTTCTTTTCATATCCCTTGCTGCTTTCATCAAAAAAGTTAAGATTACAGGATGTGGAGTCAGACTGCCTGTGTTCAAATCCTGGTTCTGTCACCTACTAGCTGTATGACCTTAGGCAAGATTTCATAAGTTCTCAAACCCCAGCTTCCTCATCTGTAAAATGAGGACAGTAAAGTACTTACTTTGGCTGTTATAAGGATTAAATGAGATAATTTATAGAAAGTACTCAGTATTTACACTGCACAAAAATAAATAAGACATAGCCTCAC
The DNA here is from genome assembly GCF_000001405.40 of Homo sapiens. Lineage (NCBI taxonomy): Eukaryota > Metazoa > Chordata > Mammalia > Primates > Hominidae > Homo > Homo sapiens. The sequence continues at coordinate 39,384,339 of NC_000001.11, read as the reverse complement.
GAAATGACAAATGTGTAAACAATGAACTATAATAAAATGTAACAAAAGTAAAAATGATTAAACTCTGATGTGAACACGCAACACAGAACTGTGAAAGCATGGAATAGGGTGGCTAATTCCGCTGGGGATGACAAATGGCAGAAGACAGAAATTAGGAAAGGCTCCCTAGATGTGACAATAAAGAACGAGCAGTTCTCCAAGCAGAGCAGAGATTAAGGCTGGTGAAAGGCACTTCAGGGGAGGGTCTAGGATTAGCAGACATACAGAGATCAAAACCATTTTCATAATAATACTAAGATGTTATTTGCCTTTTAAAATTTCTGCGCTGTCACAAATGTTCAATGATGTTTCCCAGAAGCTACATGGCATTCGATATTGTAACAGATATGCAGAAGCAGAATAGCCTATTAAGCCAGAAATTAAGATTTGCAAAGACATAAAACAATGCCACTTTTTTTTTTTTGAGACGGATTCTCGCTCTGTTGCCCAGGCTGGAGTGCAGTGGTGCGATCTCGGCTCACTGTCAGCTTCGCCTCCCGAGTTCATGCCATTCTCCTGCCTCAGCCTCCCGAGCAGCTGGGACTACAGGCACCCGCCACCACACCCGGCTAATTTTTTGTATTTTTAGTAGAAACAGGGTTTCACTGTGCAAGCCAGGATGGTCTCGATCTCCTGACCTCGTGATCTGCCTGCCTTGGCCTCCCAAAGTGCTGGGATTACAGGCATGAGCCACCGTGCCCGGCCAATGCCACTCTTATTATCAAACTTTTATGTTTCGGAAAATGCTATTTTTTCATTAAAAATATGTTACTTACGTTAATGTGATGGTTTTATCATTGCTATTTTAAAAATTTAAATATATACTTTTAAAATTCCTCAGTATTTTAATACAATAAATGTTAATAGATAAACACAAGCTCTTGGGGATCCTCAGTAATTTTTCAGAGAATAAAAGGGGTTCTTGAAGCCAAAAAGTTTGAAAATCCCGGATTAGAAAAATATTTGTTAAGTAGACTAAATAGGACTCAATAATTACCTGGATGCAGGAACTAAAAGAAGCAGTTCCTTCAAAAAGTACTCTTAGGTCTTAATTTAAGGAACCTGGTAAGTTGAGAAGACATGGACCAGGCTGCGGGAGAATGTAAAAGAAGTAAAAGCCTCCAGGCAGGATTTCATTGGGAATGACATAATTTTGACCAACCTAAATTTCTTTCTTTTTTGAAGCAGTTTTTGCTCTGTTGCCCAGGCTGGAGTGCAGTGGCACCATCTTGGCTCATGGCAACCTTCATCCCGTGGGTTCAAGCAATTCTCCTGCCTCAGCCTCCCGAGTAGCTGGGACTACAGGCACCTGCCACCACGCCCGGCTAATTGTTGTATTTTTAGTAGAGGCAAGGTTTCACCATGTTGGCCAGGCTGGTCTTGAACTCCTGACCTCAGGTGATCCACCCACCTTAGCCTCCCAAAGTGCTAGGATTATAGGTGTGAGCCACTGCACCCGGCCTGACCAACCTAAATTTCTATGATGTTAGGCACTTAAATCAATTTTTTTGAGGTTTGATCACAGAAAATCCTATGTAAAGCCGGCAGATATAAGATATTAAGTAATGTGGATCACTATCACAGGGGATTACAAGTAAAAAAAAATTTTTTTTTTTTTTGAGACGGAGTCACGCTCTACTGTCCGGACAGGACACTGCAACCTCAGCCTCCTGGGTTCAAATGATTCTCCTGCCTCAGCCTCCCAAGTAGCTGGGATTTCAGGCACATGCCACCACGCCTGGCTAATTTTTTGTATTTTTAGTAGAGACAGGGTTTCATTGTGTTAGCCAGGATGGTCTTGATCTCCTGACCTTGTGACCCGCCCACCTCGACCTCCCAAAGTGCTGGGATTACAGGTGTGAGCCACCACGCCCAGCCAAAAGTAAAATGTAATTCCACAATTTAGTCAGAAAAACTCCCCATTCTCATATCTACTCATCTTACTGTCTCTATTAATAATAATAATAGAGTTTTTGACTGTTTACTATTTTACAGGCACCATGATTAACACCTTATAAATACCTCATTTAAACTGAGACTCTGAGAGATTAAATGACTTGTCCAGGATCACATGAAATCTACTTACTGGGAGAAACATTCAAACCCAGTTTCATGTGATTCCAATTTCTTTGTTGCTATATTGCTCACCTGGACCTGTTGCTTTTGTGCATTCAACATGTTGGGGTCAATAGACAGGGGCCCCAGCACTCCCATCATCAGTTCTTTCTCCATCAGCCACGGCCGGAGCTGGGATTCTGCAGCCTGGAAGCAGGCCAGATGACTTGCAGATTCCTCTAGCTGCCTTTGCCGAGCCACAGTAACCTCAGTGGCCCTTTCCCATCGGGAATCTGTAGAGAGGAAATGAGGGAATGTATTCCTTTACATTATCAACAACTGGCCTGGTACCTAAGTTATGTTCCTAATATACTGCAGGAAATGACCCCAGAAGCGTTATTTATTTATTTACTTATTTGAGACAGTGTCTCACTCTATCACCCAGGATAGAGCAGTGGCACGATCATGGCTCACTGAAGTCTCAACCTCCTGGGCCCAAGTGATCCTCCCACCTCAGCGTCCCAAGTAGCTGGGACTATAGGCGTGTGCCACCATGCCCAGTTAATTTTTTATTTTTTGTAGAGACGGGATCTCCCTATGTTGCCCAGGCTGTTCTTGAACTCCTCAAGTGGGAAAATCACTTGAGCCCAAGAGTTCAAGGCCAGCTTGGACAACAAAGCAAGACCCTATCTTTACCAAAAAAATTTAAAAATTGGCTAGTTGTGGTAGCACATGCTTGTGGTCCCACCTACTCAGGAGGCTGAAGCAGGAAGATTGCTTGAGCCAGGGAAGTCGAGGCTGTAGTGAGCTATATTGTGCCACTGTACTCCAGCCTGGGTGACAGAGCAAGACCCTGTCCCCCCCCCCAAAAAAAAAAAAAAAAAAAAAAGGCCAGGCATGGTGGCTCACACCTGTAATCCCAGCACTTTGGGAGGCCGAGGTGGGTGGATCACTTGAGGTCGGGAGTTCGAGACCAGCCTGACCAACATGGAGAAACCCCCTCTCTACTAAAAATACAAAATTAGCCGGGCATGGTGGCGCATGCCTGCAATGCCAGCTACTCGGGAGGCTGAGGCAGGAGAATCGCTTGAACCTGGGAGGCGGAGGTTGCGGTGAGCCGAGATCATGCCATTGCACTCTAGCCTGGACAACAAGAGCAAACTCCATCTCAAAAAAAAAATTTAATTAAATTAAAAAAAATTCATCTACATTGTTTACAGTTCAATATTATGAGTACACAATTTATCTAATCTCTTTATTGAATATTTTTATTATTTCCATCTTTCATTTTTATCATTAATACTCTCTTTAGTTCTTTTGTTACGTTTTTTTTGGAGACAAGGTCCCTCTCTGTTGCCCAGGTTGGAGTTCAGTGGCACAATCATAGCTCACTGCAGCCTTGAACTCCTGGGCTCAAGCAATCGTCTCGCCTCAGCCTCCCCAGTAGCTAGGACTCCAGGCTCATGCCACCACACCTGGCTAATTTGTTTTTCCTTGCTTTTTGTAGAGACAGGATCTTGCTATGTTGCCCAGACTGGTTTGAACCCCTAGCTTCAAGCAATCCTCCTGTCTCAGATTCCCAAAGTGCTGAGATTACAGGTGTGAGGCACTGTTCCTGGCCTCTCTTTGGTTCTTGATCACAGTAGATTACCAGTTTGACTTGCCCAAGAAAGCCAAACTTCTGACTTTTTGAGTGGAATTTCTAATTTTCTTCCCAATTCAGGCTCATGCTCTGGCCCTATCTGGATCCTAATTGCTTATTTATAAAAATTAACTAAAAATAATTCCTGTTTTATAGGATGTGCTGAAATTCTCTACTTGCTTTGAAGACAAGTAACTTAGCAAATTTGTAACACTCTTGTGAAAACTTACTGAGTTCTTCCTGAATTTTCTTCCAATTTTCTGCTTCCTGTGAGTTGGGATATGTCACCAGTAATCCAGCCAGGGCTTCCTTTACTTTTTGAATTTTTGGAGAATTCTGTTCCAACTCAGCCAGGAAGGCCTAGGAGAAAGAATGCCATGCATGCCATGAGATTCTGGACAGGAAACAAAGTTGTGTGTGTGGTAGAAATGATTGGAAAACTGGGCAGTTATTATAGACTCTACTAGGATCCTATCAATGACTTGTTTAGTGGTGTTAAGATACTTAACCCTTCTACTTCAATTTTTATTTTAAAATGAAAATCTAAATGGCAGGATCTGAGTTTCTTTTATGTATAATACATCAGTAGAACTCAATAAGAAGGAATTATTAATCAAAATAAACTAAAAATACCAAGATATGATGATAACATATCTTGAAGGAGATGAGATGCTACGCTCAATGGGAATATTAAAAGTTTTGGTGAAACTTGCCTACAGGATTTTCTGTGGTCTTATATCTTCTGACATTTTTCCTAGTCTCACATGTCAATCTTAAGAATGAACTGTAATCACTGTTATTTAGATCCCTCTAAGAATTGGAAAGATACTTTGATAAGAATGGTTTGTCTTGCTTACAGCATCATATAGAAAATGAGATCCCATTCTCAATGAGCTAACGATTCTGGGGAGGGCTATTCTTTTTCTGCAAACATACCTGGTTTTGTTTCTGAATCTAACTTATAACAATTTCTAATTTCATAAGAAAATTCTCTAGGAGAGTTAAGGCATATTAATCATTTAGAATGTCAAACATACTGCCCATCACAGCCTAGATTGTTGCCCATGTCTCTCTCTCAGATACCTGGGCTTGGGCAGGAACACTGGTACAGCTGTCTCTTCCTCTTGGTGTTGGGAGGCAACTAATGTAAACACAGTACCTTGTTAGATTCAGCTTGGGCTTTCACTGTTTCTGTCTTGGTTGGAGATGACATGGCATCCATGGATTTCAGGACTTCCTCTTTTGATTCCAGCCACTGCAGCACAGAGTTTGCCTCCTTGTGAACCTCCTCCATTCTGTTGAGGATAGCCTGAAGGCTTTCCTGGCGTTCATGAAGTACTCCCCCTAGTTTCTCATACTTCAAGTTTACATCTGACATGTCACACTGGATCTCCGTCAGATCTAGTATCATAGAAACAGAAATCAGATTGGAGACAGCTCTTCGAGTATGCTCCTTGACTCCTCACTCCTAAATTACTTGCATCTCTCTTACTCCTTCTAGTGAATTAGAGATTATCTTCCTGCTAAATCATACAAAAGTTCCCATTTATATACACAAAACAAAAGCATTCTCATTAATCTGCTTTCTGGTTTTGGCATTATATACTCAGATGTATACCTTAAAATGCTAAACATGGGAACAACAAAAGTGAAGGGAGCAAAGTAAGAAATTAACCTTAGTTTACTATTGGGATTAAGGGACTTGGAGCATTCTTCCATTCCTTCTTCTCCAAACTACAGAGAAGTCACCTAGCTGGGAGGCTGAGAGCTAGACTAGATTATCTCTAGTATAACTTCTTTATAATTCAAAGATTAACATATATTTTCTTTGAGTTCCTTCCCTATTTGCCTTATCTAGTGATCCAATCTATTGTATTTCTACAATACCTTTAGCTTCAGGGGCTGCCAACCTGTTTATGGTCTATAGCCAGCAAACCACAGTTGCTTCTCCCCAGATTTTTATCCTCACACCCATTCTGGCAGCAGTTCTTCCACCACATATTGCAACATACACAGATGCAAACATAGACACTGTCCTAACACATCCAACAAAGAAGCACTGTTGAAATGGCATTCTCACCTTTGCAGGTGTGGTATCCGTTTACACTGCCTACAGAGCTTCCTACAGAGGGCAGTATGGAACCTGAGCAGAAGGACAGGGAGACAAACAGGGCAAGACCAACGTGTTAGGAATACATATAGGCACTGAATTTGTCCTTTGGCCCTCACTTTAAGCTTAGGTATCAGGAAGTTAACACAGCACAAGACAACATACTCATGGAAAGAGACAAATTATTTTAGCTGCCAGGCAACAAAACGTCACTCAAGGTTCTTAGCAGGAATGATTCTTAATCCCTTCTAGAGGAAATTCGTATTCCCTTTTTATTAAATCTCCAACTTGAATTCTCTGGATGCCGCCCTAATTTTGTGAAGCAAGTACTGGTAAAATTATTCAGTCTAGAATGGTACTTGCCATATTTTGGAATAAGCTTTTATAATAAAGCCAGAAAGTTTCACCTTTTATATCAATATCTTTCAATATAATAAAAATGAAAATACCATTAAGGACAGAAAAAGCAGCCTTTTTTTTTTTCTTTTTTGAGACAGAGTCTCACTCTGTTGCCCAGACTGAAGTGCGGTGGCATGATCTCGGCTCACTGCAACTTCCACTTCCCAGGTTCAAGCAATTCTCCCATCTCAGCCTCTCAAACAGCTGGGATTACAGGCGCCTGCCACCAGGCCCGGCTAATTTTTGTATTTTTAGTAGAGACGGGGTTTCACTATGTTGGTCAGGCTGGTCTCAAACTCCCGACCTCAGGTGATCTGCCTGCCTCGGCCTCCCAAAGTGCTGGGATTATAGGCATGAGTCACCGTGCCTGGCCTAAAAAGCAGCCTTCTTCTAATAAAGACATTAAAATGAGCCCTTCTTATATTGTTTTTAAAGGAAGATTATTTGCCTTTTCTTTCATAACCTCTTCTTGCTCACCTTTCCCCAAGAAAAAACAGAAATCCTAAGTGCCAATAAATCTGGCTCATCAACATTCTTATAAATTGTGCTTTGGGCCTTTGGTTCTGTTTCTAATCACCATAATTTCACATACATTCTCCCCAAACTGATTCCTTATATTTCAGAAGTTTCCCAAGATAGGTAAAAATCAGGTGAGGTAATGATAAATATTATACAGAAATCTGAAAAATATTCATAATGATACTTTAAAAGGACAGAAAACTCTCATATGCACTGACTTCACTGTACAAAAAGTCATGTGCAAGGTTATATTACAAAATAGTTGGCCGGGCGCGGTGGCTCACACCTGTAATCCTAGCACTTTGGGAGGCTGAGGTGGGTGGATTGCCTGAGCTCAGGAGGTTCGAGACCAGCCTGGGCAATACGGTGAAACCCCATCTCTATTAAAATGCAAAAAATTAGCTGGGTGTGGCAGCGGACGCCTGTAGTCTCAGCTACTGGGGAGGCTGAGGCAGGAGAATCGATTGAACCCGGGAGGCAGAGGTTGCAGTGAGCCAAGATGGTGCCACCGCACTCCAGTCTGGGCGACAGAGCAAGACTCCATCTCAAAACAACAACAAAAACAAAATAGTTGTGGGCCAGGTGTAATGGCTCACGCCTGTAATCCCAGCACTTTGGGAGGGTGGAAGTTTAAGACCAGCCTAGGCAACACGAGACCCTGTCTCTACAAAAAAATATTAAAAAAAAAAAAAATTAGTCAGGCATGACAGTGCACATTTGTGGTCCTAGCTACTCAGGAGCTTGAGGTGGGCTGATTGCGTGGGCCTAGGAGGTCAAAGCTACAGAGAGCCATGATCACACTACCGTACTCCAGCCTGGGTGACAGAGCGAGACCCTGTCTCTAAAAGGAAGGAAAAAAATTAGCTGAATTAGGGTGGTGATTATAAAACTTTTAAATGTTAATGTTATTATATTTTCGATTAAAAAATACAAAATAGAAAAATAACATTCCATTGCAGTGTGGTGATGCAAAAAAAGAAACTGGACTAGTAGGTGGGAGAAGACGGTACTAACCAAGGTTGTCACTAACTCAGTATGTGAGCCTTAATCTACAAACACAGTTTATTCTGCAGGATTTAAAGATAATACAACCTATCCTGTTAACTCTCATGGGGTAACTGGGAAGAGATCATGAGCGAATGTATATCAAAGTACTTTATGAAACGGAGCTAGATAAATGTAAGGAACTGAAATATACATGGTTTTTCAGAGTTGGAGGAGAACTTTGAGAGCACTCAAGATAGTAATTTTCAAACTGATTTTCAAAACACCCTAAAAACGTGCTTTAGGGATTGTGTTTAATGTTTGGTTTAAATGTAATATTCACATAAATTTCTAAGTACTTAGAAATGATAATAAAACATGCATGTTCAATTATGCTGAATTCTACACCTTAACCCACCAGATAAAACCAATTATGCTGCTTTTCTGGGGAAAGTAAAGCAGCTCCTGACACATCTAAGCATCTATTTTAAGTTATTTTTGAGTGTCCCTGATTGGAAAGGTGGTAGCTCTTTACCAGCAATTTATGATATTCAAACCTGTCCATGTCCACTCATGTATACTATACAAAGAAAAACATCTATAGCACATGTGTAATACATTAAATAACACGACCAAAAATATAACACGACTTGCTCTCTGTACATCTACACAGTTCTCATTGTGGCAGAATTGTGTAATAATAGAATTCTTAACACTTCAAGTCAGTTGGACAGTTTTTGTCCTCAATGTCAGTCTTAAGTGTTTTCTATGTGTAAAAGCCCTCATTAAATATTCTTAGTGATTTAACTTTGAAACAATAATTTCTTATTACATCACTTTCAAGTTTCTAGCTCAATTCAATCAAAGCCTGTTCTGACATTGTGAAGTCAACTTTCAAAAACATTTGTCATCATTTGCAGTTACTTAATCTGTGTGAACCATATTTTCTGGATACAATGAAACCAAACAAAATTTAGAAATAAATTAGATAGGCTGGGCCTGGTGGCTCACACCTGTAATCCCAGCACTTTGGGAGGCCAAGGCAGGTGGATCACAAGGTCAGGAGATTGAGACCATCCTGGCTAACACAGTGAAACCCTGTCTCTACTAAAAATACAAAAAATTAGCCAGGCGTGGTGGCAGGTGCCTGTAGTCCCAGCTACTTGGGAGGCTGAGGCAGGAGAATGGCATGAACCTGGGAGATGGAGCTTGCAGTGAGCCGAGATCGTGCCACTGCACTCCAGCCTGGGCAACAGAGCGAGACTCCGTCTCAGGAAAAAAAAAAAGAAAGAAAGAAATTAGATGGTGAAGCTGTCATCCAATAATCTTCCTTTTCAAATTTTTATATTCGTTAAGTTAGTCTCAATATTCTTACTGATGGATTTCATAACAGATAAATGCTATAAAATAACATATAAGGGAAACTTACACCAACAAAATGGTTTCTTTTAATTTTTATTATTTATTTATTTATTTATTTTTGAGATGGAGTCTCGCTCTGTCACCCAGGCTGGAGTGCAGTGGTGCGATCTCAGCTCACTGCAAGCTCTGCCTCCCGGGTTCATGCCATTCTCCTGCCTCAGCCTCCCGAGTAGCTGGGACTACAGGCACCCGCCACCACACCTGGCTAACTTTTTGTATTTTTAGTAGAGACGAGGTTTCACTGTGTTAGCCAGGATGGTCTCGATCACCTGACCTCATGATCCACCCGTCTCGGCCTCCCAAAGTGCTGGGATTACAGGCGTGAGCCACTGCGCCCGGCAGCCAACAAAATGTTTTGTTTTACGTAGTAGGGTTCTATATGAGATTTCTGTTCTATATGAGATTTCTGGTTTTTTTTTAAAAAAATGATCTAGTCTAGGAGTCAGTAAACTACAGCTCATCAGTCAAATCTGGCCCTTTGTTTCAACAAAGTTTTACTGGAATACAGTCACAACCACTCATTTCTATTAATGTATTGTCTTTGGCTGTTTTTGTTACAATGGCAGAGGTATATGACTGTGACAGAGACCATATACCCTGCAAACCTAAAATAGTTACTATCTGGCCCTTTATAGAAAAAGTTTGCTGACTCTGATTTAGTCACACGAATAAGTCACTGAACGTAGAGGTTGATATATCACCAATTCCCTGAAATGTCACTTGTGGATAGTTCCAAAATATCTTTTAACTTTAGAATACTATAGAAAAGTACACATTTTCAGAAAGCAAATAAATTTTTCCTTTACTCGTTAAGTGACTATAGGAGTGCACTATCACAGACTAGTAATAAAACTTATGTGATCTCAATTAACAACGAGCAAGTGACTGGGAACTCACATGAGATTTTGTTTATTTATTTATTTTTTTTTAGACAGAGTCTCGCCCTGTCGCACAGGCTGGAGTGCAGTGGCGCAATCTTGGCTCACTGCAACCTCTGCCTCCCGGGTTCAAGCAGTTCTCCCACATCAGCCTCCTGAGTAGCTAGGATTACAGGCGCAAGCCACCATGCCTGGCTAATTTTTGTATTTTTAGTAGAGATGGGGTTTCACCATGTTGGCCAGGCTGGTCTTGAACTCCTGGCCTCAAGTGTTCCACCTCCTTTGGCCTCCCAAAGTGCTGGGATTACAGGCGTGAGCCACTGTGCCTGGCCTTCATATTAGATTTTGCTTCAAAGACTTAATTTGCAGTGAAAGATTATATACACATCTGGGCACAATCTTTGTACCCCCTTTGAAGTACTGATTTTTTTTTTTTTTTGAGATGGGGTCTCCGTCCGTCGCCCAGGCTGGAATACAGTGGCACGATCTTGGCTCACTGCAACCTCTGCCTCCCGGGTTCAAGCCATTCTCTTGCCTCAGACTCCCAAATAGCTGGGATTACAGGCACAAGCCACCAGGCCTGGCTAATTTTTATATTTTTAGTAGAGACAAGGTTTCACCATTTTGGCCAGGCTGGTCTTGAACTCCCGACCTCAAGTGATCAGCCCACCTAGGCCTCCCAAAGTGCTGAGATTACAGGCATGAGCCACCATGCCTGGCCCAACACTGACTTCTAAATACCTTGCTTCTTCCTGGATATCACAATCATACCTACCCAGGCTTTCCCAACTTTTTTTTTTTTTTTTTTTTTTTTTTTTCCTGAGATGGAGTCTCACTCTGTCTGTTGCCCAGGCTGGAGTGCATGCACTGTCGTGGCTCAATGAAACCTCCACCTACCAGGTTCAAGCTATTCTCCTGTTTCAGACTCCCGAGTAGCTGGGACTATAGGTGCGTGCCACCATGCCCGGCTAATGTTTGTATTTTTTTTTTTTTTTGAGACAGAGTCTCGCTCTGTCTGTTGCCCAAGTTGGAGTGCAGTGGCGTGATCTCGGCTCACTGCAAGCTCCGCACCATTCTCCTGCCTCAGCCTCCTGAGTAGCTGGGACTACAGGCACCCGCCACCATGCCTGGCTAATTTTTTGTATTTTTAGTAGAGATGGGGTTTCACCGTGTTAGCCAGGATGGTCTCAATCTCCTGACTTCGTGATCCGCCTGCCTTGGCCTCCCAAAGTGCTGGGATTACAGGTGTGAGCTGCCGCACCTGGCCTAATTTTTGTATTTTTAGTAGAGATGGGGTTTCACCATGTTGGCCAGGCTGGTTTTGATCTTCTGACTTCGTGGCTGGCCAGTGCCCAAGTTTAAAGATGATGCTTACCCATCCCATTTACACATTCAAAAAAGGGAAATTCTCAAGATGAAAATCTCATTTTAATTATTCAGTGTTCATTTGATAGTTCTAAGTGGGACAACTAGTTCATTTACTTTTTCCATCATGGGAAGGAATTTTGCAAAATGGAGCAATGTTATATAGCAAAAGGGGTGACAGGTCAGGTTGCAGGGGAAGACTGCTTTGGGCATGCCCTTTGTTTTCATATCCAACCTTGATTTTCACTTTAATTATATAAGGAGGCATCTCCAAAGGCCAAAAGCAAAGAGCAATTTTTATTCACTATATTTTGAAGAGCCTGTACTCACCTGTCTTGCCTTGGGAATCAGGTGCTGTGATTTCCATGATGAGATTTTCTAAAGAAGTACCTTTGCAATTGATTTCTTCCACCAGAGTTCCCTTACTTGCCCAGTCATCTAGTAGACTCTGTTTAAAGAAGAAAATGGCCAAATGTAGTATCTGGGGCTTTTTCCTCATAAGTAGGGACATCTGTTCTGTATATACTCCCTAGTGTTTTGAAAAGCATTAAGAGACCATCCTTCTGATTTATTTATTCATTTATCAAATATCTATTGAACATTTACTATATGACTGGCACCATGCCAAACACTGGGGTACAAAATAGAATTATGATACAATTTCTAAAACCAGAAGCTCAGATTATCAATTGCATTATAATGTGATAAATGCTATTACAGTATTATGGACAGTCTGTGAATTCCAAGAGCATAAGAGGAGTTCTATCTAATTCTGCCTAGAGGAAGGAAAGCTCTGAATTAAGATAATGGCTGGGCATGGTGGTTCACACCTGTAATCCCAGCACTTTGGGAGGCTGAGGCGGGCAGATCACTTGAGGTCAGGAGTACAAGACCAGACTGGCCGACATGGTGAAACCCCGTCTCTACTAAAAATACAAAAAAAAAATTAGCCGGGCGTGGTGGCAGGCACCCGTAATCCCAGCGACTCAGGGCGCTGAGACGGGAGAGTTGCTTGAACCTGGGAGGCAGAGGTTGCAGTGAGCCGAGATCATGCCACGGCATCCCAGCCTGGGTGACAGAGTGAGACTCCGTCTTAAAAAAAAAAAAAAAGCAAAGAAAGATAAGAGTTTGCCAGATGGACAAGAGGGAACAACATGCATATAAAGATAAAAAAAGAAATGGTAACTAGAGGATAAATAAGGAGCTAGATATTGAGATACAGAAAAATACATAGAATCATAGGCTATACTTTGCATTTATTAAGGAAACTTTATATTGGGTTTGAAATCAAAGATCCAACTACCACAGAAATCCGTCAGGAAACAATGGCATTTGCTCTAAGACAAAAATACCACATCACGTTAAGTCTCCAAGATGTCTCCTGCCATAGTTGTAGGATTTTACTCCTTTCAGAGAAAGGACACCATTCTAGCCTTCATTGCCCTCCTCCATACTGAATATCCCTGACAATCTACTTAGTTTGCTTTTGACTTTAAGCTGCAGAGAAAGGCACAGAGCTCTACTCATATTGCCTAATTTCAAACTGACCCTTGGTCACTGCTTGTCAGTTCTTTAATTAATCACTCTTTTTTTTTTTTTTTTTTTTTGAGACAGAGTCTCACTCTCTATCACCCAGGCTGGAGTGCAGTGGCACCATCTCAGCTCACTGCAACCTCCACCTCCCAAGTTCAAGCAATTCTCTGCCTCACCCTCTTGAGTAGCTGGGATTACAGGCACCTGCCACCACGTCCAGCTAATTTTTGTATTTTTCGTAGAGATGGGGTTTCACCATCTTGGCCAGGCTGATCTTGAACTCCCGACCTTGTGATCCACCCGCCTCGGCCTCCTAAAGTGCTGGTATTACAGGCGTTGAGCCACTGCGCCTGGCCATTAATCACTCTTGATTCCAAAGAGCCACAGTCCCCAAACTATGGCTTTACTCACAGAATATTTTACATTTTTGAGGAAAATACAGTGACATCTGTTGAACACCATATGAACAACTACTAAGTTGTTTGGACCTAACTTCTTAGCAAGTAGAAGTATTAGGAGTTTTTTTTTGTTTCTGTTTTTTTTGGCCTTGAGGTGCCATGACAAATTTCTTAAAACACCATGGGCACTGTGAAACAAAAATGTTGGGAAAGCTCTGTCCTAGGGAATTCCCAACAGCAAATGCTCCTGGCACTCACTCTGTGAAAGCAATCAAACGCTTTTCTTTCATCTGCTCAGGATGAAGTATGCTTTACTGAGAAAATAAGGATAAGTGCATGACAGTTAGTCAGAGGCATATTTGGCTTATTTCAACAAAAGGAAGACATAGGTTAGAGGTGTAAGCAGAGGCTGGATAATTACGGATCAAAGACAGTACAGAAGGGATTTTGCAGGGAATGGGAGGAAGGTTGGTCCCATCCTTGAAGGTACCTTCCAACCATCTGATTCTAGCTTTTCCTTTACTAGCTGAAGTAGTACTAGTTCTTCTATCCTCAATTTCCTGATCATATTATCTGGTTACTTGCTCAAATATATTTGTCTAATTCTCAAACATACAAAGAGAGTGTATGCTTCTCAAGGACTGTATGGGTAGATGGTTATCATATGAAGAAAACGTAGGAATTTCTGTTCTGATGCAGACTGACAACTTGGATTTCTCATACATTTCCCCACCACAGCTGGAGACCAGTTAATACAAGTATTCAAACCAGTGCCTAGCCCAATTCTTGGAGTCCCTTTGTTCACCTACCTTCAGGTGTTCAATCTGCTTTTCTAACTCTTTAGCACTCATAGAAGTTTCCGTAGGTGGAATACTCCCTTCAGTTTCTTTCAACCATTTCTGGAAGGTCCTGACCAGCTTCCGGAATTCATCCAACTGTTCCTGGCAAGATGATGCATCTTTCTCTCTGTCAATGAAGCAGTTTTGTTACTTGCCAGACTAAGTTTTATAAAGTCAACTTGAGCTAAGAGTAGTTCATTCTGTGACTCCAGACATCAGTTACCTAACATGGCCTTTCTTTCTCATAATCTTTTCCATAGCAGGTTTGGCTGAACAACCGCATATAACATTGAAGCGTACCAAACTCAGGAATATATTGCCCTTGTTTGGACATTTCTGGGGAAAGAGGTCTTCAATCTTACTCTAGGCTAAAGTGAAAGTGAGAAAAACTAAAGGGAGGCTGCTATTTAGGTACTGTGATACAATGGAAAGAATGCAGGCTTTGGATCTCAATTCCGGCCCTGCTACATTTTAGCTATTTGACTCTTTCAAGGACCAATTCAAGTGCTGATTGCTTTAGCAAGGAAGGTGCCGAAACTGAGGCTCACAGAAGTTAGGTGATTAGTTCTAGATTAATGATGCCAATGAATAAACTAAATCAAAAGGAAAGTTTTGGAAATGGCCATATCTATCAGACAGATGTCAATCCAGAAATCCTGATTCCTCATACAGTAAAAAGGCCCTCAGCATAGGGGAAGAAAAACAAAAGCTTTCTTGACCTTTGTCCCCATCCTCTCCATTAGATAACCTGCTGCTAATAATGTTGGTTTGAGCAACTCTTTTCTTCTAATCACTAAGGCAGTTATCTGCTAAATCAAGATCATATTTATCGCTAAACTTAGATAAGAAGTCTTGTTCATGCTCTTAAATCTATGTGAGGCTGTCCAGTGAGGAATCATGGCTTTTCAACAGGGACCAAAATCAGCCAGCCTTGTCATATATTCCCTTGTTTGCCTTGAAAGAAGAATCCAGATACTCTTCTAAAATAGCAACTTAAATGTGGTCAAAACAAGCAGGGGGTCTGGGCATAGTGGTTCACACCTGTAATCCCAGCACTTTGGGAGGCCAAGGCAGTAGGATCGATGAGGCCAGGAGTTCACAAGTAGCCTGGTCAACATAGCAAGACCCCATATCTTTAAAAAAAAAAAAAAAAAAAAGCCAGGGGACTGCCAACATCACCCTTAATTATGTCTAGGAAGTCTCTTCCAATTTTTCTCTTCTTTCAAAATTATTCTGTAATCTTACTTGCTGCCTCAAATTTGTTCTGTTTGGTCCAAGTGGCCTAGGCTTCTGATCACAAAGAGAGGGAACTCATCCCTACTTTCTATTAGTTACTATTAGAAAAACCACTAAGTGGCTGGGTGCAGTGGCTCATGCCTGTAATCCCAGCACTTTGGGAGGCGGAGGCAGGTCGATCACCTGAGGTCAGGAGTTCGAGACCAGCCTGGCCAGTGTAGGGAAACCCCGTCTCTACTAAAAATGCAAAAATTAGCTGAGCATGGTGGTGGGCGCCTGTAATCCCAGCCACTCAGGAAGCTGAGGTAGAAGAATTGCTTGAACCCAAGAGATGGAGGTTGTAGTGAGCCAAGATGGCACCACTGCACTCCAGCCTGGGTGACAGAGTGATACTCAGTCTCAAAAAAAAAGAAAAGAAAAACCACTAAGCATCAAGTAGATGAGGTAGCTTTGCCTAAAAAAAGGCACTTTTCACCCTCCTACAACTCAGTAGTAGAATTTTAGATGCCATCTGTTCTGGTAAAGGAAGAAAAGAGAAAAGATCATTTCACTCCATAACAAGAAAAAATAGTTCCCCAATGCTGACCAACACAAGTGATAACTCACCTCTCTTTAACTGTCTTCTGTAGCTCTGTGAAGTCTTTTCTTAGATTCTGTACCCTGTCCTGATGCTGGCACAAGTCCAGCGCAAAGCCACAAGAGCTCAGTTCAGTGACCAGGTGCTCAAGAGTATCTAGGTTCTCCTGTTGGTCTTCCATTTCCAAATTGAGCTCCTGTCAAGCAAACAAGGAAATGTATTAAATCCTCTAATCCTTATAAATATACTCTAAAAAGGAATAAGGAAAGAGGTATGCTTGCCAGGTCAAATGCTAGATCAAAACAATAAATATGCAACTCAGTGAAAAGTTTAAAAAAAACAAACAAACATTTTTTTTTTTTTTTTTCCTTTTGAGACAGAGTTTTACTCCTGTCATCCAGGCTGGAGTACAATGGCGGTATCTTGGCTCACTGCAACTTCCGCCTCCTGGGTTCAAGCGATTCTCCTGCCTCAGCATCTCGAGCAGCTGGGATTACAGTCTCCTGCCACCATGCCCAGCTAATTATTTTTTGTATTAAAAAGCCCAATTAAAAAATCTGATAAATATGTAGGACAACTTCAATCCACTGGAGAGTGGCTAGGAATTACAAAACAGTCTTGTCTCCTCTAAACAAACGTTCAAAGACTTGGGAGGTACCATGACAGGACGTAAAGAATGAAAGTTTCAGGAGTCAAATACACCTCACCTGAAATTCAATCACACTTTGCCACTTACCAACTTGTGATCTTAAGCTACTAAACTACTCTAAGCTTCATGGTCTCTTCTATAAAATGGGGGTAAACACACTATCTCCACTATTATTTAACATTATACTTAAGATATCAGCCAGGCCCAGTGGCTCACGCCTGTAATCCCAGCACTTTTCGGGGCCAAGGTGGGTGGATCACTTAAGCCTAGGAGTTCAAGACCAGCCTGGGCAACATGGCAAAACTCCATCTCTATTTTTTAAAAAAAGTTAATTTAATAATTAAAAAAAAAACAGCCAATGCAATTAAGAGAAAACAATCTGTGGAGTAAGAATTGGAAAAGAAGAGATAAAACTGTATTTGTAGGTCACATGAAAGTATATTTGTATGGCCAGGCACGGTGGCTCACGTCTGTAATCCTAGCATTTTGGAAGGCCAAGGCAGGCCCATCACTTGAGGTCAGGAGTTCATGATCAGGCTGGCCAACATGGTGAAACTCCGTCTCTACTAAAAATACAAAAATTAGCTGGGCATGGTGGCGCACTCTGTAGTCCCAGCTGCTTGGGAGGCTAAGGCAGAAGAATCACTTGAATTTGCGAGGAGGAGGTTGCAGTGAGCCAAGATTGTGCCACTGCACTCCAGCCTGGGCAACAGAGTGAGACTCCGCCTCCAAAAAAAAAAAAAAAAAAAAAGGCCAGGCATGGTGGCTCATTCCTGTAATCCTAGCACTTTGGGAGGCCGAGGCAGGAGGATCACTTGAGTTCAGGAGTTCAAGACCAGTCTGGTCAATGTGGTGAAACCCTGTCTCTACTAAAAACACAAAAATTAGCTGGAAATTGCTGGAACCCAGGAGGCGGAGGTTGCAGTGAGCCGAGATTGTGCCATAGCACTCCAGCCTGGATAACAGAGCAAGTCTCTGTCTCAAAAAAAAAAAAAAAAGTATATTTGTAAAACCCAAGATAATCAACAATAAAACGAAATCAAACAACGAAGTAGTTAAACAAGGTAGCAGGCTATAAAATTAACACACAAAAATCAATAATGAAAACTTCAACTTACTATAGCAACACAAAAGGCTCAATCTTAGTAATCAACTAACAAGAAACACAAAATCTAAATTTTAAAACACTTCTGAAATTGGGTGCAGTGGCTCTTGCTTGTAATCCCAGTTGCTGGGGAGGCTGAGACTCCTGGGAATCACTTGAGCCCAGGAGTTTGAGGATGCAGTGAGCTATGATCATGCCACTGCACTCCAGCCTGGGCAACAGAGCAGGACCCCATCTCAAAACAAAAAAGAACAAAAAAATCAAAAACACTCCTGAAAAACACAAAAGCAGATCTGACTAGATGGAAACACATCCATAAAAGTGCATGCGTATGTATTTGCTTATGTATGTATATGTGTTTGCGTGAATGAATACATTTAGTGTGACCCACATAAAAATGCTAACTTCTCTAGAACTAATGAAGGTGATTCCTAAATTCACATAGAAAAATAAATGTGCAACTACACCTATGAAAAACTTTGAAAGAAAAAAATTGAGGAGGACTAGCTCTCTACCACACATTAAAATATACCATAAAGCCTCTATAATTAAAATAGTATGCTCTGGTACATGAATGGAAACACCAGCAAAACAGAATAGAAAATCCAGAAATAGGCCAGGTGAGGTGGCTCATGCCTGTAATCTCAGCACTTTGGGAGGCCAAGGTCGGTGGATTACTTGAGGTCAGGAGTTCGAGACCAGCCTGGCCAACATGGTGAAACCCCGTCTCTGCTAAAAATACAAAAATTAGCCAGGCGTGGTGGCAGGCCCCTGTAATCCCAGCTACTTGGGAGCCTGAGGCAGGAGAATCGCTTGAACCTGGAAGGCAGAGGTTGCAGTGAGCCAAGATCATGCCACTGCACCCCAGCCTGGGTGACAGAACAAGATCCCATCTCAAAAAAAAAAAGAAAAAAAAGAAAATCCAGAAATAGACTCAAAGACATATAAAAATTGTGTATATGATGAAGATGGTTTCTTAAATCTGGGGAAAATATGGACTTTTCAAATAAATGATACAGGTTGGATATCCTTTATGCTTGGGACCAGAAGTGTTTTGAATTCCAGACTCTTCCAGATTTTGGAATATTTGCATTATACTTAGCAGTTGAACATCCCTAATCTGAAGCTCTGAAATCTGAAGTGCTCCAATGAGTCTTTCCTTTGAGCATGACCTCTTGAGTGTCATGTCAGCTCTCAAAAAGTTTCAGATTTTGGGCTGGGTGTGGTGGCTCATGTCTGTAATCCCAGGCCTTTGGGAGGCTGAGGCAGGTGGATCACGAGGTCAGCAGATCGAGACCATCCTGGCTAACATGGTGAAACCCCATCTCTACTAAAAATACAAAAAAATTAGCTGGACGTGGTGGCGGGCGCCTGTAGTCCCAGCTACTTGGGAGGTTGAGGCAGAGAATGGCATGGACCCAGAAGGCAGAGCTTGCAGTGAGCTGAGATCGTGCCACTGCACTCCAGCCTCGGTGACAGAGCAAGACTCCGTCTCAAAAAGAAAAAAAAAGTTTCAGATTTTGGAGCATTTCAGATTTTGGATTGGGGCACTCAACTTCTATTATGAACAACTAGATAGACATAACAGAAAAAGGTAACATGATTCATACTTCAGAATAAGCTTAAATTGTTAAAAGATTCAAATGTAAAAAAAAATTAAAACAAGTTTTAGAATAAAGCATGAATAAATTTTTTCATAACCTGGGTGTGACAAAAATCTTTCAAACTATGACTAAAAATACATATTTAATAAAATACTCATAAAATCTTCTATGTAGAACAAAAATTCCACATTTACGGCCGGGCGCGGTGGCTCACGCCTGTAATCCCAGCACTTTGGGAGGCTGAGGCGGGCGGATCACGAGGTCAGGAGATCGAGACCATCCTGGCTAACACGGTGAAACCCCGTCTCTACTAAAAATACAAAAAATTAGCCAGGCGCGGTGGCAGGCACCTGTAGTCCCAGCTGCTCAGGAGGCTGAGGCAGGAGAATGGCGTGAACCCGGGAGGCAGAGCTTGCAGTGAGCCGAGATCGCGCCACTGCACTCCAGCCTGGGCGACAGAGCGAGACTCCGTCTCAAAAAAAAAAAAAAATTCCACGTTTACATGGCAAAAAACACCATAAGTCAAAAGCACAATCTGGGAAACAATATTTCTAACATATCACAGATAAAGAATTAATCTCTCTAATATATAAGAACTCTAAAAAAAAAAAACTTTAAAAATTGAGAGAAAACCAAAAATCTTTACCAAAAAATGACAAAATACATGAACAGATAGTTCACAAATAAATGACTCTTAAATGTAAAAATACACTCAACCTCGCTCATAAGAGAAATAAAAATTAAAACCACATTCACATATCATGTTTTACCAATCACACCAGAAAAAAATTAAAAGCTTGATAATAAATTTTGTTGGTGAGGCTATAGGGGAAACAGGTACTCTAATACACTGCTGCTGGGAATGCAAAATGGTGAAATTTCAATGGAGGGGAATTTGGCTATTTCTAACAAAACTATACATGTATTTACCCTTTAATGCAACAACTCCACTCTAGGAACTTATTCTGAGGATACACTTCCAATATTATGGGAAAAAATACACACAGCTATTCAGTAGTAATAGCACAATTTCGGAAACAACAATTCAAATTTCCACCACGTATGAGTCTTGTTGGCCAGGTGTGGTGGCTCATGCCTATAATCCCAGCACTTTGGGAGGCCGAGGCGGGCAGATCACTTGAGGTCAGGAGTTTGAGATCCTGGCCAACATGGTGAAACCCCATCTCTACTAAAAATACAAAAAAACTACCCAGGCATCGTGGCAGGCACCTATAATCCCAGCTTCTTGGGAGGCTGAGGCAGGAGAATCACTTGAACCCAAGTGGAGGTTGAGGTTACAGTGAGCCAAGATCGTGCCACTGCACTTCAGCCTGGGCAACAGAGCGCAGAGTAAGACTCTGTCTCAAAAAAAAAAAAAAAAGAAAGAAAGAAAGAAAGAGTCTTGTTGATTAAACTGTAACTCTTCTACACAATGAAAGTATGGTTTAAAAAACAAAGATCTCTGTGAATCCATATTAAGTGATTTCCAAGACATATTAAGTAAAAAAGCAAAGGATTACGTAATATACCCTTCTTTTTTGTAAGGAAGAATGGAGAATAAGAATGTGTGTGTATGTTCATTTTGGTAAAAAGGAATAGAAAAAAATAAACCTGAAATGTGTTACTATGGGGATGGGTGAAAATGGGATGGAAGAGACAGGAAAGACAATGAGAATATATCCTTATTCACTTCCTATACCTTGAGTATAACTTTTTGAAGAGTTTTAACTTTTGACCTATGTTAATGCTTTACATATTTAAAAATAAGTTTAATCAACAAAGGTAGAAAAATAAAGTCCTAAAGTTGAATACAAATAGAAACAAATCTAATTATATAAGAAATTACAGAAAAAATAATTCAGGTAATTTTTGAACACAGTACATAGTGGGTCATAGGCTAAGGACAAAAACAAATCCAAAGAAATCTTCAATTTTATTTAGCAGGTTTGTTATTGGTAGAAATACTAATGTAATTCTAAAACTATCTTATATTTATTGTAGAATAAAACAAATAAGTAAATATATTAAAGTTGCTGGGAACTAGGGTTCTCCCTACAGGAAAGGAAGATACAAATGTGGAAAGGAGGAAGATTCCTATGGTGTTGCGTTGAGACTAGACTATCAGTATGATTTTATGATATAAGAAACATACACATATATTTCCTAACACTATCTATTAAAAAGAACCTAAAAGTAGTGACACTCCAGTAGCTCATCTAGTGTCCAGATTTGGTTTCTAAATATCATTCCCCACTAAAAGTGGGACTCCTTGGATAAATAGCTGATTTCAGATAGGGGACAAGGAAATACATTATTGTGCCACAAATATCTTAAGTTCCAAAAGTGCTCTTATGCTGAGGAAGACATGTCAAAAAGCCACAGGAGACAGCTTGAAGAGGCTCCCACCGACCACATTTGGGAAAACGTTAAGTATCATAAAGAATAATGGTAATAACAAATATAGAAGCCCATAATGATACTCTCTTTTATATTTTTATAAGAGAGGGAAAACAATTAGCAACTGGTGAATCTAGGTGAAGAGTATGCTGGTGTGTAATGGACCATTTCTTCTGCTTTTCTGTAAGTTTGAAATCATTCAAAGCAAAAAGGAGAGCAAACCAAACCAAACAATGAGATTCCACTTTAATATGGAAAAAGTTAGAAAGCTGGATAAAGCGAAGGCAGCAATGCAGAGATACAGGAATGCTGAAGTACTACAGGTGGGAATGTGTGCTGGTACAGCCATTCTGGAGCTCAAATTGGCCACTACTGAGTCGAATTAAATTAATATATGCATATACTATGACTTGGCAGTTTTACTTCTGGATATATATCTGTGGTAGCTGTTAATACTTTTACCAAATATTTCTAGCTTTGCACCTTCTAGGTAAGTGGTGAGATTACATTTCCTCACCCTCTTGAAAGGTATAGGTGGTTTTGTGGAAAGTGCTTTGACTAATAAAATGTAAATAAATATAATATGCCCTTTTACCACTGAGGCAGTAATCATGAAAGCTTATATCAGGATGAAATCTCCATCAATCTGCATCCCTTGAGTGACTATGATGAACTGAGTGGCCCTGCTGATTTGGGTTGAACATGTAATAAGAGTGAAAAATAAATATTGACTGTGTTGCTTAAAAAATGGACAAATGATACCTAGTTTACGGGATCACTGTAATAATTCCCAAAGATAATGCAGGTAGTTTCCAGTATACTGACTGATGTAGTATGCGCTCAGCAAATGCTGGTTCTCTCCCTGCCCTTCTCTTCCCTTTATTCTGCTAACATGGCAGATATATCCTCACCTGGATCTGTTGGAAGAAATGTGTAATATCTTGATCTGGCTGATTTCCAGAGGCCAGCATCCGACTTTTGTTTTCCATGAACTGCTGCAGCTTACCAGAGAGGTGTTCAAACATCTCTGCCTGGGGTAGAAGCTTCTTTAGGGAGCTCTCCTTTTCTTGCTGCTGTAGACAGAGCTGTTCGAACCGCTGGCTCACCTCTGCCAGTTTGCCCTGCAGCACTGCTGCTGTAGTACTGTCTGCTGTCTCCATGAATCGGGTCACCATCTCACGGGTGGCCTCCAAGCTGCTCTTTTGCCGAGCAATGTCCTGCTTCAATTTCTGTCATGAAGAACACGTCTGTCAGCTCCTGGTTCACTTATTCCAGGACATCTGAGCCACAAACTAATAACTATATGCTATCTCACAAGGGGGACTGGAGGACTGCAACCGAGCCTCCAGAATACCACACATCTCATCACCTTAGTTCTCCACCCCTTCTACCACATGACTTTGCTATCTCCACTTTCATTCCAGCTCAACTGGGTAGAAATATCTTTACATAGATTAGTTATCATTTCTAAATCTTATTAGATGATTCACAGATATTAGGTTCCCTCTTGTTACTTTTTCAACATTATGTAATGATGGCACATAGCAAACATACCCTCTATGCTAGCTCTTGGGACACAGATCTTACCATATTTGTGGCTAAGGCTTCCTGGATGACTCCTGATGAGAGTGATGACACCTGCTTCCCTTCCAGGTTTTGTTCAACTTCCCCAATAGACTGCAACAGGCTCTCCAGGCTTTCCTGGACACTCTGAGATTGGGCAATTGCTTTCTGCAGCAGAGAAGATCGCTCAGCCAGGCTATAGGAGAGGCTTTGGAAGTGGCTGAGTATGGAATCTGAAAAATCAGGCCATGAAAAGAAAGAGTGGAGACAATTTTTGTATTATGCTTTTAAAGACTTTATTATTAATATTATTAAATAATAAATAATAAAAATTATTATTATTATTATTATTATATGGATGTGGTCTTAATATGTTGCCCAAGCTGGTCTTGAACTCCTGGCCTTAAGCAATCTTCCTACTTCAGCCTCCTAAAGTGCCTGGATTACAGGCATGAGCCACCATGCCCAGTCCTACATTGAACATAGTAATTGTAATAATAATTGACATTAAGACCAATAGAAGGAATAAGTTTGAAATGCATTAGTATCAGAGCCAAGTTCAATAAGCATTAGTTATTTACTGCATACAAAGAACCAGAAATTGTACTAGATGCTGAGGACTAAAGATACTTAAGTATCTTATCTGACATCTACAACTTAAGACTTTAAAACAGAGCATAGGCAGAGGAAGATGCATCACAATTAATGATAAAAATCAAATCTTAAGTGGTATATTAATACTAGAAGTACTGTCCTCGAGAAGCCCAGAAGGAAGAATAATTATCTTTCGTTTCTTTTGAGGAGTGGGATGGCTAAGCTAAGCTATTTAACATATGCATTACCTCACATACTTATCATTTTTTTGTGGTGAAAACACTTAAAATATACTCTCACAGCCATTTTCAAGTATACGATATATATGTGTGTGTGTGTATATATGTGTGTATATACATATGTGTGTGTGTGTGTGTGTATATATATATATATATATATATATATATATATATATATATTTTTTTTTTTTTTTTTTTTTTTTTTTGAGACGGAGTCTTGCTGTGTCGCCCAGGCTGGAGTGCAGTGGCACGATCTCAGCTCACTGCAAGCTCCGCCTCCCAGGTTGATGCCATTCTCCTGCCTCAGCCTCCAGAGTAGCTGGGATTACAGGCGCCTGCCACCATGCCTGGCTATTTTTTTGTTTGTTTGTTTGTTTTGTATTTTTAGTAGAGACGGGGTTTCATCTTCTTGGCCAGGATG
The DNA here is from genome assembly GCF_000001405.40 of Homo sapiens. Classification (NCBI taxonomy): domain Eukaryota; kingdom Metazoa; phylum Chordata; class Mammalia; order Primates; family Hominidae; genus Homo; species Homo sapiens. The sequence goes on along the minus strand of NC_000001.11, from coordinate 39,359,771 downwards.
GTCTCGATCTCCTGACCTCGTGATCTGCCCGCCTCGGCCTCCCAAAGTGCTGGGATTACAGATGTGAGCCACCACGCCCGGCCTGTATACGATATATTGTTATTAACTATAGTCACCATGATATACTCTTGGCTACATCTTGAAGCATGGGCAAGATTTCACCACGCTTGGTAAGCATTCAATAAATGTTATCAGCTAAGCAATAGGAAAAACTTCAGGGGTAATACAATGTAAGTGGTTTACTTGGGAAAGAAAAGTAGATGTGGCTAGAAGATAGATGTCTGGGGAAAAGGGACTGAAGCCAGATTGTGAAGGTCCTTCAATGGTGCAAGAATAAAGTTCATTAGAGGATAAGCTCTTTGATGACAATCTATGTCTATTCATGTTTATATTCTCAGCCTCTAGCCTGGCACCACAGATATTTGCACAACACAATGTGACATATTGCAGAATAGAGGTACATACTAGGAATTAAGGGAGTACTATTATACTGTTGCTGCTTTATACCTGTAGTTTCTTGAACATGCCTGTGGTCTGGGGCTGGCTCCCCTTCAATTTCCATTATGTCACGAGCTACTTTTTGGAGTTTTTCCACAGGTACTTGGTGCTCAGCCAATTCCTCCTGCAACTGCTGCTTGTCCATGAAAAAAACAAAAGAAAAACATCTAAGTAATCAAAGATGATTCTAGGAATCCGGAGCTACTGAACAGCTTTACAGAATAATTGTAAGTTTAACCATAGCCATAAATATTAGAAGCAAGTGTTTAGCACTCAGATCTTGTCCAAGGCATCCCAACCACTGCCTTTATTTTATGTAAGCATTTGCTTTATTTTGGGGTACTTTACGCCATGGAATACAAGGTCTTGACACCACAACACAGCCTGTGTCCTGACTTACCTTTGTTGTTGCAAGCTGCTCCTGGAGAACTCCAGGGTCAGAGGCAACAGTATCTGAGAGGAGCTTCTCCACGTTGGCCTCACAAGCCTGCATCCAGGCCTGCAGGCTGTCAGCACTGTTTTGGAATTGATGATACTGGCCTAACAGCATATTCAGGTGAGATCCTAATCGTGTACACTGTGCCAGAGAAAGAAAGGTAAGCAGACTTAAGCAAGGTCAGGCCAAAGGCAGCAGCTGCCCAAAGAAAGAGGCCTGGCTTTGTTACAGACAACTCACTGTAACTTCAGATAAGGGTATTGCCAGAACCCATGGATAGATGGGTAGCAATGATCTCTAAGTGTGGGTCCCCATTGTTTGCTCCATACTATTCACCTTGACCTTCTTACATTCCCAGGAAAATTTAATGAGATGTATGACAAGCTTCCAAAGAAATGAACATAAGGTTGCAGACAAAGGTAGGGGTTAAGAAGTGCAAAAAGTATTCTTTCTTGGGGATTAGAAGTGTTGGCAGAAGGCATAAGACAGGTAAGAAGAGCTGACTGGATTCTAAACTTTAGAAGAGCGAGCAAGTTCTTTAGATAGGAAGGAAGGTAAGGATTCACCCTAGATGCTCTGTGAAATAAAGACAGAAATAAAGACTGTGCAATTGGTTTAAATTTCCCCTGTGTGCTATGTCTCTTGGGAGTCCAAGTCTGCTGGTCAGGATACAGGAAGGGGAATACTTCCACCTTCACCATCAGTGTGATATACTCCTGCCAGTGCTAGGTATTAGGTATTAGCTAGCTATCAGGCCTTTGGGCTAGTACCTATGTATTTTACATTTTGTGCATTGTTTGTGAAGACCTTCTGCCCATGGTCCAAGTATAAATCAGCTCTCCTACTGTGTCCTGGAGTTCTTATTCTGAGCCCCAGACACTACCTACATTGTGTGAAGGCTGCCATGATTGTTTCACCAAGGATGCCAGGAACTGCCCCCTTACCTTTGAGTGGAGAGCAGTGTATCTTTCTGTTGCATCCTTCAACTTGTCCTTTACTAAGTTTCCAATTTCTGATGGTTCTTTGCCTTCCTTAAAACTGTTTTCCATGTCCAAGACTTTCTGTCCTGAGATAGTCACAAATCTCAAGTCTCCTTTGTGGGAAATGACATCCTCTGAGAAGCTTCCTTGCCGCTTTAGCAGGGAGGGAAGGGTCTCGGGGCTGCTGCCTCCCTTATGCATGTTCTCCAGCTCTTTCTCGGATCGTTCCAACCAGCTTTCAAACTCTTTATGATCCTGCAGAAATTTCTGCAACTCATCCTGAAGTGTCTGCACCTGCTTCAGTTCTGCCTCTGATTGGGCCAGGGAAGTAGAGTATTGTTCCTTTAGCTCTCCCAGCTTCTGTTGCAGCATCTGTTGCTCCTCAGGTGTGAGATTGTGGCCATGCTGATCCAAGAAGGCCTGAGCTGACTGGGTGGCCAGAATGAAATTTTGCTGCTGGGACAGCAATTCTTGGTGACGGGCCTGGTAAAAAAAAATCCCCCCAAACAAAGGACAATCAGTAGGCAATCCACAATAATTTGAGGTATACAAGACTGGACTTCATACTCCATGTGAGGTCTGCTTACATTCAGCCTTGGTCTTTTCACCCACATTGCTGTCAAGTCATACACCTCTCTCAGTTTTGCTGCATCTCACATTTTTCCCTGTTAACTTCATTTTATTCAGTTCAGCCCCTTGTTTTAGGTATAGCCCTTTAATTTAGATGCTGACTCTTAAGTTGTACTTATAATCTTCAAGGACCATCTACCTATAAGCTAGAAGTAGGGAGAGGTCTCTACCTCTACTCAATAGATCACTTTTCCAACTGCTCAGAAATCACCAATATCAGTCACTCTCTAAACAGTATGCCACATGCTAATCCCCTCTGAACTGACACGTATAGGACTTTATGGTTTTCAAAGAGATTTTACATGTATTATCTCATTTGCTTTGTGGCACGACCTATAATGTAGGTAGACAATATAATACCCATATTAAGAGTAAGTGAATACCAAAAAGACGTTATATATCTTGACTAAGGTCATGCAGTTTGTTAACGAACAGAACTGCAACTCAAACCTGACTCTCTTCGCTAAACTGTACAAATGGACAACTAATAATCATCTACATTAGTGGAAGGGTAGCTGAATAAATCATACATGTGACAATATAAAAATTGTAAGTTTGGCCAGGCATGGTGGCTCATGTCTGTAATCCCAGTACTTTGGGAGGCCGAGGCTGGCAGATCACAAGGTCAAGAGATTGAGACCATCCTGGCCAATATGGTGAAACCCTGTCTCTACAGAAAATACAAAAATTAGCTGGGCATGGTGGCAAGTGCCTGTAATCCCAGCTACTTGGGAGGCTGAGGCAGGAGAATTGCTTGAACCTGGGAGGCAGAGATTGCAGTGAGCCAAGACCCTGCCACTGCACTCCAGCCTGGCAACAGACTTGAGACTCCATCTCAAAAAAAAAAAAAATGCAAGTTCTTAACTGTGAAATATGTCACTCATGTGTCCATGAAGACTGTCCCTACTAGGAAAAGCCATGGAAAATTAATTCAATAATTAGAGATTAAACTGTATTTCTGGGTAATAATAAGTAATTTGTACTTTTTATTTGTATGTACTGTGTCTATGTGCTTATACATAGACCTTCTTTCTATTCCAATGGAATATGAGTTCTTTGAGGAGAGCTGTGAGTTTTTGTTTTGAAACATATATTGGGATGTTCTTCCTGAATCTAGAAGACAGTGGGAGTTGTCAGTGTTCCTTACTACCTATACTGTTTATGCCACTACTTAGAGAAGGACTACAGATCATCGTCTAGTTTTAGCCTGTATCAACAACAACCTGATAGCCTCAGCTTCCCACATCATTTCAAGAAAGCTGAGTGACTAGGAGGCTGATGCAGGAGTATCACTGAAGCTAGGTTTTTGAGACCAGCCTGAGCAACAACATAGCAAGACTGTCTCTTAAAAAAAAATTAATGAGGCATGGTGAGTCCACACCTGTTACAGTGAGCTATGATCGTACCACTGCACTTCAGCCTGGGTGGCAAAGTGAGGCCTCATGTCTTTAAAAAATAAAAAAAAGCTGGGCGCAGTGGCTCACGCCTATAATCCCAGCACTTTGGGAGGCCAAGGCGGGTGGATCACGAGGCCAAGAGATCGAGACCATGCTGGCCAACATGGTGAAACCCCGTCTCTACTAAGAATACAAAAATTAGCTGGGTGTGGTGGCGTGCACCTGTAATCCCAGCTACTCAGGAAGCTGAGGAGGAGAATGGCTTGAACCCGGGAGGCAGAGGTTGCAGTGAGCCGAGATTGTGCCACTGCACTCCAGCCTGGTGACAGAGTGAGACTCCGTCTCAAAAAAAAAAAAAAAAAAAAAAAAAGCAGAAGAAAAAAAGAAAGCTGGAATGACAAATATATCTTGCTCAATTAGATAGTGAAGTGGGAGCGGTACTACAACCTTGTCTGTATATCACCTAGGTGTCCTTCATTCTCACCTTCCAACTCATCTACCTATAAGGCAGTTTCCTTCCTAGAATGGAGATACCACTTCATTAGGTTGACTGCTGCCAGCAAAAGGTGTCAGAGGAGCCCTATGACAGCAGAACCATTTTTGCTCTGTCCTCTTATAAGACTACCAGGGCTTTGGGGGACACAGTATAATGGACCTTCGAAAAGCGTCATGCAAGAGGCAGAAATCCTATTAATATAAAATATGACAATGGTCCACAAAGGCCACTGAACACAAGTATTCCAGCTAAGCCAATATTTTTTCTATAAAGGTGTCACCACTAAAATATATGATCCATGTGTTGTAAGTGTCCTAAATATGTAATCTTCTTTCAATCATTCAATAGAATGTGCCTGTATATGCCAGTTGATGCCCTTGAAGATGGTTTACTTGGTTGGCTCACTGGCTTATTTCTAATTCCTGGCATATGGCAGCTATTCAGTAATTACTAAATGAATAAATAAATGAGTAGAAATAAACAGTAAGAAGTGACTTCTGCTTTTTTGTTTTGTTTTGTTACAGAACAGGCAGCCTGTAAGAAACAGTGTGCGTTTTCAAGCCTAGCATCTAGAGGGCAATACAGACAACAAAACAATATCGAATGAGAAATGCTACAAAGTAGGAAAGGGTATAAGAGGAACTTATAGGCTGGGCACCTGTAATCCCAACACTTTGGGAGGTGAGCAAATCACCCGAGGTCAGGAGTTTGAGACCAGTCTGGCCAACATAGTGAAACCCCATCTCTACTAAAAATACAAAACTTAGCTAGGCATGGTGGCACATGCCTGTAATCTTAGCTACTTGGGAGGCTGATGCATGAGAATTGCTTGACTCCAGGAGATGGAGGTTGCGGTGAGCTGGGATCGTGCCACTGCACTCCAGCCTGGGTAACAGAGCAAGACTCTGTCTCAAAAAATAAATAAATAAATAAATAAAAGAAAAGAAAGAAGAGCATATGGGGGAATATATACCCTAACTTTGGTGAGTGGTGGTGAATTAAGGGCTTCCTAGAGGAAGTGAACTCTAAGCTGAGATCTGAAGAATGAGTAAAAATTAACAAATAGCTGGGCCCCCTCCGTTACTTTATGCAATGGAGAAGCAAGTAAGTTCCAAGAGCATGTAAAGGCCCAGAGGAAAGTGAGAGCACAGTTTAGCCAATAAACTGAAAGGAATCAATATAAGCAGATGCTCAAGTATAAAGGAAGGTGACAGATAAGGCCAAATAAGTAGACTAGATCCCAGTGGGTAGGGGCTGAGAGGAGAGTTAACCAGGTAATCTTGAGGGCAACAGGGAACCATAAAAAGGGCTAAGCAAGGATATGGCATTTTAGAAAGATTCCTTAGTAGTAAGGAGAATGGACTGGAAGGTAAAAACCAAGAGGCAAGAAGACCAGTAGAAGCTACTATAATAATAACAGTGAAAGCAGACAGTGGTTCTAAACTACAATAATATCTCAATAAAGATGAAGAAGTATAGCTGACTTTGAAAGAAATATAATTACCATAAGATTTGATGACTGATTTGACATAGGAGAGTGAGAGAGAGAATGGAATCTAGGATGATGTCCAGTTCAGACAATGAAGTGGGAATAAAGGAAAGAGAATGTTTAATTGTGGGAGGAGTATCATAGGAAATAGGAGTTCCATTTTCAGGCTGATGTGCTTATGGGCCCAAGTTGCAAATAGGCAGACAGATTTATATACCGTTTTGAAGCTCGGGACAGAAATCAGGGCTGGAAGGAAATGCATACACAGAATTCATTAGTGCAAATGGCAATTACAGTGTTGTGAGTAGATGAGACTGCCCAAGGAAAGTATGTTCTGAAAGATAAAAAGAGGGCCTAGGATACACCTGGAAACATCAGTATTTGAAAACCTGGCCAGAGGAAAGTAAGAAAGATGGTCAGGGCAGAGTAGTATTATGGAAACCAAGGGAGAAAGTATTTCAAGAGGAGTGGCCAACAGTGTCAAAGCTGCTGAGACATCAAAGAAGATACAAACTGAGAAGTGCTCACTGGATTTAGGGGCAAGGTGATTGTGGTTACTTGCTCAGGGCAGGAGAGATTTCTCTAGCATAGTGAGGATAAGCTAACACCCTTACCTTCATCATCTCACATTGCTTGTCCAGTTTCTCTGGGGCTTGATTCACCCCCATGTAACCATCAGTGGTGTCCAAGGCTCCTTTCTCCAAGCTAGCTCCCGAGAGCTGCTCCATTCCTGGAAGGTTGGTCAGCAGCTGTCCACCAGATGATCCTACTGAAGTTACCCAATCCAGGAGAGCATCGATCTTCTTCTTGTTCTCTGCCAGTTCCTTTGCTGCTTTACTCTGAAAGCCACCGAGGTAGTCTAGTGAGAAGGCTTTACATACTCAATCATACAACCACAGGTTAAGTAATGGGGTAAAGGGGAGGAGATAATTTTATGCTAATTCTAAGACTGGGTATAAACAGTCTTTGCACATACAAAAGAGAATTCATATCTTTTAAAATCTTTTGAAAAATTATTAAAAATATCTCTACATTTCATTATATCTTACTGCTTTAAAAAAAAAAAAAGAGGCAGGACACAGTGGCTCACTTCAGGATCAGGAGTTTGAGACAAGCCTGGTCAACACGGTGAAACCCCATCTCTACTAAAAATACAAAAAATTATCTGGGTGTGGTGGTGCATGCCTGTAGACCCAGCTACTCAGGAGGCTGAGACACGAGTATCGTTTGAACCTGGGAGGTGGAGGTTGCAGTAAGCCAAGATCGTGCCACTGCACTCCAGCTTCGGTGACACGGCAATACTCTGTCTCAAAACAAAACAAATCCTAGGATTCAGAAATATTTTATTTAGAGGTCATTTAGTCCTGCCACCCCAGCAAGCTTCACAGAATCTTTTGAGGTACACAGAAGTGCCGGACTGGCTTGGTAGGGTAAGAAATAGCACAGTCACATTCAGTTACCGGGCTGCTCTTTCCTAAAGGAAAGACAAACTTCTTTCATCCTTTCCTCAACTAAACAGAACATTTAGCTCTTTTTAAATTTTTTCTCTCACCTGAGGCTACAGGGAAACATTTAATTCTTCAACTTGCCTCTGAAATTATATTTACTGGCTCTACATGTATTTTAATAGATTAAATAGGTTATGCCAAGTTATATATTAATCTATTTCAAAATTCATCTTCAGGTAATTTATTTTTCTTTTCCATGTTCTCCACTTTCCTCATTAGTGTCGGCATCCAAGGCTAAACAAAGAATTCAAATTCAATCTGCCAGTGCTGAGTGGGGTGCAGAAGGTCATTTGAGACTTTGGCTTCTCTTTGGTTTATCCGAGTGCCACGATTCCCATCGTAACTATAGAGGCAGCTCGGGGACAGCTTTTGGCTCACTAAGACTTCATAGATATTTTTCCCTAGTACTCTTAGATCACCAGTCTAGACTCATATTAAAATATGTCATTTGGCCAGGCATGGTGACTCACACCTGTAATCCCAGCACTTTGGGAGGCCGAGGCAGGAGGATCACTTGAGGTCAGGAGTTTGAGAACAGCTGGGTCCACATGGTGAAACCCCATCTCTACTAAAAAATACAAAAATTAGCTGGGTGTGGTGGCATGCATCTGTAGTCCCAGCTACTCAGGAGGCTGAGGCACGAGAATCACTCAAACCCAGGAAGTGGAGGTTGCAGTGAGCTGAGATTGCACCACTGTACTCCAGTCTTGGCAACAGAGCAAAACTCTGTCTCAAAAAAAAAAAAAAAAAAAAAAAGCCATTTGCTTTTTTTCTCCCCATAATAATACTCTTCCTCACTAAGTTCTTTCTGATATTTTTCAGTTAGTCAGAGGACTGAGTATACAGATAGCAAGATGTTTGGGGGTTTGGGGAGGAATAGGAATATGTACTTTTTACCAACTGTCCTGACTTAAACTCCTCCTGGACATTTCTTGTAAAAATAAAGATTCTTGTAAAAACACAGACTAGCCAGCCTGGCCAACCTGGTGAAACCTCATCTCTACTAAAAATACAAAAATTAGCTAGGTGTGGTGACAGGCACCTGTAATCCCAGCTACTTGGGAGGCTGAAGCTGAGGCAGGAGAATCACTTGAACCTGGCAGGCAGAGGTTGCAGTAAGCCGAGATCATGCCACTGCACTCCAGCCTGGGTGACAGAGATTCCGTCTCAAAAAACAAAAACCAGACTAGCTCCTGAAGTAGCCCTTCCTCATGATTCTGTGCATGCTATAAGCCTGTTTTCCCCTCACTGTCTTTTATTTGTGTTGGTACCAAAATTTTCTTTTTTGAAAAATATCAAGCGTCATAGCAGTCTATTACCTTTTCAGTCTCCTGCTGTAAGGCGGAGGTCACTGCTTCCTCCAGTTCCTTCTGGGCCACACGTGTCTCTTCCTGGAGCGCCTCATATTGCTCCTTAGCCTGATGAAGCTTTTCCCGAAGAGCTGTCAACTCACGTGGGCTCAGCTTGGTCTGATTCTCTTCCATGAACCCCTCAATGTCCTTGACAACAGTGGCAAATGAGGTGGCACGATTCTGAATGTCATCCTGTAAATCCTTAACACAAGAAAATAGGAATGGCAGAGCCTTCGACTTTAGTGCTTCTAAGTCCTCTAATGGTATAAAGATGGAATGGCTAGGATGACATATAGTCCTGTATATAGTCCCTAACTACAATTTGCTTCAGGTTTAGGCTTAAATCAATGCAAAGAAATTTGATTTTGTTTTCTAAGCAAATATTTAGTGAAGCCAAAAAAGGAGGTTGTCCATAAACATGAACATGAGAGATTTTTCATTTTGCAATGCATTATCCTCAAAGAGATCATTCTTTCCATAAAGAAGTGTTGACAACATGATCTTAGCAGAGTCGAGGCCTGATGGGCCCTTATACTCTCTTGGGTATCACTCCTTATCCTTAATGTGGCCTGCGGGGTCCAGTGTGATACAGGTCCCACTTACCCCTCCAACTTCAACTTTCCCTAATTTTCCTCTTGTTTTTTGCAGTCCAGTCGAACTAGCTTTCTTTCGGTTCTTGAATATGTTGTGCTCAATACCATACCCACCTCAAGACCAATATATAAGCCTCTGCCTGGTATGTTCTCTTCCTCCTCCTACCTCTTCATGCATTAACGCCTACATATCTTTCATTTCTCAAGTTTAGGTGACACTTCTTCAAGATAATCTTTTCTGAAATCCTAGACTAGATTGGGTCTCTCTGCTATATGTTCTCATATGAGTTTTCCTTCACAGATATAACAGTTAATAATTTTATGTTCATTTTTATAATAACCTGTATAATTTCTGTATGCCCTGCTAGACTGTGTGCTTCACAAGGCCAGGGATGATGTCTGTTTACCATTATTGCTAACCCTTGAGCACTAAATATTTGTCGAAGGAATGAAAAAATCACCAGGCATGGTGGCTCAAGCCTGTTATCCTAACACTTTGAGAGGCCAAGGCCACGGCAGGAGGATTGCTTGAGCCCAGAGTTCGAGACCAGCTTTGGCAACATAGTGATACCCCATCTCTACAAAAAAATTAAAAAATTAGGACATGGTGGCTCATGACTTTGTCCCAGCTCCTGGGGAGGCTGAGGTGGGAGGATTGCCTGAGCCCAGGAGATCGAAGCTGCAGTGAGCCAAGATAACACCACTGTACTCCAGCCTAAGCGATAGAGCGAGACTTTGTGTCAAAATTGACAGATTCACACTGACCTTCAAGTCACTTTGGTTCTTCTGCAAAGCAGAGAGATCCTGCTGGGTGGTTCTGCCTTGGTGGCCTGCCAGTGCTCTTTCTGCCTGTCCTACCCAACTGCAAAGATCCTCCAGTTGCTGGTGACAGGTATTTTGTTGTTTCTGCAGGGTCTAATTAAAATGCAAAGGGGTCAAGAGACATTTCGTAATTCACATTTTGCAAATACAAGAAACTCCCTGAAATGTAAAACAGGAAGGTTATATCTCAAGGATGGAAAAGTTGGTGGGAGACTAGAATAGGAAAAGACATAGAAATCATATTCGGAAAGCTCCCCTCATTTGGACAGTCCATTGATCTGGGTCTATGGATTGGATAATCAGGATAATTATGAGAATGTTTCTAGTTCAGGTTTTGGTTTGAGAGCTCCTTCACCAGACTGCTGTTATTATCTTTGGAAATGGAGAAGAAAGAGCCCAGATGCTTGAAATCCACACATGATAATGGTGATGATAATAATTTAGTGGTTCTGATCAATCCCTCCACTAGAACCAGAGATTTGCTACATAATATGCAAAAGTAGAAGAATTGGAGTAGAAAGAAAAATCAAAGACCTGGATAATTCATAAGTTAATCGAGCTTCTTAATAATTGAGCTGACTTTATAAATCAAATGTCTCATCAATCCAGAGACTCATTAAATAAAATGATTACACGCCAGGCATGAAGGGCTAGATTTGGCTATTTTGAGAAGGAAAGTGCCCAAGAATAGCAACTGGCTCAGTCCTTTAGGTGTCTACACTAATATCAAAGGAACAGGCCAGGCCCAAGGAGAGAGAGGGAATATGTTTCTGTGCCTGATCCTTTCTCTAGATTTTATCTCAGTTGTATGACATTGAAGCACCTGACTGAGCAATTGAGCATGATGTGTTCTCCTGACCATCCTTCTAAAACCATTTTCCACCAGTTTCTACCTTCTGATGGCGCTTTAGTCACCTGCACTTACAAACAGGTGCCCAAATTGGCCCTCTCTCCCCCTCTTTAGGACAAATAGAAGGGCTCTGGAAGAGAACTCCTAAGAGCTCTTCAGCTGTAAAACAGGATCTTCATGGGTTAGGATGGGTGCAGACTGAATCTGAAAAAAGCAAAGCAAACAAGTTAACACAGAGACATACACACACATCCAAGGCAAATATTGAGAGAAGCAGAGCATTTCTGACAATAACAAGGTTAATAAGCATTGTGGAATTAATTACATGCTCAGGGAGAATGTTCACATGCAGTTCTATCACCTGCTGCAGCTCAGGAGTCTACCCTGAATCTGGGCTGGGTCTTGTCTTAATGTGGCTCAGATGAATTTTACTTCATTAATTATCCAAAGGTTATATCATGCTATATAAACTCCTGAATGCGAGCATTGCACATGCTCAGTTTTCAAAGGTAACCTAAAGCTTTCCATTAATATATCTCAATTTCAATATAGTTGAAAAAATGAGACAGTAATACAGGACATATGGCACCAACTACCCTAATTCCCTTAAAGTCTGACTCAAAAGCTCAATTTTTTGCACAACATTTAATAAAGGAGCCCTTGAGACAAATTTTATGGTGATAATGACAATTCTAATATCATCTTGCTATATGCCAACTTACTATTCAAATAGCAGAAATGGCATGAACATCATTCTGGGTATTCTAAGGTTTTGATGTTACTATTAATGTAATTATGTTGAGTTGAGCTTTGCAAGAAGAGAGTTGTGATGGAAGATGGTAGGATGGTTAGTTTTTTGTTTGTTTGTTTGTTTGTTTTAGTATCATCCTGCTTCTACATACTGTTTTCCATGATTGAATAAGCGAATAAGCACTGGGCACTATACTGTGAGGAAAGGTGCAAGAAAATAATATTAATTCTTAAAGAGCCAAAAATTAATACGATTCTAATAAAATTTCCTTGTCAGCCACTTAAGGATTGTCAAGGAACCTTATGGTAAATCATTTGAAATAGATTAAATAGAATGAAACTGATTTCAGAACCCTTCTCCTCAAGAGCTCAGGGTATCTAGATGTTCTTACGAGCCCTCAAAACAATGCTAAAGGAGAAAGTAAAGTAGGGAAAGGACTAGATACATGATTTTCATTTGAAATTCAGAGACAATGAGATACAGCGAAGGAAAAGTCTCACTAAAAGAAAACACTTGCATATGTATACACATGTCAACACATACATTCTCTCACACATACATAAAACCAAAGACATGGCAAGAACAACAGCCAGAACAAGTGCCTCCTGGACTAGAACCATACTGGCCTGCATGACATGAAATTTCAAAATTGGTAAACCCAGGCTCCTGCAATCATGATACACAGAGTCTGGCCAGAAAACCCAATGACAGAGGACATCCCCAAAGACAAACTGAGCCCAGCTGCTGGTTCAGTCTGACCTTCACCAGGGCTTCCTGCTCCATTTGTTGAAGATGGCCCTGCAAGGCATCCACCTGAGCGGCAGTCTGTTCCAAAATGTCCTGGAAGGACCTCTGCAGTTCATTCAGAAGCCTCAGCATCTGTCGATTCTGCTGAGGGGACAAGTCCTGGGCATGTTCTGAGATAAAGAACTGAATATCAAAAGCAAGAGCATCCAGCTGAGCTTTCCTTTCAGCCATGGGCTGTTTCAAATCCTAAGGTAAATGGAAAAAGGAAACAAAACACAAAAAACCATGATACTTCCATTTCTCAGTTCATGAAGAAAACCAACAGAATCAGAGAGGCTAATTTCCTGTATTTTCATAACTGGCACTAATGATTCTAGGGCCAAATTAGAATTAAAGTCTCTCTTGGCCAGGTGCGGTGGCTCATGCCTGTAATCCCAGCACTTTGGGAGGCCAAGGTGGGCGGATCACAAGGTCAGGAGATGGAGACCATCCTGGCTAACACGGTGAAACCCCGTCTCTACTAAAAATACAAAAAATTAGCCAGGCGTAGTGGCAGGCGCCTGTAGTCCCAGCTACTTGGGAGGCTGAGGCAGGAGAATGGCGTGAACCCGGGAGGCAGAGGTTGCGGTGAGCCGAGACTGCACTACTGCACTCCAGCCTGGGTGACAGAGCGAGACTCCATCTCAAAAAAAAAAAAAAAAGTCTCTCTCACTTTCAGTCTCTCCAAACTCCTCATAAATTAGAATTAAGTTCCCTTTACTGGACCTACCTTGATTTCCAAATACAGTAAGCAGCTCAATTATTTATGCTAGCATAATTATACTATTGTTAATCCAAAATATCTGTGAATTTTTTCCTTTTGATACAGAGTTTCGCTCTGTCACCCAGGCTGGAGTACAGGGGCGCCATCTCGGCTCACTGCAAGCTCTGCCTCCCAGGTTCATGCTATTCTCCTCCCTCAGCCTCTCGAGTAGCTGGGACTACAGGCGCCCGCCACCATGCCCGGCTAATTTTTTGTACTTTTAGTAGAGATGGGGTTTCACTGTGTTAGCAAGATGGTCTCGATCTCCTGACCTCATGATCTGCCCGCCTTGGCCTCCCAAACTGTTGGGATTACAGGCGTGAGCCACCATGCCTGGCCTTTTTTTTTTTTTCAAACAGAGTCTTGCTCTGTTGCCCAGGCTGGAATGCAGTGGTACAATCTCGGCTCATTGCAACCTCTGCCTCACTGGTTCAAGCAATTCTTGTGCCTCTACCTCCTGAGTAGCTGGGCCTACAGGTACTCACCACCATGCCTGGCTAATTTTTTGTATTTTTAGTAGAGACAGGGTTTTGCCATGTTGGCCAGGCTTGTCTCGAACTCCCGGCCTCAAGTGATCTGCCCTCCTTAACCTCCCAAAGTGCTGAGATTACAGGCGTGAGCCACACGCCCGGCCATCAATCTTTTAAAAAAGTTTTGCAAAGTATAACATGAATTTCTGATCTGAGATGTACCTAATTGTACTTTCTTAGGTTCAAATTTCTATTTGTATCTGTCCAGCAATGAGTTACTGGTAGGCCAGTACTGAGAAAATATATAATTTGTTTATGATTCGCTAAAATTTTTGTTTTTGAGACAAGATCTTGCTCTGTCACCCAGGCTGGAGTGCAGTGATGCATACAAAACTCAATGCAGCCTGGACCTCCTGGGCTCAAGCAATCCTCTCACCTCAGCCTTCCAAGTAGCTGGGACCACACGTGTGCACCACCATGCCCAGCTAATTTTTTAAGTTATCTGTAGACATGGTGTCTCACCACATTGCCCAGGCTGGTCTCAAACTCCCGGGCTTAAGTGATCCTTCCACTTAGCCTCCCAAAGTGCTGGGATTACAGGCATGAGCCACCATGCCCAGCCTAAATTTTGATTTTCTGAGTAAATGATGCTGTTTATACTATTTTTTAAACTGAAAGATTACACTCAGACTTTCTTGTTATAGTTATATTTTTCCCTTAAAGTAGTAAAAACTGTCCAAACACTAAAATCATCTGTTTTCAGACTATTAAAAACAAGTAATCTTCCCACATCTAGTGATTATCAATTATGTTATACTGGATCTCCATCACTTTGAAACTGAGAGTAGATCAATTGAGAGTAGTCAATCCTGCAGAACAGGCAGAAAGGGCTTCTTGAATATTTATCATAATGTTACAGTAGGTAGTTAGGCAGATATGAGCAGGGCATGAGAGGCCCTGCCCACCTCCACATCACCTGATGGTCACCTCCAAGAATGTCAGGTGACCATCAGGTGACGGTCAGGTGGTTGTTCAACCATCTCTCTAAAATAATAATTGGTTGCAGCGACAGCAGAGAAAGGCAGGCTCTCAATAGATAGAAAACACCTAAAGCTGGTGATTAGCAGCTTCCAGGTAAGATCTCAGGAGCTGGGCGAGTGGGCTCAAGCATGCGCACTAAGAGGCAAAGTGGCAGAGTTTAAACTGGTATATGAACTTCCTCTAAAAACGCTCGACTGGTAAGGGAAAAACGCCTCAAGTGAGCATGTATACAACTTTAGTAAACACACTGCACATGCGACCCCTCCCAAGTGCTAGCAGGTCACTGCACATGCAGACAGCCCACCCCAAGGGAAGAATCAGGGGAGGAGAAACGTAACCCCTGGAAGCATGCCAACATATAAAACCCCAAGTCAAAGGACAGACAGCACACTTGGATCTCTCAAGTTGCCCGTTTGGCCCTCTTCCAAGTGTACTTTACTTCCTTTCATTCCTGCTCTGAATTTTTTTTTTTTTTTTTGAGACAGAGTCGCGCTCTGTCACCCAGGCTGGAGTCCAGTGGCACGATCTCAGCTCATTGCAATCTCCACCTCCCGGGTTCAAGCGATTCTCCTGCCTCAGCCTCCCAAGTAACTGAGATTACAGGTGCCTGCCACTATGCCCAGCTAATTTTATATATTTTTTTTAGTAGAGATGGGGTTTCACCATGTTGGCCAGGCTGCTCTTGAACTCCTGAACTTCAGGTGATCCTCCCGCCTTCGCCTCCCAAAGTGTTGGGATTTATAGGCATGAGCCACCACGCCTGGCCCTAAAACTTTTTTTCTTTTTTTTTTTTTGAGATGGAGTTTCCCTCTTGTTGCCCAGGCTGGAGTGCAATGGCGCAACCTCGGCTCACCACAACCTCTGCCTCCCGGGTTCAAGTGATTCTCCTGCCTCAGCCTCCCGAGTAGCTGAGATTACAGGCATGTGCCACCACGCCTGGCTAACTTTGTATTTTTAGTAGAGACGGGGTTTCTTCTTGTTGGTCAGGCTGGTCTCAAACTCCCGACCTCAGGTGATCCGCCCGCCTCGGCCTCCCAAAGTGCTGGGATTACAGGCGTGAGCCACCGTGCCCAGCCCTAAAACTTTTAAATAAACTTTCACTCCTGCTCTAAAACTTGCCTCAGTCTCTCCCCCTGCCTTATGCCCCTTGGTCAAATTCTTTCGCCTGAGGAGGCAAGAACCGAGCTGCTGCAGACTCACATGGATTTGCCACTGCTAACAATAAGACAAAGCTTCCTTCCTCTGTGAACATGATAATTTAGGAAACTATCACTAGAAAAACAAGGCTCAGACTGTCGTTCTCTGCTACAAGAGGATTCATATGTTATAACTAGGGGAGGGCACCAATGCATGAAATGCTCTATGTCTCTATGTTTTTATATCTCACACTATGTCATGGTAATTTTTTTCATGCTTGCTTCTTTGTAATATCTTAGCAAACAGATAAAGGCTGAATAAAGTCTGAAACTCTCTCCCTCAGTGATATCTTTGGATAAAGGGTATAAAAAGAGGAGGCAGGTCAACTCTTGCGTGATAAAGAGGGATGAGATTGTGTATAAGGTTGATCATGGACAAACTTTTATGTCTGCTTCTCTTAAGATTGGGGAAGAGGGAGAAGATAGAATAGAAGGAGGGGACATTTCTAGTTCCGTTCTGACATTCTAAAAAGTTGAAGGAGAGGGGTATCTCTCTATAGCAGAGGGTTGATAAACCACTGTAATACCTCAAATAATCTTAAATAGAACAAAAAAAGAGAACAATATTGGGGAGAAAACTCTCTGGCTCACATGTGTCTCATGGTCTTTTCTCTTATTGACTAATAAAAAGAATCAATTAATCTGGGGCTTAAGAAGAAGAAAAGCAACTCTCTAGAGCAGGGGGGTCAACAAACTGTGGCCCCCAAGCAAAATCTGGTCTGTCACGTGTTTTTTTGTAAATAAAGTTTTATTGGAACATAGCCATAGCCATTTGTTTATGTACTATTTATGGCTGCTTTAATTTTGAGTGATTGCAACAGAAATAGGTCTTTTGCATATGGTTCATAAAGCCTATAATGTTTATTATCTGGCCCTTTATTTAAAAAGTTTGCTGGCCAGACGCGGTGGCTCATGTCTGTAATCCCAGCATTTTGGGAGGCCAAGGTGGGTGGATTGCCTGAGGTCAGGAGTTCGAGACCACTCTACGCAACATGGTGAAACCCCTCTCTACTGAAAATACAAAAAATTTAGCCTGGCATGGTGGTGGGTGCCTGTAATCCCAGCTACTTGGGAGGCTGCGGCAGGAGAATGGAGGTTGCAGTGAGCTGAGATCGCACCACTGCACTCCAGCCTGGGTGACAGAGAGAGACTCTGTCACACAAAAAAAAAAAAAAAAGTTTGCCAACCCATGCTGTAAATAACCAATCAAAAACTCTCCTGAGTTCAGTCATGGTGGAAAGCACTGCGGCGATTTCACAGGAACTTAGAATTACCATTTGACCTAGCTATCCCGTTATTGGGTATATACCCAAAGGAATGTAAATCATTCTATCATAAAGACACATGTGTGTGTATGTTCAGTACAGCACTATTCACAATAGCAAAGATATGGAATCAACCTAAATGCCCATCAATGGTACACTGGATAAAGAAAATGTGGACACCACATTTTATGGAATACTATCCAGCCATAAGAAAGAACGAGATCATATCCTTTAAAGCAATATGGATGGAGCTGGAGGCCATTATCCCAAGCAAACTAACATAGGAACAGAAAGCCAAATATGGCATGTTCTCACTTATAAGTGGAAGCCAAACAAGAACACATGGATACTAGGAGGGGAACAACAGATACTGGGGCCTACTTGAGGGTGAGGGGGTGGGAGCAGAGACAGGATCAGAAAAAATACCTATTGGTTACTATGCTTATTACCCAGGTGATAAAATTATCTGTATATCAAACCCTCATGACATGCAGTTTACCTATATAACAAACCTGCACATGTACCCCTGAAAACAACAACAAAAAATCTCCTGAAACTGGTATGTGTGTGTGCACGTAGGATTGGATCGTGGTCAAAAAAGAAACAAAGGACGGATCCTAGATGCTCATTTATAAAGAGAGGATGAGATTGATAATAACAGGTCATTCAGTAGATGGTCTCTCAGAGAATAGCTGAAAGGAGAAATGATCATTATCACTGAAGCTCCAGGGATATGATTTTTTTTATTTTAAGACGGAGTTTCGTTCTTGTTGCCCAAGCTGGAGTGCAATGGCGCGGTCTTGGCTCACTGCAACCTCTGCTTCCTGGGTTCAAGCGATTCTCCTGCCTCAGGCTCCCAAGTAGCTGGGATTACGGGTGCCTGCCACACCGCCCGGCTAATTTTTTTGTATTTTTAATAGAGACGGGGTTTCACCATGTTGGCCAGGCTGGTGTTGAACTCCTGACCTCAGGTGATCTGCCCGCCTCGGCCTCCCAAAATGCTGGTATTACAGGTGTGAGCTGCCATGGCCGGCCAGGGATATGATAATTATAAACCTAAACATAGCTGACTTTATTTATAAAATGGAAAATCAGACTTTCTAAGAAAGATAAATGGCCGGGTGTGGTGGCTCACACCTATAATCCCAGCACTTTGGGAGGCCGAGGTGGGCGGATCACCTGAGATCAGGAGTTCGAAACCAGCCTGGCCAACATGGTGAAACCCCGTCTCCACTAAAAATACAAAAATGAGCCGGGCGTGGAGGTAGGCGCCTATAGTCCCAGCTACTCAGGAGGCTGAGGCAGGAGAATCGCTTGAACCCAGGAGGCGGAGGTTGCAGTGAGCTGGGATTGTGCCACTGCACTCCAGCTTGGGTGACAGAGCAAGACTCCGTCTCAAAAAAAAAAAAAAAAGATAAATATGGATATTGGTTTGCCTAGCAGGGAAATAAAATTGATACAACTCAAAGGACAAAGAAAATGTGCTTGAGTTTACCTCATACTGTTGGAGGCAGAGGTTCAGGCTGTCAACATCTATTTCACTGTTAGATCCCTTGCTGTTCAGAATAAGATTTTTATTGCCAACCCAGGCTCTCAGATCTTGAAGTCGGCCTTCTAGCTGTGTGTGCTGATTTAACACTTTAGTCTAAGAAATAAATGGAAAATCACATTATGAAAATCTCCCAGCCACCCAGACTTTGTGAGCCTTTATGAATAAAAGCAAAATGCTACCTTTTCTATTTCCACAGCATTCTGGAAGTGGAGTAGCCTGGAATTCCAAGTGTCACTCACAGAGCTGAGAGACTTCTGAAGATTCTTGGCATCTTTCTCTAGAGCCTTCAACAGTTGAGCAGGAACTTCTTGAGGCTGGCTGATGATAATCTGATTCACACACTCCAGCTCCTGACTGACCAAGGTGGTCAGATCCTTTAACTCCCTTTCTAATACCTGAGGGAATAAAGTGGAGTTACCTATAAAAGCAAGACTAGAAACCCTCTGGGAATCAGCTGTGAACACATTTCTCTCTCACCCCATGTCTACACACACTTTAGGGCTTAGAAAATGTTTTTATGTACATTCATTAGTTTACTTGGTTCTCACAATCACTAATTCATGAAGTAGGCAAGGTAGATGTTACTGTTCTGGATTTACAGAAGAGATGCCTCATTGCTTAAAAAAAAAATGTGAATGGTGTCCAAGGTCACCCAGCTGGTAAGCAGTACAGCCAGGACTTGGATTCAGGTTTTCTCACTCAGTGCAGTGTGCTCCCTCCACTGTAACTTGCTGCCTCTCTGAGAGTGTCATTATGCCTTTCCCCAAGGAGCAGCTGTGCAGAATTAATGTGCTACAAAATAAACCGAACGGATGACTCTTCCACTCTAAATTCCAGGGTCATGGAACCAAAGAATACAAAGCTAACCCCAACCAGCTTTTCCACTCATCTAGTCTGTAATATTCTGGTCCTCAACAGATAAGCCGGAAATAAGCTGTGGAAGAACTTGACATAGTTCTTTGGGGCATCATCCTCAGCCCCGGTTCAGCCACCCTACCCAAGGCCACACACTAGATATTGAGAGAACCAGTAAACCACTACAATCTGTCTTCATGGTGACTCCAATCCTATGACAACTCTTAACCTCCAATTTCAGTGAAATAGCCACTCTTCCTCCCTCTCAAGGCTGTCTTTCTACGTTTTTAGGGGACTGGTTCTATCAGTTATCACTTCCTCTCTCTTCTAACTTCAAGTTCTCCCTTTTAATTGGTTCTTTCTCCTCAGTCCAAAACCCATTCAAAACATTCCTTTCAATCCATCTCCTTCAAGTAGTGTCCCACCTCATTCCTTGCCTGTACCTAAGACTTCTGGAAAGAAGGATCTATATTAATTGTCTCTACTTTCCAACCTCCCATTTCTTCCAGCTGCAAGTTAGTTTATATCCCGTCACTCCACTGAAACTGTTCAAAGTCACCAATAACTTTCAGGAGCTGAATCTCCCCTTCAGTCCTCATTGTACTCAATCTCCCTGTGGCAGTTACTAGGGCTGACTCCTCCTCCTTTGGTTTCTGTGAGACGAGTGTTTCCAGGTCTTCTTCAGAGATCTCCAGTTAGACTTTTTCAATCTATTTTTGTTGTTGTTGTTTCTTTGTTGGTCCTTTAAATGGCAGTGCTTTTGAATATATTTTTCTTTCTTTTTTTTAAGACAGGGTCTCACTCCGTCTCCCAGACTGGAGTGCAGTGATGCATTCATAGCTCAATACAACCTCAAACTCCTGGGCTCAGGCAAATCCTCCTGCCTCAGCTTCCTGAGTGGCTGGGACTAGGGTGTATACCACCAGGCTTGGCTAATTTCTTACTGTGTTGCCCAGGATGATCTCAAACTCCTGGGCTCAAGCAATCCTCTTGTCTTGGCCTACCAAAGTGCTGGGATTATAGGCATGAGCCACTGTGACTGGCCCTCAGTATGTTTTTTTTCCTAAATAGTCTGTATTTTGTCCAAGTTTCTTTTTCTTTGTTTTAGCCTCTCCTTTTGTATCAGAAGCTTTCTGGATGCTGAAGTGGAGTGTAATGCCCTAAAAAGCTGACTATAAACTCTGCTGGCTGTAGTCTTCACTGAGGGTGATGGAGCTGGGCCATACAGTTGGGAAACCACTTATATCAGTACCATTAGGTCTTCCCCCTTGGGCTGGTCAAACCATAGCGGGAGCAAGGATATAGCTCAAAATTCAGTATGTATGTGAACTTCCAGTTAATCCTACTGATTTCTGTATGGAATATTTACCTTCAATAAATGGCTGCTCTCCCTAGTCAAGAGATACTTTGAATTACTTTCCTCAGAGAATGAACATCCAGCCTTTCGTTAGAGCACAGCACAAGCAGTTGCCAGGCTATGTGAAGTAAGTTGAAAATCTAAAGGTCTAATTGCTTCTTAAACAGACTTTAAACCAATTATAAGCCCGTTTGCATATCCATTTTCATCTCTTTCTGGTGCTCCCAATTTTTGAGGCTTTGGGGAGTTCTGTAGTATAAATCAGGTTGTTCCTTAGCTTCCTCCACTTTAAGTTGAGGATCTGGTTTACTCTAGCTTGCTAAGGTAGTTATCGCCTCATCCAGCTGCTTTCTAACTTCTAAAATTTTACTGCTGTTTTCTCCTCTCTTGCCCTTTTATGAATTTATGCACTAAAAAAAAAAAACAACCCAAAAAACCTTTTTCCTGATGTCTTAGTATAGTTTTAGGAAGTAAGAGAGATTAACTTACATATCTAATCTACTGTTTTAAGCCTCCAACATTTCTTGCTTGAATTACTGCAATAGTTTCCTAACCAATCACTCTGCCTTTGAACTTACCTAAATCAATCCAAAACCACGCAGATAACAATTGGTAGGGCCGGGCGTGGTGGCTCACACCTGTAATCCTAGCACTTTGGGAGGCCGAGGAGGGCAGATCACGAGGTCAGGAGATCAAGACCATCTTGGCTAACACGGTGAAACCCCGTCTCTACTAAATATACAAAAAATTAGCTGGGCGTGGCGGCAGGCGCCTGTAGTCCCAGCTACTCGGGAGGCTGAGGCAGGAGAATGGCGGAAACCCGGGAGGCAGAGCTTGCAGTGAGCCGAGATCACGCCACTGCACTCCAGCCTGGGCAACAGAGTGAGACTCCATCTCAAAAAAAAAACACACACACACAAAAAAACACAAAAAACAAACAAACAAGAAAAATTAGCCAGGCGTGGCGGCAGGTGCCTATAGTCGCAGCTATTCGGGAGGCTGAGGCAGGGGAATTGCTTGAACCCGGGAGGCGGAGGTTGCAGTGAGCCGAGATCACCGCTACTGCACTCCACCCTGGGTGACAGAGCAAGACTCTATCTCAAAAAAAAAAAAAAAAAAAAATGGTAGTAATTACATTGATAGCCAAATCCAAGGTCTGTTCAAGTTTATCCTGTATAAATTTTATCCGGTCTATCCAAATGTAGCCCATCCCATAATTATCTGACAAGGGTCTGAGATTGTTTACCCTAGAATAGAGTGCAAGCAGGTTCTAGTAAGTCTTGAAATCTTCAAGGAAGATGGAGGCAGCTATCTTGAAGCTGGTGTCTGTGGTGGAAGTCTCTGGGAACCTACCTTGGCCTGACACAGCAGATCCTGTAGTTCTGCCAGGTTTAGCTCCAAAGGTTGAATCTGTTTGGTCCTCATTTCAATGTTCCGTAACAGAGACAGATAGGATACTAGCTTTTCATCATGTTCTAAACAGAGTTGCCGGGTAAATACATTCTGTGGAGCCAAAAAGAAAGCTGACTCAGTTCTGACGTTCTCCTGTAAGTCAGCTTTAAAGCAGGCAGGGGTTTTTGTTAGACAAATAGAAGCAATTTTTACTGCACATAGAGTGGGATAAAATAAAACACTTTGTTTAAGTCATTTCAAATCAATAGACAAAGGTGATTTTACCAATTTCCTCAGAGAGCAGAAGCTCAGAGCTATCAATCTACAAGCATCATTTTACCAAAATTTCCAAAAGCTATTCTGATTTCAGGTAGCATCATCCTAGTATTTCTATTAGCTCGTTTCTATTTAAAACCCTTGCAGATTTCAGAAAGACATTCAGAGCCAATGCCTAATTTTCCAACAACTTTGCTACAAACAGATGATGATAAACTAAGTTATATCTTAGAGAATCATCTAGTGCCTTAAAATGTATAGAGGCATACAATTACACATATGTAAACTCTGTACCCAGTTAAGAATTTTAGCATTAAACTAATTGTATCTTTAGGAAGAAAAAAAAAAAAGCACACCACTGACCTGAGTTGCTCTGAAGGGCTCTGGGTTTACACCTCCATTTCCCTTTCCTTCAGGTGCAGTCATGAAGGGAGTTTGTTCACTGCCAGGGCTTTCTCTGAGCTTTTCCTGTGGTGTCTTCTCTGTCTTCACTGCAGAGCATACTGTTAGGGACACTGTCTTTTCTTCACTGGTCTCTAGAACAGTAGGACTAATGATGGCATTCTGTTGCCCTGTATTCTCTTTTTGAGACACTCCTTTGAACAGTTTCTCTGGAAGAAAGGATCCCAAGACTCTGGAACCTCTCTGAGTCACTATGTCCTCAATGGATCCTGCTTCTAGACCTGCAACATTAGGGTTTGCCATTTCTAGAAATTTCTCTCCAGTTAGTTCCTGTGTTGCTATTTCAGATTTGAGAGTTCCACAAAGTTTATCATCACTTTTGCTGCCCTGATGATGAAGGTCTTTTCTGTCTGAGAATTCTAGATACCTGACTTCTTTTGAATCTGGTCTAGAAACTGTGATTTCTTCCAATTTAAGACCTCTTGCTGGGTCAAAAGATACTTCTTGGTATGACTTTTCTTTACATTCATTAGATGAGGAAATTTGATGTTTGGTTTCCTTAGTTTTCGAAGTAACCCAGGAATCTTGATAGTTGGTCTCCTGTCTGGTGGTTCCTTGGAAAGACTTGTCTGTTTTGGAAATTTGGGATGGGCCTGTCACTTGGGCTTTTCCATCTGATTCCTGGTAGTGCAATCCTTCAGGTCTTGGGGTCATACAAGGGAATGGTTCACTCTGGGCCCCACAGGCAATTTCTCGAGATAAGTTTTCTTCTGGTTTTAAAGTCAAGCAGAGACTTAAATTGTTTACTTTTCCTTCATTGGCCTGTTTAGAGCTGAAGAGTGTTAAAGCATCTAAATGTTTTACAGAAATTCCTTGAGGTACCACTTGGGAAGAGGACTCTTCAATTTTAAAAGTAATAGAAAATCCCATTTCTGTATCAGCTTCTTTCCCTTTTTCACTTGAGGTCATTTCCCTAGGTTGGCTCTTTATATGGGAGTCATGCTCATCTCTAATGGCAGTTTCCTGATACAACTTTTCTTCAGAAAGAAATGCTGGTTTGCATGTTCTGATACTTTCTTCTACAATCACCTCCCTCTTCTCTCTCTTACTTTTCACCCGAGCATTCATTGGTTGCTGCAAAACCTGCTCACTCGGCAATTTGCCTGACGTTTCACAATATGTTTCTTGTACTTCCAAAATCACTTCCCCTTGATTTTCTCTTATTTCTTCAGAATCTAGACATGAGGTAGACTGCTTCATATGAGAAATAATTTCTATTTTTGTCACTGCTTTTTCCTGCTCTTCATTTGTATCATTTCCCATGTTATTTCTAGCCACTTCTTTAAGTTTAAAATCACATTCAGAGTAAGGGTGTGTCAATGACACTTGGCCCAAGGATTTACCTTTAAGATTATGAGGATTTATGATACTGATAAATTCTTTAGCATCTGAAGACATTCTTGGCTTACGTTGATCCTTGCACCCAAATTCCTTTAAGGAAATTTCCCTGCTCTTTTTTGCCTGCTCCCCATCAGAAACTCTCACTTTAACCTTTTCTTGTGCAGACTGATTTTCAACTTGAAATAATCTCTCACTCTCTTCTACTTTATTACAACTCATTTCAGCAGTCTGATTACAAGCAATTAACATATCCTTTCCTAGAAATTCATTTTGTAATGCACACACTTCAATCCCTTCTTGCTTTTCAATCTGAGCCCTGTGATCGCTGAACTCTGAACTATCTATTTGGATCATATTTGCCAGTTCAGGGCTGATCAGTCTTTTCTCAATAGCTTCTACTAAAGTCACTCTCTGATCACTAAATATGTCAACAATTCCTCCATTTAACACCTGATGAGATGCAATAATTCTGACCATGTTTTCATCCACCAGTTTCTCTTCCAAAGCTGATGCCAATGTCAGTCTTTTTCCAGTAGCAGTATCTATGATTCCACCAGTATTTGCCTGGGCTTCTAGAACCTTCAGCGTAGATGCAAAGTCTACTTTTCCAAGCTGAATTGCTTGAGACAATGTAAGCACTTTGTCGCTCACCCCATCTTTAATGTCTGAGAAGGGAATTACTTCTAGATATCTCTGTCCAGATTCAATATCAATCTTACATTTCTTGACTAATTCTGAGTAGGGGACAATTCTGCAGTTCTCGGGATCTACAATGCCATGCATCATTCCTGGAGACAATACTGCTTCATTAGTTAACAGTCCTTCTTTTTTAGCTTCTGCCAAGGTCAATCTCTGACCAGAAATGAGATCCACAAAGTTTCCAGTAAAGGCCTGAACCTCCTGGATTTCTCTTTTCAGGTCTGAGGTAATAAGATCTAATTTTATGGCTTTAGGGAGGGAAATATTTTCCTTCGTTTCAGGATTAAAAATCTGATGGATGTTTAAGTTCTCAACTCTTTTGAGTTTCTCGGCTAAATCTTCACCAATTAAGCCATGTCTGAAGGCATTATCAACAGAAAGTCTCATCCCAGATATATGGTGAATGATACCTCCATCTACCACTTGCTTAGTCAACAAACGAACGGCCTCCTCTCTCTCCAAAAGACCTCTGTCAATGGACTGCACAACTGTTAAAGGTGCTTTACTATCAGGGTCTATAAGTCCTGTTGTTTCCATTTGTAAACTAATTAATCTCTCCCTAACTGTTTTTTCAGCATCTCTACCTTTGGAAGCTTTCTCCAGATTTATAAGTTCTGGCTGGTCAGCAACGTCCACCAAGCCAAGAGTTGAGGCCAAAGTTACTGAAACTTTTTTGCCTCGTTTCAGATCAATAATTCCACCAGTCACCACCTGCCTCTCTAAAATTCTGGTGGCTGTTTCCTTGTCAAGAAGTCCAACTGTAACTGCATCCTTTACAGAGCACAGTGTCTGGGTACGGGGGTCTAAGACACCACTTATAGCTTTGTCTGCCATGAGGACATTATGTAATAATTTCTCATCCATCAGACCTTCATTAATGACTTCTTCAGTTGTCAAAGACTCACAAGTCTGAGAGTCAAAGAACCCCTGAAACATGTTCAGCTTCTCCATAAGCTTCACGGCAGTGTGACTTGGCACAATGCCTCGGGATATTGCTTCATTTAGTAAGAGCTTTTGACCTGTTTGTTCATGAAAGATACCACCATCTAGTAACTGTGCAGATAATACATTTAAGGTAGCTTCTTCAAGCAATTCTAATGGATGACTGCATGACAGAAAAATTTCCCTGCCACTATCTTCCTCATCGGTCTTTTCTGACATCATCATACTACCACCTGCGATGTTCTGTGCTTCTTGACTTTCTTTATGGTCATCCTTAGCCAGAAATGTTTTCTTTAACATTTCCTTTTTGTCCAGAGGATGAACATTCCCATCAGTTTCAGACTTTAGTTCTAACTTTATACCTAGAGTTTTCTTTACCTGAACTTGTAACTTTTTGCTTTGGGGTTTTATGTGAGATCCTCCAGTTTCATCATGAATATATTCAGTCTCAAGAGTGTGTGCTTGTTCATTCTGACATGTAAAGGAAGTGTTTCTTAGAGGTTGATGTTCTTTCTTTGGTGTTTCAACAGAAAAAACATCTTTGTCAACCACCAACGGCACACCTTCCGCCTCAGCAGGAGGTATGGTCAGGAGGTGTCCCCTGCTGGCATTTTCTCTGACAGACACTGCTGTTTGGTCTTCCCTTTGGGTACCTATCAACTGCCTTTGTACCTCTAATTTGACTTTATTTATTACCTTCAAAGCATCAATGTTTGGATTTCTCTCTTTTTGTTCTACAAACAGATCCTGTTCAGGGTTCTCTACAGAAGAATCTTCTGTTTCTACAGTGGTCTTTTTGCCTTTTTCTGTAGTGCAATCTTCCCGATCGGGATATTCTTTGTTCTGAGAAGAAAACTGGAACTCAGGCAGCCTCACAGTCCACCCACTGCTGAAAGTTCCTGAGATTTTCACATTAGCTGATTCTTGCAATCCCTCAGGAGTTTTTTGCCTTTGATGCCCAATTTCAACCACTTTTGGAGGACTTGTTTGATACTCATCTCTGGATGTTAGTGTCTCCATCAGCTCTTTATCTAACAGAAGCAGCCTCTGTCCATTTTGCACATTAATATAGCTGTGAGTCATCAGCTGGAACAACAGATTCTCACTCTGGCTTGCTGTGGCCTTAGGGTGGCTCTTGCTGCACGGTAGAACTGCTGCTCCAGGATTAATATTTTGTTCTGCAGAGTCTGCTAGTTGCATGTGGGGCATCACATCAGGTATACAAATCGATTTTAAGTTATTGGCAAGATCTCTATCCAGGATACCACTTTCTATTGCTTTCTTCCAGGACAAAATCTCTGTGGTTGCTGGTAGAAACAGAGCCTTAATATGCTGTCGGTTACTAAGGATTTTATGTGCTAGTTCAGTAGACACAATACCTTGTTCTAGGGCATCTGTAATTGGGAGGATCTCTCCAGATTCAGGCCACAGCAACCCCATGAATGACCAGAGGGACTCCAGAATCACAAGGGCGATCTTAGCAGCTACTAGATCATTGCTCACTGCTTCATCTATTGTTAGCCTTTGCCCCGTGACAGTGTCTATGATGCCTCCTGTCTGAAGCTGCCTTATGAGGATAGCACAGGCCATATCTTGGTCAATCAGATTATGTCTTACAGCCTCTTCCACTGTAAGTCTGTGTCCTGTTCTTGGATCTACTATGCCACCAGCAAAAAGCTGAGCTTCCAGCAACCGGACAGTGACCTGCCTATCTATTAGCCCTTCCTGAACTGCACGGAAAATGCTAACCTTCCGGCCTGATTTCAAGCTCACCATCCCCCCTGCCAATTGTTTGACAGGCAGTAATTTGAATCCTGATTCCTGGTGGACAATACATCGCTGCATCAGATCCAGCAAACCAATTTTCTCAGCTGTGTTAGGGTCTATCAAATTCTTGGATGTTCTAAGATAAGACTCTAATACTGAATGAAGCCATGCAGAAATGAGGCCTTGATGAAAAGCCTCTTCCAGGTTAATACAGTTCTCACTAGGGGAAAGACTGAAACCTCCAGTTGCCAGGTGAGCTTCTAAGATTTTCAGTCCAACTGTCTCACTGATTATTCTCTTTTCAATTGCTTCCACCACAGAAAGAGGGCCTCTGCTCTCAGTAAGCCTGCTTATTAAGGCCAGGGCATCCTGTAGCTCCCGGAGCTGCTGGTACATCTGGGGATTAATGAGGTTTCTGGCTATGCCCTCCTCCAAAGAGAGGTTTTCACCCGTCTCAGGGGCAATGAGGCCAGACATGATAACCTGAGATTCCAGAAGCACTAGGCCTGTGTCTTGGTCAAGGAGGCCCTTTTGCATGGCTTTGAAGATGGGAAATATCTCCACTGTGCCTAGGTCAATCACCCCAGCAACTGCTCTGCATTCCTAAAAAAAAAAAAAAAAAAAAAAAAAAAAGGAAAAGAGAAGAAAAAGAAAACTGAATCAGAGCCAATGGCAAAGCACAACTATTGAAAGGAGTCATTCAAAGAACTATAGTATACAGGCCAGGCACAGTGGCTCACGCCTATAATCTGCCCAAGGCAGGCAAATCATGAGGTCAGGAGTCTGAGACCAGCCTGACCAACATGGTGAAAAACCCGTCTCTACTAAAAATACAAAATATTAGCTGGGTGTGGTGCGCACCTGTAATCCCAGCTACTCAGGAGGCTGAAGCAGGAGAATGGCTTGAACCCGGGAGGTGGAGGTTGTAGTGAGCTGAGATTGCATCACTGCACTCCAGCCTGGGCAACAGAGCGAGACTCTGTCTCAAAAAAAAAAAAAAAAAGTACTACAGTATATAAAATTCTGACCACAAGGAAAACCCAGCATGGGATAAGCCCCAACATGTAGGAAATATTCTGAAGCAAGCCACCCGGTGTTAAGACTAAAAAAGAGTTTTTCTAAACTGCAGAATGTTTAATAGGTCAGAAGTTCCTAGATTACTTGAGAGATAGTGGCATTAAGCATATCTGAGTGACAAGCTCTACAGGGTGGTAAGCAGTGAAAATGATAGGATTTAATCTTATTTCTAAGACTAAATCATCATAAATGTTCTTAAAGACACGTAACAGTTCCCCCAAAGTGAGAATTCAACGCCATACAACAAGTTTTTGGTGTTGCAAACCACACAGAAGACTCTAGAAGTAGCAATTCCCTGCTGATGAGCACAGCAGGACTGGTCCATAGAATAAGAGAGATTTATGCAGCCCAGAAGCTCCAGAACAATTGTGCATCCCAGTAAACAGGCCTGTGTATACTACTCAAGCAACTATTTAGCAAGTGGGATACTCATATTCTTGGACAATGCTAGCTTCTCCCAAGGCAATGGCTCTAAATTAAGTTAGTTCTAGGTCTTGGAAGTAGCAAGTCAAGGAAGAAACAGATTGGGGACCCTTGCCTATGGAACCACTAGTAACTTTTCTTCTGATCCAGGCTAGAATGGGTAGTACAATAACCATGACTACAGCTATCACTTATTACTAGATCTACTGAACACTGACATTTAATTCTCACAGTAATCCTATGAAAACAATTGTTTGAATCTTTAGTTTGAAGAAATGAAAATGAGGCACAGAGTTTAGGTAACTTGTCCAAGGTCACAAAACTAGTGAGTTCCAGAAACAAATCAAGGTCTGATTCTAAATCTTGTTTGTCCTCCCAGAGTCAGACCCAGAAAACTGTAAAAGACAAGTACAGTAGAGTCACATCTTAACACAGGAGTTAGGTCCGAAGGTCAGTGAATAAGGCATATACGCTGTCAAAATTACCCTTGCAAATCCTAGAAACAGCTCCTAAAGAATTCTCATTTTTGAGATCTTTTATCACAGAATAATACATTCAGATTTTAAATTATTTAAGTGTTTAACCACTTACAACACTTCATCATTTTTATTACTCTCCAACTTTTCAGCTCTTCTTTTCATGTTCATTATTTTCATTTTCTGTATATAATTTTATCTGTCCCTCTTTGGTCAGTGCTACTTTCTGATTACTTATTTAACTCTCTATCTTATTGATAGAGGATCTTGTGGAAGCAATTTCCAATTATTTCCCTGCCTCCTAAATAATGGCATTTCATTTTATCTCAGTGAGTAAGTTCTGTAAGAGCTGATCCATTGTCCATGAAGGTCTAGGAACAGTAGCTGTCATTTAATAAATATGGGATGAATATGGATAAATAATAAGGAAACCCTTAAAATCATTAAGCCATTTCCCCTCAGGTGTTAGAAACACGCACTGAGGATTTCAAGCTTGATGAGGTGCATACAATAAGAATACAGAATGGATAGCAAATGAAAGAACAGTATATTTGGTTCTCATCTCCATTTCTACATATGTGTTCAATCAATGGAATAACTGACAGACTTCTCTACACTATTTAAAGTATTATTTATTCCCTATCCCCATGTTTTCTGACCAAGAATAGAAAGTCCAATTCATATAATTTAAACATATATATTATACAAACTCACTATGTGTCTGTTTTAAAGAAATTGAAGGAAAAAGTTCACTGGAATGTGATAACTGAAAAATTTCAAGATACCTTAAAAATTCCTTTTAGAAAATCCATGAAAGACTATTCAGAACAGACAATATGACAAAGAAAAACATCCCTTTGAGAACTTTTCATTTCTTTTGTGAGATTCATGGAGTCTCAAAAATGCTGACATTGAAGAAAGGCCTGCAGTGTAGCCAAAGAGAAAAGTCTACACTGTTACTTCCAACACCCTCATATAATTGAAGGATAGGCAGGAAATACTCAGCTGGGAAAAAATCCAGAGAAACTCATTTCTGTCCTACCAAACATGGACATTCTGACCTAAACAAGCATTAAGAGATAGAAGGAGAGGAGGAAAGAAAACATAAAAGGCTTCTACTTACCAGAGTTGCAGGGCACGCCTTGGGCAGATAAAAGATAGAGCCTTATGGAGCAGCTCAGCCGTATCACACACACAGTGTAAGCTTGGTGTTAGCGTCCAGCATGCGACTGTTTGTTTTTGCAAAAAAGAACCCCAAACAGGTCGTCCTCTTTTCCCTTTGTGCATTTGTGCTTAAACTCCAAAGGGTTAGTGAAACTTGTAAGCAAGGATGTCAGTTAATCAGAACAATACTTCACATGAAACACACATACAGGAGACACATCATGCTCAATGTAGTGGTGCTCAGCAGCCTGTCCTGTCTTTCTTTTTTTCTTTTTTTCCTTTTCCCCCCTCTTTTTTAACCTTTCAAAATGAGAACCGGATGTTCTCAGCAAGCAATTGTTAAAACTTTTCACATACTCCCTTATATGGTGAAGCAACAAGCCACTGGAAGTGGGCTACCTTAAATGGAGAATGTTACACCAGCACTTTGTTTTTGGAAATACACCATCAAATCATAGCTGGTTTTGTCTTGTGGTTTTTACAACTCTAGCTCCTGTTGCACAAAATTTATATCCAAGGATCAGAATCAAGACATGCTTTGTCTGAATATCATTTTGAGCATCATCTGGACCAAATTTGACTATCACGTGAGCTTAATTTTGGCCTGCCCCACATAAGTTGGCCATTGCTTCACAACATAGGAAATAAGCAGGCAAACACACATATATATCCCAGAGACACATGTATATAATATGGTAAGTGTACACACACGCACAAGTATCCAGGAAGAACTTAGGACAACCAGTAGGAACTATGATGACTTTCACATGGTCCAGGAAATGAATATGGAGGGGAACTGGTCAAGATGCCACATGATGAGATGACTATGGGTGAGGGGAACCAGCGTCTTAGTCAGTGAAACTACTCTACCAGTTTGCTTTGGAACTTAATATTTCTTACTGCCTTAGTATAGAGGGAAGAGGTTCACAGGTTTTTCTTCCCAATATCCAGAACTTTTGGCTATCAACTTTTGAGTGACAATGCCACAAGGGAGTATGTTACTGCCCTGTGATCACATATAATACAGAATTTATGTTCTCCTAGACTGCTGTCTGCCACAAAATGGCATAAGACAAAAAAGGTGAACCAGGTCTAAAGGGTTAGTTGTAAGTGTCTTCTAGTGCTTTTGACTGACCAACACATCATGGAACCCCAGTAAAGAAACACAAGACAAATGGCTGCTAAGGTGAGGTTAAAAATTAAGTCACATTGGTCATGGAAAGCTAGTGATCATGACTCTGAATCAGCAAAGCTGCCTTCATACCATTCAAAAGGTATCCACCCAATATTTGGAGATGAAAACTAAAAGTACCTTTTGTTCTGTCTGGTGAGCCAACTGGCTCTGAAGCTGCTGAAGCTGATTTGCAGAACCATCACAAAGGTCATGGTAAGCCTTGTTTAGGGCATTCAATTGCTCAGATATTTGTTTCTTCTCTTTTTCTGAGAGCCTGGAAGATGAAGCATTAAAGCTTTTTTAGGAGAAAAAAAAACAATCTCCAAACTCTGCTCTATTGCTTCAAAATTGCTACTTCTTCATCTTGGATGGATGATCTTCTTCCATATTCATCGGAGACTTTGGCATTTCAGTCAGTTCTTCTGTTTATCTCAAATCAAGTCATGGTTCTTGATGATGTCAATGCTATGTCACCCCTATGCTTGTAGTTCAAATGACCTCATCTCCACTTTAGCCCCACCCCCAAATGTCAAACTTAGATCCTATCATCTGAAATTATTCTGCTTCTGAAATCTTAGACTTCAAGAATCCACTATATGATTATAACTCTACCTTTCAGTTTTATCTTTCTTTACTCCTTCTATACCTATTTTCTTTTTAAAATAAAATATTTTAAACAGGCAGAAGAATGTAACACATTCTTATTTACCTGTTGTCTAGCTATCCAGCTTTCATTTCACAATTTACTATTTTACATATTTGCTTTAGGGCCTTTTCTTTTTCTTCTCTCTTTTTTTTTTTTTTTTTTTTTGAGATGGAGTCTCGCTCTGTCACCCAGGTTGAAGTGCAGTGGTGCGATCTTGGCTTACTGCAACCTCCACTTCCCAGGTTCAAGTGATTCTCCTGCCTCAGCCTCCCGAGTAGCTGGGATTACACGTGCCCGCCACCACACCCAGCTAATTTTTGTAATTTTAGTACAAACTGGGTTTCACCATGCTGGCCAGGCTGGTCTCGAACTCCTGACCTCAGGTGATTTGCCCGCCTCAGCCTCCCAAAGTACTGGGATTATAGGCGTGAGCCACCGCACCTGGCCGCTTTAGACCCTTTCTTAGAAATAAGACATTACAGATATAATTAAAGCCCACTGTATATTTGTCACCAAGTCCATTCCTTTCCCTTTCTTCCCAAAGGTAACCACCTCTTGAATCTGATGAATCCCGCAACTTTCTTTTTTCATTCCACATTATGTTTCTGAGAATGAACTCTGTTGATTCAAATGGGATCTATCCATCAACTCATGGATATGTCCTAAGCCTTCCTTAATGCCTCCATTTCCTCTTATTCTATCAGTCCTCTCTATTAAGTTTCTTTTCTTCAGAGGCCAGACCCCACAATCCATATTCTTGATCAGTTCCTTACCATTATCCTTGCACTCTCCACTCGCTAACCTGATAAAAGCCCAACCCCAAATCAATCAAACCACCAGTCTCTTCTGCTCCTACACTAAGGCTGCTAGGTAAATCCAGTTAGAGAAAAAAAAATTCCACAACCACATAGACAGAGCCCACTGGTTTCCAATCTCAACTGGGTCACAATACTTCCTGACAATCCTCTTGTAAATTCCCAGCCAAGTCCCTCTTCCTTTCTCCTCGGCACCATCCTTTCAACAAACCTCTCCACCTATTTCAAAGAGAAAATACAGACCACTGGGCACTAATTCTCTTACTTTCTGGCTTCGGTCCTAACAAATTTACCTCTATCCATACCTTTCTTAATCTCCTTTCCCTCATCTCCACCTCAGAAAAAAGGTGGTCCCAATTTCCTGTTTAAGGTTGTACTTTCTAACTATCAATGAGTTTCCTCCTCTTGCATGTCCACTGGGACCTTTCTCTAATTATCTCCTCCCCTTTGTCCTTGAGACTTACTCGAAAACATAGTTAAGTCCATTGTATCTTTTAAGAAAACAAAACCCTTCTTGACCATATATTTCATTTTTAAATATTGACTCTATTATATTTTTTGCTCCTATGTCCTGGCTTCTTGAAAGAGCAGTTCTGTTTCGCCTTGCTTGCCTCCAATGTGCTCCTCACCATACTAAATCTGACCTCATCCCACAACTTGTCACCAGAGGCACCAAAGACTTCTAACTTGCCAAATGTAACAGATATTTCTCAACTTTTCTTGACTTCTGAACTTCTCTCCTTTTTGGAACTCTGTTCTTTCTTGGGTTCTGAGTTATCACTCATAATTTTCCTTTTCCTTCTCTGAGGCTTCCTTAACAGGCTGAGAAGCCCCAAAAAGCCCTTTTGAGTAATCTACCCACATGGTTTCTAATACACTGATAATTCAAATCTCTGTCACTTTATGCGATAATTTTCATGTGTAACCACACCCATAGATTCATTATCCTTAACATCTCTTGAATATTAGTCTCTTTGTTTCCATTCCTCGTCATTTCTTGTCTACATTATCAGAATAGCCTCTTAACAGGCCTCTCAGCCTCTATTCTCACCACATGTCAATCCTTTCTTCATATAACTGTTCTAGCAACCTTTAAAAGTAAAACACAATCACATTTAAAATCTCTTCCCATAGCCAACAAATTAAATGCAAACTCCTCCGTATGAACTACAGGGTCCCCATAATCTGGCTCTTGCTGCTCTGAATTCTCCATTCTGAAATCTCATTATGGCTGTAAGTTTTAGACTGATAGACCAGGTGCCCCAGATGTGCCATAATCTCTCATTTAATACTCACTTATGACCATGCTTGGCCAAGAAGATCTGTGATGTTTTAATAGCTTCAGAGACTTGTTCTTTCTTTGTTGTCAGCTCTTCTGACAGAACCTACATGGTAGAAATAAAGAGAAAAAGCTTCAAAACCCAAGAATTAAGAGTCAAAAATTATTTAAAATTATTTTTTTAAATCCTAGAGAAAATATGCAGCTTAGGTCAAATTATTATCACCAATGAGCTACAGCTGATAAAAAGGTACAAGAACAAACAAGATGGCTTCTTAAGTTTCTTTAACATTTACTCAGGTAGCAATCACTTCTGGAATGGCCCACATGTGACTTCTACTATTCCACCTAATGTATTATCACATATTATTCTACCCAGGTAAACAGAGATGGACCTTCTTCTCACCTGCTGTTCCAAAATAGCTTTTTCAATGTCTGTTGATTCTTTGGTCTCGGATGAGGTAGCTTTTCCTTGTGTATTCCTCGCTAGGGTAGACACCCAGCCCAAAAGTTCTTTAACCTTCTCCACATGTTCTTGTTTCTCCTCTTCTACCACTTTCTAGAATAGGAAATAGAAAATCAATATGCTAGCAATGTCTTTTATTAGGCTGGCACGACTTCAGATTTTCTTAAATGAAGTCTTCCTAAAAACAGATACAGTTACCTAAATAAGTGGGCTGTGAAAATAACCCCAAGTATAATTTAGCCCAGCCTACAGTATTGCTCACAGGTGTTTGTGAGCTAAATTTATTATACCTAGGTTTAATACCTTTCTGAAAAATACAAACCACTGTTTTATATATAATAGGCACTCAATAATTATTTGATGCTTTTTAAAAAAATCTCTTCACATATAGCATCTTACTCATTTTCATAATTCTTAGGTTTACAGGTGAATCTGTAAGAAGAGAAGAGACTGAAGCCTACTGAGATTACATTATGTAGGTATGGATATAAAGAAAGTCTTGCTAATTTAAAAAGCAAAAGATGGTATGGTTAATGTTTTAACAGCTTTTTTTTTATAAGAGAGGCTGAATATGCAGAAACTTATTTTACAAAGACAGAAGATTTTTACAGTTACAAACAGATGACATGCTCATTACAATAAATTCAAACAAGTCTAAAATACATAATTATGTAAGTTAACGTTATTTCCCCAGAAATTTGGTATAGGTGCCTATAAACTTCTTTCTATGCCATGTCTTTGTAGTACACAGTTTTGTTTTTAATGAAATCATAATTATACATAGTATTCTAACTTCCTTGTCTCTCAAATAAAATATATATTATATAATAATTTAATTATATGTTACATATATAGCATATATTTTGCTGGTTTAAAAAATTTTTTTAATTTTTGTGGGTACATAGTAGGTGTATATATTTACGGGGTATGTGGGATATTTTGGGCTTTTTTTTGAGACAGCCTATTGCCCAGGCTGGAGTGCAGTGGCACAATCATGGTCACTGCAGCCTCAACTTCCCAGGCCCAAGTGATCCTTCCACCTCAGCCTCCCAAGTAACTGGGACCACAGGTGTGTGCCACCATGCCCAGCTAATTTTTAAATATTTTTTGTAGAGAGGGGATTTCCCTATGTCACCCATGCTGGATTCAAACTCCTAGACTCAAGTAATCCTCCCAACTCAGCCACCTGGGTACCAGAGACTACAGGCACACACCACCGTGCTGGCTAAGATGTTTTACTGTACTTTCAAGATGACTTTGGACCCAACTGTCCTCACCTCCTCCTCCTCCAGACGCCGGAGTGCATCACTGATGTATTTCACGTGCTGAGTTGTTAAAGTCACCAATGCCGTGTAGCGAGTCCTTAAGTCCATGAACTGTGGTTCAAAAGAACAATTTAAATAAATCGTCTGCCAGAAAATGAAATTTAAATAGTTCAAAATAAGAGGAAATGTTCATGCAGTCACATGTTCACCAGAAAAGTGAGCCCTAAATCAAAATGTAAGGCCCAGGCAAATGAATCTTTCCTTAAGGGAAGACAGTGGTGTATTTCCTTCCCCCACCCTCTCACCTCTTGAGTGATGGCATCTGAAGAGGAAAGCATGCGACGGCGCTTGCCAGGGGATTTCTGCTGCGATTCCACAAAGGCCTTGTATGTCATCAGTTGCAATTCATAGTCCTAGGAAAGGATGAATTTCGCTACAGTTACTCAGGGTTTTATAATTCACATACATCATGTAATAAATCATAGCTTTTTATTGCTGGAAGCGTTTTGGTGACCACTCATGCTGGAGGTTAGCAAACTTTTCCTGTAAAAGGCCAGACAGAAAATATCAGGCCATACTATCTCTCTCATTATAAGTGAAAGCAGCCATAGGCAATATATAGATGAAAGGGTGTGGTTGTTAGAATAAAACTTTATTTATGAACACTAAAAACTGAAGTTCATATTATTTTCACATCATAAAATATTATTCTTTTGATTTTCTTTTCAACCTTTTCTCATGGGCCATACAAAAACAGGTGTGTGGACAAGATTTGGCCTGTGGGTCATAGTTTGCTCACGCCTTAGTTGCAGTCTGACCAACCCTTTCATCTCACCTGTGGGGAAAGTGAAACCCAGAGAGGGGATGTGAATTTCCCTAATTAACTAAGTGGGTAAGTGTTAACAGAGTTAGGATTAGAATCTTAGATTTCTAATCCCTGAACCAGTATTCTCATTTTACCATACTATTCTGCCACTTCCTCTGCAACCCTGCAAGTTCTGCTCTAGTCCACTCTCTTCTTCTCTCACATGAAGTAGCCTTATAAGTGCGGTAGCCTCTTAGGTACTTTCACTGCTTCTAGTCTAATCTCAATTTATTCTCTATTGTTCCACCAGAATACTTTTTCTAAAACCCAAAGATGACCACATCACTCTTCTCCTTAAAAAGCTTTCAATGATCTAGAATAGAGCTTTTCAAACACCAACATGCATATAAATTATATCCCCATATAATTTATTAAAATGCAGAATCTGATTCAGCAGGTCTGAGATTCTACATTTCTAATAAGCTCCCAGGTGCTACGGATGCTACTGGTTCAAAGACAACACTTTGAGAAGCAAGAATAGAAGATAAAGCCACAACAATGGAACAAGGCCTGTCATGGGTTGGCCCCAATCTCACCGCTAATTTTCCATAGTCACTGCTCCTTATTGTGCCTTCTAGCTATATCAGAATACTCTCTATTTCCTCATATAATCAAGTATTTTCATTCTTCTCTGCCTGGGATTATGCAGTTCCTTTGCCTAAAACGTCCTTCTGCTGTCTACTTAAAAAAACTCCGGGTAGAAGGAAAACAAGGAATGAATTTGTGAAGGAACCCATAAAAAAATAGTAGTAAGAACATTAAAATATAATCAAAGCAATTGCTACCACTTACTGAGTGCACTTTAAGTTTGAGGCATGGTCCTATGTATACATTATCTCATTTAATCTTTACAATCACTCAGTGAGGTATTATTGTTCTCACTTTATAGATACAGTAACAGAAACATAGTCTAAGTGCATACTCAAAGTAAGCCTGGAAAATGGTGAAGGGTTTGAACTCAATTCTTTCTTACAGTGAGTGTTCTGTTATTAACTAAAGGAAAGCCTTCATTCAAAAAGTATTTGTTAAGCATCTTCTATGTACTTGCCATTGTTTTGAGTGCTATACACACACACTGAGAAACAAGTCAGGAAAAACTTTGCTCCCTTGGAACTTACATTCTAGTAAGAGTCACAGAATAAACAAATAAATATGTAATAATCTCAAGTTATTTTTTTCTTTTTTTTGGAGACACAGTCTTTCTCTGTTGCCCAGGTTGAAGTGCAGTGACACAATCACGGCTCAATAGCCTCAATGTCCCAGGCTCAAGTGAGCCTCCTACCTCAGCCTCTTGAGGAGCTGGGACTACAGGTGCACACCACTACATCCAGCTAATTTAAAATTTTTTTTTTTACAGATGGGATCTTGATATGTTGCCCAGGCTGGTCTCAAACTTCTGGGATCAAGTAACCCTCTTGCCTTGGCCTCCTAAAGTGCAGGGATTACAGGTATAAGCCACCACACCTGGCCTCAAGTCATTTTTCCTTAAAGATATTCTAAGAGAAATAGGGGAGAGCTAAATCATTCACGGCCTTATAAACCATGTAAGAATTTAGAATTTTATTACGACTATGATATGAAGCCATTGGACAGTTTTGAGCAGGAGAGTGACATGATCTTATTTGCTGTATTTCATCTATTCTAAGGTACACATTTTCTCCACATTTTAGTCTTTCAAATTGGAACATATTTTAGAATCAATGGCATGTCACATAACTGGCAGAGTTTCTTCTTTTTTCCTCTTTTTGGCATGCAGAAAATTATGGTGTAGCTTGTAATCAATGGAGTCTAAGATTCAGTGACATGCAATATGTTCTAAAAAGGGGATTTTGGCTACTCTGTGGGAAAATAGCCTGTGGGGGCCAGAGCAGAAGCAAGAGACCAGCTCAGAGGGTACTGTAGTAGTCTAAAGAAGATTCTTCACTGGAATGTGAACTAGGGAAATAGAGGGGAGATAACGGCAGGCAGTCAGATGTGGGACATGTTTGAAGACAAGAGCCAACGGAGAATATAAAGCTTAAGGCAAAGAGAACAGTTTAGGATGACTCCTGGGTTTTTTGCCTCAGCAATTAGAAAAAAATGGCCATACTATTTCCTGAGATAGGAAAGACAAGTAAGAAGCATATTTAAGAAGAAAACTCAAACATTCTGTTTTTGCCATGTTAAGTTTAAAGGGCCTACGGTCACGCAAATGGAGACTCCTCAAATCACAGCCAACGTCTGCTACTTCTCCAAGCAACCCCAAACATGGGGTTGCAGGAAATACACATCTGCTTAACTGAAGGATCAGGCCAGCTTGTAGCATAAGAACTCTGCTTAATTTGTCTAGAAACAGAACCTACAGTGAAGATGTAGGTTTTCCTGAGCTGGTGATGATTCATGTTCTTTTTGGGATGTGGTAAAGTTACCTTTACAATAGTAGAGTACTGCTGGGAAAATTTTTGACATTGATCCAGTTTTGTCTGATTTCTCTCAATTTCTGCAAATAGGGCCTAGGAAGCAAAATATCACAACATTATCATTGCCATTACCACCATTGAAAGAGCTGAACATTTACTATGTTCTAAGGCAGTAGTTTCCAAACCTTAGCTGCATCAGAATTGCTGGAAAGGGTGGTTAAAACACATACTGCTGGGCCTCACCTCCAGAGTTTCTGGTTCAGTGGGTTTGGGTTCACAAATTTGCACTTTTTTGTCTTTTTAATCTTTTGTAGAAACAAGTTCTCGCTTTCTTAACCAGGCTGGTCTCAAATTCCTATCCTCAAGTGATCCCCATGCCTCGGCCTCCCAAAGTGCTGCAATTACAGGCAGAAGCCACTGTGCCCAACCCAAGAACTTGCATTCCTAACATGTCCCCAGGTGATACGGATGCTGCTAGTCTGGGGTCCACACTTTGAGAACCACTATTCTAAGTATTTTACATGTATCACTTCAGTTAATCCTAGCAACGATAATCTCATAAGGTAGGTTAAATAAATAACAAACTATGTCCATTTTACTGATAAGGAAGTAGAACACTGAGAAGCTAAATAACTTCTTCAAAGGCTTATAGTAGGTAAGTGAGCCAGAATTGGAATCCAGGCAATACAACTCCAGATCTCATACTCTTAACCATAATGCTAAACAAAACAAAACAAAACAAAATACCAACAAAAAAAAAATGCTTAAAATAAATCATTTTCAAAAAAAAAAGAATCATTTTCTTCTACTTACAATTTTCCCTTGGTTTTCAAAACCCCATATCTAATCCTAGTAAAATAAAATGTAATATAAAAAAAAACAAAATAAAGATAATTTTAATCTGTCCATCTAGTGGTTTCAATACAGTTACAGAAACTCAGAACTGAAGGTACCTTACAGGTTCTCTAGTCTAAATGCAAAACCAGTATCTTGGGACGATCCTGCTCAAACCACTCAAAGAAAAGGGAATTTGGATATCTTCCATTTGGAGGAAGCTTTAATTGCCAGTACATCATTTTCTTTTATGATAAAGAAAATTTAAATTTCTAACTCTTCTCGCCAGAGCTACTACCACACTCACCGTCTGCTGGCTGAGCTGCTCCGAAAGCACTCTGCTATCCTCTGCCTGGCCTGGCTTCATCATTTCCTGCTGGGCAGTGGTTTCCTCAATCCACTTGATGAGAGTTCCATGGCAGGCTCGGTAATCTCCCAGAACTTCCTGGATACTTTCTAGCTCAGATTGGCTAGAAGAACAAAGGGAAACTGCTATCAGATACCTTGGTACAAATACAATAAAGTAAATGAGGTAATTCCCTCTTTAACCCATGTATCCAGCTGGGCTTGACCACAAACGATCCATCTTTATCTACGGGGAACAGCGATGCAAGGCTGAGTGAGACCTATGCATGTACCAGTGCCCTATGGTCAAAAAAGTGAGTAGAAACCAGTTGTGACCTGCTAGCCCTGGATGCTGCCTTGTGGTCTAGCATCCCACAATAATCCTTGTCAAATTTTTCACCTAGGTTGCCAAGAATTACCAGGGTGACCAATAAGGTAGTATTGGCTGTACAGTTCTATTCCCTGATGACAGAGTACCTGTCAGTACAGCACAGCTATGATTTATGAATCACTATAATTTCTCAAGGAGAGAGGGGAGAGAAGTGAAAAATAGTCATTATTTCCTGCTACTTCCAATAAGTCATATCACTTCTCTAGTCTAACCAGCTTTGTGATAAGACTTCAATTAGAATGAAAACTTATGAGTTGTTAAGCTCCTCTCCCTACAAATTTCCCTAACCAGCTTAGCCTCCAAAAGGTGCAGTTTCTGTCCTTCCTATTTACATCTGTCATTAGAAGCAGGACCTCTAGTAACAGAGATGAAAAATTACTGAATTAGCAAATGAGATGAAAGCAAGAAATTCTGTAAAGCTCCATCATAAAAAATGGCTCATATTTGGATACAAAGCTAATAAAACAAGAACTAGAGTATAGGTTTTGTCCTTGAGAAAAGATCACCAGGGACCTTTCAAGTCTACATTCCAGGAAGCCATTGTCATCAGTGGCTTAACTAGAAAAGACCTGGGACACAGGAGAGGCATTACATCTGCTTTGAGATTGCCGGTCTCACCTTTCTGTCACTTACTTGTCCAGAATTTATGTGGTTTTTAAATTTCCACCCCTCCCTATCCATTTCCACCTTTAAATATAAATGTACAGATATAACTCTGTTTTTGTTTAAGACCTAGTCCCTGAACTCTAATAGGAGAAAAAGGTGGGGCCACCACTCACCGAATCTCGAGCTGGGCAATGACTCGGTGCCAACGCTCCTGCAGCTGGGAGCCTTTTTCCTGATAGCGCTCCAAATCCAGATTTCGCTCTGGTGTCAGACGACTCATCTGCTCTGCCACTACCTTGGCCTTGGCAATTTCCTCATCCAGGACTGAAAACACTGAATTCTTGTCCTTCACATCACTAAGCCAGTGCTGTGGAAACATAAGTACAGAAACAGGTTGTATACTTTCCATGCTAAAAAGGAGTCAGTCTAAGGTGGGAAACAAGGACACGGTCTACAGCTATTTCCACATTGTATATGTGATTGTGCCCTGGAATGTTTGTGCCAGGACTGCCTCCACATGTCATGGTCTCTGCTTTCCTGATACACACTGGGATGCCAAGGACAGGCAGTACTCTATAGAGAAATGTGCATAGAACTTGTGTTTGAAACCTGGCTTCACCACTTATAACATATGAAACCAAAATAAGTCATTTAGCCAGAGTAAGTGTTGGTTTTCTCATCTGTAAATGGAGAGAAAAATCTCTTCTTGTCCACCTCACAGAGTGGCTTGTGAGAATCAAATTAGATAACAGCTAAGTGATTTATAAACTTATGGCACAACCACTGACTGTATCCAATTAATCCATGATTTTATTAAGGTGAAAAGGGAAAAAATAAATAGAAAAACCTAGTCCTTTCTCTTCCCTTTCTAGCTAGACATACTTCTCAGTCCCTTCTTCTTTGAATACATATTAAAATATATTTAATGACATTCTGCCTTATTCAAATGCAAATTTAAATCAGTGTCATGCCATCCAAAATTGCATTTCTCTGCTAACCCAAAGCAATGAATATGTTAGGTCAACCTCCTAAGAAACTCAGAGCAACTCACCCGTAATGTCGACCAATGGGCCTCCAGAGCTGAGAGATCTGCCAGTACTACTTCTTCTTGACTCAGCTTAATCTCATAACCTTTGACCAAGAGTTCAGCATCCTGTATGCTACGTACTATAACATCAACTGTCTTTAACCTGTGGGGACAAATACACATTCCTTCATTAACACATGAATTTTAGGAGCCAGGGTTATATACCTGGAGTGCTATAGAGAGGTTCATAAAACATAATAACCAAAATCAATGTCACCATTTTTAGATGTTGACAGGGTTTTGTGAAAACAAGTAAATGTGGTTTTTATGCTGCCAATTTAAGCCAATTCAAAATAAAGTTCTAAGTGGCATTGGAACATGCATACATGTGGTGGACTCATGGAAGAAAGGCATGAAGCCAGAAACCCATTTTACACTATGAAGAGTTTAAGATGCGCTACTCTTCAAGGTCATAGGTAGAGATGGGTGGGAAGAGGGAAGACCTTCAAAGTCTAATACCTAGTGTAACTAAAAACTTTTCTTTTTATTCTTTAGTGTCTCTTCCTTTGTCTTTATGCCATTAAGTATTATT
Organism: Homo sapiens; assembly: GCF_000001405.40. Classification (NCBI taxonomy): domain Eukaryota; kingdom Metazoa; phylum Chordata; class Mammalia; order Primates; family Hominidae; genus Homo; species Homo sapiens. The sequence continues at coordinate 39,315,961 of NC_000001.11, read as the reverse complement.
TTCAGAAATATTTAATCAAACAGAAGTGAGGTAAATCATAGTCCCAACACTGCAAATTAATTCCCCTTTCATATCACTGGCACTTCTTCACTGCAGTCCAAATGAACCTACTTAATGTTACTAGGAACTGAAGCCAAGACCTCTCATTATCAGTATATGCTCTTCAGGATCTATAATCTCTCTGTATTATTCATGAAATACTTTAAGCCTTTCTCTTTCTTATCCCAATGGAAAATATTGCTCTTGGACCCAAAACCTCAGCTCACTCACTTATTCAGATATACAGTAGAGAGACCATAGACATGGTCCATCTTCTCCACCAGCAGATTCAGTTCTGAGCGCAGAGTTGGGACACTTGAACTAGATGGAGACTGATGGAGAAAGCTGTCACATTTCATAGAAACTGCATCCAAGTCTGACCTCAATTGCTGTAAATCCTCCTGGGTGTGCTGCCAGGAACAAGACACACATAAAGAGGGAGACAGAATTGAACAAAAAAGGTAGAAAGAAGTCCACATTTGTAATAGCTAAATATTGGAAACCACCTAAATGCCCATATATAGGAGGCTGGTTGAATAAACTATGAAGCAGACATACGATGGAGAATTATGCAGCTGTAAATGAAATGAGAAAGATTTCTGTGAATTAAGTGGTTTTAGGATATATTTTTAAGCAGAAAAAGCAAAGTCAACAGAGTATCTATAGCATGTTATATTTTGTATATAAAAGAAGGGAAAATGAGAAAATATATGTGTATATGTTTATACAAAGAGACAGACAGAAAGGATAACCAGAAACTAATGAGATGAAAAGGATGGAATTGAAAGGATCGAAGGAAGGCAAAGGGGATAAAAGGACTAGCTAGAGGGGAATACACTTCTTTTTGTATAGATTTGACTTTTAGAACCATGTTAATGTTTTACATTCTTGTAAAGAAATAAATAAGGAAAATTTAAGGGTGGCTCTCAAATGGAACACAACAGAAATATATAAGCCTAACTGTATTTCAGATAAATAACATAATCACACTGAAGGGGAAGAAAGGGTAAGAACACACACAAGCAATTTCTGAACTCAGTATTCGAACTATAGATATACCTTTAGGCTAAAGACATAAGGAACTATAAATAAATGTTAAACTCTAGTTTGGTAGGTTTGTTTACTGCAGTGAGTTAACAATTCTGAAACTACTATCTGTAAATGCTAGGACTGAACAATAAGTAAATATACTGTGGATAACATAAAGCAGGTTTTTCTCTCTTGGGGAAGGGGGTTAAAAATATGGAAAGAGGCTAGAATAATCCCTGTGCTATGGGTTGGGAACTGGATGGGGAGACAAATACATATGAATTTGTGTGTGTGTGTGTGTGTGTGTGTGTGTGTGTGTGTGTGAGAGAGAGAGAGAGAGAGAGAAAGAGAAATTGAGAGATCAATAAATATATTGATCTATATCTGTAAACTTACGTACATGTATATGTGTGTATATGTAACACGTGTGTGTGTGTGTATGCATATATATATTTGTAAATATATGTTTTCTTTTTTTTTTCTTGAGACAGAGTTTCGCTCTTGTTGCCCAGGGTGGAGTGCAATGGCACGATCTCAGCTCACTGCAACCTCCGCCTCCCGGGTACAAATGATTCTCCTGCTTCAGCCTCCCAAGTAGCTAGGATTACAGGCACACGCCACCATGCCTGGCTAATTTTTGTATTATTAGTAGAGACGAGGTTTTACCATGTTGGCCAGGCTGGTCTCCAACTCCTGACCTCAGGTGATCCACCTGCCTTGGCCTCCCAAAGTGCTGGGATTATAGGCGTGAGCCACCACACCCGGCCTATGTTTTCTAGCTCTGTCTGCTAAGTGGGCCTATAAGCAATAATACTCCAACAACAATGAATACATTTGGTACCCAGATCTTAGTTTCTAAATAATATTCTCTGCCCAAAAGAATCAGAACTCCTTGGAGAAACAGTTGATTTCCAGGGTTGAGACTGGAAAAAGCAAGATGAACCTGGAAGATCTTATTTTGTCAAAAAGAAAGAACTTCAATGGGCATCATGACCCATGCCTGTAATCCCAGCACTTTTGGGAGGCTGAGGCAGGAGGACTGCTGGAAGCCAGGAGTTGGAGACCAGCCTGGGTAATATAGTGAGACCTCATCTCTATTTAAAAAAAAGAGAAAGAAGGAAATAACTCAAAAAATGATGGGGACATGTTAAAAGGACAAAAAAGCCAGCTTGAAGGGGCTTCCATTGGCTAACTTTGGGAAATTTTGAGCATCAAAACAATGAAAACAATGACAGTAACAAATTACACACCATTGAATAAAATAAGAATCCATGAGTATATATTGACATAAATAAATAATGAAAGAAGAAAGCAAGGGAAGGAGGGAAGAAAAAAAAAGGGAGGGAGGGAGAGAAGGAAGACAAACTACAGAAAAGGAAAGAAGGCCTGGTTTTTCCTTTTCCATAGAATGTACATGTTTTTTATGTAGAAGGAACGACAGAATTAGAAAAGCAGCTTTTGGCAACTATGATACTAAGAAGTGATTCAGTCAAGAATTAACAATGGATGCTAAAACTAGTTGGTGAAAATTTGATGAAAAATAGGATATTTACATTGTCTCCAGTACCTCCCCATAGGATACTCAGTAATTACAAAGGGAAAATAGGAACCAGAGATGAAAATTAACATCACCAGTAATGTCATATGTATCCTTATATGACACACTAATATACCAAGGACACAGTATCACTTCTGCAGGATTCCTGCCAAAATTGTAAGACCTAACACTAATCAGGAAGAAACCTCAGGTAACCACAAACAGAAGGACAAAATATTCTACATTTATTCTACAAAATAAATGGGCTGCACTCATAAAAAAAATGTTAAGGTCATGAAAGATGATGGAAAGTTGAGAAACTATTTCAAGTTAAAGAAATCTGAAGATACACAGCAACCAAATGCAATATGTAATCCTGGACTGAATCCTGGACCTTCCTTCTTGGGGTAGCTAGGGATGGATGGTATGAGGATGTAAAGAGCATTATTTGGTCAACTGATGAAATTTTAATGAGGCGTGAGCTTGGATAGCAGTATTATATCAATGTTTGTTTGCTTGTTTGTTTGTTTGCTTGAGACAGGTTTGCTCTGTTGCCCAGGCTGGAGTGTAGTGGTGTGATCTCGGCTCACTGCAACCTCCACCTCCCGGGTTCAAGTGATTCTCATACCTCAGCCACTTGAATAGCTGGGATTACAGGCACCTGCCACCACACCTGGCTACTTTTTGTACTTTTAGTGGAGATGAGGTTTTGCCATGTCGGCCAGGCTGGTCTCGAACTCCTGGTCTCATGCAATCCGCCTACATCAGCCTCCCAAAGTGCTAGGATTACAGACGTGAGCCACCACACTCAACCCGTATCAATGTTAATTTCCTGATGTTTATCATTGTTCTGTGGTTATGTAAGAGGCTGCCCTTGTTTTTTGAAGATGCACACTGAAGTATTTAGGAATAAAGGAGCTTCATGTCTGGAACTTACTCTCAAGATAAAAAAGGAATGTTATTATGTATAATATATAGAATAAAATGATAAAGCAAATGCACAAAAATGGTAACATTTGGAGACTCTGGGTGAAAGGTATAAGAGAATAAAACTTTTCTATATATCTGAAATTATTTTAAAATAAAGTTTTAAAAAGGAAGAGGTATTTTAGATGTATGTATGTATATATGTATCTTGAGACAGGGTCTCTTTCACTCAGGCTGGAGTGCAGTGGTGCAGTTATAGCTAACTGAAGCCTCAAACTCTTGGGTTCAAGCGATTCTCCCATCTCGGCCTCCCAAAGCATGCAGTCAACCTTTATTTCTTAGTGAGTTCTATTTTTCAGGGACAAATAGATTTTGTATCACCCTATAGAAAAGTAAAAAGCTTCCACATGAGAATTCCCAGGCTCATATGATATGCCTCATATTACCTCCCTCTCCACCAGTAAAAATCATACTTCCCTCTCACTCTTCTCTTCAGGTTTGGGGGGAAAAAATAGAAAGTTAGAAAAATCACTCCTCCTCATTAGCCATTCCTTTCCATCCCCTTTAAGCTCCCAGATCAAATTTAATAGCCTTCATAGAGCTCTCTCATACCATTCTAATTAGAAATGTTCTAGAAACACTCTAAGTTCCTACAGCAATCTTTGCTTGGAAATACACTAGTTACTATTCATGACATTTCTTATATCTTATACTGAAGTCTCCAATTGTAACTTCGACTTTTTATTTTCCTTTCACTACACTATAAGCCAAAAAACAAGGATCTTTATTTACTTTTCTTTGTATGCCTCAGAGGACTTAATAAAGCAAAAAATATTTGCTACTTTTACTTCAAGAATACTATCCTACATTTTCATAGTATTTTACTTTTTCAGGAAGCTCATTATATGTACTATACCATTAATTTTCAAAATAACCCTATATCGTGCATTGCCATCTCCATTTTACAAGAAAGTAAACTAGGGATGAGAGCTCACTTGCTCAAAGTCACAGACAGAGCATGTATCAGAGCCCACATTCAAATCAGAGTCATTCCTTATATTTATTGGTCATATGACTGAAGGTAACCAAGTCATTTAAAGTAACACAGGCACATAAGGGATAGAATAAAAGAGTAGCATCTCTACTAAGCAGTTTCAAAATACATAGCCCAAATATACTGCTTAGAAAAATTTACTAGTCTGTTTGCCTTCTCAACTCTGTAGGAAACTAATCAACATTTAGCAATACACATGGAGCTGAAATCACACTTCTCCACGGGTAAAAGACATTTATAGACTGCAAGAAGAACTCCTGAGAAGGACTGTCTTGAGTCTATTGCCTCATTTCTTAGGTGCCATACTCTTGCCATCCAATGAACTCTGAAAGCATTCACTCCACAACCAGCATCCACATGGCTCTTAGGGCTTACCTCTTGCTCTGCAATCCTTAATGCATTGTCCTGCCAGGCATCTCTGTCAGTCCTAGAGCTGGCTAGAGACTGAATTCGTTTGACCACCCTCTGTTCATACTCCTCCAGGCGTAGCCGGATGTTCTTCAACTCTGAAATGTACATCTTGGCCACAGTCTCCTCTTTGTCCTCTGTGAATGAACAAACACAAAAGACCAGTAAGCTCGACATCAGAGATAAGCAGACCTGATATCCTACTAATGAAAGCAAGGCTTTATTTAGGGAATCTTCTGCCTAATCCTACCTGATCCTAAATTTCACATACTGTATACTAATCTTTGAGAGTCCAAACATGTTACAGCCACAAGAAAATGTGATAGGTTGATGAGCAGTAATGACTGAAATATCAACAGACTTCTTCCATGATCTGATTTTGAGAATTCATCTATAAGTTCTTCTCTATCTCAAGTTCGTAGCTACTCAAATGGAAAAAAGTGGTGATGTTACTCTCTCATTTATATGAAGGGTTTCACAGCAACCCCTTGAAAGGCTCTCATTCTACTATTCTCTTTCCCTCTTCCCAGTGCACACACCATTCTCCATGGACTTCATCAGGTGCTGGAAGCGGGCTTTACAAGCTTCCACCTCCTCTTCCAAGCGCAAGCGATCAGCCACTGAGAACAGCACAGAGTCACGACTATCCTGCAGAAAGTCTTCATAGTGGGCCTGAAGGTTCTTCATAATCTGATGGCACTCCCCTGGTGCTGAGGATCGAAGCTAGAAAGAAAAAGCCAGAAGAAATTGCAACAGAATAAAAATGTAACACTTCCTCTTTTCCTCCATTTTACTGAAGTAACATATATACAAAACAGTGCATAAACCATAATCGTAAACATGTTGATTTTTATAATTTGAATTCCTCCATTTAGTCAGCATTCAGATTAAGAAGCAGAACATTACCAGCACCCCAGAACCACCCTTTGTGCCCCACTGGACATAACTCTTAATAATTGTTCACAAGTATTCACCTACTACATATTCTTATGCAAAAGACATGATTGTCTTACAGAGTGAGAAAAAGCCTGCAACCTTCTACCCTTGCCAAGAAGACCAAAGATGTTACTTATTCTAATTAGGAATTTCCTTTACCATTCAAATTGCTGCTTCTAGCTTGTAAGAACCTCAGGTCTCGAACTCTAAAATGGTATTCCTGAGTCCACTTTACTCCATTTGGGTGGGGAAAAGTCTCACAGTAATGAAAAAAGCTCCTTCTGAAAAAATCTTGCCAATGGAATGTAAGCCTGGGGTAAGGTTTTCATAATTACCTTTTCTAGGTTCCAGGTCTGTACAAGGTCAAGGTCTTTACGCAGATAGTTCCAAGAGATAAGGCTTTTGGTGTTAACATGCAGCTGATGCCAAAGGGCCATAACCTTCTGATAAGATTGTTCGACCCTAGAAATAACACAGAACCTGACTATTACCTTTGTAAGACTTCAGCTCCACATTAGAGACCTTCTAAGGAAAAATGTGATTGCCTTAGCAGAATTGAGCTTATATGTTGAGCAGAGAAAGGCAACAAGTCAAATACTAGCATCTCAGGAATTTTTAGAACTAAATTAATTGAGGCTGGGCGTGGTAGCTCATGCCTGTAATCACAGAACTTTTGGAGGCCAAGGTGGGAGGACTGCTTGAGCCCAAGAGTTCAAGAGCAGCCTGGGCGACATAGTGAGACCTCATCTCTATTTAAAAAAAAAAAAAAACTAAACTACATTAATTAATTGAGATCTTCAACTTGGATTTGCTACAGCATTATGCATATTAACGTTAGCACATATTTAGTAATCTCATAAATGTTACCTGGATATAATATGATGATTACAAGCCAGAGAGAAGAAATAACCAGAGAGAACAATAATAGGGAAAGGCATAAACAACATCCCATCCAGAATTGTTGAAAAAGGATTATATCAATGTTTAAAAACTGATTTGCTGTGTTCCAAATATTTACAAAAATGCTAAAATGTTGAGAAATTAATAGCAGCTTAAGAAATTCACCTGGTATATAAAAGAAAACTGCATGGCTCACACCTGTAATCCCAGCACTTTGGGAGGCTGAGGCGGGCAGATCACCTGAGGTCGGGAGTTCAAGACCAGCCTGACCAACAAGGAGAAACCCCATCTCTATTAAAAATACAAAAATTAGCCAGGTGTGGTGGTAGATGCCTATAATCTCAGCTACTTGGGAGGCTGAGGCAGGAGAATCGCTTGAACCCGGGAGGTGGAGGTTGCAGTGAGCCAAGATCGCACCATTGCACTCCAGCCTGGGCAACAAGAGCAGAACTCCATTTCAAGAAAAAAAAAAAAGAAAACTGAAGTATGAAGGGTTTGAGATTTCTTTCCCAAGCATCTCATGTCTAATTCAATCTTGATTTCAGGAAGACTTACAAATACACAAATACACAGACACACTCTCTTACATACCCACCACGTTACCTTGAATTTCTTCAAGTTGAGAAAAAAATGTGAGATATAAAGAACAGGATGGAAAACTAGAAGCCAGGACATCAGTTAAATAGGAGGCATTAAATCCGTAAGTTTAATCTTCCCTCTCTCCAAAACTCCCACTAAAATTTCAGTAGAGTTGAAATTCAAAGTTCAGGAAATCCCAAAGAAGAATAAAAATATAAAAAAGCAACAACAAAAAAAATAGAAAATAAGAGAACATTAGAAAATTAGTTCAGGAGGTCCAACATTCAACAAATGGGAATTCTTAAAAGCAAGAACTAAAAACAAGGAGAATGAAATAATTAAAGAAATAAGGCTGGCGTGGTGGCTCACGCCTGTAATCCCAGCACTTTGGGAGGCCGAGGAGGGCAGATCACGAGGTCAAGAGATTGAGACCATCCTGGCTAACATGGTGAAACCCCGTCTCTACTAAAAATATAAAAAATTAGCTAGGCGTGGTGGCAGATGCCTGTAGTCCCAGCTACTCGGGAGGCTGAGGCGGGAGAATGGAGTGAACCCAGGAGGCAGAGCTTGCGGTGAGCCGAGATTGCGTCACTGCACTCTAGCCTGGGCGACACGGCGAGACTCCATCTCAAAAAAAAAAAAAAAAAAAAAGAAAGAAAGAAAGAAAAGAGAAATAATCCAGACTGGGCAAGGTGGCTCATGCCTATAATTCCAGCACTTTGGAAGGCTAAGGCAGGTGAACCACGAGGTCAGGAGTTCAAGACCAGCCTGGCCAACATGGCGAAACCCCGTCTCTACTAAAAGTACAAAAAATTAGCTGGGTGTGGTGGTGTGTGCCTGTAGTCCTAGCTACTCGGGAGGCTGAGGCAGGAGAATTGCCTGAACCCAGGAGGCAGAGATTGCACTGAGCCAAGATCGCGCCACTGCACTCCAGCCTGGGCGACAGAGCGAGACTGTCTCAAAATAATAATAATAATCATCATCATCCAAGAAAAAACTTCTCCAGACCTGAAAGACGAGTTTCTAGTTTGTGTTCATTAGCATAATGAATGCAAAAAGACTCAAAGGTACAGCATCCCTTTTAAAGATTAGAGACAAAGAGAAGCACTTAAACACTTGCAGAGAAATAAAGATTTCTTTCAAAAGGTAAAAGTATCAGACTGTTCCGTATCATGATAGTGGTGAACGATAAACAATTCTAAGCCTTTGTCAAAACCAATAGTACTGCTTATGACAAAAGATGAGTTTTACTATTATGTAAATCTAAAAAAAAAAAAAGAGAAAGAATGAAAATGGCACTATACATCTAAACAAGAAATCCTGAAAGCTAGAAAGCAATAGAGCAATGATTTCAGAGTTCAGAGTAAAAATAATTTCCAGGCGGGCATGGTGGCTCACACCTGTAATCCCAGCACTTTGGAAGGCCGAGGCGGGCAGACTACTTGAGGTCAGGAGTTCAAGACCAGCCTGGCCAACATGGTGAAACCCTGTCTTTACTAAAAATATAAAAATTAGCCGGAAATGGGGGCATGCACCTGTGATCCCAGCTACTTGGCAGGCTGAGGCAGGAGAATCACTTGAGCCCAGGAGGTGGAGGCTGCCATGTGCTAAGACCATGCACTCCACTCCAGCCTGGGCAACACAGCAAGACTCTATCTCAATAATAATAATAATAATAATAATAATAATAATTTCAAAAAATGTATCTTGCCAGTTAGAGGAAGAAGAAGACAGACATTTTCAGATATAAGAGGTTTCAAAAAATTTACCTCCTACTCAGCCTTTTTCAGTAAGGCATTGGAGAGTGTAATCCACCAAACCAGGGAGTACACTAATAAATAAGACTTGGAATCTAGTAATTAGTGGGTCCACGTATCACAGAGACAGTACTGACTGAATCAGGCCTACAGAACAGGTCCGGACTAAAAAAAAAAAAAAAAAAGATAGAATGGTCCAGAATAAATGTTTCCAAAAGAAAAATGAAAATTGCCTGTGGTGTTTGGCCATATTGGGAATCCTTTTACAGTAATGTAGGAGAGTTTGGAGACAACTAAGCAAACTAAAAAACAAAACAATTACCCACTCCAAGGAAACAAAAATTATATAAGAAAGTAAATAAAACAGGGGCCAGGTGCAGTGGCTCACGCCTGTAATCCCAACACTTTGAGAGGCCGAGGTGGGTGGATCACTTGAGGTCAGGAGTTCGAGACCAGCCTGGCCAACATGGTGAAACCCCGTCTCTACTAAAAATACAAAAATTAGCCAGTCGTGGTGGCACACACCTGTAATCCCACTTACTCGGGAGGCAAAGGTTGCAATGAGCCCAGATTGCACCACTGCACTCCAGCCTGGGCGACAGAGGGAGACTCCGTCTCAAACCAAAAAAAAAAAAAAGTAAAGAAAGTAAATAAAATAATTTATTCATAAATATATTCACTCACCTACTCATTCATTCTTTCATTCAATAACCATTTATTGAATACCTGCTATGTGCTAGGAATGGTTCTAAGTGCTAAAGATACAGAGGTAAACAAAATGGACAAAAATCTCTAATAGGAGAGAATAAACAAACACACAATCTGTTAGGCAGTATTAAGAGTTCTGAAGAAAAATAAAATGAGTAAAGAAGACAGAGAGTGGCATGCAGTTAGTGGGGATGGTGGTCCATGAGGGTTCTAAGATAAACTGAACAAAGTGAGGGAGTGAAACATGTAAATATCAGAGGCAAGCAGGAAGTCCAAAGGCCCTGAGGCAAGAATATGCTGTCTGTGTGTGAGAAACAGAGGAAAGACCAGAGTGACTGCAGCTAAGTACAAGCAAGGAGAGTAGCAGAGGATGAGTTCAGAGAGGTAAGGCACAGTCGCCTCACAATAGTCCCCTAGAGTAAGATGTGGCTCAGCTTTAAACAACACATGTACTAATAAAACAAAAATAGCAACTTAAACAAAAACTGTGACATAACCACATTTGGAAAACGGAAGAAGTGTTTGCATATATGTGTGCATAGAAAGCTAAATGTTAATTTCCTAGAGTAAGAAGTTAATAGATAATTTCTGAAGTTGAAAACAAACAAGGAAATAGCAGGAAAAAATTACATTTGGAAATGTGGATTTATAACCCAGCAAAATCTGCTAAAACAGCTGAAAACACTTGACTCTGGAATGTGGAACTTTGGGAAAGGAGAGGTGATAGCTAATTTTTATTATAATAAACTTTGCAGTATAACCCAACTTTCTAAAATATGTACATATATACATATATATACACACACACACTTTTTTTTTTTTTTTTTGAGACAGAGTCTCACTCTGTCACCCAGGCTGGAGTGCAGTGGCACTATCTCAGCTCACTGCAACCTCCACACCCTGGGTTCAAGCAATTCTCCTGCCTCAGCCTCCTAAGTAGCTGGGACCACAGTCATGCACCACCACGCCAGGCTAATTGTCTGTATTTTTAGTGAGACGGAGTTTCACCATGTTGCTCAGGCTGGTCTCGAACTCCTGACCTCAAGTAATCCAATAACCTCAGCCTCTCAAAGTGCTGGAATTACAAGCGTGAGCCATGGTGCCCGGCCCATATATTACTTTAATAAAAATTAAAGAAAATCAGCTGCCATTAAAAAAAAAAAATTCAGAGTCTGAGACAGAGACAGTCATGGCAGGACAAACGTTTAGAAAGTTTCTTCCACTCAGGCCGGGCACAGTGGCTCACGCCTGTAATCCCAGCACTTTGGGAGGCCAAGGTGGGTGGATCACAAGGTCAGGAGATCGAGACCATCCTGGCTAACATGGTGAAACTCCGTCTCTACTAAAATCCAAAAAATTAGCAGGGCATGGTGACGGGCGCCTGTAGTCCCAGCTACTCAGGAGGCTGAGGCAGGAGAATGGCGTGAACACAGGAGGCGGAGCTTGCAGTGAGCTGAAATAGTGCCACTGCACTCCAGCCTGAGCGACAGAGCAAGGCTCTGTCTCAAGAAAAAAAAAAAAAGAAAGAAAAGAAAATTTGAAAGGAGTGTTGCTGAAACTGTAACCAAAGGAGGCATTATGCTTCCAGAAAAATCTCAAGGAAAAGTATTTCAAGCAACAGTAGTCGCTGTTGGATCAGGTTCTAAAGGAAAGGGTGGAGAGGGTCAACCAGTTAGCAGGAAAGTTGGAGATAAAGTTCTTCTCCCACAATATGGAGGCACCAAAGTAGTTCTAGATGACAAGGATTATTTCCTATTTAGAGACGGTGACATTCTTGGAAAGCACGTAGAGTGAAATAAGTCACTACTGAAATGGCATCACTCATAGGTGGGAATTGAACAATGAGAACACTTGGACACAGGAAGGGGAACATCACACACCGGGGCCTGTTGTGGGGTGGGGGGATGGGGTGGGGGGAGGGGGGAGGGATAGCATTAGGAGATATACCTAATGTAAATGACGAGTTAATGGGTGCAGCACACCAACATGGCACATGTATACATATGTAACAAACCTGCACATTGTGCACATGTGCCCTAGAACTTAAAGTATAATTAAAAAAAAAAAAAAGAAAGAAATGGCATCAACGTGAAGCTGCCCATTCCACTGAAGTTCTGAAATCTTTCATCATGTAAATAATTTCCATATCTCTTTTATAATAAACTAATGATAACTAATGACCCAGAAAAAAATCAACCTTTTTTTTTTTTTGAGACGGAGTCTCCCTTTGTCGCCCAGGCTGGAGTGCAGTGGTGCAATCTCGGCTCGACTCACTGCAAACTCGACCTCCCAGGTTCAAGCGATTCTCTGATTCTCCTGCCTCAGCCTCCCGAGTAGCTGGGATTACAGGGGCCTGCCATCACGCCCGGCAAATTTTTTTTTTTTTTTTTGTATTTTTAGTAGAAATGGAGTTTCACCGTGTTGGCCAGGCTGGTCTTGACCTCCTGACCTCAAGTGATCCGCCTCCCTCGGCCTCCCAAAGTGTTGGGATTACAGACATGAGCCACTGTGCCCAGCCCAATCTTTTTTTTTTTTGAGACAGAGTCTCGCTCTGTTGCCCAGGCAGCTAGAGTGCAGTGGCGCAATCTCAGCTGACTGCAAACTCCGCCTCCTTGGTCAAGCAATTCTCATGCCTAAGCCTCCCAAGTAGCTGGGACTACAGGCGTGCACCACCACATCCAGCTAATTTTTGTATTTTTAGTATAGATGAGGTTTTACCATGTTGACCAGGCTGGTAAAAAAATCAATCTTCTGAGAGTAAACTATTTATAACCAGGAGTTCTTTAAAAAAGAAATATCACTGAAGATACTCCAGCTGAACAGAAGTATTTATTGAAGATCTACTATGTGGCTGGTAGTAGGAGACTTGATATCTCCAATGAGAAGCCTCTCCCAGGAGGAACTTTACCACTGTGTTCAAAAACATCACAAATGCACACTCATCCCTCCACTGGTTCACCGAGGCCAACAGCAGAGGTGGGTGTACCAGTGGCAGCTGAGCCAAGTTACCTGCTGGCCATCTCAATGGCATCCTTATTGGGTGGGGGGATGAGGAAGCAGACTGACGGCACCATTGCCTCGTTCCCTGTGGGGCTGATCACTTTCCATTTGGTCCGCTGAGAATTATCTTCTAGCACACATTCATCATTTTTGCAAATAGTAATCTGAAGAGATAAATTTACCAGTGATTGCTAATGGATAAACCAACAACCCATTATTTCCTGGTGCCTCATCCCAAAGCTATCAAATCCTTAAGAAAAAAATCTGCTTAAGAAAAGATCTGCTATCACTTAGTGAGGGCTTCTGATTTTTGCCAAAAGATAATGGGTATAAATCTACAACACAGGAAAAACTGTGACACCAAATAAATCAAGGAAATAAGTATGTATTAAATACCTGTTACATGTCAAGTAACCCAGACTATGAAAGTTATAATAAGACTATAAAGGCTCAAGAGCGATCTCAGCACAAAAATCTACTAGAGTAAAAACTAATGGAAGGTGAATAATCAAAACATTGTTTTTATGATATTTCCTCTCCCTACTTCCTATCATCCCACCCAAACCCCTGAAAATGTTTAAGCATTTTGGAATTATCAAGTCTTTCTCTTAGAGGCAAGTGATCAAGACTATTATCCCTAACTTACAGGCAGAAATATCGAGACACACAAAAGCACAGTCCCATTTTTAAATTTTTTTTCCATTTCTTAATTCATTCATTCTTTTGTATAATACATATTTCTTGAGTGTCTACTATGTGCTAGGACACTGGAGATAAAAACAGTACAATTGGCCAGGCACAGCAGCTCACACCTATAATCCCAGCACTTCTGAAGGCTAAGGTAGGCAGGCTGCTTGAGCCCAGGAGTTCAAGACCAGCCTAGGCAACATAGTAAAACCTCATCTCTACAAAAAATAACAAAAATTAGCCGGGTATAGTAGTGCATGCCTGTAGTCCCAGCCACTCGGGAGGCTGAGGTGGGAGGGTCACCTGAGCCCAGGGAGGTCAAGGCTGCAGTAAGCCATGATAGTGCCACTGCACTCCAGCCTGGGCCACAGAGTCAGACCCTGTCACAAAACATAAATAAATAAATAAATAAATAAATAGGTACAGTGGTAAGCAGACAAGCATAGTCTGTATTTCCACATATTCTGGTGGTGTATGTAGTTATAATACTGTGTGACAAATGCAATTTACCAGGCAATAAAGGATATGACCCAGTCTTGGCTAGAGAGGTAAAGACAGATTACTCAAGAACTTAAAGCCACATTAAGGAGTTTCGGCTTTTTCCCAAGAGCAATGAGTAATTATTATAAGATTTAAGCATAGGATTGTTATTTAAAGGAAAAAAAAAACAAACAAACGCTGGGCGCAGTGGCTTATGCCTGTAATCCCAGCACTTTGGGAGTCTGAGGCAGGCAGATCATGAGGTCAGGAGATCGAGAACATCCTGGCTAACACAGTGAAACCCCGTCTCTACTAAAAATACAAAAAATTAGCTGGGCGTGATGGCATACACCTGTAGTCCCTGCTACTTGGGAGGCTGAGGCAGGATAATCACTTGAACCCAGGGGGCAGAGGTTGCAGTGAGCTGAGATGGCGCCACTGCATTCCAGCCTGGGCCACAGAGCGAGACTCCGTCTCAAAAAATAAAATAAAATAGGCTGGGCGCGGTGGCTCACGCCTGTAATCCCAGCACTTTGGGAGGCCAAGGTGGGTGGATCAAGAGGTCAGGAGATCGAGACCATCCTGGCTAACACAGTGAAACCCCATCTCTACTAAAAATACAAAAACTTAGGCGGGCATGGTGGCGGGCACATGTAGTCCCCGCTACTTGGGAGGCTGAGGCAGGAGAATGGCATGAACCCGGGAGGCGGAGCTTGCAGTGAGCTGAGATCGTGCCACTGCACTCCAGCCTGGGCGACAGGGCGAGACTTCATCTCAAATAAATAAATAAATAAATAAAATTAAAATTAAAAAAAGAACATGCTGGTGGTAGGATCCTTTGTGCACTAAATGGGGAGGCTGACACAATAATCCAAGTGAAAGAAACTTATGCCTTTTATTTTTTTTGAGACAGAGTTTCACTCAGGCTAGAGTGCAAACAGTGCGATCTTGGCTCACTGCAACCTCCACTTCCTCGGCTCAAGCGATTCTCCTGTCTCAGCCTCCCGAGTAGACTATAGCTGCAAGTCACTGTACCTGGCTAATTTTTGTATATTTTGCAGAGACGCAAGCTGGTCTTGAACTCCTGAGCTCAAGTGATCCATGTGCCTCAGCCTCCTAAAGTGCTGGGATTACAGGCATGAGCCTCTCCACCCAGCCACTTATGCTCTTAGGGTAATATTAGCAGGGATAGAAAAAGTACGTTTAAGGGATATTTACAAATTAGTACAAACTTGATGGTCCTATTAGCTGTGGAGGATAAGAGGGGTGGGGGAGTCAAGGATATCTCCCAAGTGCTACAAAGTACCATCTCTGTCAACACTTAGGCAACTGAGTAGATAATGATGCCAATCACTGAGGCAGGGAGCAGGTCAAGATTATAGTGTTGAAGTTTTTAGTTTAGTTTTTTTTTTTAAATGATAGGAGAGACTTCAGCATGTTTAAATTCTAATTTTAAAAACGCTGTAATTTGATCTTTTATCATCATAACCCTAACTGAAGGCTTCCCTTCTTTCTTCCTTCCCCCTGTGGCCCAGAGGTACCCTTTCTACCTCCTCACCTCGATCTGCCTGTAGTCACAGACAGCCTTGACAGAAATGGTGTTCTTTAACACATGGTCTGGACTGCGTGGTTTTAGCTGAACGATGGTTTTTGATCTCCCAACGAGACTGGCAACGGAACTCTTGGACTGTATAAGCTGCTCCTTTTCATCCTACAAAATGATAAGAAAAACAAAATGACATTAATGCTGCTACTCAGGGTGACTAAGTCAACAAAGAAAACTGAATACTCCACTCCCTCAGAGAATGTCATCTCTCAGTTAAGTAGGGATGGTTGGTGGAGCCATCTTAAAGACTTAGACAATGATAAAGAAAAAAGGAGAGAATGCTTCTGTCTTCTACCAAGTGCTTTCGCACTCAAACTTTGCAGCTTTCTCCCTGTGCCACTTTCAATGAACCATAAAGTCACATGCAAAAATCAAAATAAAAACAAATACTTCTAGCTTCCAAATACAGCTACAAAGCTAATAAAAAATCTATCTAAACATGATTCAGAGAACATGAAAGTTAAAATCAATAATAGGTATATTATTATTAGTCAATTTCTCACTGGTAGAAACCAGTTCTTCCCTTTCTGCTTAGGAGAAGCTAGTTATACTTATTTAAATTTTTAAAAATAATTATATCTCCCAAGCTCTACTCCAAATATTTTATTTTCCTAAATTGAGTCAAGCTTTCTAGAGAAAGATCTTAGCTCTTCAACCAACAATGCTGTTGGTGAAGGTATCATGACAAATGATTTAGGGTTTACCTCTTAGTATTTGCTGTGCTATATTCATATAAATTTGATTGGTTAGAAAGAAGTATCATGCAAAATTGAAACTCTCAAATCTCTGCAAATCCAATAATCTTAAAAATGAATAAACTTCTTGTTAACAAAATTGGTAGTAAACCATTACCAATTCCATTAAAGAGTAAAAGATAAACTTTGTCCATTAACCCGGATGTTTCAAGCCCATTTTGAGGTATAAAAGTCTCCCCAGAAGAGGGCTTTCTTAGGATGGATGTAGATGCGATGAGAGTAAAGAGTTAATAATGTTAGGAAATGCCATTAAAGAACTAAGAATATGCAAGTAAAGAAAAAGAAATGCTTAAATAAACTACCTGTGCCTGTCCCCGGGAGCATGATTGGAAGAAATACAACTTTAACTTATTAGTTAAGAAAGAGGAATGGAATATATCAGGGAGACAGCCACATTTCCATACTTGAGAGCTGGTCTACCCATTTCAGTTTCCTTGCAATAAGATGTCAATTTCTGTCTAACCCACAGCCAAACAGCTCAAGCTCCAGAGACCAAGTGCTCAGCGTGGTAAAAGTTCTGAAAAGAACCAGAAGCCAGGACAGATGCTCCCGAACCTGACGGACAAGCTGAGGAGCAGACCCAGGTGACTCCATGCCCCGATGACGCCGCCAACCCGATGACCCTGACCTGGAGAGGAGGGAACAGAGCAGCGACCCTCGAGAAGAGAAGATATGACAACCACTGCAGAGGAGTTACCCTATGACAGAAGGTACTCTGTGGGAGGGAGGAGATAATAGCCAATGATTATATTCCTCCTTCATACTTGCAGTACCTCTGAGAGAGACATTTTAGAGACAACATCTGAAAAGTCAGGTTTTCATCCTTCATTCCAAATTAATTAAATTAACAGATTATTTGCCCAGGTGAATGTAAAACCACTCATAGGTTTACAATACCTGAAAGTGTAAAAAAATAAAAATAAAAAAACTTAAATTCACAAATGCTCAAATTTTACCGACAAAAAAAATGAACTGTTTTGGGTTATTCTAGTTCTCTTATTCAGACTTTTCTATTGAAATGCGAGATTCCCCTTACTTCTCACAAAGGAAAAGTAAGTTCCCTATTGCATATACATTTCTATTTTAATTTGAGATGTAGCTTGAGCCTTGTCTTGCCAACTCTGTGTAATATACATTCACTAAATATAAGTAGTCTTTCTGCTAATTTAATTACCAGCACTCCTGAAGAAATAATTCATTGGAGAAAAAGAATATAAAATTGATTTGAACTAAATACTAAATGTAAAACTATTTCTTAAAAATTAATATTGCTTCATAAATAACTGCACAAATATTACATCTAAATAAGATTTTAATGTTTCTTTGAATTAAAATCAATTTTAATTATCATCCAAAAGAAAACTACCAAGGAGGAAAATTTTGACTCAGGTGTATTTCTTTGTTGTTGTTGTTGGTTTTTTTTTTGCATAAGAGAGTAAAAAAGAATTTGATATCAACTAATCCCCTTCAACCTTTTCTTCATGCTCAACACCTCATCCTTGGCTCCAACTATTACATTAAAATAAGAAAAATGCAAAGAAAGTACAATGAGCTCAAAGTGGCTCAGAGGAGAAGACTAGGCCTTTACTTCAATAACATACCCAAAGAAATCTTATTAGCAACTTATTTAAGAAAAGAAAAGGAAAAAAAGGAAAGAGACAGAACAACATCGATTAAACTCTATTTGAATGTAAGCCAAACTTTATTACAACAATGGCCCATTGCCCTGGAGCTTTCAAGGATATAAACAGCAGCAGCTGATATGGTTTACTCTCTTTCTCAGAAGTAATCATCCCCACTGAGGCAACACCCACCATGGAGTCCTGGAGCAGGTCTTCAAGGCGGGATAAGCTGGTGTTGTGGTCACAGGAATATTTTCGTTTAATGGAATCTTGGAGGTTCCTCAAGAATGACTCCAGCTCTCGTGCATCACTGAAGAACTATGGGAATACAAAGTAAGGATGCCTTCTGCTCAAAACATTAGAACACCGGAATATTAACTAAGAAAGAACAATTTTACTGTGCAGAGCTTAGCAAAGCTGATTACACCCTACTGCATTAGTGACAGTTTATTACAAGGACCACTGAAACATAAACCGAAGGGCTTAAAAAGCCATGCAGCAAAATATTAGTGCTGACTACCCCAAACCCTACCCTACCGAAAAGTTAGCCTGTTTCACCCCCTCAGAAATCACTGCTCTTTCCTCTTGACTTCTGGCTAGGTACAGCATTTGGCTGTGGGGTGTATTTCATGAAAAACCTAAGGCTGAGTGATCAAATGTTTCAATTCATACTATGAAATAATCACGGAAACTATTTAATTTAGGGGCAAAAGGCCAGGCGCGGTGGCTCACGCCTGTAATCCCAGCACTTTCGGAGGCCAAGGCGGGCAGATCACGAGGTCAGGAGATCGAGACCTTCTTGGCTAACATGGTGAAACCCCGTCTCTACTAAAAAAATACAAAAAAATTAGCCGGGCGTGGTGGTGGGCGCCTGTAGTCCCAGCTATTCGAGAGGCTGAGGCAGGAGAATGGCATGAACCTGGGAGGCGGAGTTTGCAGTGAGCAGAGATCGTGCCACTGCACTCCAGCCTGGGCGACAGAGTGAGACTCTGTCTCAAAAAAAAATCTAGGGCAAAAACAGAGGTAACAGCTTATTTTCTCCTCCCACCTCACCTGAAAATAAGAAGTACATTCTTTCTCTCTTTCTTTCTTTTCCTTCCTTCCTTCCTTCCTTCCTTCCTTCCTTTCTTTCTTTTCCTTCCTTCCTTTCTTTCTTTCTTTCTTTTCCTTCCTTCCTTCCTTCCTTTCTTTCTTTCTTTCTTTCTTTTTATTTAGACACTTGCTCTGTTGCCCAGGCTGGAGTGCAGTGGTGTGATCTTGGCTCACTGCAACCTCTGCCTCCCAGGTTCAAGTAATTCTCCTGCCTCAGCTTCCCAAGTAGCTGGGACTACAGGTGTGTGCTACCACACCCAGCTAATTTTTGTATTTTTAATAGAGAAGGGGTTTCACCATGTTGGCCAGGCTGGTCTTGAACTCCTGACCTCAGGTGATCTGCCTGCCTCAGCCTCCCAAAGTGCTAAGACTACAGGTGTGAGCCATGGTGCCCGGCCAGCAGTACACTCTTTCATGTTCTGACAGATTGAAAAAAGAAAAAAAAGGTCATAATATTTTACAGCTACTCCCATCAAGAGGTGGAGTCTATTTCTCCTCACCTTGAAGCCAGGCACAGCCACATGTCTGGCTTTAACCAAAGGCACATTAATAAATGTGACACAAGCAGAAAAAAAGGACTTGTGCTCTAGGACTCGCTCTCTCTTGCTGCTTATGAAACACAGCCACTTTGTGAAGAAAGCTGCTGGATGCTAGAGACACATGGGTTGGTGCTTCAGCACCTAGCCAACTCTCAGACATGAGCAATGCCATTTGGGACCAACCAGCCCCCAGCCTGTCTGCAGCCATGAGTAAGACAGGCAAGATAAGATGAACCACTTAGCTGAGCCCTGCCCAAACTGCTCACCTACTGAATCATGAGCTATCTAAATGACTATTGTTTTAAGCAACTAAATTTTAAGGTGGTGGTTTATACAACAAAAGCACACTAACGCAGATGTGTTTGTAACCTCACCTTTAACATACATATGTACACACACACACAAACACAGAAATCCATCACACCTGAAAATAAGCAGTATTCTCTTTCACATGCTGCTCAACACACAGGCACAGCTGCTTCATCCACTGCAACTGGGACTGGACAGCAGCACTGTAAGCCTGCAATAAACAAGCACACAGACAGAAGGGCTTGAGTTTAACAGACTCAATATATATGCGCAATACTATTTTCCAAGTACAACTCTGCTAATGATAGAGAAGCCAACAGAAAAGATGTGGAGATACTTGACTGGCATCTGCTCAATGCTTCCCACGAGTAAGAGGTGTTCCTTTAATCCAAAATGGTTTTGTTAGAGGGGGTTACATAGAAAAGGTCTCTTCCACACTCAGTTGTAAGTAAATGATCTAGGCAGCAAAACCCAGGCATAAATAAATTCCTCTGGAATTCTTCCACTGTTTCTCTTCTTTTGGCAAAGGCACCACACCAACAAGAGTCAAGTCAGGATCTGTCTGGATAGTTATTTGAAGAAATATGGTCCAAGTCACTTTTCCTCTGAAAGCTGTGAGCCAATGCCCCTTCTATTGTTTCTCTTAGTAGTTTCCTTAGACTAACAAAAATGTTTGCAGGCTTTTGAGGGACATAGGAACAGTCAGGAATGAAAAGAGAGAAGACCCAAGACAAATGTTCCCTGACACTTCCTCCAAGTCTTTCAGTGGAACAAAGTCTCTAATTTGAATACTTTTATAACAACAACCTCTCAGCATTTGACCTTCACACATTCTCAAGTCACACACCTCCACTGTCTGCTTGGCTGGGTGGTTCTCAAGTGAAAGTAGTTCTGCTGTATCTTGTAGAGAACGAAACACATCCTGTTTCTCCTCCAGTTCCATTGTCAACTCCTGAAAATGGAATTCAATTTTACAGCATAAGCACTCTTGGCAGTGGGGAGCGGATAGCATAAATAAAAGCTGTGTTCCCTATTTTAAAGGAACCTACAATATAGAATTGGTGGCAAAATGAGATGTATAAACAGTGCATGCCAGAGGATTGCAGAGAAGGGCACAAACACTGGAATTATTGGAAAATGATTCACAAAGGACATGGGACCTGACCCAGATGTGAGTAAAATGGGGGAACACAGAATAAGCATTGGACCAGAGACAAGAGATAACTTGGCTGGAGTGGACAGTTCCTGCACGTCAGTACCCACACCAGTACATGACACACCAGGACATGGGTATCAATGACTGGTTGGCTTTGCTTAGACTATTCAGCCTACAATGTCCTCCACTGACTCTAAATTCTATTAACTGCAGGACTCAATTTAAATAGCTCTTCTGTGAAGCTGGATACTGATCCTTACTATGCTTTCAGAGCACTTTCTTTATATCTCTGTTATAGCCTAATTTCAGTTCTCACACAGCCTGTTTATTGTATTATAGTATCCAATCTTCCTTCTTTAATTCAGTAGAATCATATGCCATTCTCCAATCAGAAGAAGCCTATATTTTTTAAGAACCCTAAATCAATAGAATTAAACTGTCTAAAGTGCATGTTAAAAACAAAAACAAGAAACTCCCTATTTGCATAGTTTACAAAATCTTTAAAAATCTTCTGAGTGTGAAAATACTAAAAGTAGCAAAAACTAATCCTAACTTGTCTACATCTTTCATTGAAAAGAATAAAAAGCAGTGTCCTATTGTCCAATGTTAAATTTCCCTTCCCATTTTTACAAACGAAGAGATTGAAACAAAAAAGTTAATAAATGAATTAAGGAGAATTCAGAAATTTGTGGAAAGTCCAGAGTATATCCCAGTTGAACAATACTAGACTAAATGCTTTGTCTAGATTAGCTTATTAAATCTTAATCTTTTATGCAACCGTTGGGGAATACGTGCTATTAGGGGAGGGGGTAGCTTTGAAGTGGTGCTATTATCTCATTTTATGGAGGTCCAGAGAGATTAAATGACTTCCCAAGGTTATAGAGCTAGTTAGTAGAAGAATAAGAATTTGAACTTAGGCACTCCAAAGCCTATAATCTTAACCACAATGCTGTATTGCTTCTGAAATGACTCAATTTACAGGTTGCTGCTCTATTCACCCAAGACACTGCCTTTCTAAATGCATTCTAGATAAATTAACTCTAGGGTTCTACTGTCCCTCTCTCCATTTACACTTCTCACATGCATGGATGCATTGAGTAGGGCCCCTATTTCTATCTAGCAGAGTGCAACTCCAGCCACCCAAGCTTTCAGCAGACTAGGCCCTGTCTCCTTCTGCTGCTGTTAAATAAGTATGACAGGCCTGCTACTGTGCTAGACTCACAGAGAAGTAATTTCTCTTGGCTGAGATATTGGAATTGTTGTCACTCCAGTCATATGCTAGTTCCTCCTCCTCCTTCTCATTCAACCAGATCAACTCAGCTGTAGCTCTGGAAACAAATTTATGCAGGCTCTGAAGGTGCCTCATCCGGAAGCTAGAAGTTTCCTAGACAAAGCAAGGATTATAAGATTAGACTGGCAGCCTTTGTATCTGTAGAAGATAGCACATTTGACATCAAAGGAGAGAATAACTCAGGAAATTAATTTGCTCTTAATCTCTGGATTTTTCCCCATGGATTCAAGTTTTGTACAAGTTTGATATAAGACTCCCAGAACTCTTTTCAATCCTAAGTAGAAAACAGAATTCATAAGGCCTTTGTGGTGCTCCTTGGATAAAGAATGGTCCTGGGCTGTCCTACTCTGGACAATCTTGATAAACAGGGATGAAAAACAACAGATCAGAGGGAAAGTCCCCTCTCTACAAATCTCAAACTTTTAGTTTTGGTGTCTCAAAGCACATATAGCCACACGTTTGTTGAAGCACAATACCTAGGATAGGTTCTATTTATTTAAAACGTTCAAGAACAGTAGTTTCTGACCCATTTAGAAAATTGGGAAAATGTTATAATAGATATGAATAAGTGCATAGTAAATGATATAACCTAATAAGCAGAAAACCAAAACAGGGCCAAACCAGGAGATTTCTGAATTACGGAAGAGAGTTGATTGGGGGGAACCAGACTCTATGAGCAGAATGTAAGAGAATCGGCAGAAACTCACCTTCAATTTACAATACTGTGTCTCCAGCTTTCCAAGAGTTTCAGCATAGCTGGTATGGAAATTCTGGGACATCTTTCCCTGATTAAAAAAGAATGAAATAAAAATACATTAGAGAAAGAGTAAGTAAACTACGTGTTATGGTTGCAACTATGCAAATATTATGTCTAGATAGAGATATGGATTGGTTGCTCTAAGAAAACAGAAGCTTAGACAACAAATTTCTGAGTCATATTTTATAACTTGGAGCAGCACTAAGTGAGCAACAGTTGAGCAGGGTAATTACAAACAACAGACCTCACTATCCTGTGTTTCCAGCAATTCTGGTAGGCTTCTAAGCAAAACCAATGCCTGATTCCCACTCAACTGCTTTTTTGAAGGGAAGAGTTGAAATATAAACTGGGAAGATAGAACAGTGACTGAAGGAGAGAGGAAACTGTGTGAATAGTTTCTCTAAACCAGCGCTCAACTGCAGGCAGATGGGGAAGTAAAAAGTGCCTGAATTTATAGAGGCAGAGGGCCTGAGTTTGGATGCTGCATCCACTACTTACTAATTCTGACCTCAGCTTCCAGTATCACTTTTCATTTTAGTAAAAAGGGGTTAATAAAAATACTTTTCTCACAAGTTTATTTCAAAGATTAACAGATACACTTCATGTGAAAAGGGAATTTGTCATAAACCGCTCTTCATCATCATTATTCTTTTCCAGAGCACCCTCCTCCTTCAATACAGCTTTATTGTGTGTACTGTCCTTTCATCCGTTCCAACCACGTCCCTCCTGTAATGTGGATTCTGAAGGCTACGCACCTCATACAACCTGGCCTCCTTGACACTTGAGCCCAGCTCTTCTACACTCGTATGGATGTGCTGCTGTGTTTCTAGCTGCAACTCCACACTAGGCAGGTCATTGCCCCACTCTGCTCGCTCCAGTTTCATCTGAAAAAGAAAAAATATATATATGACATAATTTACTGCTGGCTTGGTAGGAAAATGGTCAGAACCAATGTTAGGACAAGGAACCAAGGGGTAGAGGACTGAGCAAAAGGACATCCAGGCCATCTCCTTCAATCTACAGCCTCTTACACAAAAATTACGCCATCATCACCGCTAAGAAGCAGGAGAACAGAGCCCACCAATTATACAACAGAGCAGCCTTTTGCTGCTGCATTATTAGTATACATTCCTGGAGTAATCAACCAAAAGGGAAAGGGAACTTCACAGGCTTAAAATGCTTAACTTTACAGTTTAGGCATTTCTCTTTATGGAGTCTTTTCATTTCACAATCATAACTGATATAACAAAGAAGTATCTGAAAATATTTAGCTTCATTTCATGACATCAACTACTGGCCAATGGAAGATAATTTTAAAACAGGTTACTTTGGGATATTTTTATTTATTGTTACATGGGGAATATATTATGCAGACATAGGAAGAATTTAATATAAAACAAAAGGGTTAGAAAGATAAGGGCAATATCAAATTTGAACCACTATCATTGAACACATGTAAATAGTGCCCCTTGGAACTGCGGAATACAGTAGCCTTGCTTAAACTTAAGAGTTACGATTGCCAGGCGCAGTGGCTCACGCCTGTAATCCCAGCACTTTGGGGGGCTGAGGCAGGTGGATCACCTGAGGTCAGGAGTTCGAGACCAGCCTGGCCAACATGGTGAAACCCCATCTCTACTAAAAATACAAAAATCAGCCAGGCATGGTGGTGGGCGCCTGTAATCCCAGCTACTTGAGAGGCTGAGGCAGGAGAATTGCTTGGCTTGAACCCAGGAGTCAGAGGTTGCAGTGACTGGAGATCACGCCACTGCACTCCAGCCTGGGTGACGGAGTGAGACTCTGTCTCAAAAAAAAAAGTTGAGACTGGGCATAATGGCTCACTCCTGTAATCCCAGCACTTTGGGAGGCCAAGGTGGGCGGATCACCTGAGGTCAGGAGTTCAAGACCAGCCTGGCTAACATGGTGAAACCCCATTTCTACTAAAAAAAAAAATACAAAAAATTAGCTGGGCGTGGTGGCGCACGCCTGTAATCTCAGCTACTAGGGAGGCTGAGACAGGAGAATCGCTTGAACACGGGAGGCAGAGGTTGCAGTGAGCCGAGATCGTGCCATTGCACTCCAGTTTGGGCAACAAGAGTGAAACTCCATCTCAAAAAAAAAAAAAAAAAAAGTTACATCAACAATGAAAAACGAAGAATAAACTCCTCTGTCAATGAGAGAATAAAAAAAAAAAAAAAACAGATTTACCCTATAAAAAATACAAGACATTCTTCACAGAAATAAAAAAAAAATTCTAAAATTTATATGGAACCACAAAAGACCCAAAATAACCAAAGCTATCCTGAGCAAAAAGAACAAAACTGGAGGAATCACATTACCTGACTTCAAATTATACTGCAGAGCTATAGTAACCAAATAGCATAGTACTAGCCTAGAAATGGACACATAGACCAATGGAACAGAATAGAGAACCCAGAAACAAATCCATACACCTACAATGAACTCATTTTCAACAAATGTGCCAAGAACATACACTGGGGTAAGGACAGTCTCTTCAATTAATGGTGCTGGGAAAACTGGATATCTGTATGTAGAAGAATGAAACTTGATCCCTGTCCCTTGTCATCATACACAAAAATCAAATCAAAATGGATAAACACCTTAAACTATGAAACTACTACAAGAAAACACCAGAAATACTTTCCAAGACACTAGTCTAGGAAAAAGTTTCTTGAATAATACCACACCAACATAGGCAACCAAAGCTAAAATGAACAAATGGGATTACATCAAGTTAACAAGCTTCTGCACAGTGAATCAACAAAGGAAAGGGACAGGCCAGGTGTGGTGGCTCACGCCTGTAATCCCAGCACTTTGGGAGGCCGAGACGGGTGGATCACCTGAGGTCAGGAGTTCGAGACCAGCCTGGCCAATGTGGTGAACCCCATCTCTACTAAAAATACAAAATTAGCTGGGCATGGTGGCGCGTGCCTGTAGTCCCAGCTACTTGGGAGGCTGAGGCATGAGAATTGCTTAGAATCCAAAGGTTGCAGTGAGCCGAGATTGCGCCATTGCACTCCAGCCTGGGAGACAGAACAAGACTCTGTCTCAAAAAAAAAAAAAAAAAAAAAAAAAAAAAAAAGGACAACCCACAGAATGGGAGAAAATGTTTGCAAACTACTTATCTGACAAGGGATTAATAACTGGAATATATAAGGAGCTCAAACAACTCTACTGGAAAAAAACTAATAATCTAATTAAAAATGAGTAAAAGATTTGAATAGATATTTCTCAAAAGAAGACATACAAATGGCAAACAGGCACGTGAAAAGGTGCTCAACGTCACTAATTATCAGAGAAATGCAACTCAAAACTACAATGTGATATCATCTCACCCCAGTTAAAATGGCTTTTATCCAAAAGACAGGCAATATACAAATGCTGGTGAGGATATGGAGAAAACGGAAGCCTCGTATGCTGTTGGTGGGAATGTAAATTAGTACAACCACTATGGAGAACAGTTTGGAGGTTCCTCAAATCACTAACAATAGAGCTACTGTATGATCCAGCAATCCCACTGCTGGGTATATACTCAAAAGAAAGGAAATCAGTGTATCAAAGAGATCTGCATTCCCACATTTGTTGCACCACTATTCACAATAGCCAGAATTTGGAAGCAACCTAAGTGTCCATCACAGATGAATGGAGAAAGAAAATGTGGTACTTAAACACAATGGAGTACTATTCAACCATAAAAAAGAATGAGAACCTGTCATTTGCAACAATATGGATGGAACTAGAGGTTATTATGTTAAGTGAAATATGCTAGGCACAGAAAGACAAACAATGCATGTTCTCACTTAGCTGTGGGATGTATAAATCAAAACAGGCTGGGAAGAGTATTACGGGATCAGAGGGAGGTGGGGATGATTCATGGGTACAAAAAAATAAAGAATGAATAATACCTAGCATCTGATAGAACAACAGGATGACTATAGTCAAAATAATTTAGTTGTACATTTTTTTGTTTAATGTTTTATTTTTGAGATGGGGTATTGCTCTGTTGCCCAGGCTGGAGCGCAGTGGTGCGATCTTGGCTCACTTGCAACCTCTGCCTCCCAAGCTCAAGTGATCCTCCCACCTCAGCCTCCCAAGTAGCTGGGACCACCGGTGCGCGCCATCATTCCCGGTTAGTTTTCCATACAGATGGGATTTCGCATGTTGCCCAGACTGGTCTTGAACTCCTGGACTCACACAATCCGCCCACCTCGGCCTCCCAAAGTGCTAGGATTACAGGTGTGAGCTACCACGCCCAGCCTGTACTTTTTTTTTTTTTTTTAGATGGAGTCTCACTCTATCTCCCAGGCTGGAGTGCAGTGGCACAATCTCAGCTCACTGCAAGCTTCACTTCCCTGGTTCACGCCATTCTCCTGCCTCAGCCTCCCAAGTAGCTGGGACTACAGGCGCCCACCACCACACCTGGCTAGTTTTTTGTATTTTTAGTAGAGACGGGGTTTCACCATGTTAGCCAGGATGGTCTCGATCTCCTGAGCTTGTGATCCACCCGCCTAGGCCTCCCAAAGTGCTGGGAATACAGGCGTGAGCCACTGCACCCGGCACCCAGCCTATACATTTTTAAATAACTAAAAGAGTATAACTGGATTGTCTGTAACACAAAGGATAAATTTCCTGAGATGACGGATACCTCATTTTCCATGATGTGATTATTATGCATTACATGCCTGTATCAAAATATCTCATGTATCGTATAAATATATGTACCTTCTATGTACCCACAAAAAATTTTTTTAATTAAAAAAAAAGGTAACAGATGTAAAGACATTGCAATTTTCACCAAGCTCTCACTCAGAGTACAGTTAGCTGAGGGAAAAGATTCCAAAGGGTTTCAAATGAGAAAACTGTATGCTATTCAGTACGGGACTGTGAGAATTTGTGCCAACCTCATCCATGCAAGATTTAAGGAGAAGGGGGCTTGGGTCTCAGGCAGCATCAATAATTAAGAAAGTCAAGCCAGGTATGGTGGCATATACCTATTGTCCCAGCTACTCAAGAGACTGAGGCAGGAGGATCACTTCAGCCCAGGAGTTCCAGTCCAGCCTGGGCAACATAGCAAGACCCCATCACTCAAATAAAAGAATAATAATAATTAAGGGAATCTGCACAGGGAACACAAAGCAATTTGGTCCTCTTAGATAAGCTTCCAGATCCAGTAAACATCAGTGTACTGCATAAGCTTTTGGATATGCACCCACCTGCATCTCTTCTACCCAAGACAGTAGTTCATACACAAATCGGAGATTGCCTTCATCTTCAGAGGAGCTGATGGCCACAAGTTCAGCCCGAGTCATAGGCTTTCGGAACCAGGAGGTAGAAGAAGAATGGGTTGCCTTGGTTAAGGGTTCTGCTTTCAGATGAGTGGTGGTTAAAGTAGAGGGTGGAACCAATTCAAGTGAAGTGAAATGACCCTTCCGGTACAGGTTTGTACACTCTAGACGCAAGGTGACCAGCTCATCCTGAAGACGCATGACCCTGAAATGGAAGAAGAGAAAAAAGGAAAGGATTTAAATCTATAGTATAGTTTTTAAAAATAAAATCTTCCTTATCCATTTGACAAAGATATGATAAAAATAAAAATGAGCCAGCCTAGACAACATGGTGAAACCCCGTCTCTACTAAAAATACAAAAATTAGCCGGGTGTGGTGGCACATGCCTGTAGTCCCAGCTACTCAGGAGGCTGAGGTAGGAGAATTGCTTGAACTCAGGAGGCGGAGGTTGCAGTGAGCCGAGATCACACCACTGCGTCCCAGCCTGGGTGACAGAGCAAGACCTTGTCTCAAAAAAATAAAAATAAAAATAAAAATAAAAATGAGATCATAGAAGGAAAAGTGTTTAGAAAGTGTTATATGAATACAAGGTGATATTATGAACATCTTCATCTAGTTCAGAATTGTTTTTAAGACAAATGCCAAATTACAGTGTTAACTGGAGGGAAGCTAACAATACTATTTATATAACTCCCAAATATAATAAACAATGGATTAGGGGTCAAGAGATGTGGGTCCTAGTCTTGGCTCTGTAAAACTAGCCTTGGGAGGCTGAGGTGGGTGGATCACAAGGTCAGGAATTCAAGACCAGCCTGGCCAACATGGTGAAACCCCGTCTCTACTAAAAATACAAAAATTAGCTGGGCATGGTGGTGCACTCCTGTACTCCCAGCTACTCCGGAGGCTGAGGCAAGAGAATTTCTTGGACCCAGGAGGCAGAAGTTGCAGTGAGCCGAGATCGTGTCACTGCACTCCATCCTGGGCTACAGAGCAAGATGCCATCTCAAAAAAAAAAGGGGAAAAAAAAAACTAGCCACATGACTTTACATAATTTTCATCTTCTGTGGGTCTCAATTTTCCCCCCTATAAAAAGAATGTGATGGATCACCAATGTTTCTAAATCAGAAGTTGTGTTGTGTCCCAACCCTGCAGGTCGTTCTAAAATATATGAGAATGGGCCAGATATAGTGGTTCACGCCTATAATCCCAGCACTTTGGGAGGCTGAGGCAGGAGGATCGCTTGAACCCAGGAGATTGAGATCAGCCTGGGCAAAATGGCAAAACCCCGTCTCTACTAAAAATACAAAAATTAGCTGGGCATGGCAGCCTGCACTTATAGGCCTAGCTACTTGGGAGGCTGAGGTGGAAGGATCGCTTGAGCCCAGGAAGTCGAGGCTGCAGTGAGCCATGATTGTGCCACTGCACTCCAGCCTGGGCAACGAAAGTGAGACCCTGTCTTTGATTAATTAAAATAAAGTATGTGGGATGTTACAAAAGGCCACAATGATTGAAGTAATCCTATAGGTACTTAGTGGGATGGAGCTGCAATAAGGGGAAACTGTCCTCTACTGACAAAACATTCCTGCCCAAGAGACCTGTAGTATCCCCATTGAGACACTGACCTCAAATGTCCAGGTTAAAAGATTAAGTGCCTGACTCTTGCTCTACTCTTGATCCATGAGCCTCAGCAGTAAGCAAGCAAGCCCTCCATTTGAGTCCCTTGTTCCTCACCTAAAAGCCAGCTCTTCTAGCTGGTAGTAATTCTCATCCCGCAGGATCTGGAGATCCACCTGCAGCTGCCTGATGAGACCTTCACACTCCTGAATGTACATAATGACATCTGACTCACATTGTACCGGTTGTCCTGATTCCAGGTGAGCAGCATCCTGAGACAGGAAGAGAGAATAACAGTGGGAAAACTTCCATTGCCCCACTCACTAGGACAGAGGGAGCCAAGAAGTCTACTGCAATTCCAAAAAAAAAAAAAAAGGGAAATAATACATCTGGATTCCTCGATTGCTAACTTCAACAATTAGAGCAGAGGGTGAGAAGCAGGAAACATGTGACACAGATGTTGGACAAAACAGTCAGAGACTTACAGCCTGCAGTGTATTCTTAGCTAGTGTCAGTTTTTCTTCACAGTTCAAAGCACCATTCTGGATTTTGTTTGCAATCTGTAGCAGCAATTCCAGCCTGAAATAAGATAAAACCATAGTCATGTGCAAGGTTCACAGCAGCTCAATAAATAATGTCAGACCACTCTCAGGATCTGGACCCACCTCTCCACAGCCGGCCGAAGTGATTTCTCTCGTTCCAGCATCTCTATGATGAGCTTTCCCCACTCTTCTTCCACATCATTAGGGTGATAACCTTGAGGCAGTTTAATTCGGCCAAATTCAATCCACACCTGAAACAGATACTCTTTCAGTCCAAAAACACAGCCATGCCCTCTTGTCCCAGTTTTGATTTATTATTTGCACATCACTTCTTGCTTCTTTACCCAGCCATTCAGCAGTTTTTCCTATTGTCTAACATGGAAAAACAATCAAATATGTATCAGGTTCTTCACCCTTGAGTTAAAGAGCAGAAAAGTCACCTCTAGAATGTAGGGACTACCTACTCTAAGTCATTCCATTCCTTTTACACTTTCTATAAATCCTCCTTTCCCCTCAATAACTTTTATTCTGGCAAGGTTAAATTCTCATTTCTACAACTTCAAATTCTCTGGGAATCAAATTCTGAATAGAAGTCTCTCTTCTTTCCACCCTAGGGAAAGATTTAGCTTCCCTCTGAGAAGCAGAAAAATTTGTCCACAAAACTCAAGATTTCTGAATAAATACATGTCATTTTTCAATAAGCCCTTTAAAAAACAGAGATGGCTGACATTGCCCCTTTACCACAACATTTTAAGACCAGCCTGAGAGTGGTGCTATTATTTGTCACCAGGAGAGTACTTCTATTAATGCAGTTTGGGAAAAGAATACAAGGAATCTATAATCAAGAAGCAACAACAGTACAGACCAGCAAACCCCAAGTCTCAGCAAAGGATAAGCTCACTTACCTCTAGTAATTTATATAATTCCTCAATTCTTCCTTTTTCTCTCTCCTTGGCCAGAATTTCTGTTTCTTTGAAGTGTATATATTGGTTATAAAGTGCCTATAAAATTAATATTTGGTGAATAAATGGACACAAACTATAGGACCCAATTTTTCATACCACCTCACCTAGAAGCCAGCAGTGATAAGCTTGGAGACTTACTCCCTAGAAAGATTTTACCAAAAAAATTTAAGTCCTTGACTTTACCTTTAGTTCAACAGGGTTTTGGGGAAAAGTTTTATCTGACATCAGTATTGTATGCTGTTTGATCCAGGGAATGAGGGAGTCCACTCGGCTTTGGTATTCTTGCCACCTGGAGTCCACTTCCTATTGCCAGAAGGTAAACATCACACACCTGATTAGCAATATCCAAAACAAGCACAAGAGAAAGTAGCTCAGGCCACTCCAAACTATATAAAATCCATTTCCTTTAATTGCCTAGATGCTGCTCAGTTTAATGCTCACAGTACTAGCTTCAAAGCTCCTCAAGGGCTCTCAGGATGGGGTTCAATTTCCTGACACTAAGAAAGGCTACAAACCAAGCTACTAAAAATATTCTGAAAAGAGCCATGATCTACCTAATCAAGCTGATACATAAGTGACTGATAAAACACTTCCTCATCTTGAATTACAGCTGGGGATGAAAGAGACATTCTTTGCTGGCATTTAGCACCAAATAGTCTATGCTAATTGTTACAAAATTAGCAATATCTAGACTCATTTCCAGGGCCAAGGATAATGTCCATGTATGATAAAGATACTGGATATATAGTTTGATACCATGAGTATACCATAAGTGCTTAAGAAAGTGTCTAACCAATGCATTTCACCCAAATGAATCAAAGTCAGAAGGCCTTCTAGGAAAATGTTCTTTTACCGTAGCACTGATCCCTTCTCCACCCTCAGGAACTTTAGGGAAGGCATCATAAATCGAAGACACATAAGTGATTACAGACTTTTCATCTGGAGATGGCACATCCACATCTGAGAGAGAATGGACAAGAAATTTCTTAGTCAGAACAAAGGAACTTGCCAGAAGAAGGAATACTGAATACGTGTTCCTTACTCAAGTTCAGTAAACTCCCTCTCACCTTCTGCATCCAGCAGGCGAGTGACCCCCAGTCTTTCTGCCACTTCAAAAGCCTGTTCCAGATTCTCTCGGTTACTTTGGATTTGCACCCTCTCCATGTCTACTAGATCGGGTCTGTAAAAGTCCAGCAAGGCACATGAAACGCCACCATCTACACATCACACATGAGTTTACACAAAGAAAACCTCCTGAAAGTTCCCAGAGCTGAAAAACACTAAGTGAGTTAGAGAAAAAGCAGGAGGTTTAGAAGAGTACAAATTCCATTTTTAAGTATACACCAGGGGCCCAGTGCTCCCTAATGCTAAACTTAAACATACAGTTTAGGTTTGTTGAATGTCATGGGAAAAATATCGTCGGTTAGAACTGAAAATTGGGGCATGTTTATGACCACTAAGAACTCAACAATTTTTATTTTTGTCATTCAGAATTCCTATCGTCCTCACCTCACTTCAGCCACCTGCTGTCCCTAAACCACTCTAAGCAAGCCCTCACTCCAGGCCCTTTGCATTTGTATTTCTTCCGACTGGAACACTCTGACCCCAGAAGCCTGGATGACTCACTCCCTCATGGCTCTGCTTTAACACGCTCACCAAAAAGGCCATCTCTGACCACCCTGTCCAAAGTACCACAAACCTCTGCCACTTTCTAATCCTGCCATTGCATTTACCACTGCTTGATGGCATACATTTATTACCTATTCTCCCTACTGAAAGATAAGTTCCATGAGAGCAAGAACTTTCGCTGTTTTCTTCACTGCTACTTGTACCCAGTTCCTAGAAAAGTAGTTAAATAAATGTTTCTTTTTCAAATGAACAAATGAATCAAAGCTTTGATTTTTGATTGAGGAGATGGAAACAGTATTATAACTAATTACAAACAAGAGATGAGAAAAAGCCCTGCAGGAGCACAGAAATTCCACTGTTCTTACCGGTATCGGTGAATGAGTGCATTGAACATCTTCCCATCACTCCAGCAGGAGGAAAAGTTGGTGCATTTGATTCCTGTGTAACCAGCTGTCACCTTCTGGGTCCACAGGAGTAGTTTCTCCTTGGCTGACATATCCCCTGATTCTCCACTAATGTAGATGTCAGAGATCTGCCAAAAGATGGGACACAGAATAATTCATTATAAATAAGACAAAGTCTTTTAGCCTTCTCTTCTCCATACATTATGGCTCTTAGTAAAACGAAGGTCCAAGGCTGGAAGCACTTTAGAGGACTATTCCAACATATATTCCCCCTCTTGCTAGTCAAATAAATGCAAATTAAAACCATGAGAGGTAATTTTTCACCTATCAAACTAGGAAATGTTTGTTTTTAATGATATTATTCACGATTGGAGAGAAGATCTACAACTGGGTATCATCATACACCGCCACTAGTGAGAGTATAAAATGGCATAACTTCTCTGGATGTCAGTTTTGAATCAAGTCTTAAAACATACATACAACTTGATAGGAAGTCATCAGAAATATAAACAAATAATTTTATGCATGAATATTTATCAAAGCATAATAAACATGACTTAGCAAAAAGTTATAAAAAGCTTAAATTCTAATGAGGGGTTGACTGGTTATAAATCATAGCACAATTATAGCAGAATAGAATTCTTTGTAGCACCTAAAAAGTTATGCTTTAGAAAATTTCACACCAGGTGCAGTGGCTCATGCCTGTAGTCCCAGTTACTCATGAGGCTGAGGTGGGAGGATCACTTGAAGCCGAGAGATCAAGACTGCAGTGAAGTATGATCATGCCACAACACTGCAGCCTGAGTGACAGAGTGAGACTCCATCTCAAAAAAGTAAATAAAAAAGTTTTACAAAGAAAATTTTAATGA
This sequence comes from Homo sapiens, assembly GCF_000001405.40. Lineage (NCBI taxonomy): Eukaryota > Metazoa > Chordata > Mammalia > Primates > Hominidae > Homo > Homo sapiens. Next base: position 39,281,466 of record NC_000001.11, on the reverse strand, counting down.
CATAGGACAATGATTACCAAATTTAAGAAAAAGAATATAAACAAAATAATATAGTAATCTTGATTATTTTGTATAAAAGACATACAAAATATACATTTAAGTATACAGTCATATATATGTACAAGGCATACACACGCACCTATGTATGCAATACAGGTGCAAATACTGTACGTATGTGAGAAATACAGCAAACTAATAATCATAGTTACCTCTATGGAGTAACATTACAGGGGATTTTTATATTTTCCAAATATTCTGCATCCTGTACATTTTTATAATAAGAAAAAAGCTATTTTAAGAAATCTCCAAAATACAGCACAAGACCTATTTTAGGGAGATCATAATGCAGGTGAGGAAAAAGTGCATGTCTCATGTGTGCAAAGTGGGACTAATACCACCTTTTCAGGGTTGCTGTGATAATCAGCGAGATTACACATTAAAGCACCTAACCCAAACTCAGGGTTATGCTCAACAAATAAGGGTTCCCTTATCTCTTCCTTATTTGAAGGCTGGTCTTCCTTCGATTCTTACTTGTCTAACTCCCACAGCACTGACAGTCTGTATCATCATCTAATTAAATGTTATTTTGGGCTGTGTGCAGTGGCTCACGCCTGTAATCCCAGCTCTTTGGGAGGCTGAGGCAGGCAGATCACCTGAGGTCAGGAGTTTGAGACCAGCCTGGCCGACATGGTGAAACCCCATCTCTACTAAAAATATAAAAATTAACCAGGCATGGTGGCACGCACCTGTAGTCCTAGCTACTTGGGAGGCTGAGGCACGAGAATCGCTTGAACCCAGGAGGTGGAGGTTGTGGTGAGCTGAAATTGTGCCACTGCACCCTAGCCTGGGCGACAGAGTGAGACTCTGTCTCAAAAACATAAAAATAAATAAATAAATAAATGTTATTTTGCATTATGGACTATTATTTCATATATTTAATCTTATCTCCCCTAGACTGCACGTTTCCTGAGGGGGGCTGGCACCACATCTTAACAACCAGAGCAATATAAAACTGAACAGCAAACCCTATGTGGGAGAGCTCCTCGCCACTGGACGTGTCAAGCAGAAACTAAGATGCTGTGAACGAAATAACTTCCAAATCTGAGAATCATTGATCACAGTCCTTTGGTGCATTGCCCATTGCACTTAGTGTTGTGCTGGTTGTATGGTGGGACCTTAACATGTTTTAATTAATAATAACTTGGTTTATGAATGAAATAATAAAAATAAAATGAAATAATAAAAATAAGCAAATAAAAGTATTTTGGGGGCTGGGCACAGTGGCTCACACCTATAATCCCAACATTTTGGGAGGCCGAGGCAGGTGGATCACCTGAGGTCAGGAGTTCGAGACCACTCCCGCCTAGGTGACAGAGCGGGACTCTGTCTCAAAAAAAAAAAGTATTCTGGCATAAAGCCCACCTAGAATCTGTAGACAGGTTACTTAGCTAATTCAAAGCACTGTGTAAAGTAAACAAGTTTATATTTGTCTCCTCTGGAGTGGGACTATGAATGACTTTAGTTTTTCTTCCTACTCTTCTTTTTTTCAGACTTCGAGTAATGACCACACTTTATTTTTATAATAAAAAGTATAAAAACAATCCTTGTTAACAAGGAAAAATGTTAAGCCTTTCATTCAGACAGATATGTGTTTGAAAGAAGGCATTTACTAGAAATGTGACCTCAGGCAAACCATGTAAGCCTCCTGGCCCAATTTTCCCCATATTTAAAATAGGATAATAACTTTCTCAAAGGATCATTATAAGGATTAAATAAGATGATGTAGATAGTGCCGAGGGTACATGTATTCCCTTCCCATAATAATAAGACAGCATACCCAACACAATTTTTGGTCTGGGTGTTGGGGCAGAGAAAACACCGGCATGTCAATAGAACATCCTGTCTCTTAGTCGTCTCTATCAGGTGCAGTACCATGAAAGTAGTAGCTTCCCTTGTGATCAATACAAGGGAGAAGTCAATAATAAGTCATCTCCAAGTGTCTGAATTTACAAACTCATAATAGATGAGATTAAATATCAGATGATATTTTAAAATTGGAAAAAAAAAAGGGCCAGGAACTTTAACACTATATTTAGAATAAAAGAAAGCTGCAGGCTACTAAATATTACTAAGATGTCTGAAGAAAGACCGTGAGAATAGAAGAGTATGGGAAGCTTGCATTGAGTACAGAAAAGGGAAGCCAGGAAGTACTGCCTCCATGCCTGTGAAGGTGAAACTGTACCCTACCCAGCAGATTCAAGGGACATAGGATCTTATGCCCTTGACAGGTACATTTCTACAGAAGAAATCAGACTATTCTACTTTGATGATGCCAGCTAATAAGCCCATCCTACAAATCATTCCTCTACTCACCACCTCTCTGCTCTGACTGCATGTTCACCTGACAACCTTCAGATTATTATTTGCTTCCCATATAGATATTCTAAAGCAACAAAAGCAGTAAGTGGCCAATTCAAATTCTTGAATCACTTGGCAGTTAAAATTTATTTTGTAAATTAATAAATTCACATAGACCAATCTCAAGCAAATGTGATCAGTGTGAGTCAGTTTACTAAAACTATTAATCAACTCCAGATCTACCTGGGGCTGGGGGAGGGGCGGTAGTGGGGAGAGAAGCTATGGAGCTGCAGAGCCAAGGACACAATAATGGATCACGGCTCTTCCTATAAACAGCTTCTTCCTAGTACCAATTCTATTTCAGTTCCCCTTAACATTTCTAGCTACCTATTTCACTGGCTAAATGCAACATTGATATATCCCACTGCCTTCACTGTAGCTGCTTCACGTACATATTAAAGTAAAACATTATTGGGAACAGGAAATAGATTTGTTGATGTAAAACAAGACAGAACTTGAATAAGCAAAACAAAATCTGAGTATTTGGGTTCTTCACCCAAAAATGAAATTCCAGTTAGTTAATTGATATTGTATGTTCATTACAGCCATAATCTTTCTAATAACATCTCTCATTTCTTAGTATTTCTGTATATTGCACTAAAACTACTTCAATGAACAGCTTTACTTCAGATTTTAAACATAGTTGTAATGAGATAGATGTTTGGATCCCTAAGGGAAAGAAAAATAAAATACCTGTTTGGATTAGGGCCATTACCTAGACTGGAAACTGGATGAGAAAAATGGGATTATCATCACAACCATCTCAGTAATTAAATTTGGCTTTCATCAATCTCTTTCTGTATACTCACACATGATATGTGTGCACAGTACTGTGCTCTGGGCTATGCAGAAGCTTTTACCTTAATCTCCCAAATGCAGAAATCCAGCTTTAGTTTCAGAGATCTTTCTCCCTCATCTGGGCTTTTTAAGGAGGAAGCCATTTGGAGAGGGAGAACAGCCTCAACAGTATGCCTGAGAATATGCAAATTCCACTTGAATTTCCTTTCATCTCACACTTCCCAAAGCTTGGTTAATTGCTTCTCTGAAGTATTCCCAGAAGCTGAATGTTTTCCTAATAATTCAATAAGTATTGACTGAACAACATCTTAGCACTATGACTGGCACCATGGAGAAGAACAAGAAAAGACACACCACTTACTTATACTGTTAATATTTTTTGAGCAACCATTATATTCTAGGAGCTGTGCTTAAATTCTTGATATCTCAAAATAAAAAAACACAGCCTCAGGCCTCAAGTTCAAGCAATTTAATCAGGGAGACAATTTACTATACAAAGAGATCAATGTTGTGACAGAGGTAAGCAAGTAATCCAAACTAGCAATGCCAGAGGATTGCTCAGCAACAACAACATCTGTGCTGAGTTTTAATAAGTAGAAGTTGGCCAGGTAAAAAGGTGGAAAACAAAAAAAGAAGACATGCTTGGCCTGCAAGAACTTAGTTGAGACATGCCATAACTAACATATGATTATCCCAAATATTTTCCCAGATAACAACAGATGTATGAAGGTAAAACAGGAATACAGGAAGGGAAGCTCTGTAGTCCTCCTGAATACCCAAACTTTTAGAAATTTATTTACACATATACACATATTTAAAATTAAGCAGTATATTTAAGCATTTAGTATTAATGTATTTTCTGCCTTTGTAATTTCAAAAAACTGTATTATTCAAACTTCACATGCATCTTTAACATCAATGTTTTTTCCTTCAATAAAGCTATCTTTTTAGTGAATTTTCTAGAAAATACTGTCTACTTTTCTAAGATTTTAAAGTTAATAACAGCACTTTTCTGAATCTACATTGTCTCTGGGTATTTCATTTCAAACCACAAGAGTCCAGTTACATAACACTGGATTAGGGTTTTTTTTTTTTTTCATTCATTCTGCTGTGTTTATTTGTGATCCCCATAATGTATGTGTATGTTTCATATGCAATGTGAGTGATTCAAAAAAAAATTTTAATGTTAAGGCTTGTATACAATTACTTTCAACACTTCAAATTAGGAGATTATATTCCCAGGAACAATAACTAAAACTTTCTTAGATTTTTCATTCCTCTTTTTTGTTTAATCAATTATGTCAGTTGATCTCTACAAAAAAATGATAGTGATTGAACTAGCAGATGGTGACATAGATTTATTCACCCTTTTTCATGAACTGACTATAAGCTCCCTGGAAGCCTAATAACAAGAAATGCTTTATAAGAAGTAAAATATAAAGAGAATATCTCTTTTCTGAAGGTTAATTTCTGGACGAAAAAAATCTCATATCTATGGTAGGTCACATGAAATAGTTAAACAAATTTATAGCCAAAAACGACCAATAATTATAGTAATATCCAATACAGAATCTCAGCAGAATGGAAAATTACTGTGGGCTGGAGGATTTCTAGAAGTACCATATAAACTCATCCTTGAAGGGTGTTACAGAACAGGTGAAAGCCAAGGAAGAAAGGAATTCCACGTAGAAAGTGGATGTAAACAAACTGAGATAAGGTGAAACAGAAATAGTAGTTAAGGGACTGATCTGTTAAAATGAGAAGGTTTAAATTGGGAACCGATAGAAAAGATAAGATAGATTACAAAGGAACTGGTAATCTATCTTATCTTTATCCCAGCTGAGGAGTTTCGACTTGGTATCTTATCTTATCCCAGCTGAGGAGTTTGGACTTGGTAAGTCTCTCAGTGGATGAGACGAGTTGTTCTGAGCAAGTAAGTACTTGATTATTATGTCCTCAAGTTTCTAGCTGACCTCATCACCCACTAAAGATAAAGCATCAGACCTTGAAAACTTTCAAGAAGCAAATGAGGGCTGGGTGCAGTGGCTCACTCCTGTAATCCCACCACTTTGGGAGGCATAGGCAAGAGGATCACTTGAGCCCAGGAGTTCAAGACGAGCCTGGGAAACACTGTGAGAAATTGTCTCTACAAAAAATTTAAAAATTAGCTGGGTGTGGTGGTACTCCCCTGTAGTGCCAGCTACTTGGCAAGTTGAGGCACGAGGATCGTTTAAGCCCAAGATGTCAAGGTTGCAGTGAGCTATGATTGCACCACTGCTCTCCAGCCAGGTGTCAGAGCAAGATTCTTTCTCAAAAAAAAAAAAAGAAGAAGAAGAAGCAGATGAAGGCACAATGCAGTGGTTCTACAAATGCCCAGCTAGAGGGATCTAATGGCAGCTATGTTGGTGAGGAACAGAGATAAAGAAGGTGTTTATTACCAATATTAGAGTTAGGTAAAAGGGAGTGCTCCTTTCAGTATTCACATTCAGAGTCCTGGAGGTCTCACTAGGGAATATAATTAGAATGGAAACCCTAGGTAATAGAACATGGGCATTTTTCAACTCTACAAAATATTGTCAAACTACTTTCTAAAGAACAGTAGCAAATTATACTTCCACTTAAGTGCTATGAAGAGGTTTTCCCATCACTCTTCATCCTCGCCTACACTTGGTATTTTCAGAATTTTTACCTTCTGCCAATCTGATGGGTATAAAATGGTATCTTAGCTAGGCATGGTGGTGTGCTTGCAGTCCCAGCTACAAGCTTGAGTCCAGGAGTTTATGGCTACTGTGCGCTATGATGGTACCTGTGAATCGCCACTGCTCTCTAGCCTGGGCAACATAGCTGAGACCTCATCTCTTTAAAAAAAATTACAGGCGCAGTGGCTCACACCGTAATTCCAGCACTTTGGGAGGCAGAGGCGGGCGGGTCACGAAGTCAAGAGATCAAGACCATCCTGGCTAACACAGTGAAACCCCGTCTCTACTAAAAATACAAAAACAAAATTAACCGGGCATGGCGGCGGGCGCCTGTAGTCCCAGCTACTCGGGAGGCTGAGGCGGGAGAATGGCGTGAACCTGGGAGATGGAACTTGCAGCGAGCCGAGATCGCGCCACTGCACTCCAGCCTGGGCGACAGAGCGAGACTCTGTCTCAAAAAAAAAAAAAAAAAGTATCTTATTGTTGTTTGATCTGTATATCCTTATTAGTAAAAAGGAGTCTTCTTATGTATATGAGGCATTTGGATTTCCTTTTTTTGTGAATTGCTTATTCCTGGGCTTTCCCCTATTTTTCTACAAGGGTGTTTGTCTTTTTCTTATTCATTTTCTTGTTCTTTTAAGTAATAATATTAACTAGCATTTATTGTGATTACTTGTATTAATTCATATTATTCTCACAACAACCCTACCAAGCATATGCTATTCTTATCTTCCATTTACAAATAAGGAAATTGTAGCACAGAGAAGTTTAGTAACCTGTTCCAAGTTATACTGCTAGTAAGTTGCAGAATTGGGATTCAAACCTAGCCAATCTGGCTCCATGCTCTTAATCACTTTATCTATAGGATAGTAACCCCTTTTCAGTAGTCATCCATGGAGAATTGGTTCTAGGACCTCCCTCAGATACCAAAATCCGCAGATACTGAAATCCACAAATGCTCAAGTCCCAGATACAAAATGAGGTAGTATTCACATACAACCTGTGTACATCCTCCCAGCTACTTTAAATAATCTCTAGATTACTTATAATTCCTAATACAATGTAAATGTTAGTAAATAGTTGTTATCTTGTTTAGGGAATAATGAAGTCTGTACATGTTCATTACAGATGCAATGTTTTTCTTCAGAATATTTTCCATCCGTTATGGGTTGAATCCCCAGACGCAGAACCCACAATGCAGAGAGCCAACTGTATATGTATTATATCATAATTTTACCAGTATTATTACATTTTTATTTTTATACAACTTATTTTGCCTAACTTTCCATTTTATTTTTATACAATTTTATTTTTTAATTTCATTTTATTTTTATACAATTTTTTTCTTAATTTTCTATTTGAAATGGAAATTTTCAAATATATACAAAAGGAGACAGAATAGTATAATAAGTCCCTATGTACCTATTACCCAGTTTCAACCATTATCAACTCATAGCTAATCTTGTTTCATCTACATCCCACCCACTTCACCCTTCCCCTATTATGATAAAGTAAATCTCCTGTTTTTCTCTAAAAACATTTCAGTATGTATCTGTAAAAGGCCTTTTTTAAAACATAACCACAACACTATTGTTACACCTAAAAAATAATGATTCTTTAGTAACATTTTTAATTAAGTAAAATTTTTTTAAAAAGAAACAAGGCTGGGCGCGGTGGCTCACGCCTGTAATCCCAGCACTTTGGGAAGCCGAGGCGGGCGGATTACGAGGTCAGGAGATCGAGACCATCCTGGCTAACACGGTGAAACCCTGTCTCTATTAAAAATACAAAAAATTAGCCGGGCATGGTGGCAGGCGCCTGTAGTCCCAGCTACTCTGAGGCAGGAGAATGGCGTGAACCCGGGAGGCAGAGGTTCAGTGAGCTGAGGTAGGGCCACCGCATTCCAGCCTGGGTGACAGAGCAAGACTCCGTCTCAAAAAAAAAGAAAAAGAAACAAAATCCTTTCTTAAAGTTCTAAACTATAACTTTACCTTCTGCATTCCCCCAATAGTGTCATCTGGTTAATTTTGCTTTCTTCTTTCAGTACAAAGCCAGTATTAGTAAAACAACTCTCCCTATAATTAAAAAGGAAAACTGGGAGAGGGATACTTGTAAACTGAAAAGGCTGAGCCCAGAAGATAATACACCAACCAACCTCTTTCTTATCATTTCTAGGCCCCAGTGTTATCTGACTATTCACCTAAAATTGTAGAGACTCGAAGGGTTGTGGCAAGAACACTGGTATATAGCTGGGCGTGGTGGGGGCGGGCGCCTGTAATCCCAGTTACTCGGGAGGCTGAGGCAGGCGAATAGCTGGAACCCGGGAGGCAGAGGCTGCAGTGAGCCGAGATCGCACCACTGCACTGCAGCCTCGGTGACAGAGCCAGACTCCGTGTCAAAAAAAAAAAAAAAAAAAAAAATTGGTATAGAGGTAAATGCTTCATTAAATGGGATTCGCTAACAAGGTGGGCAGGAGCTTGGCAGCAGAAGTCAAGATGGGGAGGAGGAAGGGATTTTCAAAAATGTTCCTTGTTGAAATAAGCCAGGTATTAGTAGTATGGATATTGAAAGCAGCTGGGAATAGGGAGTCCTGAGAGAAGAAATGGGCCAGAGAAGAAGGCCTTTGTCTGACATCAAAGAGCGATTGCTATTAGCCTGTTCCCATCCAGCTCCAAATCCTAGTCTACTTGTCATTCTGAAAACATATTTGTCAGCTGACCCTTGTCATCTTGCTTCTGTGTTAACTATTTCTTGACAAAAGAAGTATTAACTGTACTAGGTGAATAGAAAAGCAGATCATGTATATTCTACTATCTAAACCCTACACTAGCAAGAAGCACAATCAGTTCCCATTTCTCTCCATCCTAAAAAGCAACAAAACCCATGGTGAAGTTTATGTCTATCCATAGCCTGGTCTCACTCTCATCAACAAGCCCTGGACTAATCAACAGAGGAGACAGTCTGGCTGGAACTCAAATTATTTTCTGAGGATAGTTACTACTCTGACATATTAAAAACAAAACCACCACCAAAAAAGCAAGCAAAAAACAACTCAATTGGACTGCCAGCTGTCTCCTGTTTAGACAGGAGTTGGTGTGTGAACAGCAGCAGCTGCTCTTCTGACCCTTGCCCTCCCAGCTTTCCCACTTTAGCAGAGATGCTCTTGCCCTGCCTATCGGTTTCAGTATGCGTTGCCCTCTCTGTTTCTCTGGCTGCTACTGTCCTCAAGCCTGTGAACAGCCTGTTAGGGAGGGGAGCAGCTCCCTGAAGACAGTTCCTTCAGGGACCAGTGAGAGTTGCAGCCTCTTGGCCTTAAGGACTTTCATTCTGAAGGAATGTCACACTTATCTTGATAAGTTACTTCTTATCTGTCATATAGGATGGTGAGTCTGTGGTCCCTGTATCACATGATGGACACAAAACCTGGAAATATGCCAGGTGTCTGAGCTGAGACTCGGTCACTTAGTTTTTCAGCCTTGGCTATACATAAGTAGTATGACTGTGTCTGCAGTGAAAAGGTAGAAGGAATAGATGCAGAGGTTGGCTACCCAGAAAATGCCACACACCAATTTGAATCATACTGAACAGCAAAGGAATCATACTGTTGCCAATATGGTCACACTACAGATCATGGTCCAAAGGTTTCTCCTAACAATCTTTTCTTTAAGACTCCTCACAGACTCATGCAGAACATTCCCTTGCCAGTGTGGAGATCCAGCCCATACAAAGGTGCCATTGCTATCTATGGTCTATTATCTAGGATTGATTTTACTAGGAGTTCCTAAAACTTTATATGCCAAATTTCTGAAAATCTCACACTCAGTTACAAGCATGTGTCCTATAATGTTATGATGACTACACAATTTCAATTTTAATGCCAGTTGTACAACAATCAGTTCCACAGCTGGTTTTACCCCCAACTACTCTATCTGTTCCAACTTTTACAAGATAAAAGTTGACTTTGACATTCTTTTTTATCTGATGAAACCCAAATACTTGTTGATATGGTTTCAATCTGTGTCCCTACCAAATCTCATGTTGAATTGTAATCCCTAATACTGGAAGTGGGACCTGGTGGGAGACGACTGGATCATGAATCATGAAAGTGGATTTCTCATGAATGGTTTAGCACCATCCCCTTGGTGCTGTTCTCGTGAGGGTAGGTGGGTTTTCATGAGATTCGGTCATTTAAAAGTGTGTGGCACATCCCACCCACAACCTCTCGTTCCTGCTGTAGCCAAGTGACATGCCTACTGCTCCTCTGCCTTCCACCAAGATTGTAAGTTTCCTCAGGCCTCTTCAGAAGCTGAGCAGATGCCAGCATCATGCTTTCTGTACAGCCTGCAGAACTGTATACCAATTAAACCTCTTTACTTTGTAAATTACCCAGTCTCAGGTATTTATTTATAGCAATGCAAGAATAGCTTAATACATTCATGCGCCCCATATCCCAGTAGTTTCACTGCCTTCCTTCCTACCATAACACAACTATCACACTCCCCACCACACATATCCATGTTTATATGAGGCCCAAGAAACCTCTTGCCCATCCATAAAATAGATATTTTTTCAATGGCCACTTTTTCTTCAACCTGTTGGGAGTCTCCAAACTCTAATAACAGAGGGCACTAAGATGGGGCTGTCTGTGGGGAAAATGTATCCCCAAAGAGGAAATTCTAGGCACAGATTGCTCAGAATTTGTATCTATCCTCAGCCTTATGCTGCTAGTGATAGGCAGGGCACCAGTAGGTAGACCATATCCCTGCTCTGCAAACATCAGGGCCCCTGTACAGTATCAGTGGCCCCCATCTAGGCAAGGAAAGTGCCCTACCTCATTTTATAAATTTTGCACTTTGAAGTCCTAATGTTTTTATTTCTTCTGCTGCAGAGGCCAACATCCCAGTAAAAGTTCTTTAGCCATTGGTGAATTATAACTTCAATCACCCACACAATCACACACCTACATGCCAGATGCTGTGCTACCCATGGTCTTGCTGAGTCCTTATCTCAGTGTTCACATCTCTGAATTCTCACTTGCTCCTTGACCTTTAAAACATTCACAGAAACTGCCATTACCACCACCACCAGCAGCACCATCCATGCCTCAATATATTCCTCAAAACAAAATCATGTTAAAGCCCTAAATACATCCAGTCACAAAACAAACTTTTCTAGCCTTAAACCTTCAAATTGCCCTAACCTCCCTCTCTCTCTCTCAACTAATCCCCAGATAACTCTGTCCCTCTCCTCTAATCCTGGAATTAGGAACCAAAGAAGGATGAGCCCTCTCCACCTATACAAATACTGAATGAGTGCTGCCGTCAGAAATTTCCCAACAGGGATGGGATTGCATCAGCTCTAGTAAGAATATCACTCTCCTGTGAGGAAGAGCAAGTACACTGACAACAGCTGCCTGACCCCTTCCACATTTATTCCAGAGATTCATTCCAGAGATTCAGTTAGGCCCTTCCCCATCGTCTCTTGTGCTACATTACAACTTCTCGTAGCAGGGAAGCTGGTAAACAGACCTGCCTGAGAGTAAGTACTATCTAGCATTGCACCTTGAGAGATCATCCCACCAGATAGCTTGAGCAATTACGCCACTTGGCTACTCAGAATCAGGGATTCCCCAGAGACAAGTCTTGGTTTCAAGCATCAAGGGGCAGACCTGAAATAGATTCTGCTTGCTGAGCTCCAGCAGATACTAACCCACATGGGGGTAAGTTTGAGAGGCACCAACATCCTCACTGCTCACCACACTCAGCTTTAATATGTTTGAGGGCCAAGAATCCAAACAGCAGTTTGATTATCTCTTGAACATGCCCACCTACCTCTTCCAGACCCCATGATGGGGTGTGGCTTGCCTCCAGAGAAAGAGTGCCATCCTCTTCTGAGAAGGAAGTAGAGCTCTTTTCAGGTTCTGTATCTTTAGGCTGGATCCCATGTATGTGTGGCCCATCACTGCCATAGCCAGAGGAGGAGGGCAAAATGCTCACAGTCACACCACTGATGGACAAATCACTCTGAGAAGTAGGCAGTCTGGAATCCTGGGGGGGCACTTGACCCACATGGGAAGGCTCCGTGCGTCTTTGGCCTCCAGGCTGGTCCAGTAGTAATGAAGAAACAGAACATTCTATAATCCAGGAAGCTGTCTGAGGGGCACCTGAAACACTCTTGGTTCCTTCCTCCACACTCCAGCCCTCTGAAAATTGTTCTTGATTTCCTTTATCAGTGGGGTAGTCTGTCCTAGGCAAAGCACAGCTCCGAAACCCACGCTGAATATTTCCTTTCTCCACTGCAGTCTCTCCTTGCAAAGGCAGCAACACAGCCCTGCTGCTGCAGGATGCTGTCCTAGGAAATTCCACCAGTTGGCTCACTGACTTCTCGCAGTTCCTTTCTGCTGGGTTATCAAGCAGGTGAGCAATGACAGTCATCCCCTCTTCCAGGGAATCCCAGACCCCTCCAGCAACTGATGACTCATTCTCTAACAAAAGGTGGGCGGTCTGGACCTCCCCTTGGAATCTCTCCTTTACCTGTACTATCATCCCCCGATCGACTACCCGTGAGTTGGGGGCTGAGTCCCCAGGCAGCAAAATATCTGGGGGGGTATGCTCTACCCCTCCCACTCCGTCTTCCTTTTGGAGACTCTCTGTTAACTTCGTTAGGGTTTCAGTCTCTTCAATGACTCCAGTTCCTTCTGAGGTTTCTTCCTGGTGAGATGCCTCTGGAGTAGGGATTTTCTTCCCTCTCCACCTCCTTTTGAACCGAACCCTTTTCTTAGGAGATATGGGAGCCTTCTCAGGAATAGCTATTGACTCTTTCGGCTCCTTAAAACAGCCCAGTGAATTTCCCATTTCCTTCCTCTCCTAATCTCAGCAAAAACGCAGCTAAGCCAGTCCTGGGATCCCACAGAAATCCCAACCTTGGCCTCATCGGATTCGATGCACATTTAAAAACATGCACTATGCCGGCAATCCCTCCAATTCTTTCTCCCTCCCTCCCCGCCTCTCTCTGTCTCTTCCAGCCGCTGCCGATTCAGACAGCCATCTTACAGGCTCAGAGCTGCAACAAGACAAATTCAAAGCATCTCACTGCAGTTCAGAAATCACTTGACCTAAAAGCAGACAGAAACCGGATTGGCTGCAGCTTCCTCTCTCCAAATATGAGGTAATTGGAGCACTGCCCTCAGTAACACAAACAGAAAGCAAAAAGGAGCTAGAAACCAGGGGAGGGGAAAAACTAGGGAGGGCCAGGAGGAGGAGGGAAAATGTAAGTGTAAATTGAAAATGGAGGGAAAAAGAAGAGAGGCCGTGGCAGAAGGTAACGTGGAGGAAGGAGGAGGAGAATAGTACCAAAAAGGGAAAAAGCAAACCAGCTCGGCTGGTACTAACCAGCAAGGGAAGGGAAGGGCCCGGGCCAAGAAGAACCAAGCCTGGTGAAGCTGCAATTATGGCTCCCAAACTACAAAATGAAATAGATTTTAAGTGTTGCACCAAGATGCCCAAAAGAAAATATCAAGCAGATATACATATTCTGAATTTTTTCAGGTCAGAAAACAATAAAATTATTTTAATGAAATTATAACCTGAAGAAACCAGAGCCTTCTTCTTACAGTTAAGAAAAGGAACACAGACTTTAAAGATCTAGCCTTCTGGAGCATTTATTTCCCTCCTTTTTCCTATAAAAGAAAAGAAAGATCTGTTAATTCTGCCAGCCAATGACACAGACAGGAAAAATCTGGAAGTTGGTTTTGAGTACAGTAAATGAGTGCTTGGTAAAAAGAATACCACTTCTAAATACAACAGATGAACAGGGTCTCTGATGAACAATATTTGACAAAAATGTTCAATAGTAATTATTGATGCTGCCACTGCTAACATCTAATATATTTTTTGCACTTGCTGTGTGCCAAGCACTGTGTAAAGTTATTTACATGGACTTTCTCATTTAATTCTTACAGTCACTATATGAGGTCAAAACTATTATTTTATATTTTATCGGTAAAGAAACTGAGGTTTGGCCAGGCGCAGTGGCTCACGCCTATTATAATCCTAGTACTCTAGAAGGCCAAGGCAGGCGGATTGCCTGAGCTCAGGAGTTTAAGACCAGCCTGGGCAACATGGTGAAACCCCGTCTCTACTAAAATACAAAAAATTAGCTGGGCACAGTGGCATGCGCCCTTAGTCCCAGCTATTCAGGAGGCTGAGGCATGAGAATTGCTTGAACTGGGAGGTGGAGGTTGCAGTGAGCCAAGATCATGTCACTGCACTCCAGCCTGGCCAACAGAACAAGACTCTGTCTCCAAAAAAGAAAAAAGAAACTGAGGTTTAAGAAAGTTGATTAATAGCCCTAGGTTACACAGCTAGTAAGTGACAAAGCCAGAACATGAACTTCTGTTAACTTTAAGACTTTTAATTTCAACCCCAACTACTCTCTTCTAACTACTGCAGTAGTGGAAATCTGTACTCAGTTGCCAGTTGTGTAAAATAAGAAGTTCCCCCACTGTTCTGAATTGGTAATTAGACTGCATGGACCAAGAGCTCAATCAAAGAGATAACACTTGTTGCCATTTGGGAGTAAGAGAAGAAGCTGCCAAAAAGAGGTTCAGGTGGTTTTTACTCCCATTGCAGTAGGGCAGGAAGTCTGAATTTCAGACTGTAAAAGTCGGATTCAAAAATCACCTTGTGATGTCAGTGAAGATTCCTCCACCCCAATTTTTTTTAGTATAGTATCTGCTATATGGGAAAAGACTATAACCCAAAGGGCTGTGAATGGAGAATAAAATTATATATGTGTTTCTTTCCTATTGCAGTTATTTATTCTACAACAAAAGGATCCAGGCCACACAGCAGAAAGCAGTAGCCTGCCTGGTTCCATGCAAGCCATAAAGACTTACACTAGCATAGCCTTAACTATCTTTCCTGGAGACCTGAAAAAAAAAAAAAAAAAAAAAAAAAGGAAAAGACCACAAAAGGAAAGCAACAAGAAGCCCTAAAGCAACGGCTTTTACACAATCCCTTCTAAGACCCTCCTGATGTCCCATCTGCCTCACAACTGCAGTAGGTGTTCTTCCCCTAAGCCTTATCCTTAAGGCTGACTGCAAAACTGCAGCACCATCTTATGGCCATCACAAACTATAGTAAGAAATAAGCAGAGAGCATGGGAGAGAAACTCATGCTACTGCAAATCATTTAATTAACAAAGAATCTGACATTACAATATGAAGTTCTCTAGGCAGGTACCAGGCCTTCACTCCTCCAGTGAAGAAACCTGGAACTATGGGAACTTTAAGATGCACTTGAATTTTATGAATGACATACAAGCAAACCAAAATCCTGAAACTAATAAACTTAGAGGCAAGAGAAATAGCTGCTTAATATGACTACTACTGCTGTAGAGTTTCTCTGAGAATTTACTTCTGTGAGCCTATTCTTTTTTTAAAATTTCTGCATATGTCAGACCAATCAGACCTTCATTTCCTTCTGCTCCAGAGAAAAACTGGTCTAGGGAAGGAGCAGAGATTTCAGTAAGGTGGACCTAGGTTCAACTTCCCAGCTCATAAGTTAAGTAACCTAACTAGTTTATTAGATGGTTCAGTTTCCTTACTTGTAAAATGTGCATACTACCACCTACTTACTGGGATTGTAGACAAGGTTAATGAGATAATGTCCATAAAGTACTTGGCTCAGTACTTGACCTACAGTAAATTTCTTTTCTTCCCATTTATTACTGGAACTAAAAGTTATGAGACATCCCCAGCCCCCGGGGGGATCCTAAGATATAGATGGTCCCTGACTTAAAATGGTCCAGCTTATTTTTCGACTTTCCAGTGGTGAGAAATCCATATGCATTCAGTAGAAACTGTACTTCAAGTACTCACACAACCATTCCGTTTTTCACTTTCAGTACAGCACTCAATAAATTACATGAGCTAGTCAACACTTTACTATCAAACAGGCTTTGTGTTACATGATTTTGGCCAAATGCTCAACGGTTAGCTAATATAAGTGTTCGGAATACATTTAAGATAGGCTAAACTATAGTTTTCAGTAGGTATATCAGATGTATTTTCAACTAAGTTAATTCTGATTACGAGACCTTTCCCCAAGACCTTTTCTCATCTAACCTGGTCTCTTAACACAAGACTTGCTGCCTTCTGGGAAAGCACACTTTGAGGCCTATACATTCTTTATGCCTTCTCCTTTGGCTTTTTGTAGATAACTGTTTACTGCCCACAGGTCTCCCACAGAGACAGCCAGAGTGAAAGACTCCAAAGCAAAAGAACTCATTCATTCATTCATTCCAAAAACACAAATGGTGCCTCATCTATATGCCAAGCACCAAGTGCCATAAAGTGCACAAAACTGTAAACCTCAAGTCTAGCCAGCTAAGACCTCCCATTTTTTGAAAATTTCAAAATGCTAGGCATACACTAGTATTTAACAAACATTTGAGGGTTGGAAAACTAGTTTTGTCAGATTCTGCCTATAAAGAGTTTATAGTATCTTTTAGAAGAACTATAAATCTTAACCTATACCTTAAAACAAGCTTGGACAAAGCCAAAAGACAAGAAATCCTGGCCGGGCGCGGTGGCTCACGCCTGTAATCCCAGCACTTTGGGAGGCCGAGGCGGGTGGATCATGAGGTCAGGAGATCGAGACCATCCTGGCTAACAAGGTGAAACCCCGTCTCTACTAAAAAATACAAAAAATTAGCCGGGCGCGGTGGCGGGCGCCTGTAGTCCCAGCTACTGGGGAGGCTGAGGCAGGAGAATGGCGTGAACCCGGGAAGCGGAGCTTGCAGTGAGCCGAGATTGTGCCACTGCAGTCCGCAGTCCGGCCTGGGCGACAGAGCGAGACTCCGTCTCAAAAAAAAAAAAAAAAAAAAAAGAAATCCTATCTGGGTGTGTAACCCAAAAAAGTCAGTCGGTCTCTGTGTTTCAGTTTCCTTATCTGAGAAATGGGCATAAGAAAACAGACATTACAGCCTATTTATTTGGTCTACCTACTCCAAAGCTTTGAGAAGATCAAATTCATGAAACAATCCATTCATTTAATAAATATTTACTGACTGCCTATTCTATGCCAGGCAAAGAAAAGAACAAGAGACAAAAATCCCTGCCATTGTTAAGCTTACATACTAATGCAGGCATCCAGGCAGCAAATAAACAAGTAAACATGTAATATGTCAAATAGTAGTAAATGTTACCCAATACAATACTGTAAGTCATACAGTACCTTTGAGAGCAATTTGGCAAAATATAGGCAAACTGAAGGAAAGTATATAACCCAGCAATTCCAGTCCAGGTATCAATCCCAAAACCCTCTTTGCTATAGGCACAAGGATGCATATACACAGATGTTCACTGTAGCAATGAATGTTTTATTCATACAATTAAATAATACGTTACAAATAATAGATGTGTTACACAGCTGCAGGGGTCACCACTTACATTAAATTAGTTAAAATGAACAAATCATGCTGGGCACAGTGGCTCATGCCTGTAATCCCAGTACTTTGGGAGGCTGAGGTGGGCGGATCATGAGGTCAGAAGATCAAGACCATCCTGGCTAACACGGTGAAACCCCATCTCTACTAAAAATACAAAAAATTAGCCGGGTGTGGTGGCGGGCGCCTGTAGCCCCAGCTACTCGGGAGGCTGAGGCAGAAGAATGGCATGAACCTGGGAGGTGGAGCTTGCAGTGAGCTGAAATCGCGCCACTGCACTCCAGCCTGGGTGACAGAGTGAGACTCCGTCTCAAAAAAAAAAAAAAAAAAAAGAAAAAAGAAAAAAGATGAAAGAAAGGATATACCAAAGATACTATGTGTGTCAAATATAAAGACATACAAGCAACAGTACATATTGTTTATGAATAGATCATCTGCTGTAAATGTACAAAAGCATGTATGGGAATGATACACATCAACTTTAGGATAATATTTACCTGGGGAGCAGAGAGGGCAAAGAAAGTTGGATGTATCTGAGATGTTTTATTACTTTAAAGAGGAAGAGAGAGAAAAAACCCTGAAGCAAATATAACAAAAGGAACACCTGTTAAATTCTGAAGGCAACTACACACATAAGGATCTGTTATATACTCTTCCGAGTATTTGAGATTTTCAAAACTAAAAACTCAAATTAAAATTAAAAAGAACATCTACCATTTAGCACATTAAAAAAAATGTGTTAAAGCATTTTAGAAACCATAAACCTCTGCATGAAGTTATCAATATTACCAGCCTCATCAGCAGTCACAAATCTTTAATCTGGATCCAGCCTCTCCCTTCTCCTTCAACTGAATATTCCCTTGAGGTGAAAACTACCATCCATGTCTACAGGTACATCATTATTCTACTTCATTAACACCAATAACACAGACTGACCATAATAACAATTTTGCTGATTCCCTAACATGTAACAGTTCTACTCTGCATTTCCATTTGGCTTTACATAGCATATGTTCTTGGTGAGAACAGCTAATAGATACTCAATAATGAAAGACTAGAAAACCACAATGACAGATAACTAGCAAAAGACATACCATGCCAAATCTGATGCAAGACGAGGCGGGGGGTGGGGGGGCACTCCACATGATCCTTCAGTAGTCAATCAAAAGCTTCACAAGCAGAGAACCTTTCCCCACACACCAGAACACTTAGCTAGTATAGGCAAATACCAAGCCCTCAGAACGGCAAAGAAAAGGAATCCATAGTTAAAACTGAGAAAATATTCTGGGAGCGGTGCTCCCACCTACAAGAAGACAAATAAATAGGCATTTGGCTGTGCTGAAATAACAGAGAAAAGCAGGCAGCCAATATGCATGCAGAAGACAGACTAGGCCAAAGCTGCTATTACCTTTCTGTAAAATTGGTAACAGGAAAAAGAACAGTGGGCTGTGTCAAAAGCCCTGGAAGTTATAAGGTCAATTAATAATTATAATAAGTTGTTACTAGTAACTGCTGCCCACTGTTGAGTTCATACTGTGTTCCATCATCCTAACCCATACCTCTCTCATTCTCTAAACCTCTGTCAAGTTATTTTATGGTATGTCTGTTCTCACTCTCCTAAACAATAAGAGTCCAACTAGATGGTCTGTATCTAGTTCAATTTTGTATCTTCTGTAGTAGATTCTTTTTTTTTTTTTTTTTTTTTTGTGATGGAGTCTCGTGTAGCCCAGGCTGGAGTGCAGTGGCACAATTTCAGCTCACTGCAGCCTCCACCTCCCGGGTTCAAGTGATTCTCATGCTTTGCAGCCTCCCAAGTAGGTGGGACTACAGTGCGCCAACACACCTGGCTAATTTTTGTATTTTTAGTAGAGATGGGGTTTTACCATGTTAGCCAGGCTGGTCTTGAACTCCTGACCTCAAGTGATCTGCCCACCTAGGCCTCCCGAAGTGCTGGGATTACAGGTGTGAGCCATTGCACTCAGCCGTGTATCTTCCATACACTCTATCTAAGACCTTGCTCATAACATTCCCAGTCAATGTTTGTGGAATTCAATTAAATAATACATTTTCCTGCAAACTAAAACCACAAAGAGATACAATTTCACACTCACTGTGATAGCTATAATCTAAAACAGACAATAAATACTGGTGAGGATGTAAAGACACAGGAAACCACATACATTGCTGGTAGGAATGTAAAATGATACACCATTTTGCAAGACAATTTGGCAGTTTCTTTAAAAGCTAAACATGCTTACTGTACAATTAAGAAATCCCATTCCTAGGTATATACATGTATACACAAGAGAAATGAAAACATAAACCCACACAGACTGGTATGCAAATAACTTTATTTATAACAGTGAAAAAGTGAAAACCACTCAAATGTCTATCAACTGGCTTAATATTTAAACAAAATACATGATATATCCATACAACAGAATATTCAGCAATAAAAAAGAATGACGTACTGATATGTGCCACAACATGGATGAACCAAAAAATATTATGTTAAGTGAAAAAAGCCAGATACAAAAGACCATCTATCATAGGATTCCATTTATATGAAATGTCCAGAATAAGCAAATCTATCAAGATAGAAAATAAATTAGTGGCTGCCTGAGGCTGGTGATGAAAATGTGCAGTAACTGTAAATGAACAAGAAGGATCTTATTTGGATGATGAAAATGTCCCCAAACTAGATTATGGTGATGATTGTACAACTCATAAAAATCATTAAATTAGTTGATTTGATGGTATGTAAATTACACCTCAGTAAAGTTTTTTTTATGAATGCATTTTCCTAAAATAAACAAACAATAGAAATTATAACCAAAAAGGTGTTTTAAAACATTTAGCTAACTACAGAGAATGGGAAGATACAGAATGGAGGGAGCAGAGATGGAAGCTAGACCTCTCTGAACACAATTTGTATTTAACTTTTTAAAATTTCCCTTTGGAACAATATAAATGATCTACATAATGTAAGGTAAAATTGAAAGGAAAAAAGCAACCCCCCAAAACTGAAAGCAAATAAAAACAAATGAACCTTAATTGTGTATTGAATTTGTGGCTTAACAACAATAGAGAGAAATTATTTCAAGTGACTTCAAAGTAATCATACTGCTAACAATAACATTCATATTGTCACTTGGATTCATATATATTACAAATAATATATATGATTTTACAGATCTCTGTGTGTGTAGGAAAAGAGTAAGTAACCACATTACTGTTGTTAAGATCAAGATTTTCAGTATAAGAAAAAAAATGATATAAAGTCAAAGAGGTTAAACAAAACCCTGCAATCCTAAATTTGAATTAGAAATATCAGTAAAAATTCATGGGGTTTTTTGTTTGTTTGTTGTTGTTGTTGTTGTTTTTAGAGATAATACAAGTATTGCCTAGCTCTGCCCACAGAAAAAGCCTAGAAATGATGGGCAACCAGCCGCGTGTGGTGGCTCACGCCTGTAATCCCAGCACTTTGAGAAGCTGAGGCAGGTGGATCACCTGAGGTCAGGAGCTCGAGACCAGCCTGGCCAACAACCCTGTCTCTACTAATAATAAAAAAATTAGCTGAGCGTGGTGGCACACGCCTGTAATCCCAGCTACTTGGGAGGCTGAGGCAGGAGAATCGCTTGAACCTGGGAGGCAGAGGTTTTGGTAAGCCGAGATGGTGCCATTGCACTCCAGCCTGTGCAACAAGAGCGAAATCTGCTTCAAAAAAAAAAAAAAAGAAAAGAAAAAGAAAGAAATAATGGGCAACCTAGGAGCATTCAGACTGTGGTCAATAAATAGAGAACCAGTTCCTAGGGGAGATTAAGAATTTCAGGCCTGGGACAGAAAATATAAAAAAAGAGTCTGGAATACCTCATCGCACAAGAAATAAAGGAAATTATCAAAGACCACTGTGGTCATGCCAAAGGACTCAGAGTCAACTTGAAAGCCTCTTTACAGCCAAAGATGGAGCTATTTGATTTTATTAAAAAGAATAATAACTGTATTTGATTGGAACATTAAGTCTGCTTAAAAATCCACAAGTCACAGTGATACTAAAAAAAAAATGGTGAACAAAGGAACTATTATTGGTCACCTTTGGAGAATCTTAGCGAACCAACTAATTATTCTGAAAACTAGTAAACAGAAAGAAATGAAATTTTTAAATGCTTCAAGGAAATGTTTCTTCTGGCCGGGCACGGTGGCTCACGCCTGTAATCCAACACTTTGGGAGGCTGAGGCAGGTGGATCACCTGAGGTTGGAAGTTTGAGACCAGCCTGACCAACATGGAGAAACCCTGTACTAAAAATACAAAATTAGCCGGGTGTAGTGGTGCATGCCAGTAATCCCAGTTACTCGGAAGGCTGAAGCAGGAGAATCTCTTGAACCCGGGAGGCAGAGGTTGCGGTGAACGGAGATTGCACCATTGCACTCTAGCCCGGGCAACAAGAGCGAAATTCCGTCTCAAAAAACAAAAAAAGAAAGAAAGAAAAAGAAAAAGAAAAAAGAAAAGAAAATGTTTTCTCTATTTAAACATTTGTTATGGCCTGGTACGGTGGCTCACGCCTGTAATCCCAACACTTTGGGAGACCGAGGTGGGTGGATCACCTGAGAGCAGGAGTTCGAGACTAGCCTGGCCAACATGGTGAAACTCTATCTCTACTAAAAACATATAAATTAGCCAGGCATGTTGGCAGGTGCCTGTAATCCCAGCTACTTGGGAGGCTGAGGCAGGAGAATCTCTTGAACCCAGGAGGCGGAGGTTGCAGTGAGCCAAGAACACATCATTGCAATCCAAGAGCAAAACTCGGTCAAAAAAAAAGGAAATTAATTTAGTTGTAGTAGTTGGGGTGAATAGAGACAGTGAATAAATTCTCCTTACCTCCCACCTATGAGACAAACATTGGGCACTCACAGTGAGGGCAGGTTTGTGACCAAAAAACAAACAAATTTCTCTAAAAGCTCCTCTGTTCATAAGAGTTCCAAAGGGATAACTGTAGTCCTCCATGAAAGCTCAACAAAGTTTCCCATCCTGCCAGACAGAGCACACCTACCAAGTTCATGTTCCTGGTTATCCCTATGCCCAAAGCTTGCCTGAGGATACCCTGTGGTTCCACAAAAATACATTACCACCACACAATCCTAGCCCTGTCCATGCTGGTGACTGCCAGCATTGCTTCCAAACTAGAGCCTCAAGAAACAAGCCTAAGCACTCAGATTTTTCTCTCAGGAATTCGGGGACACCTGTTGTTCTATCTTTAACCAGCAGGTAGCGCCAACTCCCCAGCTAGGATGTCACCTTGGCCTCATCCCTGAAGTCGGCACCCTGCCTTCTATTCCCACTAGCTATCAGCCTCTAATCCATCAGCCTCATGTGCAGCAACTGTGTATCAGAGAGAGCTGTCTGAGAAATAGCTTTGTTTGGCTGACCTAAAAGGGATGTAAAAGAACAGCCTTTTTATAAAAATAGGGCTGTACTTTTCCAATAGCAATTCAGATCTAAAAAGGATTTGCCTTCTTAGGAAGAGGAAGGCCATGTGACCATGTGAATATTCTTCAAGATGCTCTTGGGTGTGATGGCCGCTGCAAGGTTGTGCTTGCCAGCACATATACAAACCCAGATACTAAAGTATTCTAATTAACGAGGCTTGTTTAAAGGTTATTAGAGATGAGAAAAAGTCTACATTAGAGCAGGACTATGAACCTTCACTCCACCATTCTAAAGCATCAACACCAACAGCTTTTCTCAACCCTCATATTCTGAGTCCTTCAAGAGCCTCATTTTGATTCAGCTGAGCAAACAGACCTCTAATAACCAGACTGCTGAGGACAGGGCCAAACCACAAATGGGTAAAAAAATCCCTCCATTTAATTAAGCAAATAATTAGGAAGTTTTGCGTTTACGATACAACAGCTTGTCTGCAGATCAATCTTAATTTTCCTTTCCAACTCCCATCCACCTTTGTTCACTGACAAATAGAGAGAAGGAAGGCTCAATGCTGTCTGTGGAAGGCAGTGCAACTTTCTAGGCCATGTCCAAACAAAGCAACAGGAATTCCAAACTTCACATGCCCTACCTGGAAATGCAAAATAATGGTCCAGATCAGACCCAGGGTCAACTTGGGGTTGCCATCTGTGATGTCATCATTGCGAATATTCACTAGTTTCACCTGAAAAAGAAATAAAAGCACGGCTCAGAGCTCTAGGACTTTTTGTTTTGATTAAATTTTTGCATCACTTCATTATTGATTTACAGTTAAACTGATTTCTTTTTTGGTGTACAGTTCTATGAGTTTTAACACATGTATAGATTCATGCAACTACCACCACAAAACAGTTTCATCACCCCAAAAAGGTCCCTTGTGCTGGCCCCCTCCTTGTAATCAAACCCTACTCTCACCCCTAATTCCTGACAACCACTGATCTGATCCTGATTCCTTGTTTTGCTTTTTCCAGAGTGTTGGATAAATGGGATCATGCAGCATGCAAGATTTTGAAACTGCCGGCCAGACGCGATGGCTCACGCCTGTAATCCCAGCACTTTGGGAGGCTGAGACAGGCGGATCACGAGGTCAGGAGATCGAGACCATCCTGGCTAACACGGTGAAACCCCGTCTCTGCTAAAAATACAAAAAATTAGCCGGGCATGGTGGCGGGTGCCTGTAGTCCCAGCTACTCAGTAGGCTGAGGCAGGAGAATGGCGTGAACCTGGGAGGTAGAGCTTGCAGTGAGCAGAGATTGTGCCACTGCACTCCAGCCTGGGCGACAGAGTGAGACTCCGTCTCAAAAAAAAAGAAACTGTCTTTTTATTTCACTCGGCATAATGCCCTTGAGATCCCTATCCAAGCTGTTGCATGAATCAACAGTTTGCTCCTTTTGATCGCTGAGTAGTATTCCATTATAGAGATATGCTACTCTTTGTTCACCCATTCATCCATCGAAGGATATGTGAATTATTTCTAGATTTTGGCAATTATGAATATTCATGTGCAGGTTTTTGTGTGAGCACAGTAATTTCTTTAGGGTATATTCCTAGGAGTGGGATTGCTGGGTTATATGATATATGATTAGCTTTATAAGAAGTCATCAGAGTAGCTACGCCATTTTGCTTTCTCACCAGAAAAGCAACCTCGCAAGCACAAGGTATTGTGGGTCACTTTTTTATTGCCATCAGGGCCAAGATTTCTTTCTTCTTTGCCTTTTTTTTTTTTTTCTTAAGGTTCTGAGAGAGAAAGACAGAAAAGAGAGATGCCTCTCTTCCCTCACCAGTCTTTGGCCTGCTCTCACCTCCATTATCCCATCTTTGTCACAGATATCCATACCTGCCATGCCTCCCGCAGCACCTGCTTTACTCCTAAAATCTCATCCCAACAACTCAATGTGCCCTGACACACCCTCTTCCCAGGCTGACTTACTGCCCCAGTGTGCTGGGAACGGAGGAATTTCCTGGGACGTGGAACTTTAAAACTGGGAGTGTCCTGGGCAAACCACCCTACTTCTACTTCACCTCTGTTAGCCTCCTCAATCATACCCTCAGAGTCCTGCGACACAGTGTCCTTCAGCTGTCCTCCCTTTATCTCTTCTACTGAACTGAAACTTGTGTGTCTCCAGAGGACCCTAGTGACCTTCTCAAATGGAGGCCTCATTTCTCCCTTACAATGACATTCATCTGGGCAAGTTCTTTCCCTTTTCTGTATCTTGGTCTCCTCTTCTATACGGTGGGAGTAGGATGCAAGTGGGAAAACCTGTCCCCTCCCCGAGAATTCAATTTTTCTAATCACTAACAGTTGACAGTTGGTGGGTTACCAGTACCAGCCAAGTCCACATTCCTCAGTCCTACCTCTGTCAGCCTTCCCCTTTCATTGTGAAGTCTACCTCCCTTGGCCAAACCACCTTCCAATCTCTGCTAACCTTTTTCTCAATGACCTCACTACCTAGCTCCTATTCTCTTTTCCTGCCTCATCATCACCTTTCCTGGAAATTTAGCATTTATATTGATATCCCAAATATTACACTATCTGCACAAATTGCCTGCCTTTTGAATTCTGATGACTTTCGTTTTTCCCTACCTTGGCCATCTGCACAGCTACATCTTGGACTTTACCGTTACCAAGAACGGCTCTAGTAATCTCCCTGCCCTTCTTTGAATCCACTGTTCTTACCTGTCCACGTTTTCATTCTATCATAGTAACCAAAGCCACTTTTTGTCCTGATTTAGACTTCTAGCTAATCAATTCTTCTCATAAACCCTGCCAGTAAGGCCCCCACCCCAGCTTCCTCTAGCTCCACACACAGGCATTTCAATGCTGCTTTCTCCAGTACCCTAAACACTTCAGCAACCTCCACTTCTACCACTTTTATTTATCAATTTATTTCAGCAAATATTTATTAAGTGCCAACTGAGGACCATTCATTATGAGAGATGAAGGTGAAATGTTAAGATCTTATTCCCCGTCCTCACGGAGCCTATAATGCATTGGAGCAAACAGAGAAATAACAAGAAAATAAGAAATGTTATACCAGAAGTAAATTGTTATGAGAGCAAACAGAGAATTTTAGAAGTTAATGAGAATTACTGATATGAGTGTCAAAAATGAACTGACTCCAAAAATATGCATACCATTTAATGTCACGTTGACCCTGTTGTTGCTTGGCAACCCTAGATATCCCAAATATTTTCCATATGGCTCACTCTAAGCAGATGAACTCTTTGACTCCCTCATCCATCTTCTTTCTACCACAAACCATCTCTGTATCTTCACCCCTCCCTCTGTCATTCTCCTTGTCTCTCAAAAGAGGTATTTTTCTTTTCTTTTTCAAAGATGGCCACACCACTTGTGCTCTGCTTCTCATCCATCAATCCCTGGATTTGGTTCCTTCAGTTAGGAAGCAAAGGAGGAAGGGTGCTGTGTAGAAAGCAGCATGGATAGTGGAAGGTGCACTAAACTGCATGTCAGAAGGCCTGAGTTAAAGTCTCAGCTTTGCTCTGACTTGTGATTTGAGGCAGGTCATTTACCTGTCCAGGTCTCAGTTTCTTTATCTATAATAAGAAACTGGACTAGTACAACATTAGGGTATCTTCTCGGTGAAACGTTCTATGACTACCAATACTCCTCCTCATGCTCATTTTCATTCTTACTCTCTTCATTGGCTCCTCTTCCTATGTCTAAAAATGGGTTGTTGTCTTCCTCATCCAGGGAAGGAAAAGCTTCTTTCTCCCTTCCTATATCTAGCTCTACTATACTCTAAATATCTTTCTCCTGTATTAAACTGCTCACTTAAGTTATCAGTGCTTAACAACTTAGACCTTTTTCTCAGATCTGATGTGGCATTCCACAATCCACACTACCCCCTTATCTCATTTTCACCTTGATATAGCAATCTGGTTCTCTCTCTTCCTGGATGCCACACCTTTTTTCCATCTCTTTTCTAGTTTATTTTTCATCTTCATTTTGACCCCCACCTAAGGTGCATCCACAAAATTCCATCTTTATCATCATGTTCTTCTCCGTGAACATTCTTCCTCTCAAGGAGGTCACAAGTTCTGTGTGAGTACTGAATGATTTCTCTAACCAGAATACAATTGCTCACTAGCAAGTTAAGACTCAGAACTGGGTCAATCAGATTTAGCATTTACTGAGAGCTTACTAGGGGCACTAAAAACATCTCTGAATAGGGCCCCAATGCCAACACAGCCTGGAAGAATGGGGAAGGCATGTGATGGTCTTACCTGTCGCTGCTTTAGGAAGTCCAGGGCAATCTGCACATTCTGCAGCCTATGAAAACGCATCCTGCCCTTCTCCCGGGGCTGCAAACAAACAAAAAAAGGGATGTTAATTCTGGCTACACAATTTAACCATACAGACCCTTTCTCTTTTATTTCCAGGACTAAAGGACCACACAAGAATTCCTTACAGTAGAAGCCAGGCCTGGGAGCATTACACAAAGCACCCCCTAAGACCAGGCCTGTACGTGTTTCGACCAGGCTCTCTGAGGTCCCCAAATGTCTTGTGTACCACTACGCATCTCGCAAACACAGAATACTGTTTGACCACTAATGCCGAATCAATGCCACAGCTTCTGTTCAGGTTCATCTGCAGTCACATGTGGCAGAACTTGATTCTGGATGTGAGGTTAATGGGAACAGACTTTGGCTCTATGACTCCTAAAATCACAGTTAAATGCTATCGTAGAGAAAGGGTGGAAAGTCCTAATTACATATTGCATAGTAGTAGATGGAGCCAACTTTATTACAAACATGGCAAAAGGAGCTCAAGATAGCCAATTTTTGGCCAAGTGCAGTGGCTCACGCCTATAATTCCAACACTTTGGGAGGCCGAGGCAGGAGGATTGCTTGAGCCCAGGAGTTAGAGACAACCCTGACCAACATGGTGAAATCCCGTCCCTTCATTGGCTCCTCAAAAATTAGCCGGGCGTGGTGGCACATGCCTGTAATCACAGATATCTGGGAGGCTGAAGCACAAGAATAGCTTAAATCTAGGAGGTGGAAGTTGCAGTGAGCCAAGATCATGCCACCGTACACCAGCCTGGGAGATGGAGTGAGACTCCACCTCAAAAAAAAAAAAAAAAAAAAAATACAGATAGCTGATTTTTAACCATAGGAAATGAGAAGTTACATATGCTCAAGAAACAAGTGAAAAAATCCAAAATGGGAGGCAAAAATTAGGAAGCAACCAGTTTCCCAGGAACATAGCTGCCACTGAAGGAAGGGCACCCTTTACTCCAGCATGAAATACCCACAGCAAACAAAACTTTGATAGTGTAGGGCTGTCAACATAATTACTCCTGAGAAAGTTATGCCAGTCACTCAATCCCAGATGTCATACAACCCACTGGAGAGAACCCCATCTCTACCCAGTGCCTCTGGTACCCCGTCCAAGGCTCAACTATTACCAGTTGGAAAGTGAATGCAGTCTCTTTGCCTACTGAGTATCACAGAAAGGGATATCTACCCCTAGAACATTTTCTTCTGCTTACTTTCTAACGTTGCTTATATTTTACTAAAATTTGGAGAGAAATATCACTCTCACTAGATTATACCCACTTCTTTTGTAAGTGTCAAATTGACACTAATTAAAGGCTGATAAAATATAAGGTAGCTCTGTTGCGGGTGTCTGCAGAGAACAACATTGCTCCAAATTAAAATGGGCAAAAAGTACCCTAACACATGGAGAGATAAGGATGGAAGCATCTTCTGGGCACTCTCCAACACTTCTAAGCAACACTTCTCAAATAGGAGAATCTGTTCACAGAGATGTCAAGGCCTCTCTGGGCACAGGATAACTTCTTCAGTCAAAGGTTTAGGAAAAATCTTTTTAGCAAGAACCTTTTCTCAGTCATTTCAGCTAAATTAATTGTGAATATGGCTTAGAAGATGATAGTGCCTATAAAATGGAAGATTCTAAGGCAATGAGAAGGGAGACAAATGATATTTTTAAAATGATTTTAAGAGGACAGAGAATGAGGATATTGCCTAATCCTTGTTTCTGGAAAAAGATTTTGGACTATAATTTAGGGCCTGCAGGCAGAATACACTCCTCTTATACTCTAATCTTTACTCATATGTACCCCTCACCAAAAATAAATACCCTAAGAACATGCAAGTTAAATCTCTGTCCTCTATAGCAACTAGATATTATTGAGCAAAGCCAGAGTATCTCCATGCAGTGAGTTTGCAAACAGGCTGTTTTGAAAACAAATGACGGGGTGTATGATGATAACCTAGAGGCCAGAGAGGTGGAGAGTACCAGTTAGTCTAGACTGTGGAGTTGTGAGCAATTAATTGTCATGCTGTCAACTAAATTTTCCACAATTCTGCAATCTGGACTCAGAAAACACAGCAAGGCCACCAGAAAGCTATGGGTCTCCAGGTCAGAAGAGAACTTGACACCTCCAAAAACCATTATTCTTTTTGTGCCAACCCTTCTCAGCTAAGAAAAACAATTCCCAGTCCATGAGCACCTAACAGTGACAAAAGGCACAATTAGTTTTAACTACTTTCTTTGGGACCCAAATTCCCAGTTGAAATGAGAAGGTGGCAAATAGTAACTGAACTACTTCGAGACCTGGAGAACCTCAGACTCTGATGGCCCTGCAGTGCCAGCAGTGCCAGCTGGGATGCTGGCATCCCCAGGAGGACCTACTACATCATCATCATCTTCCTCCGCCTGCTCCTCGTTGTTTGTATGGCACCAGGAGGGCATGCTCACCAGACGGAGGGTCTTCAGCCCTGCTGGCTCCTTTGGCCACCAACCAAGGCAAAGACACAATAGAGGAACAAGAAATTCACAATAAAAAGATGGAAAGGAAATGAATGCAACACTTAAAAAAAAGGAAAAACAAATATGAAAATACCCTCCCACCTCCGAAAAAGATACAAAACTAAATCAAAACCAGAGCAGATGGTTACATTGAACACTTCTTATGATGAAACACATCTTCAATTCTCCTTAGCCTCCTACCCTCTCTGCTTTTCTAAGTCAACTATGGGGAAAAAACATGGTGAGAATAACTGTCAAAGAGATATCTGGATGGTTTTTGGTGAAGAGATGATATCCTATCAGTATCTCCACAAACACTTAAAGGTTTTCAAAGGTTAGGAAAAGAAATTAGATTGACATAGTTTCAACTTATTACGTAAGCAATACAACCAAAAAAGATCACTTTTCAATATAAAATCATTACAAATTCATTAAATGTACCAGACACATTGCCCAAAATGTAACTGTGTGAGTGGTGAAGAATAAAGTCCAGCACAATGAAAGTAAAATTCTGATTACTTATTAGACTTATAAACACGAGCCAGAGAGCAAGAACTAGAAATTAAATGTGCCGGCTATGCTAATAAAAGCTTCTGTCAATTTTAGGCCATTAAAAAATATATAATTAATTCTATTGCAAGGCAAAAAAAAAGATACGAAACCAAAACAAAGGACCCAGGGAAGCCAAGCCCCAATCCTAGAAGGAGCTGAATATCACTTAGGCAGTAAAATCAAATGTGCCAAATTCTGTTACTTAAACACAACAAACAATGACTAAGAAAGGCAGTGAGTGGGCTGGTCTTCACAGACTACTTGAGCTATACATCTCTTTGGTTCTCTATTTCTCCACAGATATTTCCAGTATTCAACCCTGGACTTTTCTAAATGAAAATTATGTTGTCTATGGCATGAGAGAAAGAGTATGAACCATATGGAATCACCTGCTCCCATTAGGCTCAAATATAGAAAACAGTAGGCCTACAAGTGGGTGATTTCCATCCCTCAAAGCAAGTAGAAGAACTATCATTTGGCAAGGCAAGAAGCTCAGACAGGATTTGCCCTCAGATATGTAGGTGTTTCCCATAATCAATGTTAGAACATTTTGGGAAGAAGCAGGCATATTAATTAATCAAGGAGCCCAGATGTTCTATATCCAAGGCTATGCTCAGACAACTTTGGCAGCTCTCCAAATCTGTAAGACTCAATGAATCACAGAAGGGAGAAAGTGAGATGATTTGGAAAAAAAAATAACTTCATACACCTGGGCTTTTAAATGTAAACTTCAGGTCTTTAGCTGAATACATAAAATTTTAAAAATTCACAATAGATTGGAAAATGAGAGGCGTCTATATAGACTAGAGCTCTAGGAAGAAAAATACACCTAATTCAAAAAAACCTTTAAACATGAATCTACTGTTTCTGAAATATTAGTATCTAGAAAATAAAGAAAAAGTAATGCAAAAACATGCAGATATAAAAAGGATTATAACTAATTTCTCATTTCATCAAGAAATGAGAACATATAATACATCAATTTAAATTATATAATTTGTAAATTCTAAGTCTGAGTTAGAAATAAAGTCCCCCAACATTTCCTTCTACTTCTTCCTCCCCTCTAATAGATGAAACAGTGATGGCTGCTGCCCTTGCACTCAATGAGATGGACCAATATGTCATTTGTAGGGCCACAATTGTGAGGCCATTCATTAGGAGAAGCTCACCAGTTTGATGCCTGAGAGGACCTCCAACAGAGAGATCAGGTTATGGCCATCCCGCAGATCTTCATAAAGATCATTGATGTGCTTGCGGACCTGTGAATGAGAGTGAAACAGACAGATTTTTATTTGATATTGAATTATTATACTATCCACATAAAAATCTCTGGTTCTAGGTAAACACAAATTAAAGAATTTAAAAGTGGAAGCAACAATTAAATAATAAAATTCAGGAAGTTTCAGATTGGAATAAAATACATGTGAAATGATAATACTTTACCAGAAACGTGTGTGTTTTTTAAATTGATGCCAGATCTATTACACACTCTAACCAACATGCAACAACGTCCTAGAAAGTTTGGACAAGAAGATGGGGAGTCTTAATTATCCTGAGACATCTTAGGAGTTACTATGAGCCAAAATGTAATAGCATGGCGAATGATGGGTAGATGAGTCCAGCCAGAGTCAGAAAAGCCTTCTAGAGTGCTGCAAAGGAAACTAAATGCTAGGCACCCAGTGTTTCCTGGGGTGTATTTCCAATTTAACCCTTCTCTTACACCAAATATTTCTAATAGCGAATTTCAGAATAATTTTCTTTGTGGGAAATTCCAATTAACTTTAAAATTGGAACTATGGAAAAACAGATCTCACTTTGGGAGAAAGTGTGGTTAATATCAAACATGGTACTAAATGTTTAATATGTTATCTATCTCTCACATCTCTAAGGTAAGTAGTATTATTATTTCTATTTTACACATGAGGAAATAAGGCACAAAGAGGTTAAGTAAATTGCCCAAGGTCACCAAGTGGAAAAACCGGCCTCAGTTTCATCTGATTTTAGTCTTTGCCATTAACTACTATGCTTTATAATCAGCCATCATCTCATTCTATTTATTTAATCCAAACAATTACCTTGTGAAGTTTACTTATTACCACCATTCCATCAAAGAAACCAAGGAAGCTGAGGTTCTGAGATGTTATGGTCACTTAGCTATAAGTTAAGTGGCAATTGGATTTCTGATTCAGTCCCAGTCTAGTGACGACTTCATTAAGTGATACTCATTGCCAGGTGCAGTGGCTTCTGCCTGCAATCCCAGTACTTTAGGAGGCCAAGGCAGGAGGATCCCTTGACCCTAGGAGTTTGAGATAAGCCTAGGAGTTCGAGATCAGCCTGGGCAATGTGGGGAGACCCCCTTCTCTACAAAACAAAAAAAAAAGCCAGGCATGGTGGTATATGCTTATGGTCCCAGCTACTCAGGAGGCTGAGGTGGGAGGATCACTTGAGCCCAGGAAATCAAGGCTGCAAGTGAGCTATGATCACACCACCATACTCCAGCATAGGCGACAGAACAAGACTCTGTCTCGAAAAAAAAGGTGATGTTCACAACACAGAATGGGAAGACTTGTGAAAATTATAAGGAAGATTGATTTTTAATATATTAATTTTCCAGACAACGCTAGAAAGGGCTACTTTCAGAAGTAGTAGAATTTTAGTTACTATAATTTTGAGTAGAGGCTGGGGATTTGGGGATTTTTACATTTGAGTGGAAAACTGAAGTCCTTTCCAATTATAATATTCAAAGTAGCTCTGAAAGTAGAGCAGGAGGCCAGGTGCAATGGCTCACACCTGTAATACCAGTGCTTTGGGAGGCTGAGACAGGAGGACTGCTTTAGCCCAGGAGTTTAAGGCTCAAGGCTGCAGTAAGGTATCATTGCACCAATGCACTCCAGCCTGAGTGACAAACCAAGACCCTTTTGTAATGAGGGGTTTCTTTTTTAACCCTGTCTGAAAAAAATAATAAAAAAAAAGAAAGTAGGATAAGAATGGAAACTGGACAAGATAAAGAATGGAAACATACGTAAAGACTTCCTCGAAGAAACGGGACTTGGAGGATTAGCAAATGTTTTAGTAGAAAGAAGACGGAAAAACCACATAAGACTTGGCATAGAGATGGACATATGCAAGGTATGTGTGTATGTATGTGTGTAAAGAAATAAGAAGGTGACAGGTACGTTATACAACTGGGGAAGATGGTTCATGATGAACTGGAAAATAGCTTTAAAAACTGAAAGAATATATACATTTTTTGAGACAGAGTCTTGCTCTGTCACTAGGCTGGAGTGCAGTGGCACAATCTTGGCTCACGGCAACCTCTGCCTCCCGAGTTCAAGTGATTCTCCTGCCTCAGCCTCCCGAGTAGCTGGGATTACAGGTGCGCACCACCACAATCAGCTAATTTTTGTATTTTTAGTAGAGACGGGGTTTCACCATGTTGGCCTCAATCTCCCGACCTTGTGATCCACCCGCCTCAGCCTCCCCAAGTGCTGGGATTACAGGCGTGAGCCACCACACCCGGCCCACACTTTTAAATTTAATCTGCAATATTAACATTTTCCCCATCACTTTCTTAAGTCTAAACAATAAACAAAACAAGACATCTAACTCAAACTTGTAGAATTTGCTGATTTCCATGATGTAAATATTCCCAATACAACCAATTTCAAGCTACTAATATAATATCACTAAATGCAATGTTGGGAAGAAATATACAGTAGCACACCATTATGTACAGTATTTCCATCACAGAGACACAACAGACATAACCTCAAGAGTACAGACAATACTAACATGCAGCAAAACAATTATGAAATGAACAGCTTTGAGGATGTATTACATTTACTTTAAATATAATTTATTTAATTGTATGTTTACATAATTTAATTTTTAATAATAGCTGTGGCTGGGCGCAGTGGCTCACACCTGTAATCCCAGCACTTTGGGAGGCCGAGACGGGCGGATCACGAGGTCAGGAGATCGAGACCATCCTGGCTAACACAGTGAAACCCCGTCTCTACTAAAAATACAAAAATTAGCCGGGCATGGTGGCGCGCGCCTGTAGTCCCAGCTACACGGGAGGCTGAGGCAGGAGAATGGCGTGAACTCGGGAGGCGGAGCTTGCAGTGAGTCGAGATCGCGCCACTGCACTCCAGCCTGGGCAACAGAGCGAAACTCCGTCTCAAAAAAAAAAAAAAAAAAAAAATTAGCCGGGCATGGTGGTATGCACCTGTAATCCCAGCTACTCGAGAGGCTGAGACAGGAGAATCCCTTGAACCTCAGAGACAGAGGTTGCAGTGAGCCAAGATCACACCATTGCACTCCAGCTTGGGCAACAGAGCAAGACTGTCTCAAAAAAAAAAAAAAGCTATGTTTAGCAACCAGCTCACAAAATTGCTGAAAATTTAACACTTGGCTCTCATGAGTCCATAAGCTGGCTCCAGCATACCAGGGGCTCCAAGATTTCAAAACCCCTCCCTCTCACACCTGTAATCTCAGCACTTTGGGAGCCTGAGGTGGGTGGATCACCTGAGGTCAGGAGTTCGAGACCAGTCTGGCCAATATGGTGAAACCCCGTGTCTACTAAAAATACAAAAAATTAGCCGGGTGTGGTCGTGGGCGCCTGTAATTCCAGCTACTCAGAAGGCTGAGGCAGGAGAATCGCTTGAACCCGGAAGGCAGAGGTTGCAGTGAGCCAAGATCACACCATTGTACTCCAGCCCGGGCAACAGGAGTGAAACTTTGTCTCAAAAACAAAAACAAAAACCCCTCCCTCAAATAGACCCAAGGTTTCAAGTTTGCAGTGTGGAACAACAGTAGTGGACCATTAACAGAAATAGGCAGGTCATAAGGTTTGTTAAAAGGGCAGTGGATTTGATAAATTCAATTTTAAATATGTTGAATTTAAAATGGCAGCAAAGAAGTTACAAATGAAAATGTTCTTGAAGCAGCTGGAAATACCAGAATTCAGTTTGGGTCAGCTGAGAACTTAACTTTAGAAGTCACATGCACAGAGGTGCTAGCTAAAGACATGGAAATGGGCTTTCTGGATTAGGAGTAAGATAGAAGAGCAGAGTGCTAAGGACTGAGCCTCAGGGAACAGCCAAAATTAGAAGGCAGGAGATGGAAAAGCAATCAACAAAGGACAGAAGAAAAAGACAAAACAAAACAATAACAGTGAAAGAGGTAAGCAAAAATACAAGAAAGTGTAATCAAGATAGGAATGATCACCGGTATCAAATACTACAGCAGAAGTCAAGGAGGATAAAGACTAAGAAAGTTTTTTAACTTTCCTACAAATAAGTAAGAGTGCTTTTGTGAGACTATTTCTCAAGAGAGTGGTAGAGTGAAAATCAGATTATAAATTAATGGTAGGTTTTTTAAAAAGTCAGAAAATATTACATACTTGACATTAAGGATTAAGAAGAGAACTAAGTTAAATGAGGGATTTATTTTTGATAGATAAGATCTGAACATAGGGAATAAAAATCAGGAGGACACTGAATGAATGAATGAATAAATAAATGAATGAATAAATATTGCTTGATTGATTGAGACACAGTCTTGCCATATTGCCCAGGCTAGTCTCGAACTCCTGGGTACAAACAATCCTCCCACTTCAGCCTCCCAAAGTGTTGGGATTACAGGTGTGAGCTACCACTCCCAACCTGAATAAATATTTAAATAAATTGCTGTTGCCAGGCGCAGTGGCTCACACCTGTAATACCACCAATTTGGGAGGCTGATGCTGGGAGATCACCTGAGGTTGGGAGTTTAAGACAAGCCTGGCCAACATGACAAAACCCTGTCTCCACTAAAAATACAAAAAAGTTGTGCATGGCGGCACATGCCTGTAGTCCCAGCTACTCAGGAGGCTGAGACACGAGAATCGCGCTGGAGGGGGTTGCAGTGAGCCAAGATCGCACCACTGCATTCCAGCCTGGGTGACAGAGCAAGACTCCATCTCAAAAATAATAATAATAAAAATAAATTGCAGTTGGTCTTGAGGACCAAGTGAGGTCATCTTATCAACAGATATTAAACACTACAGAGTACTGAAAAGACAAAGGAGGCAACTTGAAATGTAAAGTTAATTTCACACCAAGGCCCTAATGTTTCTTTCTCAAAATTCTGGTTATGTGTTATACCTGTGGTAGCAAAACTTGTACATATTATAAGAAATTTAGATGAGAACTAGCTTATTATGCCTCTCAATCTTTGTCTGACTATAGTAACCAAATAACTATAAAAATAAAACTACTGGCCAAGCACGGTGGCTCATGCCTGTAATCCCATCACTTTGGGAGGTCGAGGTGGGCAGATCACCTGAGATCAGGAGTTGGAGACCACCCTGACCAACACAGCAAAACCCCCGCTCTACTGAATATACAAAAATTGGCCAGGGTGGTGGCTCACGCCTGTAATCCCAGCACTTTGGGAAGCCGAGGCAGATGGATCACCTGAGGTCAGGAGTTTGAGACCAGCCTAGTGAACATGACAAAACCTTTTATCTACTAAAAATACAAAAATTAGCTGGGCATGGTGGCACACGCCTATAATCCTAGCTACTGGGGAGGATGAGGCAGGAGAATTTGCTTGAACCCAGGAGGCAGGGGTGGCAGTGAGCCAAGATGGCGCCACTGCACTTCAGCCTGGGCAACAGAGCGAGACTCCATTTCAAAAAAAAAAAAAATGGCTGGGTGCAGTGGCTCACACCTGTAATCCTAGCACTTTGGGAGGCCAAGGCGGGTGGATCATGAGGTCAGGAGTTCGAGATCAGCCTGGCCAACATAGTGAAATCCCGTCTCTACTAAAAATACAAAAAATTAGCTGGGTGTGGTGGCAGGCACCTGTAATCCCAGCTACTTAGGAGGCTAAGGCAGGAAAATCACTTGAACCTCGGAGGCAGAAGTTGCAGTGAACCGAGATCACGACACTGCACTCCAACCTGGGTGACAGTGCACGACTCCACCTCAAAAAATAAATAAATAAAAATACAAAAATTAGCGGGGCGTGGTGGGGCGCGCCTTACATTCCAGCTACTCAGGAGGCTGAGAAAGGAGAACTGCTTGAACCCAGGAGGGAGACGTTGCAGTGAGCCGAGATTGTGCCACTGCACTCCAGCCTGAGCAACAGAGTGAGACTCTGTCCCCCCCAAAAAAAATTTTTAATAAAAAATAAATAAATAAAACTATCAAAGAGATACAGAGAGAGGTAATGGGAGAGGAGAATGCAAAGAGATTTTTTTTTCCTTGCCTGGAAAACTGTCAATAAAGAAAACAGCAGTCTGTTTCTGAAGCATACTAGACACAGCTCTACCTAAAGAAGAGTAAAGAACTAGCTAACATTTACTGGGTGCTTCTGTGTCAGGAATTTTTCAGACACAGAGATCGGATTTGGAGGGCTCAATTAACATCCCCAAAATCACACATCTACTAAATTGCCAGGCTGATCAAATCCAGATCTATCCATCCTAAAATCCTCATCTCTTCTGCTCATACTAGTTTGCCTGTGAAGTTTTCCACAAATCTCTTAGGAAAATGACCAGTGGACTAAGCATCAAAATTTAGAAGGCCAGGTGCGGTGGCTCAAGCATGTTATTGCAGCACTTTGGGAGGCCAAGACAGGAAGATTACTTGAGCCCAGGAGTTTGAGACCAGTCAGGGCAACACAGTGAGACTCCATCTCTACAAAAAATTTTAAAAGTCAGCCAGGTGTGGTGGTGCATGCCTACAATCCCAGCTACTCAGGAGTCTGAGGTGGGAGGGTTGCTTGAGCCCAGCCGACTGAAGCTGCAGGGAGCTATTATCACACCACTGCACTCCAGCCTGGACAACAGAGTGAGATCCTGTCTCAAAAAAAGAAAAAGTTTTAGAAGCAGCCAACTGAAGCAAGACTGTTCAGGAATCATCAATAAGGATGCTTCTTTCTAACAAATAATTATACCATTCTGTCAACAAATGAGTAAAAAACTGCAATTCAGGGCCTTGCCTGTTTGCACTCCCTGAGAAAATCATTGTCAAAATTAGTAAATGTGTCCAGAGAAGATATATAAATGGCTAATAAACACATGAAAAGATGCTCAACATCATTAGCCATAAGGAAAACATAAATCAAAACCGCAGTGATTAGCGCTGTCTAGGATGTCTATATTATAAAAGACAGATAAGTGTTAGCAAAAAAGCAGAGAATCTAGAACCCTCATACACTGCTGGTGAGGATGTAAAATGGTGCAGTTGCTTTCGAAAATAATGTGATGGTTACTAACAGGTTAAACACAAGTTACCATACGACCCAGCAGTTCTGCCCCTAGGTATGTAATTAAAGAGAACTGAAAACATACGTCCAGACAAAAACTTGTAAATGAATGTTCATAGAGACAGGGGTTGCGGGGGCAAGATGGTGTCTCAGTATGTTACCCAGGCTGGTCTCAAACTCCTGGCCTCAAGAGATCATCTCACCTCAGCCTCCCAAAGTGTTGGGATTACAGGTGTGGGCCACTGTGCTGGCCATAAAGTTTTTTTTTTTTTTTTTTTTTGGAGATAGGGTCTCACTTCCATCACCCAGGCTAGAGTGCAGTGGCGCGATCACAGCTCACTATAGCCTCGACTTCCTGGGCTCAGGTGATCCTCTCACCTCAGTCTCCCAAGGCGCATACAACCATGCTTGGCTAGTTTTTTCTATTCTTTGTAGAGATGGGGTTTTGCCATGTTGCCCAAGCTAGTCTCGAACTCCTGGCCTCAAGCCACCAGCCTCACCCTCCTGAAGTGCTGGGATTACAGGCTTGATCCATCACACCCAGCCATATAGTGATTTCTTAAAATTAGTGAATAATTAGATTTTGAGAGACCAAGTCCAATCCTCCCCAGTGCCCAAGCATTAATAAGTCAAGGAGGGGTCTGCTGTCTGCTTTTTTTTTTTTTTTGAGGCAGAGTCTCACTCTGTTGCTCAGGCTGGCGTGCAGTGGTGCTATCTCGGCTCATTACAGTATCCGCCTCCTGGATTCAAGTGATTCTCCTGCCTCAGCCTCCCGAGTAGCTGGGACTACAGGCATGCGCTGCTACGCCCAGCTAATTTTTTTGTATTTTTAATAGAGACAAGGTTTCGCCATGTTGGCCAGGCTGGTCTTGAACTCCTGGTCTCAAGTGATCCACCCGCCTCAGCCTCCCAAAGTGCTGGGATTACAGGCGTGAGCACTGCACCCGGCCTCCATTTTTTAAAGATTAGCTTAAAGCTATGAAAAAATAAACAGCTTCCCTCAATTTCTCAGTGGCTTTAACAAAAGGAGTAAGTTACACTTACGTGCTTGGAATCCTAATCTTAGCCCAAAGGGACTTTAAAGATTACTTAATTCTAATACCCTCAGTTTACAGATGAGAAAACCATTGCCTAGAGAAGCTAAATAACTTGTATAAGATCACTTAGCTGGAAAGTATCAGAGCTGGGTCCAGATCATTGTCTCCTGACTCTCTTAACAAGGCTTCTATGATGCTTGGAGGGTCAAAATGACAGATTATCAATTTTAAATAATAAGAGTCCCCCCTCCCCGCCATACATACACAAAAAAGAGCAAGGATTGTCACGTAGTACTCTTTTTTTTTTTTTTTTTTTTTTTGAGATGGAGTCTCGCTCTGTCACCCAGGCCGGAATGCAGTGGTGTGATCTCAGCTCACTACAACCTCTGCCTCCAGGGTTCAAGCGATTCTCCTGCCTCAGCCTCCCAAGTAGTTGGTATTACAGGCATGCATCACCACACCCGGCTAATTTTTGTATTTTTAGTAGAGACGGGGTTTCACCATGTTGGTAAGGCTGGTCCCGAACGCCTGACCTCAAGTGATTCACCCACCTTGGCCTCCCAAAGTGCTGACATTACTGGCGTGAGCCACCATGCCTGGCCTCGTAGTATTGACACCTGCCGAAAACTTGATCTAGAAATCTTTCCTCTAAACAATTAAAAGGAAACGTAAGCAGCCCAATTTCCTTGACTCAAACTATGTTGAAGAGCAATATATAGGGCAGAGGAGAAAGTTTTAAAGAGAAAAGTAATGTTATTTACTCTCTCCTACACTTATTAAAAGATACAGGGAAAGGGAAAGTGAGCCTAGTAATTTCAGATAGATTTCTGAATGGCAGATCTCCAAATTGTAAAAACAGAAACCGATATTGATTCATTGGCCAAATTTGTCTTCAAGGAAAAGCCCAACACTAAAAAAAAAAAAAAAAACAGATTATAGTTGTCCTAGACTTCTTTACTCTGGAAAGAACTATGCTTAAATGCAGGGAATAAAAGTAGCAGCTGGGAATCCCTGTTGGAGAGCGGGGGTGGGAGGGGAACAAAGTGTGAGGTTCTTTGCATATAAGAATTTTATCATATCTCTGTTTTGAGAATTCCCTAAATTGTGAGAAATTTAACAGTGGTACCGGTCAACCCGGATTAACAGATTCTCTAAGAATGTGGATGATTCTAAAATCCACAGGCTGGGTGCAGTGGCTCACGCCTGTAATCCCAGCACTTTAGGAGGCCAAGATGGGCAGATCACCTGAGATCAGAAGTTCGAGACCAGCCTGACCAACATGAAGAAACCCTGTTCTCTACTAAAAATACAAAATTAGCCAGGCGTGGTGGCACATGCCTGTAATCCCAGCTACTCGGGAGGCTGAGGCAGGAGAATCGCTTGAACCCGGGTGGCGGAGGCTGCAGTGAGCCAAGATCGCACCATTGCATGCCAGCCTGGGCAACAAGAGTGAAACTCCATCTTAAAAAAATAAAATCCACAAAATGTAGCTTTACTTTGATAGGCAGGCACTTAAGCACAGGGAATAGAAAATCCAGAGTAAAGCCCAAGTCCAAATATAGGCCCATATGTAGACCTGAGAAGCATTTAGAGTGAAATTAAGCCCTAAAAAATCAGGTCCAGGCAAAGACAGCCACAAACCACTACCATATAGTCACATGTAGGCAACAAAGGTAACACTCCTTTCCTTAGCATCTAACCAGCACTACTTTGTCAATTTCTTAAATTAAACTCCACTGCCCGTCTCATTCTGGTATTTCCCATAGACATGAATACGCAAAAAGTATGAAGTTCCACCCAGTGATTAGGGAGCCAGTGAATTGACTCATGTGGCCAAAACAGAGGCTGTATAGGACAGAATACCTGGAATCAGTGCTACCCCATATTCAACTAGAGAGTCTCAAACAGAAATAGAGAAAGTGTAAGTGGGCCAGGTGTGGTGGCTCATGCCTGTAATCCTAGCACTCGGGAAGGCCAAAGATTCCTTGAGCACAGGAGTTTGAGACCAGCCTAGGGAACATAGGGATAACTTGTCTCTTAAAACAGAA
Organism: Homo sapiens; assembly: GCF_000001405.40. Classification (NCBI taxonomy): domain Eukaryota; kingdom Metazoa; phylum Chordata; class Mammalia; order Primates; family Hominidae; genus Homo; species Homo sapiens. The sequence goes on along the minus strand of NC_000001.11, from coordinate 39,239,931 downwards.
AGACAGAAAGACGGACGGACGGAAGGAAGGAAGGAAGGGTTGGTTGTAAGCATTATTAAAAATTTGAAAACTTTTGCTGGTATATATGGAAATTTTATCTAAAATTCCAGGAAAGCCAGGGGCTTCTAGATTGCATATACAAAAATGGAAAGAACTGCTCTATCTGCTAGATTAAATACTGGGCTTTTCCTTTCTAACTACTAACCTGTGAAGTCAACAGGAACTGACCAGAAAAAGCATTTTTCTCCCTCCTAAGGAGTTCATACTTTCATGTTCTCTTTAGGGGGATACACTTTATCAGCTAACAGCACCCAGAGATATGGCATAGATAATTTAAATAAGACCTCATTTAGAAACCTAGATTTCTCTTTTTGATGGTTCTGGTATATAAGCAGAACCCTTACATATGTATGTTTACATTCTAAATTAGGTTGTTTATTTCAGATGCTTATATCCTTAACAAATCTCTTTTAAGATTGGATCAGAAGTGTTCTCAATAAGGAGGAATTAATTTGCTTATCCCAAAGTAAGCTGTTTCCCAAAAGGTTATCAGGGAATCCAAGAGATTCCAAGATCAACTAAATCTAGAAGTTGGGAGACCTGGTTTGTGGTGTTTTTTGTTTGTTTGTTTGTTTGTTTGTTTGTTTTTTTGAGACAGAGTCTCGCTCTGTCACCCACGCTGGAGTGCGGTGGCACGATCTCAGCTCACTGCAACCTCCATCTCCCGTGTTCAAGCGATTCTCCTGCCTCAGCCTCCCAAATAGCTGGGATTATAGGCGCCAGCCACCACTCCCAGCTAATTTTTGTATTTTTAGTAGAGATGGGGTTTCACCATGTTGGCCTGGCTGGTCTCGAACTCCTGACCTCAAGTGATCCACCCCCTCGGTCTCCCAGAGTGCTGGGATTACAGGCATGAACCACCATGCCTAGCCACCTGGTTGGTTTTGTCCTTACGTTGGTCTACCTGCCAAAGATGGCATTAATCTGGGGTGTACTTGGGGAGCAAAGCAAAGGATGCTTGAGTCGCAAAAAAAAATCTCAATCCCTAATTCTCAGCCCAAAATCAAATAATTCCAATTTAGAGCAATAACTCTGATTAGCAGTGAATCTCTCTCTGAAATATCCCAAGATGAGCAAATGTTATTGAAACTGTAAGGCTGGGGGCCTGGGAAGAGATGAAAAATCACCAAGGATTTAAGAAAAGCTTTGGCTGGCCTCCAATTTCTAACAATGCTATGATGTGTTCCTCTAGCTTCTCCCTCCCTGAGCTTCCTGTCATCACACAGCACTGAGGCAGAGGTCCAACAGGCAGCATCAGCTACAAACAGGCAGCAAGGAGCCAGAGCACTGGAATTCAACTACAAAGTTCAGGGGACAAGCTCAAGGTAGGATTGATTCAGTTCCTCCAACGGTTAGAGACAAAGTATGAAACAATCAGCTAGGGGCCAAACCCAAGGGCAGGGGCCACTCTTAGCTAAATCCCTCCCAGTGACTGCAATAGAACCCTCTGGGGAGCTCAGGAAGGGGTGTGCTAAGTTCTATAATATAAGCTGTCATATATTTGGCTCCTCTGTATCTCCCTCTTCCCTAGGAGACAAGTGTGAAGGAAGGAGCTTAGATAAGACAACCCCTCAAACCCATTCCCTCTCCAAGAGACCTACCCTCCACAGGCACAGGTCCCCAGATGAGAAGTCTGCTACCTTCATTTCTCATCTTTTTACTAAACTCAGAAGCGGTGACAGCAGTCAGGGACAGACGCACATTTCTCACACCTTCCCTTCATCTAAGAGATGACAGGGAAAACTGCAGTCAAAGCTCGGTGCTCCCTCTGGCAATTTTTAAATCCTTTTTTATTCCATGAGAAGTCGTTTTTAGGGAGAACGGGAGTTGAGACAAGCTGTATTTCAGAAATGCTGTCGTAATGGTTTTTAACACCTTTTACTCTTCTTACTGGTGCTATTTTGTAGAATAAGGAACAACATTGACAAGTTTTGTGGGGCTTTTTATATACTTTTTTAAAATCTCAAACTTCTATTTTTATGTTTAACGTTTTCATTAAAATTTTTTTGTAACTGGAGCCACAACGTAAGAAATAATGGGGAAAAAACTGCCTTGTTTCAACAGTTTTTGCTAATTTTTAGGCTGAAAGATGACGGATGCCTGGAGTTTACCTTACGTTTAATTAATATCAGTATTGTCTAAAAAAAAAAAAAGAATCAGCTGGGGGCATAGTTAGCAGGAAGAACAAGTAATTTTGATCAGAAGATTCATGATTGATTGATCCTTAGCTCCATCCCTCACTAGCTGTATCGTTTTGGCAAAGTCACTTCACTCCTCTAATTCTCATTTTCCCTAGCTGTTAAAATTAAGGGGATAAAACACCTTTACTTACTTCAGGGTTATTTTAAGGATTAAGACAGATAAGAATGTGCTTCATACGCTATAACACTATTGAAATATTAGTTACTCAAGGTAACAAGTACTTATTGGATACTTCTCATGTGCTATGTGCAGCACTTAACAGAGAAAGTAGCATAATACAATCCCAGTCCTCAATGAGTACTGTAACAGAGAACATCGATGAGTGAACACACAGGCATCTCTTCAAGGCAGTATGAAATACAGATGGAGTTGCAATTGATTTAATCTGAGGAACAGAGGTCAGAATCTCAGGAAGGTGATACTGGAGCTGGGCCTAGAAGGTGAAGTGGGTGATGGTCAGGCAGAGGAGGCTGGGACGTGCATTCTAGGGAGAGAAATAAATAAGCAAGGAGGTGTGAAAGTACACAGTGTTTAGGGGGCAGTGAGTTGTCTCATGTGGCTATAGCGCAAGCTACAAAAAACAGAGTGCTTAGAAATGAAGCTAGACAGGTGGGTTGGAAACGCTGCAAAGTGCTCTACATCAGGAAAGAGTTAGGTGACATCAAACTCTAGAGGCAACTAGTAGCCATGGAAGAAATTTACAAAAGGAAATCACGGCTGGACGCGGTGGCTCATGCCTGTAATCTCATCACTTTGGAAGGCCGAGGCAGGCAGATCACAAGCCCAGGAGAGCAGCCTGGCCAATATGGTATAACCCTGTCTCTACTAAAAATACAAAAATTAGCCAGGCTTTGGTGGCACATGCTTGTAGTTCCAGCTACTCAGGAGGCTGAGGCAGGAGAGTCGCTTGAACCCAGGAGGCAGAGGTTGCAGTGAGCTGAGATTGCGCCACTGCACTCCAGCCGGGCAACAAAGCAAGACTCCATCTCCAAAAAGAAAAAAAAGGAAATTACAATTTCTTTTCTCCTTACTTCTCTCTCTTTCTTCTTTGTCCTAACACTATAAACAATAAGACACAATATTTGCCCTCCAGTGATAATATAGCTGAAAGATACACCATGTATATAAACACTCTGGATGCTTTAACAAAAGCACATAAGGAGTATAGTCAGGGGCACAAAGAAAGGCTAGTCAGTTCCACATCAGAGAAGTCAGGAAAATACTTACTGAAGAGGTGTTAAGTTTGTGTTATCCAGGCAGAACAAACTTGGGAAAGATATTCCAAGCACAGGGAGCAGAATGAACAAAGATACAGAGTCATAAAATAGCATGGCACATAGTTCAGCAAGAACTCAAGGTATGAGGGAAACTTGGTGCTATGAGCCTGGAAAGGTAGGCAGCAACCAGAGCCAGTTCTGCATGGGTTAAGAGCACGGTTTCTAGACTTTAGGTTGCCTGAATTTTAAAATTTCAGTTCTGCCTTTTTCTAGCAGCATGATCTTGAACAAATTACTTACCCTCTCTAAGTAATTTATAAAATGGGGATATTAACAGAACCCACAGCATAAGATCACTGAAGGATTAAATGAAATAATCCATGTAAAGGACTTAGTATACAGAATGTCTGATTTAGACTAGGCATGGTGGCTCATGCCTGTAATTCCAAGACACTGGGAGGCCAAGGTGGGAGGACTACTTGAGGTCAGGAGTAGAAGACAAGCCTGGGCAACATACCAAGACCCCATCTCTACAAACACACACACAAAAATTAGCCAGGCACAGTGGCATGTGCCTATAAACCTAGCTATTTGGGAGGCTGTGGTGGGAGGATCACTTGAGCCCGGGAGTTGGAGGCTGTAGTGAGCTATGATTGTACCACCGCACTCTAGCCTGGCAACAGAGTAAACCCTGTCACACACACAGAGAGAGAATACGTCTGATTTACAGGAAGTCTTCAAGATACTATTACTACCATTGTTATTATAGAAAACTTTATTAGGAAACTATTATAATGGTCAAGGCAACAGACACAGAGGCCCTGAACAAAAGCAGCGATATGGAGATGGAGAAGAGAAGACAGATGCATGCAATCTTTCTGAGCTACAAGTGATTAACTGGACTTGGTAACAAGGGAGAGATTATAGGCAGTACTGAATCAAATAGGTTCCTAACTTGAACAACTGGCTACATGAGTGAAAATACTTAACAATTTAGGGTGTGTTAAATAAAAGCTATGGCTAGCACTGCAACCTCCCTGCCTGATTCTCCTGACTCAGCCTGCCGAGTGCCTGCGATTGCAGGCTCGCGCCACCACGCCTGACTGGTTTTGGTGGAGACGGGGTTTCGCTCTGTTGGCCAGGCCAGTCTCCAGCCCCTAACCGCAAGTGATCCACCAGCCTCGGCCTCCCAAGGTGCCGGGATTGCAGACGGAGTCTCGTTCACTCAGTGCTCAATGGTGCCCAGGCTGGAGTGCAGTGGCGTGATCTCGGCTCGCTACAACCTCCACCTCCCAGCCGCCTGCCTTGGCCTCCCAAAGTGCCGAGATTGCAGCCTCTGCCCGGCCGCCACCCCGTCTGGGAAGTGAGGAGCGTCTCTGCCTGGCCGCCCATCATCTGGGATGTGAGGAGCCCCTCTGCCTGGCTGCCCAGTCTGGAAAGTGAGGAGCGTCTCCGCCCGGCCGCCATCCCACCTAGGAAGTGAGGAGCACCTCTTCCCTGCCGCCATCACATCTAGGAAGTGAGGAGCGTCTCTGCCCGGCCGCCTATCGTCTGAGATGTGGGGAGCGCCTCTGCCCCGCCGCCCCGTCTGGGATGTGAGGAGCACCTCTGCCCAGCCGCGACCCCGTCTGGGAGGTGAGGAGCATCTCTGCCCGGCCGCCCCGTCTGAGAAGTGAGGAGACCCTCTGCCTGGCAACCGCCCCGTCTGAGAAGTGAGGAGCCCCTCCGCCCGGCAGCCGCCCCATCTGGGAAGTGAGGAGCGTCTCCGCCCGACAGCCACCCCGTCTGGGAGGGAGGTGGGGGGGTCAGCCCCCCGCCCGGCCAGCCGCCCCGTCCGGGAGGGAGGTGGGGCGGTCAGCCCCCCGCCAGGCCAGCCGCCCCGTCCGGGAGGGAGGTGGGGGGGTCAGCCCCCCGCCAGGCCAGCCGCCCCGTCCGGGAGGTGAGGGGCGCCTCTGCCCGGCTGCCCCTACTGAGAAGTGAGGAGCTCCTCTGCCAGGCCAGCCGCCCCGTCCGGGAGGGAGGTGGGGGGGTCAGCCCCCTGCCCGGCCAGCCGCCCCGCCCGGAAGGTGAGGGGCGCCTCTGCCCGGCCGCCCCTACTGGGAAGTGAGGAGCCCCTCTGCCCGGCCACCACCCCGTCTGGGAGGTGTGCCCAACAGCTCATTGAGAACGGGCCAGGATGACAATGGCGGCTTTGTGGAATAGAAAGGAGGGAGAGGTGGGGAAAAGATTGAGAAATCGGATGGTTGCCGTGTCTGTGTAGAAAGAAGTAGACATGGGAGACTTTTCATTTTGTTCTGTACTAAGAAAAATTCTTCTGCCTTGGGATCCTGTTGATCTGTGACCTTACCCCCAACCCTGTGCTCTCTGAAACATGTGCTGTGTCCACTCAGGGTTAAATGGATTAAGGGCGGTGCAAGATGTGCTTTGTTAAACAGATGCTTGAAGGCAGCATGCTCGTTAAGAGTCATCACCACTCCCTAATCTCAAGTACCCAGGGACACAAACACTGCGGAAGGCCGCAGGGTCCTCTGCCTAGGAAAACCAGAGACCTTTGTTCACTTGTGTATCTGCTGACCTTCCCTCCACTATTGTCCTATGACCCTGCCAAATCCCCCTCTGTGAGAAACACCCAAGAATTATCAATAAAAAATAAATAAAAAAAAAAAAAAAAAAAAAAGCTATGGCTAGGTAACATACAGATGAATGTGTAAAATACACCATGACACTTGCCTTTGGCTTAGGCAAGAATCCAAGAAAAGGCTCTATCACTGCCTCCTTATCCAGATCTTGCAGTGTTAAAATCATGCTCACCTGCAGTACCCACTAAACAAGTGGCCCTAAGAAGACATGTGTGATTTATGTAACCACCTCCTTACCCACGGTTTACTGAACTATAGATGGACAATTGGCCCATGGAGGAAAAGAAGACCTAAGCCCATCAGACTTTCTGTGTTTGTGCATCCAGAATCATGTGGCCTCAGGGGTTTACGTCACTGTTTGAGGCACAGCCGCCATGGCTCACTCGTAGCAATAAACGAAAAGCAGAGAAATGAATATAGGAGGCACACAGAAGTAAAATGAAAGAACACAAGGCCCCATAAACAAGAAAGACCTGGGTTGGCCAGGCACAGTGGCTCACGCCTATAATCCCAGCACTTTGGGAGACTTAGGTGGGTGGATCACCTGAGGTTGGGAGTTCGAGACCAGCCTGACTAACGTGGAGAAACCCCATCTCTACTAAAAGTACAAAATTAGCCGGGCGTGGTGGTGCATGCCTGTAATCCCAGCTACTCGGGAGGCTGAGGCAGGAGTATTGCTTGAACCCAGGAGGCGGAGGTTGCAGTGAGCCGAGATCGTGCCACTGCACTCCAGCCTGGGCAACAAGAGTGAAACTCCATCTCAAAAAACAAAAAACAAAACACAACAACAACAACAACAACAACAAAAACAAGAAAGACCTGGGCAGCACAGTGAGAACCCATCTCTACAAAAAAATTTAAAAATTAGCCGGGTGTGGTAGTGCATGCCTGTAGTTCCAGCTACTCAGGAGGATGAGGTGGGAGAATCACTCAAGCCCAGGAGGTTAGGGCTGCAGTGAGCTGTGATCTTCCCAATGTACTCCAGCCTGGGCAACAGGGTAAGACTCTGTCTCAAAAAAACAAACAAACAAAGAAACAAACAAACAAAAAAAAAAAAAAAAAAAAAACAAAGAGAGTATGAGAGTAGTTTTCTGATAACTGTTTAGTTTTCATAAAGCCCAGCTGCATCTAGACATCAGATTCTGTGAGATCATCCCATATCCATTTCTACTTATGTTTCTTTGCATCCCATGCAACAAAACAATCCCAGCAGCTACAATGGATGAGACTGCCCAAAAAGAATACAGAGAACAAAACCAAAAAATGGCCAAGGTTAGGATCCTGGGGAACACCATCATGGAAGAGTCAGACAGAGGAAGAAAAGCCAGTGAAACAGGCAGAAAAAAAGGCATTCATAGAGGAAAGAGGTAATTCAGGAAAAAGCAATGTTCTAGAAGTCATTGTAAGAGAGGGTTTTAAGGAGTAGACGACAGTATCAAATGCTACAGAGAAATCAAATAAGAGGAAGATAAAACTAGGCTACTGGATAGGGCAATTAAGGGATCACTGGTGACCTTTCCCTTTCCCAGAGAAGCACTAATTATTATTATAATTCAAAAACTTTGTTTTCAGATTCTAACTGCCACAGTAGTCATACTGTTTATCTTTAGGTGAGTCTTAACATGCCTCTGTTTTGGTTTCTCTTTTATTTAAAATAATAATACCATAATAATATATTATTATTATATTTTATATATCTAATATATAACAATTATTATTATTATCTTTAGGTGAGTCTTAACATGCCTCTGTTATGGTTTCTCCTCTATTTAAAATAATAATAATGATAATAATAATCTTCATTCAGCCCTAACCATTCTGGAAATATTCTGTATTTTAGACTACCTGGTGGTAAAATTCATGTAAAAATTCATCAAGTTAAACATTTAAGATTCATGCACTTTAAGAGAAAGAGAGAAAATCCCCCTCTATCATCCTTCCATAGTATTCAGATTAAAAAATAAAAATACACTGGGTGTAGTGGCTCACGCCTGTAATCCTAACACTTTGGGAGGCAGAGGTAGGAGGATCGCTTTAGCCCAGGAGTTTGATACCAGAGTGGGCAACATAGTGAGACCCTGTGTCTATTTTAAAATAAATTAATAAATTAAAAAAAAAAAGAAACAGGCTTATAAAGCAATGTATAAAGCTAGGAATAAACTGTTCTTCGAATTTTTAAAATCATCCCATGGTATCTTCAGCCTCTGCCTCCTGATGTAATGGTAGGTAATAATGTCTTCACCAAGAAGCAGATTAATACAAGTTTCCATGCCATTATGACTATATTAGTTTTCAAAAAGCTGGGCATGGTGGCTCATGCCTGTAATCCCAGCACTTTGGAGGCTGAGGCAGTAGGATTGCTTGAGCCCAGGAGTTTGAGAACAGCCTGAGCAACATGGCAAGACCCCTTCTCTATTAAAAAAGAAAAGAAGAGAAAAGAAAAGTCACATGTGTATCTTCATAGACTTGAGCACACAGCAAGCAATCTAAACCATCTGAAAGAAGGAATGACAGATCCAGATGAGAGCAGTGAGAGGTGCTGGGGCAGCATATATATGAAAGGGTCCTACCTTCATTAAGTGCTTGTTGACCCACTTGGTGAACGTTTTCTTCTGAACCCGGTCCCGTTCATCTGTAAAGGAAACACAGAGAAGGCACTGGCTTAGTGCTACCCAGGTAACAGGTTCCCACGCTGCTGCCCTGCCCACATCTCTGTTTCTCTAGAACAACTTACCCACATAACTGTGGGACAGTGACTTCTTCTTAGGAAGGTTTGGCCTAGCTGAACTTCCTCTTTGGCCCTGATCACGTTGTCAGTTTACAAATCAGACAGAATCACCACGTGCCTCAAAAATCATACCATGGCAAAGTCTCCTTAGCACAATAATTTGAGCAGAGCAGGGAGCAGACTGATTCCCCACTTCCCTCACAACAAGCTTCAAAAAGCCAAAGCCGTGATACCACCAACAGACAGGGTGGCCTTGGCATTTGGGACACACATATTGCAGTGGTTAAATTTCACTCTTCATGTGCTGATCTGCCTGAGGAATGCCCAACTCCCTCCCTCTCCTACCCCAGGAATTCCTTCATTCCAATTTCTTTACCAGCCATTATCAAAACAATCAAACTCTCAAAGCTGCCCAGCTTACCCCCACTGCACATCTCTTCCCTCTCTACCTTCTCCTGTCACAGCAGCAAACTCCTTTTTTCTCCAGGTTTTTTTTTTTTTACCTCTTTAACAAAAACATGACTGTCAATGCTTGACAATGACTGCTCCACAGAGGCCTTATCCTGTAAAGGACTTACTTTCTCCGACTCCTGCCAATTCCCCAGAGCCATTTCTAGACCAGTGAGCCATCAGTCCTGGTCCTTTTCTATTTCTGAAAGCCCACACCATCCCATATAACCTCTTGTTCAAATCATCCTCACTGTCATTGACCATGCTCCGTGGCCTATCCCCTTCCACATGGCAAATCTACCTTAGCCTTCCCCGATGACTTGGTTCATTTATCATCTCTACATATACGTGAAGATATATGTGACAATGCATCTGTGCCTACTTGGCTCCACTGGCACTCATCTCCAATTCATGTCCAGCCACCACACTGCCACATTTTGGGCCTTATTCCTTCCCCAAACATACCTATTTAGCACTTACCATTATCAGTCTCTCATACCCTCTCCTAATCATTCTCAACCTTCAATCACTCCATTCTTATTTTACCCTATTCATTAAGGACATCTACAGCCAGGCCTTGGCATTTGGGACACACATATTGCAGTGGCTCATGCCTTGTAATCCCAGCAGTTTGGGAGGCTGAGGCCGGTGGATCACTTGAGCTCAAGAGTTGGAGACCAGCCTGGCCAACATGGTAAAACCCCACCTCTGCTAAAAATACAAAAATTGGCCAGGTGGTGGTGTGCACCTGTAGTCCTAGCTACTCAAGAGGCTGAGGTGGGAGGGTGGGAGGATCACTTGAACCTGGGAGGTGGACGTTGCAGTGAGCCGTGATTACACCACTGCACTCCAGCCTGGGTGACAGAGTAAGACACAATCTCATAAAAAGAAAAAGAACATCTAAGATTATCCCAGTCCATGCTAGACAACATGGTTATGCAATTCAAAGCTGCCCTCACTAATACCCCAGGAACTCCCCCTGCCTAACTGCCTACTACTACATTCACCATGACAATCTGCAAACCTAAATTACCATAACTGCCCGCTGCTTGACTCTTCCATATCTTTTCCAAGACAGAGAACATTTCGGAAGAAAGTTGCAGAGGTATATAAATCTGGTTCACTAGTAATTCATACAAGCTTCAGCCAGGTTCTCTCCCCAAGCCCAGTTATTTTCTTCTTATTGATCCCCTAGGAAAAGCCAACATACTGCCATTCCAAACAATGTCAATGCTTGTTCTACATCCCAGGTGAATATATTTATCTATTTATTTTTTTTGAGTTTATAGCCATTCAATAAGTACTTTCTTATCTTGGTCTCTGGTTTTATCCTCACATCCTTCTTTTCGGCCTTGAATCCTTTCTTGCTTTGCAAGGAACAATTTTCTTCCTACTATAAACTACAGCACTAAGGTATGGACCTTAGAAATTATATAGTCTAATTCTCTGCTGACACACAAATCCCTTCAACAACAAAGAATCATAAGTTCACATTGAAAGGTCTCTCCAAATCTCCCATAAATCTACAATATTCTTGATGTTTAAAATTTAGGATAATAGAGAATTCACTAATTCATAAGACAAAGTACCAATGTAATAATTCTATAAAATGTCATAATCTGCTTTCCTTGTAACTTCTGCCTATTGACTCTCATTTGGGACTGTTAGAAGTATTATTATTAGGCTGGGTGTGGTGGCTCACGCCTGTAATCCCAGCACTTTGGGAGGCTGAGGTGGGCAGATCAGCTGAAGTGGGGAGTTCAAGACCAGCCTGACCAACATGGTGAAACCCCGTCTCTACTAAAAATACAAAAATTAGCTGGACATGGTGGCGCATGCCTGCAATCCCAGCTACTCGGGAGGCTGAGGCAGGAGAATCGCTTGAACCCAGGAGGCGGAGGTTGCAGTGAGCTGAGATCGTGCCATTGCACTCCAGCCTGGCAAGAGGGCAAGACTCCATCTCAAAAAAATAAAAAAGTATTATTATTAGACTTAAAAGTTTAATCCATCTTTCACTTAATGGAGTCTTGAAAGTATCTAAAGCCAGGATTCTCATTAGATTTGATCACTGTCATTCCAACATATTTTGATCTTTTTAGATGCTGATTCAGTTATCCAACATCTTCATCAACCTTTCCAAGCCCGTGTCATCTGCAGACTGAATCAGAATCAGCTTCCAACTATAGTCTCATCGAAATCACTGACTCTTTGCTCATACTACTTATTTTCCCTTCATGACTGGCTACTTCTCTTCCTCTTCATCTCTCCAAATGGTATTTATTCTTTAAAATCCACCTCGTTCATTCCCTTTTTTTGTCTGTTTTTGAGACAGAGTTTCGCTTTTGTCACCCAGGCTGGAGTGCAATGGTGCGATCTCGGCTCAGTGCAACTCTGCCCCCTGGGTTCCAGCGATTCTCCTGCCTCAGCCTCCAGAGTAGCTGCGATTACAGGTGCCCACCCACCACGTCCGGCTAATTTTTTATTTTTAGTAGAGACAGGGTTTCACCATATGGGCCAGGCTGTTCTCAAACTCCTGACCTCAGGTGATCCACCCGCGTTGGCCTCCCAAAATGCTGGGATTACAGGCACCTGGCCTCATTTATTCTTTAAATAAGAGAAACAACTTCAAAACAGGTTGATTAAGTGCTATAACAGGTAAGCACAGAGTGCTCATGAACATAAGAGGTTAAGCCTACCTGGGTAGGGACAGGAAATATGGGGGACTTAATGAAGTTTCAAGGAGGAGTGACTCTATCTAACCTTAAAAGATGAGTATAAGCCAGAAAGAGAAGGGAAGGAATAAAGTTGCTACATAAAGTTATAGCTAATGCAAATTCATGGAGACAAGAAAAAGCTTATGTTCAAAGAACTGCACATAATTAGGAATAGCTGAAAGACAACTAGGTAGTGGCGAGATAGGATGGTATGGGCCAAATCAAGACCTTTCATGACAAGCTTAAGGAACCCGAACTTTATCCTATAGGTAAGGGGAAGCATTGAAAGATTTTAAATTGGAGAATGACATGCTCAGATTTGTGTTTAAGAAAAATTTTGGCTGCCTTTTCTGACAACTCCAGTTCTCAACAGTCTCTGTGTCCTCCAAATATCTATGTTACTTACTGGGCTAATCACTCAATCAGCACTTATATAATTATATAGTGTTCTGAACTTTTAATATGCTTATTCTTATATTACCAGGGAGATCATTAACTCCTTGAAGAGAACATGATTTACTTTTTTGTATTTCCCACAACTTGCAACACCTAAAGTTCTACATAGTAAGAACTAAAACATAAAACCACCGGAGAGCGTTCTCAATTGGCCAAGTATGATTAGAAGATTGGTAAAAGAAACACACAAAATGAAATCAGAACTGAGTTACCTACAAGAATCCAGTTCAATATCTAAAAACCTCAAAACCATGCCAGGCAAGGTGGCTTATGCCTGTAATCCTAGCACTTTGGGAGGCCGAGGCAGAAGGATCACTTGAGCCTGGGAGTTTGAGGCTGCAGCAAGCTATCATTGTGCCACTGCACTCTAGCAGGGACAACAGACTGAGACCCTGCCTGAAAAAACAAAATCACAACACGCCAGTATCACTTGTGTGCTGAGATAAGAAGGCAGGGTGGAAAAATCAGAGCTAACTAAAGTTGTGTCCATTACATTTTCACACGATATCAGGCCCACTGTGCTTCACTATATTCATTACCTTCATAGCCAAAAACAGTCTGATTCTAATTTTAAAAATTCTCACTCTAAAGATAGAAGTGTTTTTTCTTTTTTTTATAATTTCTTTTTTTTATAAAAGCTATGTATGTTTGCTGTAATAGGTCAAACAACACACAGATGAAAAAGGAAAAAGTTAACAGATTTTCTTTTAAACTAGTAAGTATTTAAAGGAGGTGGAATTCATTCGGTTTCCTTTTAGTCCACTGCCTCATTTCATTTAGACCTGAATATGTGAGTAGCATGATTCTTTTTAATTTTACTATCCATAGGCCAGGCGCGGTGGCTCACACCTGTAATCCCAGCACTTTGGGAGGCTGAGGCGGGTGGATCACGAGGTCAGGCGTTCGAGACCAGCCTGACCAACATAGTAAAACCCCGTCTCTACTAAAAATACAAAAATTAGCTGGGCGTGGTGGCACACGCCTGTAATCCCAGCTACTCGGAAGGCTGACGCAGGAGAACTGCTTCAACCTGGGAGGCGGAGGTTGCAGTGAGCTGAGATCGTGCCACTGCATTCCAGCTCGGGCAACAGCGCAAGACTCCATCTCAAAAAAAAAAAAAAAATACTATCCATAAATTATTCTGTTCATCTACCAAGCCCTTCCATAACGGTAATGTACTAAGGAAACCTGATGGCCTCATACCAATCATGCTTCCAAAAGCTAAAAAGCTGACTTTAAGCTCAGGAGAAAGACGTTTAAGTACTTATTGTGAATATAATCATTAAAGGCAACATGATTACAAGCCCTTCCCAAGACTAGCTAGCCTGCTTAGAGCTGAGCCATAAGCTCCTCAGAAAAGGGTTTTATAGAATTCCTTTGCCCCTAAGAGCTGGAAGATCATTTTTTAGGATCCTATGTTGGTATGCCCATCAATTACATGAAAGTTCTTTCCTGGTTTAAACTTCAGGATAAAAGAATATTACAGTGCCTGGAGTTTAATATCTTAATTTTTAGCAAGGAAATCCAAGAAGCAACCTTAAGAATTATGCTGACCTTCAGAATAATAGCTCAGACTCTCAAACTATTTAATAAGTTTTATATTGGCTCCTTGCACATAAATCCCTAGTTTAACCCAGGCCTAGCAAAGATCTTTCTGACTAACATTGAAGGTTAGGCAGAAAGATAAAACTGAGGTAAAAGTCTCAGAAAGTACCCTTATGTGAGAGGAAAACGGGCAAAGAAAAGGCAATATTCATTTTAATGTTCTTTATAATCTCAGCCCCACCAAAGGCTATAAACAAACAAGAGAGAGCCCACTCCCCACCACCAGCATCTCTACAGAAGCAGAGAACCCTACTGTCCATCTAAGTTTCAGATTTAACACTTTAAACCTTATTAATTACTTGGGGGTTACTGAATTAGAAGGCTTAAATTAGAAAAATTTGCTATGGCCGGGCGTGGTGGCTCACGCCTGTAATCCCAGCACTTTGGGAGGCCGAGGCGGGTGGATCATGAGGTCAGGAGATCGAGACCATCCTGGCTAACAAGGTGAAACCCTGTCTCTACTAAAAATACAAAAAATTAGCCGGGCGCGGTGGCGGGCGCCTGTAGTCCCAGCTACTCGGGAGGCTGAGGCAGGAGAATGGCGTGAACCCGGGAAGCGGAGCTTGCAGTGAGCCGAGATTGCGCCACTGCAGTCCGCAGTCCGGCCTGGGCGACAGAGCGAGACTCCGTCTCAAAAAAAAAAGAAAAAAGAAAAATTTGCTATTTGTTGTTGTTTTGAGACAGGGTCTCATTCTGTTTCCCAGGCTGGAATGCAGCAGCATGATCATAGTTCACTATAATCTTGAACCCCTAGGCTCAAGCAATCCTCCTGCTTCAGCCTCCCAAGTATCTAGGACTGCAGGTGCATGCCATCATGTGTGGCTATTTTTAAACTTTTTGTAGAGACAGGGTGTCAGTATGTTGTCCAGGCTGATCTCAAACTCCTGGCCTCATGTGATCCTCCCACCTCAGCCTCCCAAAACGCTGGGATTACAGACATGAGCCACTGTATCCGGCCTAATTAGAAGGATTTAATACTTGTTTCCAACTTTACTGATCTTCGTCAACAAGGGTCTCTGAGCATCATGCTATCAATACCTATCCTAATTTTATTTTAGTTTCATTGCCAGAGTTGTCCCTTTTCAGAATCTAAGTCAGTCCTTCTACCTAAAATCTGGATCTCTTTGCTGCTCTTCTCCATAGGAAACTTAATCCAACAATACTCCCTAGTCTGTATATCTTCAACTGCTCTCTCTCTCTCCTGGTTCTCTCCTGTTGGCTTCTGAACAAGTATGATGACAACACTCAGACTTCACTTCCCCACCTCCTATTTATTCTATGTGACCTGGATTCCAGCCCCACAAATTCACTGAAATTGCTCTCCCCACAGTCACCTAATTGCCAACCCAATGGATAGTTTTGAGTTCTATCTCACTTAAACTCTCTGTAGCAGAAGACACTGGTGATCATTCCTTCACCTTTTAAATTGACTCTCTCTCTTGAATCTGAGATTCCATTCTACCCTAGTTTTCTGCCTTCTTCTTTGGTTGTTTCTTCTCTTCTGTTCATCCCTTAAACATTACTCATCCTTAGCCCTCTTTTCTTTTCATTCTGTATTATAGCTTCTTCAGATGTCCAAGGACCCAAGAGTCCACTAATGGGTTTTGGAGAGGGAGTGTTCAGGAACCACCTAAAATTACATGCAAAATGTTTTGTGTCATGTGTGTATGGGGGGGAGTAGGGGGATGTCCATAGCTTTTCAATAAAAATTAAAAATAGCTGTTCTTTACATTCTCCCTTAATGATTTAATGAACATCCATAGTTTCAGCTGTGACCTATACAATGATAATTTCCAAATCTGTATCTTTAGCTCAGGCCTTTACCACTCTCATATATCCAATGGCCTCCTAAAACTTCCATGCTCATCTCAAACTCAACTTGTCTAAAACTGAACTCTTCTTTTCTCCTTGCTTCTGACAGATATCCCTGCTGTAATCCATCCTTCTCAATGGTGTCAGCAACCTTTCTGGCAAGGTTAATCTTGTAACTTAAAATCCTTCAGTGAGCCCTTATTCTCCCAATATTATTAATAGTTGACATTTAGGCTGGGTGCAGTGGCTCCCACCTGTAATCCCAGCACTTTGGGAGGCAGAAGCGGGCAGATCACTGGAGGTCAGGAGTTCAAAACCAGCCCGGCCTACTTGGTGAACCCCTGTCTCTACTAAAAATACAAAAATTAGCCAGACGTGGTGGCAGGCACCTGTAAAATACCAGCTACTTGGTTGGCCAAGGCACGAGGATCACTTGAACCCAGGAGGCGGAGGTCACAGTGAGCCAAGATGGCACCACTGAACTCCTCCTGCCTAGATGACAGTGAGATTCTGTCTTAAAAAAAAAAAAAAAATTAAATAGCATTTATTCAGCACCTACTTAGGTGCTAAGCACCTTGTATCTATTCTTTCTAATGCTCAACAACTCTGTAAGTTAGCCAGAAAAATAAAGTCCAGACAGATGAAGCAGCTTGCCCAAGATCACAAGGTAAGTCATGAAGTCAAACTTGAACCCAGCTCTACCCAGTTCCAAAGCCTGATGCTTCCATTTGGGATAACAGTCAAACTTTTTAGCTTGGGAGCTAAGATCCATTATGATGGAATGCCTACCTTCCACTCATCCCTCTACCTTTCCATAAAAACTTCCAGCCTTGTTTAAAAAATTTCCTGCAAATGGGGCAGGTTTTCTCTCAGTTCCATGCCTTTGCACATACTCTGTGAATATAGCTCTCCCCTTCTCTGACTACTCATTCTTCAGCCTTCAACTCAACTATCCCCTCCTCCAGGAGCTTTTCCCATCTCTTACACACACTAGTTTGTGTGCTTATTGCATGGTATCACTGTTTACTTGTTTATCTGTCCTACTCTACTAGGAGAAATTTGAGAGTAGGCCTGACGTCAAATGAAAGCCTGCATTTGAGGGGCAAAATTCTATGTTCTGATCCAACATAGCCTACCCACATAGTCCCAGTACATTACGAACCATTCAAAAAACAAGTGAGAGAAGAGCCTCTCCTGTTTCCAAAGGCCACAGAAAAATGACAAGTGCTTCAAGAAGCCCAGAAACACCAACCACCTGGAAATCTAAAAAGGATATACCACAGCTGACACAGAAGGGAAGTAGAGTTGGAATAGTCCTGTTTTGTGACCGCATGAAGTTTACAATCTAGTGGTGGAGAACAACATGTAAATAATTAACAATAACACCAAGCAAATAACACACCAGACACAAGCTGCACAAAATGACACTATAGCACAAGCATAGAGTTGATTAATCCTCACAGAGAGGTAGGAGGTGTTCATGGAAGGCGTGATAGAACTATACCTGATCTTAGACAAAAGGCTACGAAGTGAACGGTGTCTGAACTAAACCTTGGATAACGAGTAGGATTCTGGCAGCCCAAAAAGGAGTCAAAGGATTCCAAACTTAAAAAAAGCACAAGTAGGCTGGGCATGGTGGCTCATGCCTATAATCCCTGCACTTTCAGAGGTTAAGGTGTGTGGATCACTTGAGCTCAGGAGTTCAAGACCAGCCTGGGCAATATGACAAAACTCTGTCTCTACAAAAAATACAAAAATAAGCCAGGCATGGTGGCTTGCGCCTGTGGTCCCAGCTACTTGGGTGGCTGAGGTGGGAGGGTCACTTGAGCCCAGGAGGCAGAGGTTGCAGTGAGCCAAGATTGTGTCACTGCCCTCCAGCCTGGGTGACAGCAAGACCCTGTCTCAAAAAGAAATTTTTTTTTTTTAATTTACAAAGCACAAGTAGTGATTTGGAGACATGTAAGTATACAGGATGTGTTTTAGGGAACAGTATGGCTATTACATGCATGACCATACCATGCAGTTAGCAGTGTGATGAGCAACCAGGCTAACAGAACAGCTAGCTGACATCACAAAGGACCCAGAAAGCTAGAGTAAGGAGTACGTACTTAATTAAGTAGACAAAGCAGAACCACTGAAATTTTCTGACCCACAGTATGTTTTGGGAAGACTAATCTGGCTTTGGACTGAAGGCCACATTATACCAGAAAGACACTAAGAGGCAGAAGAACCAGTTAGAAGTCTCCAGTGACAGACCAGGAGAAACATCTTGAAATAGCATGAATTAGGGCAGAGGCAGCAGGAAAGTAAAGAAGAGGGCAGGTACCTCTACGTTGTCATGCAATGTAGAGGTAGAAACAATAGCCTTTAGCTATTTTAAATAGCCTTTTAAATAGCCTTTAGATGTGGTGGCGGGTAAGGAATGGCAGAGTTCAAGACAATTCTCATGCTTCTAGCCACAGCAACTGGGAGGAGAGTAGAACTTCAAGATAATGAAAACAGAAAGAGGTTACCGATTTGGTGAGGGTACATTGGGTAAAGGAGAAGACAAAGAGTGAGGTGTTAGGAGGATCTTCTCACAGACAGTTGGAATCTTTGGTCTAGAGTTCAGAAGAGCAGTCAGAACTGAAGATAAGGAATTGGAGTTAAAAATTGATAGCTGTGGCAAATAGAGAGCAAACAGCCTATTTCGACAAATCTTCCTAATCACCACTTAGCCCACATCACCTCTCTCTCTATTCAAAATCCTTTACGGATTTGATCACTTTAGTTTTAGAATTCAAAGCTCTCTACAACCCTATAAAATTCAATTGCAGTTTTTATTCACTACGTTTTCGGTGGTTCAAGAAGATAAAGAACTGGTCTCTGACCTGAAGAAATTTACAATCTATCTACCTTTCACTCTCCCCTGCATGACTCAACTGCAACCATTCCGATCTTCTTACTGTTTCCAAACATACCTTTCGCATCTGTCCTACTCTACTAGGAGCAACCTTTCCCCCAACTGGAATATCTACCCTCTTCTCTTGGGGCTTGTCTAACTTAGAACCTCCTTTCAAAGTCCAGCTGAAGTCTTGCTTCTGTTACACCTTTCCGGACATGTCAGCCACCTTTGGATGCCTATGGCACTTTAAAGTTTCTTCAATTTACTTAGCACTAAGCATATAAAACCTATCATTAGAAAGCTCTGTATCTAAGTCCATTTCTGTATCTGAATTGAGCTCTTTCAAGTCAAGATCCATGCTTTAAACTTCATTAAAGGCCAGCCAGGGGCAGTGGCTCACACCTGTAATCCCAGAACTTTGGGAGGCCGAGGTGGGTGGATCACTTGAGGTCCGGAGTTCAAGACCAGCCTGGCCAATATGGGGAACCTCGACTCTACCCAAAAAAAGACAAAAATTAGCCAGGTGTGGTGGTGCACGCATGTAATCCCAGCTACTCGGGAGGCTGACGCAGGAGAATCGCTTGAACTCGGGAGGCAGAGGCTGCAGTGAGCTGAGATTGCGCCACTGCACTCCCGCCTGGGTGGCAGAGTAAGATTCTGTCTTAAAAAAAAAAAAAAAAAAATTCATTAAAGGCCAGAAGCAGTGGCTCACACCTGTAATCCCAGCATTTTGGGAGGCTGAGGTGGGCAGATCACTTGAGGTCAGGAGTTCGAGACCAGCCTGGCCAATATGGTGAAACCCCATCTCTACTAAAAATACAAAAATTAGCCAGGCAAGGTGGTGCGCTCCTGTAATCCCAGCTACTCAGGAGGCTGAGGTAGGAAAATGGCTTGAACCTGGGAGGCAGAGGTTGCGAGCTGAGATTGTGCCACTGCACTCCAGCCTGGGCAATAGAGCAAGACTCCATCTCAAAAAAAAATTTTTTTTTCATTAAATATCCAACATTTAGGACAACCATAGGTATTGAAAAATATTCATTTAACAAATATATAATCACAGTCCTCTAGGTGTCAAGGTTATAGCTACAAGACACATTAAGATGGTATTTTCAGGCCAGGCACTGTGGCTCTCACGCCTGCCATCCCAGCACTTTGGGAGGCTGAGGTGGGCAGATCACCTGAGGTCAGGAGTTCGAGACTAGCCTGGCCAACATGGCAAAACCCCGTCTCTACTAAAAATACAAAAATGAGCTGGGAGTGGTGGCACAAGCCTGTAATCCCAGCTACTCGGGAGGCTGAGGCAGGAAAACTGCTTGGACCCGGGCGGCAGAGGTTGCAGTGAGCTGAGATGGCACCACTGCAATCCAGCCTGGGTGACAGAGTGAGACTCCATCTCAAAAAAAGACTGCTTTTCAGCAGGGAGCAGGTACTCCCACTCAGATATTCCCTCTACAGATTCAGCTTTCCTAAATTCTCCTTGCCACATCTTGATCCTGGGGATTTTGAACCACTTAATGTTCCCAATGTAAGCGCAAAGGAAATTGGTGAAATTGGAGGTCAAGCAATTAAAATGTGTTCAGCAATAATGTATAATGGCACAAACATTATAAATGATTGCTATCCTCAGAAGGCTACAAAAGTCTACTTTGGGAGATAAGGTGGAGCTCGATATTTATTGTGTTTATTATGTATCAGGTGCTGTTTGAGGCTTATCTCATTTAGTATTTGACAATCCTCACAACTCTCTCAAGTATGCTTATTCATGGTTCAGCAAATTCATGCTCAGAAAGACTTGTTAGTAATCTTCCCAAAGTCACGCAGTATACAGCAGAATTGAGATTCAAATCCAAGTCTGTCAGATCATAGACTTTTAACCTCCATAAATTTATTAGAAGACAATACAATGCAGTCCTATATAATCAAGTTAAAGGAAAAGTACTAACTATAATAGGGATTCATGAAAGGCATTTATCACCAATGACTGGTGTAGGCTGAGAAAGTACCAATGAGGATTGAGATTTGGGGTTTTAAGGAAGTGACAACTGTAGAAGCTTCAATGCAAAATTAAAATTCTACCTTATTTCTGCCGGGTGTGATGGCTCATGCCTGTAATCCCAGCACTTTGGGAGGCTGAGATGGGTGGATCACTTGAGGTCAGGAGCTCGAGACCAACCTGGCCAACATGGTGAAACCCCGTCTCCACTAAAAGTACAAAAATCAGCCAGGTGTGGTGGCACACGCCTGTAATCCCAGCTACTTGGGAGGCTGAGGCAGGAGAATCACTTGGACCTGGGAAGCAGAGGTTGCAGTGAGCCGAGATCGCCCCATTGCACTCCAGCCTGGACAACAGAGCAAAGCAGGACTCTGTCTCAAAAAACAAAACAAAACAAAAATTTACCTTATTTCTTAGGAAAACCTAATATTATAATGATAATTCTTTGGACTATTAAGAATCACAGAATAAAGGAAAGAAGTAAGATAAAGAAATCCAGGGGTAAGCACGGTAACAAAAGAAGAGAGCCACAGTGAGAGGGAGGCACATATAAGAACACAAGAGGAAGAAAAGCTCAATAGTTCTTAGAGAATTCACGGGAATATCACAGTCAGAAAAACGAAGCATTTCATAAATACAAAGAGAGAGTTTTAAGAGTCCTCAAAAATCATCTTAAAGATGAAGAAACCAAGGCCCAGAGAGATTAAATAATTTAGACAAGGTCACACAGGGGCAGAACTAGGTCTATAACTTGGATTTCCTGGTGTCTAGTCTATGGTTCATACCTTTGCATGACATTCATTTCCCTTCTTTGAGCCTGAGTTTCATCTATAAAATTAGGCATTTGTCCTTTGTTATTTTTAAAATTTTATTTTTATCTCCAACTCTGCAAATAAAATGAGGAGTTAGGCCAATAGTTCCTAAATATCAGTCTGTAAACCAGCCATCTCAAAATCATCTGGGAAGCTTTTTTTTTTTTTTTTTTTTTTGAGACGGAGTCTCGCTCTGTCGCCCAGGCTGGAGTGCACTGGTGTGATCTCGGCTCACTGCAACCTCCACCTCCTGGGTTTACGCCATTCTCCTGCCTCAGCCTCCCGAGTAGCTAGGACTACAAGCACCCGCCACCATGCCCAGCTAATTTTTTGTATTTTTAGTACAGACAGGGTTTCACCGTGTCAGCCAGGATGGTCTCGATCTCCTGACCTCGTGATCCGCCCGCCTCGGCCTCCCAAAGTGCTGGGATTACAGGCATGAGCCACTGTGACCGACCTCTTTTTTTTTTTTTTTTTGAGACAGGGTCTTGCTCTATCACCCAGGCTGGAGTGGATCCCGGCTCACTGAAATCTCTGCCTCCCAGGCTCAAGCGATCTTCCCTCCTCAGCCGCGCCCCCAACCCCACCCCCAGTAGCTGGGACTATAGGCGCACGCCACCACACCCTGCTAACTTGTATTTTTGGTAGAGATGGGGTTTCACCATATTGCTCAGGCTGGTCTTGAACTCTTGACCTCAACTGATCCGCCCTCCTTGGCCTCCCAAAGTGCTGCGATTATAGGCATGAGCCACCACACCCGGCTGATTTAGAGTCTGTTTTAATCCCTTTTTTAAGCAATGAGGTTTGAATAGTAATTTTATTTATTTTTATTTTTTTGAGAGGGATCACTTGAGGTCAGGAACTCAAGACCAGCCAAGGCAACATGGCGAAACCCCATCTCTACCAAAAATACAAAAATTAGCCAGGTGTGGTGATGCGTGCCTGTAATTCCAGCTACTTGGAAGGCTGAGGCAGGAGAATCGTTTGAGCCCCTGAGGTGGAGGCTGCAGTGAGCCAAGATCATACCACTGCACTCCAGCCTGAGCAACAGAGTAAGACTCCGTCTCTAAAATAAAATAAAATAAAATAAAATAAAATAAAATAAAATAAAATAAAATAGACCCTAAATCATGAAGTGATTGTGAGGAGTATATGATATGAAAGCACTTAGCCTAGTCTCTCACACATAATAAGTTAATAAATGCTAGCTGGTAGTTACAGTAGTAATATAATGTGAAAAGTATATAACATGAAAATCCACTGCTAATCTTCATTCATTCTCCCTATACAAGTGATTTTATTTTACGGTGATATGAAAAAAAGAAAAATAAAAAATGAGGTAACCGAGCTAGAGAAAGGTTAAGCAATGTCCCCAGTTGGTTTTGTTGTTAAGTGGTGGAGTAGGAACCCCGTGTAGACAGTTGATGCCAAGCCCATTTTCTTAGCTATTAGTCTACAGTGCCTTTAGGGGATTATGTGGGATTGGGGGAGATGGGGCTACATTACGTTTTTGCCCTGAAACTTTCAATAAAGATTTTAGACTTTCCTATACTTCTTTGTTGGTTACAGGAAAGGCCCTTTTGCTATACGTTTATCTCCAAGCACTTTTAGATATAGGCAATTCTTTCTTCTAGGTTCCAGGGAAGAAATCTCAATGATACAGGAAAGATAAAAAAAAAAAGTAGACCACTAAAATTGCCCCCTCTGTGCCCCAAGCATTATTGCTATGGCAGCTTTTTTTCCTCAAAAAGCACCTAAATACTTGCAAGCACTAGCCTAGGAGTCAGGAGACTGATCAGAACCCTAGTTCTGTTGCTCTCCTTCTCTGAGATTTTTCTAAGGTCTCCTCTTCATCAAACAACTAGTTACTTCAATTTTAATGAAAATCTGCCTATTTGGGTCACAATTTTGCTCCTTGTTAGAGACTCAAAGTATAAAATCAAAAGATAGTAGATTACCAAACCAGTGGTTCCCAAACTAAGATTTCATAGACAAATACATGTTCCACAATAAATCAGAAAGCCTAACAGAAGTTGTCACTTTTCATTTTGCTAAGTAGGGATATCTTAAAAACACACTACCATATAATAACAATTCTTTCATAAAATAAAGGATATTTTAACATTAGAAAGTAGGAGAGACAATTTCAGAATAAAAGACAATTCTTTAAGTTTAGCTTTATGAAAGACACACTACATTTTCTTTATCTTTTTTCATTTTACAGAGAATTGATGTCTCTCAGTCTAGCACCAGTCTGTATACCCTACAATTTTGAAACCAAGGAAACCTACGGCCAAAAAGGTTAAGTCACTTGTTCAAGGCCACAGGACATTACTTAAATAATCATTATTTAATGATGCCTTATCAAGAGAGATCTAAGTCACAGCTAACATGACTCTTCCCCTAGCCTCTCTTATTTAGGTCCCTGACCCCAGATCATCTTTGAGTCTTTTTCTCTCTCTGTCACAGCTGGCAGAGTAAAGTGTAAAAGAACTAGCAATAAGCCCCAAAGAGGAAACATAGGCCATGACTCCTCCCTCCCACCCCCCATCCTCCCGCCAGTCTGCTCAGAGGTGGACTCCGTAACCAACCAACTTCTGCTAAAAATACACTCTGGACTTTCAGCACTATGCAACATACCTTAAAAGTGGTTTCCTGATACAGGCAGAAGCATGAGCATGAATTCAGTCTCTATAAAAAAAGTTCTACACCCAAAGCTTGGGCTCTTAACTGCCAGTTACTGCAAGCTTAAGAAGTTCCCCAGGAAGTAGGGCACCCCAATCTATTCCACTGCACATTTTAACAAGCCTAAAGGTTGTAACACCACAAGGCTTCGAAGTCCATGCATTCCTATGAGTCAATGAGAGCAAGGGCTATTTGGGATCCTCAGGCCCGGACAAGCAAAAAAAAAAAAAACTTCACATACTAACCCATACAGCACATGCGACAAACCAGGTGGGCGTTGAACTCGTGTTCATCTTGGTAACTCGGCCACATGGCGCCCCTGTGTCTGCTGACCCCACCTAAAAGGAGGGGGTACCAAAGAACCTCCAGCTACTGGCCTGTGCACCCTTCGCAGCTCCTCAAAAAGGGCTGTGAGGTGTAGAGAGGAGACAGCAGAACAGAGAAGTGGCTCCACCCACCACTTCCTACTGACCTCCTTCTTCCCTTGAGGTCAGAGAGGAAGCTCCTCCCTAGGGCACTTCCAAAAACTGGGTCCATGTCTCAGGCATATAGCATGCTGCATGCTGTTCAAAAGTAGCACCAACTCTGTGTTTCCAGACCAATAGAGCGTACAGAGGGGAGAGCTCCATATGCAAAAGTCCAGTCAAGGTATGAAGTGAGTAAACCTGAGTAGGAAGAAACTGGTCTTTGAGTTACCCTCCATTTGCAGAGCAGAAGCTTGTAATGTGGTGAATCTTAGTTGCAGGAGAGCTGGTGAGCTAAGTGGTTTACTGCCAAGTCAGGAACAGTGCATCCATTGCCCAACAACTTGCTCCTCAGGTGTGCCTCTTCTCAGGCAGAAGTACATATAGTGTTAACCAAATGAGAAGGTCTCATGATGGGAGAGACTATAATGGAGCAAGCTCATACACTCACCGTCCACTGTGAACAGATCCCTAGATTCCAAAGAAAGTTTCCCTTCCCCGCACTTACAGCTGCCAAAAGGGAAGAGTCAGTAACTCCCCAGTGATTCCACCTACTTTACAGAGTAGCCCCACCTCAGCCAGCCTCGCCTCAGCCAGCCTCCCAGGTAGATTATCACAGCAAATTTTATCAGCTTCAAAAATACCGTTTGCTTGTTGCTCCATTCTTTCCCCTCACAGCCAGGAATGGCATTCCAAAGTCCCCTTCTTCTTCCCAGATCCTCCTACTCTGTCTTTACAGTCAGTGCACTTAACTCAGCTGTGCCAGAAATCCTTTCATCCATCAGTAGAAGGCTGCCTGCTTGTTTGTCCAACTTGTTTTCCGAGTCTTGGCTAATTGTACCAGACACTGGAATGTTGAAGAAACACAATGAAGGGCTTTTTCATTCAGCTGGCCCAGCCCTTCTATTGGTTCTTCACAGTTCTAACCCAACCAGGGGACAGAAAAGTCCAGCCTCTGTGGGTGTCAGGACAGACACTGCAGCCCTGCCCCACACCACTCAAAAAGGCCCCGCTGCAGATAAGGGCCTAATCACTGGCCCTCTGCTCTAGCTCCCTAAATAGAACGACTTCTTCAGGCTAATGCTGCTTTCAATCCTGTTCCTGAAGGCAGGGAGGGAGGAGGGGCAGCACCTAGGAAAGCAAGTTTCCAGAGATTAGCCCAAACGACTACAAATGAAAAAAAGTAAATGCAAGCTTTCCTAGCAGACCATTCAGTTTAAACAAGCCCTATGACCTGCCTCAGTTGCTTGACAACTTCACTCCCAAGTGGGTATCCCTCCCACCTACAAACTGCTAATAATCCTGTTACTGCTTACTAATAAAGGTTCTCACAGCTGACTTTATCCCGCCTAGACTAAGCTCTCAGTCACCCTGATAACCTGTGACAACTGTACTCAGTTTGTCCCTCTTATAAGACTCTTTTTAGCCTTGGAGATGAAGGGTCCTCCTAGAATTTGCCTCGTACTGGGAAAAGGAATGCATAAGAAATAGGGAAGAGAGAAAAAAAGGAATGAACATTTCCTGACTCATATCTAGTAACCTCTTCCTTTATCAGATTTAAATTCCCTGAGTGAGACTGAGTGCAGTGGCTCACGCCTGTAATCCTAGCACTTTAGGAGGCCAAGGCGGGTAAACTGCCTGAGCTCAGGAGTTCGAGA
Organism: Homo sapiens; assembly: GCF_000001405.40. Lineage (NCBI taxonomy): Eukaryota > Metazoa > Chordata > Mammalia > Primates > Hominidae > Homo > Homo sapiens. The sequence continues at coordinate 39,213,552 of NC_000001.11, read as the reverse complement.
CCACCCTGGGGCCAACACGGTAAAACCCCGACTCTAACTAAAATACAAAAAAAATTAGCTGGGCGTGGTGGCACATGCCTGTAATCCCAGCTACTTGAGAGGCTGAGGCAGGAGAACTGCTTGAACCCGGGAGGTAGAAGTTGCAGTGAGCCGAGATTGTGCCACTGCACTCCAGCCTGGGCCACAGAGCGAGACTCTCTCAAAAATAAAAAATAAAAAAATAAATTATCTGAGTGTAGGGACTCTTTTGTCTCCATAACCCCATCTCTATCACATTTAGAAGGTACTCAATAACCTAAGCTAAAATTAACTGAACATTTACTATAACTGTTAGTTCACAGTTAATGTGCTAAAAACTTTAAATATCATTTCATTTAATCCCAACAATTCTCCAAGAAAGATATTATCATTTCCATTTTAGAGATAAAAATTCTAGGACTTTAAAAGGTTAAATAACTTGACCAAGATTACATGTCCATTTGTCCAGCTCCAAAGCTGTGCTCCCTGTTATACCCTGCTGTCTCTGAGAAGGACCTAAACCAGAATAAACAAACAAAGGCATAGGAGTTGTATATGTAAGAAGGTGAAATATTCTTGGGAAGGGTAACAAATAAAAACATTTAACTCGGCCAGGCACAGTGGCTTACGCCTATAATGCCAGCACTTTTGGGAGGCCAAGGTGGGCAGATCACTTGAGGTAAGGAGTTAGAGACCACCCTGGCCAACATGGCGAAACCCCACCTCTACTAAAAAAATACAAAAATTAGCCGGGCATGGCGGCACATGCCTGTAATTCCAGATACCTGGGAGGCTGAGGCACGAGAATCACTTGAACTCCAGAGGCAGAGGTTGCTGTGAGCCGAGATTGCGCCACTGCACTCCAGCCGGGGCGACAGAATGAGACTATGTCTCAAAATAAAAAATAAAAAATACTTAACTGGTTGACCAGAGATTTAGGACACATCCAAAATGAACACATGTGGCAACTTCTAGAAATACTGAATTCACAGTCTCTAAAAATCAAAATAATAATTACTGGGTGAAGTTGGAGGAAAGTGAACCAAAATCTGCCATCTCCTAAATTCCCTGGCACTCAAGCAGAACCTATTTCTCCTAACGGCACTGCAGACTGAGAAAAGTAGGGTAGAGTCTTGGGGACAAGGTCAGTCTACCTACAGGAGACAGGCCTTCCCTTCAAGTTCCCAAGAGGTCCTGAGCCTCAAAAAGAGGCAAGTTCTGCTGCAATGGAGGAGAGGACTTTGATTAGGACAGTCAGCTCTTAACTATCCAGAGGAGATGGGCCAGTAGAGTCATCCGAGCCATTCCCCTTCTTTTTTTCCCAACTTTTGTCATTTCCTGTTAAAGGTAGGAAAAAGTTTAAGTCTGGCTGCTACCTGCAGATCTTGAAAAGGGTGAGTGGAGGGAAGAGGTTCAGGCCAGTATTTCCACATGTGGTCAGAAGTTATCTGAGAATTGACAGCTACTGGCTTTCTTACAGAAACAAAGAAAATTGAAGGTATATACTTAATGTCTTTCCTAAAATGCCAAAATCACCCACTATTAAGGATATAAAAGACACAAACATCTTTCTTAACGTATAAAACAGTGATCATAATATATCACCTACTTTTTATATACCTCTGTATTGGGTTCTGTCACATTTCTTTTTTTTGAGACAGAGTCTTGCTCTGTTGCCCAGGCTAGAGTGCAGTGGCTTGATCTCGGCTCGCTGCAACCTCTGCCTCTCGGGTTCAAGCGATTCTCCTGCCTCCACTTCCCAAGTAGCTGGGATTACAGGCGCCCACCACAGCACCTGGCTAATTTTTGTATTTTTAGTAGAGACAGGGTTTTACCATCTTGGCCAGGCTGGTTTTGAGCTCCTGACCTCATGATCCACCCACCTCAGCCTCCCAAAATGTCAGGATTACAGGCGTGAGCCACCATGCCCGGCATGTCACATTTCTTAATTACTAACTATAAAGACAGGCCGGGTGCCGGTGGCTCAAGCCTGTAATCCCAGCACTTTGGGAGGCCGACGTGGAGGATTGCTTGAGTCCAGGAGTTCGAGACCAGCATGGGCAACATGGAGAAACCCGGTCTCTATATATGAAATTTTTTTTAAATTTAAAAAATTAAAAAATAAGGACAATTACTGTTTCATCCCAACAGTTCACAGGAAAGCACTATGTCTTCAATGTTATCTTATGTGAAAAAATTCTAATAATGATGGTAAATAATCACATATTCCTTACCACATGCAGAATGTGTTCTAAGAACTAAGTCAAGGCTGGGCGTGGTGGCTCATGCATGTAATCCCAGAACTCTGAGAGGCCAAGATGGACGGATCACTTGAGGTCAGGAGTTCAAGTTCAGCCTGGCCAACATGGTAAAACCCCACTTCTACTAAAAATACAAAAATTAAACTGGGTGTGGTGGCAGACACCTGTAATCCCAGCTACTCGGGAGGCTGAGGCAGGAGAATCACTTGAACCCAGGAGGCAGAGGTTGCAGTGAGCTGAGATTATGCCACTGCACTCCAGCCTGGGCGACAAAGCAAGACTCCATCAAAAAAGGGAGCGAGGGAGGGAGGGAAGGAGGGAAAGAAGGGAAAGAGAGAGGGAGGGAGGGAGGGAGAGAGGGGAAAACAACTAAGTCAAAACAACCAAGCAGCATAATTAAACCCATTTTGCAGATGAGGAAAACAGAGGCCCAGATAAACTAATGTCACTCAGCCAGTAGTGGCAGAACTAGGATAAAAACATAGGCAATCTGACTCCAGACTCTCAACCTGCTCTCAACCACAATTCCATATGACTTCCAAGAACAGGCCAGATGATCGAACTGAATCAGAATCACAGAAAGTTAGAGACCTTAGTCTTTTTTCTTCTCAAACAGCCTAGAAATTTGAAGACCAGAGGAAGTAAGTGACCAGTCCAACATGTAAGCAGAAGAGCAAGAGCTTAGAGCCTAGATCTTCTGATTCCAAGTTAAGTGGTTTTTCTACTACACCATACAAATCTTTAAGAAAAAAAAAATGCAAAGGAAAGAAAAAGAGCCAGGCATGGTAGAGGGTGCCTATAGTCCCAGCTACTTGGGAGGCTAAGGTGGGAGGAGGCTTGAAATTCAAGTTCAGGATGGGCAACATAGCAAAACCTCGTCTCTTTTTTTTTTTTAAAAAAAGGAAAGGAATGGAAAAGACAAAGACTCTACCTTGATTAAACATTCTAATGCTTTAGCTATTTGAGCAAAGATATGTTAGATATATGACCATTTATTCAAATATCTGAGTTCCTTTTATGCACTTAACTAGTTTGTAGATGACACAAATGGAGGACACACAGTTATTGCCATAAATGGAAGAATTAAAGCTCAAAGAAATCTCAAAAGGTTAGAAGCCTGCACCAAATCTCACAGGACAAAATTTAACTAGAATACCTGTAAGTCTTTTTTTTTTTTTTCTCCTGAGATGGAGTCTCACTCTGTTGCCCAGGCTGGAATGCAGGGGTGCAATCTTGGCTCACTGCAACCTCTGCCTCCTGGGTTCAAGTGATTCTCCCACCTCAGCCTCCCAAGTAGCTGGGATTACAGGCGCACACCACCACACCCAGCTAATTTTTTTATTTTTTGGTAGAGATGGGGTTTCACCATGTTGGCCAAGCTGGTCTCAAATTCCTGACCTCAAGTGATCCCCATGCCTTGACCTCCCAAAGTGCTAGGATTACAGGCGTGAACCACCATGCCTGGCTCTAGGATACCTATAAGTCTTATGCTGAAGTTCAAGAAAACCAAGGGCATAGCAGCGACTAGAAGGGAGACAACAACAATTCATGTACAAGGTTTGGCCATTTTATAATTGATCTTAGGTTTAATATAACCCAATAGTATGATAAAGGGAACTGCTTTAAATAAAAAAAAACCCAGGATGGGGAGGTGATGGAATACAATCTTAGACTGTATTTCATATAGTTTGGATCCAGGGATTATGGCTGTTCCTCCTAGTGGGATGCTGAAAACGGAGAGAACTTTAAAAGATCATATTATCCAACTCCTTCACTTTACAGGTAAGGAAAACAAGACCCTAGAGAGGAAAAAAACCATAAAGCTCTTTTCCTGTTTACACTATCACAATGTGAGATTTAATAAAATAAAACACAGGGCAACTCTGTATCATCTAATTAACCTATACTGAGCATCCTACCTTAGATCACACATTAAACTCAACCAAACCCTCTTAATAGACAAATGAACAGGGCATGGTTCCTGCTACAGTTTACAGCTAGTGCCATCTTTAATTTTTTATTCAAGTTAATATTTACTGATTTTTTTTTTTTTTAGATGGAGTTTCACTCTTGTTGCCCAGGCTGGAGTGGAATGGTGAGATCTCGGCTCACTGCAACCTCCGCCTCCCCAGTAGCTGGGATTACAGGTATGTGCCACTACATCCTGCTAATTTTGTATTTTTTAGTAGAGACAGGGTTTCTCCATGTTGGTCAGGCTGGTCTCGAACTCCTGACCTCAGGTGATCCACCCGCCTCAGCCTCCCAAAGTGCTGGGATTACAGGTGTGAGCCACTGCGCACGGCCATATTTACTGACATCTGTTTTGCCTCAGACACTGCAGATACTGAGATGAGTAATAGTCCCTGTTTTCGCCTGTAATCCCAGCACTTTGGAAGGTAGAAGTGGGCAGATTACAAGGTCAAGAGTTCGAGACCAGCCTGACCAACATGATGAAACCCCGTCTCTACTAAAAATACAAAAATTAGCAGGGTGTGGTGGCGTGCGCCTGTAATCCCAGCTACTCAGGAGGCTGAGGCAGGAGAATCGCTTGAACCCGGGAGGCGGGGGTTGCAGTGAGCTGAGATTGCACCACTGCACGCCAGCCTGGGCGACAGGGCAAGACTCTGTCTCAAAAAAATAAATAAATAAAAAATTAGTCAGGCGTGGTGGCAGGCGCCTGTAGTCTCAGCTACTCGGGAGGTTGAGTCATGAGAATCGCTTGAACCCGGATGGCAGAATTTGCAGTGAACCAACATCGTACCACTGTACTCCAGCCTGGGTGACAAAGTGAGACTCGGTTTCAGAAAGAAAAAAAAAAGAGTCCCTGTTTTTAATTAGTAAGGAGAGAAGGGCAAGTTAAGTAAGATGACAATACAGGTTTGAATAAGTAGTGTTAACAGGGTGCTACTGCAGCACAGAATAGGAACTCGTATTTCAGTCAAGGAAGGCTTTCCAGAGGCAGTTAACTACTTACCCTAAAGGACAAGCATCCATTAGTAGAGCTGTGAGTTTTTAAAAGATGCTGGAGTCCTGGATGCTTATAAGGCCAAGATAGGAAATAAAACCAGTGAAACAGGAACGGAGTAGATTTAATTAAAAAAAAAAAACCCTTTTATATTTCTTTTCTTTTTTTTTTTTTTTGAGACGGACTCTCATTCTGCTGCCCAGGCTGGAATACAGTGGTGTGATCGCAGCTCACTGCAACCTCCACCTCCTGAGTTCAAGCTGTTCTCCTGCCTCAGCCTCCCGAGTAGCTGGGATTACAGGCACCTGCCATCACACCAGCTAATTTTTGTATTTTTAGTAGAGATGGGGTTTCACCATGTTGACCAGGCTGGTCTCGAATTCCTGACCTCAGGTGATCCACCTGCCTCAGCCTCCCAAAGTGCTGGAATTACAGGTGTGAGCCACCACGCCCAGCCAGCATCTGGTTTATTTCTATGTTGTGTTTTATTGCAGAGAATCAATTTTTAGATGATATTGGGCATGTTTGGGGTGGTATGGCCGTAGACAAGAATCAATTTTTAAGAACTGATTCACACAAATAAATAGAAACAAATAATAACAGCTTCACTGTTTGCCTAATAATCTCAGGACATTATTCAAATAAATTGAGACGAGAGCCTGAAAGAATAGCACAAATATTTGTTTCAAAGCCAGTTACCTTCAGTGTTTAAAACTATGAACATTCTTCAGCCAGGCACGGTGGCTCACACCTATAATCCCAGCACTTTGGGAGGCCGAGGCAGGTGGATCACCTGAGGTCAGGAGTTCGAGACCAGCCTGACCAACATGGAGAAACCCCGTCTCTACTAAAAATACAAAATCAGCCGGCTGTGGTGGCACATGCCTGTATTACCAGCTACTCAGGAGACTGAGGCAGGAGAATCACTTGAACCCGGGAGGCGGAGCTTGCGGTGAGCCAGGATTGTGCTCCATTGTACTCCAGCCTGGATAACAAGAGCAAAACTCCGTCTCCAAAAAAAAAAAAGAAAGAAAGAAAGAAAGAAAGAAAAAAACAACTATGAACATTCCTCATAATATGTAAACACAAATAGAAAAGTGAGACAAAAGAACAGAAACTTCTGGTACACATACTAAACCAGTAATACAGTATTACTACATAGAGATGAATTAATTACCCACTTCACTATTATAATAGTTCAGTTAACACCTGAGCTCATACAACTGAGCTCTGCCTGAATCATTATTATTACTATTATTAGGCACAAGACCTATGTGCTATAGTTTGTTCTGCAATACTGTATGTAACTCCAATTAAAAAAAAAAAAAAGACTACATCAGAAGAAGCGATCTTTGTGTTTTTAATCAAGTGTACATTTATTAATAGTACAAATATATACACAGAGATGGTGGAAAAACTTTATTCTGTGATGTCCAACTGGCAGGTAATTAGAGTGTACATATTATTTTTAAAAATACATTTTTAAATAAATGAAATGCATCTTAAAATTGCAATTATAATAAAATGGGTACAGAATCTCGTAAGTAACTCCATGGAAGATTTGGAATCCATAGCCTCCAATTGAAAAATGACATCTCTCATTTTACAGATAAAGCAAACGTAGCACATTCCCGATATAACTATTTGGTATTAGAATCAAAGTTGTTTCATAGAAATAAAAAGCTTTTACAATGTATCTTTTTATTTCAATTACTTTATGGCTGTTTATGAAATTAACATTTCTAAACATAAAAAAGAAAGCACTTAAAATACAGTGATAGCTCTTAAGTTCCATTAAAGTCCTATACTGAAGATAAACTTTAAAAATATTAACAACTAATTAGTTATTTAATGTTTAAAAATGACATTACCATAATGCACAAGGAAAGAAAAGCAGCAGCCTCTACCTAAATGATATTGTATTTATTTTCTCATTACATGTGAAATAGTAAATAGGACCAAACAACTTAAGCCTGCCTATCTCTTTCTTTCTAAGTTCAAATACAGGAAAGCCACTTTGAGGTGGCTTTTTTAAAAACACCACCACACAATCAAACACACTTCTAAAATGTCTGTCTTTGTTTCCGCTGCTATAGATGCACACTAGGATCTGAATATTTAGTCAAAAGCTTTTCTGGGACGTACTGGAAAGGACACTGGGGAATGATTGAATCTAATTCTAATTCTGTCAGGCGTTTGTGAACTTTTAATAGAAAGCTAAATAATAAGCCATCAAATCCCCACCTTAACTTGTAAGATACACTATAAAAAGTGTCTACATACCTAAGTTTGAAGGTAGTGAGCCCATCACAATGAGAGTACTGAAGGCAATGAGACCCAAGGGTATACACTCCAGTAAAAGTTAGACCATATGAATCCTCAACCATGGAGACTCAGAATCAGCCAAACTCAGGGCTGATCCCTGCTCTGAGTGTTTAGAAGTCAACAGAATATAACTAATAGCAATATGGGAAGAATGAGGGTTCTGGTGCCATTACAAAAAAAAATTTTTTTTTTAATTATCAAAGCCTGATTCCCTAGGGAAGAGAGGGATTAACTTCCTTGCATTGAACAAGATGATTTGGATACACATAGCCAAACTGTGTAGGAACAGTATCAATGATATCAAAGAGAACACAGACACCCAGTGTTCCAGGATGCCCCTCGGCAAGGACATCGCACGACCCCTTCCACTGACTGACCCTTCCTCCTCTGCCTTTTCTCACCCCAAAACACACCAAGTTAACAGAAACTTCTCCAACCCAAATCTATACCTGGAGGAGGGTAAAAGAGTTACTGTATGTTTTCAGTTAAAAACAAGGTTCCAAGAAACCACTCTGAGATTGAGAAAGAAAGAGCTCAGTTCTCTGAGGAAAGACTAAGTCAGCACAGCAGCCACTTCCCTTCAGTTTTGAGCCCAGTCATCACCTCATCTAACCAGCACTCTCCAGACAGACTCACAGAACAGAAAAGAGCACCACCCCCATCCCAAAGTGGCCCCAGGGCAGACCAGCTTCTTCATTATACTCACACACACACACTCTTAAGTCTGACAGCACCCCAGCTGAAGGACGTACTGGCCCTTTAAGGAAAGCAACTGGGAAGACCTCCATCATTCACCCCACCCTCAAAAGCCCCACAGTAGATTTAAAGAATAACTGGGTACCAGTTAGTTACCTGCTCTACCTCTGGCATGCCTCTTCCAGTATAGAACACCAGCAACTCCAAGAACGTGAGTCAAAATAAAGATGGTTGGTGGTAAATAAGATGAATCTAAGAGGGGCATTTCCAGGCCCGTCCTTTCTCCTCCCTTGAGTTAGCCACAAGCTCAGCGCAGGCCTCTGGATGCCTTTCTCCTGAGGTTACTGTTGTCCTGTACTATCAGCAGAGGCAGAGGCCGGAGCTTAGTGTTGTCAGAAACTTCCTGGCAGCTTCTCCTCCATCTCACTTCTGACTGTTTTTCAGCAGGCGCTAGTAGACTGGGACTAAAACTGTACAGTGTATCTCAGACAAAGCCCAGGAAACAACTGGCCAGCGGGGGAGGGGAAAGGGAAGAAGGAACAAGGAGAGTGAAAAGGAGCGCCTAAGCCAGTGTCAAGCTGACTCAAACCTCTATCTTTGGCATCCTCTGCTCAGCTTAAATAAACAAACCTCAGACCCTTCTACAAGAAGGGAGGGTGTCAGAGGACGTCACACTCTTAACTTTCCATTCCCAGCCTGCCTGCAAGGCCAGACTTCAGGATGTAGCCAGAAGAAAAAAGTCACAGAAGCATTAGGGAACCTCTTGCGGGGAGAAAGCAAAGTACATGAGGATGTATGAGCACCACAAGTACCCTGGAGTTGTCAGAGGGCAAACCCTCCATACCCACAACCCGGGAGGAGAAGCAAGGAGCCTGAACATCAGTCCAGGGAGGATACATACAGAGCAAGCTCCCATGAAGCAGACCTGACATCTAGGTGTGATGAAGATCAGCGAGGAGAGCAAACTGCTCATTTAGGGGGTACTTCTCAAGGGTTAAAAAAATCCGTCTGGCTGGGCGCAGTGGTTCATGGCTGTAATCCCAGCACTTTGGAAGGCACGATATCAGTTCACTGCAACCTCCGCCTCTAGGGTTGAAGCAATTCTCCTGCCTCAGCCTCCTGAGTAGCTGGGATTACAGGTGGATGCCACCGCACCCAGCTAATTTTTATATTTTTAGTAGAGATGGGGTTTCACCATGTTGGCCAAGCTGGTCTCGAACTCCTGACCTCAAGCAATCCTCCCGCCTCTGCCTCCAAAGGTGCTGGGATTACAGGCATGTGCCACTGTGCCCGGCCTTAGACCAGAGGACCCAGCAATCTCACTCCTAGGTATCTATCCAAGAAAAAGAGAAACGTATATCCACACAAAGACCTGTATATGAATGTTTGCAGCAGCATTATTCATAATATAAAAAACTGGAAACAACCCAAATGTCCATCAACTGGTAAATGTATAAACAAATTGTGCATCCATATAATGGACTACCTATTCTGCAATAAAATAGAATAAAACTACTGATACATACGACGACACAGATGATTCTCAAAACTATTATGCTACATAAAAAAAGCCAAACACAAAAGGCTACATACCATATGATTCCATTTATATAACTTTCTAGAAAAGCAAAACTATACAACTAGAAATGGAAGAGGCTGAGAATGAGGGAAGGAAATTGACTAAAAGGATCACAAAATAACTGTAAGAGGATGGAAATGTTCCTTTTGTTGATTGTGGTGGTGGTTCCATGACTGTATACATTTGTCCAAACTCACTAAATCAGGCCAGATGCAGTGGCTCATGCTTGTAATCCCTGCACTTCAGGAGGCTGAGGCAGGAGGATCACTTGAGCCCAGGAGTTCAGGACCAGACTGAGTAACACAGTGGGACCCCATTTCTACAAAAAAATTTTAAAATTTAGCCAGATGAGATGGTATGTGTGTATAGTCCCAGCTACTGGGGAGGCTGAGGTGGGAAGATGGCTTGAGCCCAGGAATCAAGGCTGCAGCAAGCCATGATCATGCCACTGCACTACAGCCTTTTTATTTGAGACAAAGTGAGACCCTGTTTACTTACTTCTAAAGTACCTATTACACTATGATATAGATGAAGATGCTATAGTCTCACAAGCTTTAAAAAATGAAAATTGCTTTATATATCTGTCAAGTTTATTTTTTTCTAATAATAGGGAAGGGTTTTACTTTTTTTTCTATGTGAAATCTTTATTTATTTATTTATTTTCCTTTTGCTTTTTTCTAGAGCTTGTTGAAGCAAAAGGAAAGAGTTTTAGATGTGCATAACCTACTACCCAGAAAAATAATAAAGGGGCCTTGACGGGACCACTAATACAATGGGAACTTTTAAATCTGGCAATAGGATCATCTACAATTTTGTGCTAACCTACATTTCATTCATCAAATATTTACTTCATATTATGTGCCAGGTCATGTTCCAGGTACCAGAAACAATAGCAGTAAACAAAACAAAGACCTTGCTCTCACAGAACTTACATACTAGTAGGAGAAGAAAGAAAAGAAATATAAACAGGTAAATACATAGCTTGTCACATAAATGCTATGGAGAATACTAAAGGAGACGAAGAGGAGATGGAGTGTCAATGTCAATGGGGGATAGTTTACTTTTTTTTTTTTTGAGACAGAGTCTTGCTCTGTTGCCCAGGCTGGAGTGCAGTGGCATGATCTTGGCTCACTGCAACCTGTGCCTCCCGGCTTCAAGCGATTCTCCTGCCTCAGCCTCCTGAGCAGCTGGGACTACAGGCACGTGCCACTACACCTAGCTAATTTTTCTATTTTTAGTAGAGATGGGGTTTCACCGCATTGGCCAGGCTGGTCTCGAACTCCTGACCTCGTGATCCAACTGCCTTGGCCTCCCAAAGTGCTGGGATTACAGGTGTGAGCCACTGCGCCCGGCCAGCACCTAGCCAAGTTTACGGTTTTATATATAGGATGGTCAGAGAAGGCTCGTCTAATAAGGTGACATCTGAGCAGATAAAGAATATGAGGCCGGGCGTGGTGGCTCACGCCTGTAATCCCAGCACTTTGGGAGGCGGAGGCGGGTGGATCATGAGGTCAGGAGACTGAGACCATCATGGCTAACACCGTGAAACCCCATCTCTACTAAAATTACAAAAACTTAGCTGGGCGTGGTGATGGTCGCCTGTAATCCCAGCTACTTGGGAGGCTGAGGCAGGAGAATGGTTTGAACCCGGGAGGCAGAGCTTGCAGTGAGCCGAGATTGCGCCACTGCACTCCAGCCTGGGAGACAGAGTGAGAGTGCATCTCAAAAAAAAAAAAAAAAAAAAAAAAAAAAAGAATATGAGCAAACAAGTCATGTGGCTATCTGGAGAATGGATAAGCCAAAGAACAAGTGCAAAGTCCCTGAGGCAGAATTACGTTTCTTATGTTCAGGGAACACCAAAGAACCTAGAATGGCTGGACCTGAAAGAGGAAAGGAAAGAGTATCAGAAGAGGAGGCCAGAGACGAGGTCAGATCACCTATGGCTGTACAGATCATTGTAAAGCCTTTGGCTTTTATTCTAGGTGAAACGGGAAGCCATTGGAGGGCTTTGTGTGAGACAGTAACACGATTTAACTTAGGTTTTAAAAGGATTGCTCAGCCTGGCGCGGTGAATCACGCCTGTAATCCCAGCACTTTGGGAGGCCGAGGCAGGTGGATCATGAGGTCAAGAGATCGAGACCATCCTGACTAACACAGTGAAACCCCGTCTCTACTAAAAATACTAAAAATAAGCCGGGCGTGGTGGCACGCGCCTGTAGTCCCAGCTACTCAGGAGGCTGAGGCAGAAGAATCGCTTGAATCCAGGAGGCGGAGGTTGCAGTGAGCCAAAATCGCGCCACTCCAGCCTGGGTGACAGAACGAAACTCTATCTCAAAAAAAAAAGGATCATTCTTGTTCCTATGTTGAGATCATACTACTGAGAGATAAGAGTGGGTACAGGGAAACCAGCTATAATGCCAGTATAATAATTCAAGTGAAAATTGGTGGCTACAAAATGATGGGTAGAGCCAGAGTGTGGCCACAGAGGTGGTAAGATGTGTTCAAATTCTGTAATTACAAAGAAGGAATCATCTGGATTTGCTTATAGATTGGTTGTGGAATGAGCAGGGAAAGAATAAAAAATAACTCCAAAATGTTGGCCTGAGAAATTGAAAGGATAGAACTGCTATTTCCTGAGATGGGGAAGACTGATACCAGAGATGCAGAGGGTTTGGGATTCATTGGTGGCTGTGGCTGTCTGTTTTTTGGGGGGGCAGGGTAGAAATGTCCTTTTGAATAACATTAGGTTTGAAATGCCTAAAGACATTCAAGTGAAACTTCCTTGTTGTTTCTTTTGGTAGAAACCGGGTTTCGCCATGTTGCCCAGGCTGGTCTCAAACTCCTGGCCTCATGTGATCCTCCTTCCTTGGCCTCCTAAAGTGCTGGGATTACAGGCTTGAGCCACCATGCCCACCCCTCAAGTGGAACTTTGAATAGACAATTGAATATATGAATCTAGAGTTCAGGGAGAGACCTGGCCTGGAATTTTTTTCTTTTTTTTTTTTTCTCTGAGATGGAGTCTAGCTCTGTCACCCAAGCTGCAGTGCAGTGGCACTATCTTGGCTCACTGCAACCTCCACCTACCGGGTTCAAGTGATTCTCCTGCCTCAGCCTCCCAAGAAGCTGGGATTACAGGTGCCCACCACCACGCCCGGCTAATTTTTGTATTTTTAGTAGAGACACGGTTTTGCCATGTTGGGCAGGCTGGTCTCGAACTCCTGATCTCAGGTGATCCACCTGCCTCGGCCTCCCAAAGTGCTGGGATTACAGGTGTGAGCCACTGTGCCTGGCCCAGGCTGGAATTTTAAAGCCAGGAGACTAGATGGCATTATTTAGTGAGTAAACATAGAGAAGAGATCAAGTTCAAGGACTAAGTCCTGGAAGCCTTTCAACATTATCTAGGGAAGAGCAAGAACAACCAAAAGGGGCTAAAAAAGAGGATTCAGTGGATTAGAGGGAGACCCAAAAGAGTAAGCTATCCCAGAAGCCAGGTGAAAGCGTTCTAAAAAGTAGCAATTAACCATGCAAGAGCTATTAATATGTCAAGTTGAGGATTGAGAACTGACCATTGAATTTAGCATTCTGGAGGTCACTGGTGACTCTAACAAGTGCAGTTTTGATGGCATGGTAGAGAAAAAGCCTGACTGGAGCGATTCAAGAACTAATGAATGGGAGAAGAATAATCAAGGACAGGGAAAAACAACTCCTTCAAGGAACTTTGCTGTAAACAGGAGCAGAGAGAGCAATGTAGGGTCAATAGAGAATTCTTGATATGTGAAATGTAATAGTGTTTGCTGAAGGGAATAAGAATTAGAAAGGAAAAATTGATGACATAGTCCAGTGGAGACTAAGCTGGAGCTCCCTCTCTTCTGAAACAAAGCACTTCATTCATTTCATTAAAAGATGCAGAGCATTGTGCCAGATACCATGGACACCAAGATGACTATGACACACCCCTTGCTGTGGAGAAGTGAAGAAGCTCCTGGGCTGTGATGGTCGAAGAAGATGGACTTGCTTGGAAGGGAAACTAAAATTTATTAAGCAGCTACTATAAAGCATCTTTACATCTGTTATTTCATTTGATCCCTGTAATATCCCTGGGAACTATATATTATTACCCCATTTTATAAATCAAGCACTTGAGGCTCCAGAAATTCAAGTTATTTTGCCAAGGTCATCCAAGAAAGAGGATGAGCTGACACCTGAGCTTTTTCTGTCTTTTTTTCTGTAGAGACAGGATCTTACTATGTTACAGCCCAGGTTGGTCTCAAACTCATGGAATCAAGCAATCCTCCTGCCTAGGCCTCCCAAAATGTTGGGATTACAGGCGTGAGCCACTGTGTCTGGCCCATGTCTGAACTTTTATTATGCCTGATTCCAAATAAATATATTTTATCCCTTTGTTAAAAAATTCTGTCACAACAGGCCAGGCACAGTGGCTCACGCCTGTAATCCCAGCACTTTGGGAGGCCGAGGCGGGCGGATCATGAGGTCAGGAGATCGAGACCATCCTGGCTAACACGGTGAAACCCCATCTCTACTAAAAATACAAAAAATTAGCCAGCCGTGGTGGTGGGCGCCTGTAGTCCCAGCTACTTGGGAGGCTGAGGCAGGAGAATGGTGTGAACCTGGTAGGCAGAGCTTGCAGTGAGCCGAGATCGCGCCACTGCACTCCAGCCTGGGCGACAGAGCGAGACTCCATCTCAAAAAAGAAAAAAATTCTGTCAAAATAAGTACACTAACTTTAGGGTAAGCAACTTGAGGTGTTTATACTTCCTCGTTACAAGACTTATTTATATAATAGTTCCACCTGGCTTTAAGAAAAGAATCTCAACAACAGTATATATTAATTGCTAGTGCTGTTTCTTCCCTTTTATTTCTTTCTTGAGACAGAGTCTTGCTCTGTTGCCTAGGCTGGAGAGTGCAGTGATGCTCCGATCTCTGCAACCTCTATCTCCTGGGTTCAAGCAATTCTCCTGCCTCAGCCTCCCCAGTAGCTGTGACTACAGGTGTGTGCCACCACGCCCAGCTAATTTTTTTTTTTTTTTTTTTGAGACGGAGTTTCGCTCTTGCTCTGTTGCCTAGGCTGGAGTGCAATGGCGTGATCTCAGCTCACTGCAACCTCCGTCTCCCGGCTCCAAGCAATTCTCCTGCCTCAGCCTCCTGAGTAGCTGGGATTACAGGCACACACCACCACACCCGGCTAATTTTTGTATTTTTAGTAGAGACGGGGTTTCATCACATTGGTTAGGCTGGTCTCGAACTCCTGACCTCATGATCCACCCGCCTCAGCCTCCCAAAGTGCTGGGATTACAGGAGTGAGCCACCGCGCCCGGCACGCCCAGCTAATTTTTGTATTTTTAGTAGAGTCAGAGTTTCACCATGTTGGCCAGGCTGGTCTCCAACTCCTGACCTCAGGTGATCCATCCGCCTGGGCCTCCCAAACTGCTGGGATTATAGGCATGAGCCACCGCGCCCAGCCTGCTAGTGCTGTTTCTATCACCATTTCTTGAGACAGGGTCTTACTCTGTAGTCCAAGCTGGAATGCAGTGGCACAATCATAGCTCGCTGCAGCCTCAAACTACCGGGCTCAAGTAATCCTCCCACCTCTGCCTCCCGAGTAGCTGGGACTACAGGCATGTGCCACCACGTCTGGCTAATTTTTGTGTTTTTTGCAGAGATGGGGTTTTGCCATGTTTCCCAGGCTGGTCTCGAACTCCTGGGCTCAAGTGATCTGCCTGCCTCAGCCTACCAAAGTGCAGGGATTATAGACATGAGCCACTCCACTTGGCATCTGTCCACCATTTCTCAACCATCTTTTTCGAAACATGGTCTCGCTCTGTCGCCCAGGCCAGAATGCAGTGGTGTGATCATAGCTCACTACAGCCTTGAACTCCTAGGCTCAAGCAATCCTCCTGGTTTAGCCTCCTGAGGAGCTGGGACTATAAACATGCATCACCATG
The DNA here is from genome assembly GCF_000001405.40 of Homo sapiens. NCBI lineage: Eukaryota > Metazoa > Chordata > Mammalia > Primates > Hominidae > Homo > Homo sapiens. Next base: position 39,197,745 of record NC_000001.11, on the reverse strand, counting down.
CTGGCTATAATTTTTTAATTTTTTTTGAAGATGGGGTCTCACTATGTAGTCCAGGCTGGTCTCAAACTCCTGGCCTTAAGAGTGACCCTCCCGCCTCTGCCTCCCAAAGTGCTGGGATTACAGGCATGAGCCACCACAACCGTCTTTTCACAGTCTTACAAATACCTTCACCATATTTTCGTTTCCCAAAGTGAAAGCCATTTCCCTGCCCTATTTGCTACCTGAAGCCATCATAAAGCTGTTATAGGAGCTTCTGGCATCAGTAATTAGAAAATCATATACCATGTTTGTGTCATTCAAAAACACCTAGGAAATTTGGGGGAAAAAATCCAAAGTACTCAAATACCAAGATATGTTCTGAACCTACATTTATTATTAGAGAAGACAATGAAAGATAACCAAAGTAATTTATTCTCATAAGATCATAAAAACATGTCATTTTATACCTTGATATTACAGGTAAAAAGCCTGCCTATCTGCAGCTTGTGTGTGTGTGTGTGTATATATTTATATTTATATTTATTATATATATGTATGTTGGAAGGAAGAAGCAGAGGGGAACTGCTTTCATGAAAATAAAATAATTTTTTCACTTGGTGAAACTAAGATCTGTGTGCTGTCATTTACAGGAAGTGGTTAGAGGCTGGCAGGAGGGAGTGACTAGTTTTCTTTTTAAGAGATCATTTATCATACAAAGAACAGTCTTTTTAAAGTCACATTTAGCACCCCCCAGGATATCCCTTACTAACAGCCAACGGGCAGGGCCCCAAACCATGAAAGAAGCCTTGTAGAAGACAGACTCAGAACTTCATTAAGATTTTAGATCTGCCTCTCTTTGGGATTACCCACAGGAATTTGGGATGGTCTCCCCTAACTGTTACCCACAAGAAATCTCAACACAAGGCAACACCCCAGAATTACTTTAATGTTTGCAAGCAAAACAAGCCTGTGCAAAGGTATGCTGGACATTTTATTCAAATGTCATTGAGATTTACTTGGTCTCAAAATAATTGATATCCACAAGCATCATAACTTTAGCAGATTCAGACTAAAAATTTACGTTACACCGTAACTAAAAAAGCCAAATCTAGAAAAATAATGCTTACAAAGAGAGAAGTCTTTTAAAAAATACAATAAATATACCTAAGATTATAAATTTGGTAGAGGGAATAGCACATAACCGATAGGACTGAAAACCTTGGGTTTCTGGAAATGGCACGATGCAGACATCAAAGCCTGGCCCTGAAACTCTTGTCATCTGTCCCCTCCCATGAGTACACTAGGCATCTAACTGAAGACAGGCAGAGGATGTGGGCTTCAGATAACTTAATTAGGAGACATCCATGACTCTGCCTCTAAGGTTTGGCAATGTGGTATTGAGACAACTTGCAAAGGCCCAGAATGTCTACAAAGAACATTCTACATACAAAAGTGTCATTGAATACAATAAAGTAAGGAAAATCTCCATATTTATTGCTCCGTATACATAGATGCCATGAGTATTATAGTAGCATGGAAATTATAAGCCCAGTCTGCCTGGGTTTAAATCCATACTACTATGTATACATCACATTTAGCATCTTTGGGCAAGTTACTTAACTTCATGGAACCTCAATTTCCTCATCTGTAAAATGATGATAATAATAGCATCTGTCTCAGAGTTGTAGTAAGGATGAATGAGTTAATGTGTTTCAGGTGCTCAATACCTGCTCAATAATTGCTGATTATAATTGTCATTATTTGGAGGAGCAGCAAACAAACTACATCTGACCACAAAGACTATGAATATTGCTCAGACTGTACGAAACCTTGGCAACTGATAACTTACCTCACCTAAATTACCTAATCTGTCTAATCTCAGTCTCCAACTTACCAACCCTGCCCTCGTTCACCACAACAGTAATCTCCTTGAAGCATGTATAATGATTGGCACATTTTAAATGCTTAATAAATGTTTATTTATAACTTCACTGTAAAACTTTACATTTCTCCCTATCAGCAAATTAAATCCAAAACTCTCTGGCTTCACAATATTTCCCTCATTATCCTGGCACGTTTTTCCTTCCCATCTCCAGATATTAAACTCCTATTTCTATAGACCAGCTTAAAGCCAGTACTTCCACAGAATTATCTCCAGTTCCTCCCTCCATCCCAGTGAGAAGTAAACTTCTCCCTCCCTTGAGCTTTTATTATACTTTATCTGTTTCTCTCATAAAGTTTAGCACTTTGTGCTTTATAATACAGCTGAGCACATATTGTTACTCCCTCACTAGACTGTTTTTGAAGCTAGATAAATGTCTGCTCTCCTTTATAAAATCTTAGTCACTAAATAACTATTTGTGGAATGAGCAAATTAATAAATGAATGAGAGGATCTGAGAACTGCTTAAGAGCAAGAATGGGGGCGGGTGCACACTAGAAAGGGCAAAGCTGGGCCCAGTGAATTATGAATACTCCCAAAATATAAACATTTCTTCTGGTAATGCATCTTTTTTGACCACAAAAACATACAACCGAGAACAAGTGCCTGGAAAACCATTCATCTTATGGCAGAAATAACTCAAAATGCTCTTCTAGAGAGGCCTAGTAGGTAACATACACTAACAAGGGTGTCGAACCATCTTTAACAGTGAACTTCCAAATCTACCTGGGAATTTAAAAGAAAAAAGTGTCTCCAAGAACACAAGTGTAAGTTTTGCTTTTCCTTGGAGCTGGAAGGAAGATAGTTTATTAATTCAGAAATTAAACTGCTTGGCTGGGAGCAGTGGCTCACCCCTGTAATCCCAGCGCTTTGAGAAGCTGAGGCAGGAGGACTGCCTGAGGACAGGAGTTTAAGACCACCCTGGGCAACATAGCAAGACCCCATCTCTCCAAAACATAATAACACTTAGCCAGGCCCAGTGGTTACACACCTGTAGTTCTAGCTACTTGGGAGGCTGAGGCAGGAGAATCACTCCAGCCCAGGAGTTTCAGGCCACAGTGAGCTATGATCACACCACTGCACTCCAGCCTAGACAGCAGAGCAAGACAATAGAGAAGGGAAGGGAGGGGAGGGGAGGGGAGGGGAGGGGAGAGGAAGGCAGGGAGAAAGAAATTCCACTTTTGGCTGGGCATGGTGGCTCACGCCTGTAATCCCAGCACATTAAAAGGCTGAGGCGGGGTGGATCACCTAAGGTCAGGAGTTCAAGACCAGCCTGGCCACCCGTCTCTACTAAAATTACAAAAATTAGCCGGGCATGGTGGCATGTGCCTGTAGTCTCAGCTACCTGGGAGGCTGAGTCAGAAGAATCCCTTGAGCCCGGGAGGTGGAGGCTGCAGTGAGCTGAGATCGCGCCACTGCACTCCAGCTTGGGAAACAGAACAAGACTCTATCACAAAAAAAAAAAAAAAAAAAAGAAAAGAAAAGAAAAGAAAAGAAAAGAAAAGAAATTCCACTTCTGGAAATCCCTCCGGATATGGATTCTGCCCAGGATCTAACTCTAGATGGCCTTCCTATCAAGCTCAGCAACTGAAGGTCTTACCCTTAAGAAAGAAAAGGGAAAGTAACACTAAAGAGGAGGGGCAGAAAATAAAGTGAGAGATGCTCTGGTACAGCACTTAGAAAACTCACTCTTGGCCAGGTGTGGTGGCGCATGCCTGTAATCCCAGCACTTTGGGAGGACGAGGTGGTTGGATCACCTGAGGTCAGGAGTTCGAGACCAGCCTGACCAATATGGTGAAACCCCATCTCTATTAAAAATACAAAATTACCCAGGAGTGCCTGTAATCCCAGCTACTTGGGAGGCTGAGGCAAGAGAATTGCCTGAACCCAGGAAGTGGAGGTTGCAGTGAGCTGAGATCATGCCACTGCACCCCAGCCTGGGCAACAACAGCGAAACTGTCTCAAAAAAAGAAAAAAAGAAAAAAGAAAACTCACTCTTAAACCCAAGTGCCTGCCTCTCTCTCTCTCTCTCTCCCTCTCTCTCTTACCAGGGCTGTAAATATAATTTGTGAGCCAAACCTATATTCAAATTCTGATTTCACAATCTCTAGTTGTGTATCTATGAACCAATTACTTAATCTCTTTAATCCATAGTTATCTCATGTCAAAAAGGGATAATAAAATTACCTCTTCACAGTGTTACAGTGAGGATTAAGTGAGAAAATGCATAATATATTTGGCACACAGTAAGCATTAACTATTTAAAAAGCATTAAACATTGACTCATTAATGCCAACTCTTGTTATTATGATTACCACACAAGAGACCTCCTAGCAGGGCATCAAGTCATCCTCAGTGGCAAATGCAAGAAGGTAAGTGAAAGTAATGTGTGGTATTGAACAGCTCAATGACTAAGTCAAATTAGGCTTCGACAGCATTGCTTCAAAAAGGGAAAGGACAAGAATATCTAGTCAACCTCAACAGCCATATTACCATTTTAAGTAATCTCTCTCTCTGGCATTTTGACCCTTTTCCCCAATGAAATAATATCTATCTAGTAAGCTTTTTCCAGGAAACTCTGGTAGCCAACATCTTAAAGAAATGGAGAAAAAAATGATACGAAGAAAAGAAGCCCTGTCTATGGGGACTGTTCCAGAATCTTGCCCAGGATTGTTATTTTTGTCCAGAAATATTCTTTTTTTTTTTAATTTTTGAGATGGAATTTCACTCTTGTTGCCCAGACTGTAGTGCAATGGCACAATCTCGGTTCACTGCAACCTCTGCCTCCCGGGTTTAAGCAATTCTCCTGCCTCAGCCTCCCAAGTAGCTGGGATTACAGGCATGCGCCACCATGCCCGTCTAATTTTTTTGTATTTTTGGTAGAGACGGGGTTTCACCATGTTGGCCAGGCTGGTCTCGAACTCCTGACCTCAGGTGATATCCACCCGCCTCGGGTTACAGGCATGAGCCACTGCGCTTCGCCCATAAAGTTCTTAATACAAGTTCACGCCTTTTGTTTCTGCTCTAATATTTTAAAAAACATAGTACTGAATATACAAAGATGTCACAATAGACAAGGAATCCAGCTCATTTATCACTAGATTAGTGTTTCTCTTATTGAGAGCCTAACCCTCAGTGACCCCTACTGGACAAAGATAGATAGACACAGAAGACTAAGTTTTTAAACAACAAAGAAAACTGTGTTGCTTTTATTCTGATGAAATTCTCACACATGGAACTTTCATTATACAAGTTCAAGCTTGTGTCAAAATCTATATACACCTGTAACATAGAAGGCAACAATGCTATGTCCAGTCAGCTCATTCCTTTTATGGGAAACATTATCACCATAAAGTTGGTTGGCTTCACGGCTGCCTCAACAGGATCGTCAGTATTTATGGTTTTGTGATGAGTCCTTATAGAGAAAATAGCAGACAGAAAAGGAGCAGTCACTGGCACACAACTCCTACCCCTCAGTACCTTGCAATTTTTCCATTCCCCGAGGTGACTCACTCTTAACACAGCCCAGACTACTTGCCAGCAGTCAGGGCCACTATGTGTGCCTGGTGAGTAATGCTTTCCCCAGCGTGCATCCTCCCAGCTGCCTCTGACTGAACAAGTCATAAAAGGAAATCTGGGTAACCATTTTTAAGTTTTTTGTTTTTTTCTTTTTTTGAGACAGAGTCTTGCTGTGTCGCCCAGGCTGGAGTGCAGTGGTGAGATATCGGCTCACTGCAATCTCCACTTCCCAGGTTCAAGCAATTCTTGTGCCTCAGTCTCCTGAGTAGCTGGGATTACAGGCATACACCACCACACCCAGCTAATTTTTGTATGTTTAATAGAAACGGAGTTTCACCATGTTGGCCAGGCTGGTCTCGAACTCCTGGCCTCAAGTGATCCACCTGCTTCGGCCTCCCAAAGTGCTGGGAGCCACCGTGCCTGGCCCAGTTTTAAGAACACATGTCCCATCCTAAACACAAGGATAGCTCCTCTCAGCTCCCTGCAGGGACTCAGAGTTGTAATGAATTCCCTCTAATGGCAGCCAGGTGGCAATGCAGAAACAGGCAAAGGCAGAAAAGCCAATGAGTATGATTAAGCCCTTACTCTCTAAAATCTGGGGACCACAGCTTCTACTTTGGATAAAACAAAAAGTAATGGGCATGAAGCAGAGCCATCTGCTATCACACAGCATCACACCCTGTGGCACAGCCCTGATGAAAAGCCCAATCTCAGAAGAAGGAGGCAGCCTCTTAAGTATCTGTCCATCCATCCTTAGGTGTCCCAAGTAGTGGATGAGGAAAACGACAGCATCTGTTTTTTTGATTAGTGACTGGCACATTAATTGAAAAATGGACAACAGTTGTAGTTAAACTTTCTCCCAATAGATGTTCCTGGAGTATCTAATCCTTCAGACATGAATCTATGGAGTTAGTGCAAACATTTTGGAAACAGCTGCCAAGAGCTAGGTAAGTGAGAGAAGTGGAGGAAGGTCTTTGACACAGACAATTTACTTCAAAGCTATCTTAAGCAATAATAATTCCTGATAAATTGTCAAACAGGAAAACTTTAAGTAGGACCCAACTGGGCCTGTACTTTACTGCTAGGTTAAAAAAAAAAAAAAAAAAAGAAAGAAAGAATCACCCCAAATACATCATATCCAGTGAATTTTTAAAATTTTCTTAAAAATCAGAGCACCTTCAATACAGTTGCCTACATTTTTTCCCTACCTATAATCCTTGGGTCTCTGATGCTCATATATGCCTGGGAAGAAAACTATTATCCAGCTTAGTTTTTGTTGTTGTTGTTTTGGGGTTTTTTTGTTTGTTTGTTTTTGAGACACAGTCTCACTCTGTCACTCAGGCTGGAGTGCAGTGGTGCGATCTCAGCTCACTGCAAACTCCACCTCCCAGGTTCAAGCGATTCTCGTGCCTCAGCCTCCCAAGTAGCTGGGATTACAGGCACACCACCACGCCCGGCTAATTTTTGTATTTTTAGTAGAGACGGGGTTTCGCCATGTTGGCCAACCCAGTCTCAAACTCCTGGCCTCAAGTGATCCACCTGCCTCGGCCTCCCAAAGTGCTGGAATTACAGGCCACCGCACCACCTCCAGCTCAGTTTTTGACAAAATCCAGAATACTCAAGATCCTGATTTTTATCAAAAAGAGAGAGAAAGAGAAAAAGAGAGACAGCACAAGGCGGTGGCTCACGTCTGTAATCGCAGTACTTTGGGAGGCCGAGAGGGCAGATTTCTTGAGCCCAGGAGTTCGAGACCACCCTGGGCAACATGGCAAAACCCTGTTGTTATGAAAAAATACAATAAGTTAGCTGGGTGTGGGGATGCACATCTGTAGTCCCAGCTACTCACGCCACTACACTTCAACCTGGGTGACAAAGCAAGATTCCATCAAAAAAAAAAAAAAAAAACAAAAACAAACACACACACACACACACACACAAAAGAAGAGAAAGAAAGAAAGAAAAGACAAGAAAAGAGAAAGGAAGAGAGAGGAGAGGGGCGGGGAGGGGAGGAAAAAAGAAAGAAAGAAGAGAGAGAGGCAGCGAAGGAGGGAGAAAAGAAAAGAAATTACCTATGGCATACCTAATTACTAAAACCAAAAAGATATTGACAAAAATTTTCAACAAGAATGAAACAAAAAGCACTCTCTGGTTAACCTTTGATAAACCAGAATATCTAAATAAGCACATATCAGATTTTATCAATGCATTTAGACATTACAGAACTAGAGACGATTATAGGTCCAGTTCTGTTCTTGGCTTATTAAATGACTTCAGGATCGTTTAACTACACTGGATCTGTTTACTCATTCATAAAATGAGTTCACATTCTAGATCTCTAAATTCTTTTCCAGCTCTAAAATTCTGTGGTTCTGTGAAATATTTAGTTGCCTAGGTACTATGTTGATTGTTATCAATAACAAAAAAAATTACAAAGCCAGTCTTATGCTACTATCCTTTAAGAGCTTACAATCTAACTGGAGAAATATGTATACAGATAGTCTTAACATAAAGCAGTACAGGCTGTGTCAGGAGGGCAAGACTATAAGAACTCAGTGAATGGAACTTCAGAAATTCAGTCAATGAAATGGTCATTTCCTGTTGGGGAAGTCAAAAAAAAGGCTTCCATAGATAAGAAATATAACCTGGGACTAGAAGAATGTATAGGATTTCAACAGTCTGAAATAAGAAGAGTAAACACTCCAGGAGGAGAGATAGCATGAGGAAGAGAATGAAAAACAGAAAGTACAAGTGACACTAGAATGAACCACAGGGTTTGTGTATTTGGGTTGGGGTTGAGGAGGCTCAGAGAGAGGTAAGTAAATTGGGAAGATTAACTTCTGCCAACTTTGGGGTATCCATCACAAATTTAATAAGCACATTTAGCTCCCTTTCAGAAACCTCAGAAAAGTGACAGTAAGAGAATTAAAATGGCACAAACCCACAGAAAATAAGAATAAGAAATAGCAACAAAAGTTTGATACACTGGAGTGTGGATAAACAAATGGTCGAAAACTTAAATGTCAGCTTTCTTTCTCTCTGCTAAGTGCCTGCAGGAAATGGGCAACAATAAGAAACAAGGTAAATTGTACTGCAGAATCCCAGAAAGGCTCAGAAATTGGAAGCACCAGGAACCTCTGAAGACTTGGTAGGAGAAGGCATGCTGCAGAGTAAGGCTGAAAACAAGATTGGTTGGAAGTCTTCAGGCCCGTGTGAGGTCAGGAGCCAGGTGTCTCAGTGAAAACAGGGATATTAAATGAAATCTGACAATGGGCCGGGCATGATGGCTCACGCCTATAATCCTAACACTTTGGGAGGCCGAAGCAGGTGGATCACCTGAGCTCAAGAGTTCGAGACCAGCCTGGCCAACATGGTGAAACCCCGCCTCTACTAAAAATACAAAATTAGCTGGGTGTGGTGGCACGCACCTGTAATCCTAGTACTTTGGGAGGCAGAAACAGGTGGATCACCTGAGCTCAGGAGTTCGAGACCAGCCTGGCCAACATGGTGAAACCCCGCCTCTACTAAAAATACAAAATTAGCCAGGCATGGTGGCAAACACCTGTAATCCCAGCTACTTGGGAGGCTGTGGCAGGAGAATTGCTTGAACCTGGGAGGCAGAGGTTGCACTCCAGCCTGAGTGACAGGGTGAGACTCCGTCTCAATCAATCAATCAATCAATCAATAAACTTTGACAATGAACGATGAGGCCCTTCCAGACTGGCCAATTGCTCCACTTGGCCCAGAGCTCTAGCTACCAGAATTGGCCCCCAGATGGGAGACTGGCCAGTCTTTCCTGGGGAAACCAACCTCCTCTACCTGGTTATTCATTAGGAGTATACCAGTTAACGAGTCCCACCAATCAGCATTTTAGGGCCCAGCTCTTTCTTTTTTTATTTTTGGAGACAGGGTCTCACTCTGTTGCCCAAGCTGGAGTGTAGTGGCGCAGTCTCAGCTTACTACAGCTTCAACCTCCGGGGCTCAAGCAATCTGCCCACCTCAGCCTCCATGCGCCACCACATCCAGCTCATTTTTGTAATTTTTTGTACAGATGGGGTTGCCCAGGCTAGTCTTGAACTCCTGGGCTCAAGCAATCCACCTGCCTCGGCCTCCCAAAGTGCTGGGATTATAGGTGTGAGCCACTGTGCCTGGCCAGGGCCCAAGTCTTAAATGTGAAGATCACCAAGAAACATCAGACATTTTAAGAGAACTTCTAACATGAAAGACAGAGACCAAAATAAATAGAAGGAGCTCAGAAGAAACAGAGACAATGCTGGATGCAGAGGAAAAAAGAAAAGAAAGGGAAGGGAAGGGGAGGGGAGGGGAGGGGAGAGGAGGGGAGAGGAGGGGAGGGAAGGGAAGGGAAGGGAAGGGAAAGGGGAAAGAAGGAAGGAAGGAAGGAGAGAGGAGAGAGAGAGAGAGAGAGACAGAGAGAGAGAGAGACAGAGAGAGAGAGAGAGAAAGACAGCCTCTAATTAATATCCTTAGAGAGACTTAAAAGGCAGTATTAGCCAGACAATTGCTTGAAGCCAGGAGTTTGAGGCCAGCTTGGGCAACATAGCGAGATCTCATTTCTACAAAAAAATTTTAAATAATTTTTTAAAAAATCTGCTAGAAAGTGATTTGCAACCTAGAACTCTATACTCAAACTCTTAATCAAATGAAAAGTAGAATAAGACATTTTCAGATAAGCAAAGTCTCAAAAACATTTACCTCCCTTGTATCCTTTCTCAGGAAGCTAGGATATACCACAATGAAAAAATGGAGTACATCATGAAATACGACATCAGCTCTGGGAAACATGAAATCCAACAGGGAAGACAGGTGAGGGAATTTCCCCGTATGATAGTGAAGGGAAGTGCCAGGATGACAGCTTTACTAAAGGCTTTAAGAGCAACCCATCCAGAGTGAATAAGAGAAAGCTCCTGGGGGATGTCTCCAAATAGACTATTGAACTAAAAGATTATTTGATATGTTTCAACATACTGAGAGAGAAGTCTTAGAGTCCCATGAGAGAGTCTGAAGGTATGTACATAGATCAGTAAACAAGTGACAAAATATGGCAATTATTAATTCCAGGAAAAATTAAAAGTTGGTCCAAAAAGGAAATGTAATCATAGTATATTACATAGCTCACCTTTAAGCAATATTTATATAATCACAATAATCTGAACACTGAATATAACGGCAATAACGTGTGACTTTGGGAAGAAGGGGGAAGAGAAAGTGTGTACGTTAAGGGGGTAAGAATAAAAAAACTAAACCCTAATTTTCTGTAGTAGAATATCAACAGATAATGTTCAAAACCAAAAAAAAAAAAAAATCAAGAATCACTAGTAAAAGAGAAAGAAATATATTCTGGCTGTTTGTGTGTGCAGAAAAAAAAGAAACAGAAATGTGGCCCAGGTGTGGGGGCCCACACCTGCAATCCCAGCACTCTGGGAGGCCAAGGTAGGAGCATCATTTGAGGCCAGGAGTTTGAGACTAGCCTGGAGAACAAAACAAGACCCCCAACTCTACAAAAAGAAAAAAAAATTAGCCAGGCGCAGTGGTACACACCTATAGTCTAAGCTACTCAGGAAGCTGAGGTGGGAAGATCCCTTGAGCCCAGGAGTTCAAGGGTGCAGTGAGCCATGATCACACCACTGCACTCCAGCCTGGGTGGAAGAGTGAGACCCTGTCTCTTAAAAAAAAATAGTGGAAAATACAGATTATTTTTGTCATATGCCTTATAGTAATATTTTAACCTTTTAAAGTAAGAACATGTATAATTTTGATTTAATGTTATAGAAAGTTGGACTGGATTATGAAAGATCTTAAATGACAAGATGAGTTTGGATTTTATCCTATAGGTGAGCCCCTAAAAAAGTCATTTCTAGGCCGGGCGTGGTGGCGCGTGCCTGTAATCCCAGCTACTCGGGAGGCTGAGGCAGGAGAATCATTTGAACCAGGGAGTTGGTGGTTGCAGTGAGCCGAGCATGCCACGGCACTCCAGCCTGGTGACAGAGTGAGACTCTGTCTCAAATTAAAAAAAAAAAAAAGTCATTTCACCCCCCACCAAAACACACACACACACACACACACACACACACACAGAGAGAGAGAGAGAGAGAGAGAGAGAGAGAGAGAGAGAGAGAGATGTTCAGAATCCCAGCCCCCACATGGATTCCCTTAACATTCTGGAATCTGGTTAATTGGGTTTCAGATATTTCTCCCTTATCCACTCCTCTACCTCATGATTAAAGGCCTTTAGCTCATAACCAAAGGGAGAGAGGACCTGTATATATTATGTGGCAGGTACGAGTCTTGGGCTCAGACTCATCTGACAACGAGTCAGGTGGTGACTTCTGAAACAGCATCACCACAGATTACCCTCAGGGGGCTCCCAAATCAAATACACCCTAGGGAACTTTCTTCCCTGGGTCCTTCAGCACTTCAGGTTAAAAATCTCTTCTAATGATTTGTTATTTCATGAAGAGATACAGGGAGATGGCTGCTAGCAGGGAGGAGGAATATTGCTAACTAAGCCCCCGGAAAGTCCAGCACCCTTCTCTAAGAAGTAAGTTATCTGACTCATTTCCTTCTTATCCTACTCCAAAGATCTGTTTACATCCTACAGTGTACCTAGTAATATTGTCTAAAAACAAAACTCATGATCAGCCAGAAGAACGTAACAATTAAAGACTGTGTCAAGAAATAAATAAAGCTTTCCTTCCTCCCTTTCAAATTATAGTTGTTGTTTTTTAACTTTTCCTTCTTGCTTCTGATATATCTTGGGTTTATTTAAAAAAAAAATTTTTTTTTTTAAAGAAACTGGGCCTCTATGCTGTCCAGGCTGGAGTACAGTGACTACACAGGCACAATCATGGCACTATTCTATAGCCTTGAACTCCTGGGCTCAAGCAATCCTCCTGCCTTAGCCTCCCGAGTAGCTAGAACTACAGGTGTGAGCTACCATGCCCAGCTCTTCTGATATATCTTTTTCTTTTCTTTTTCCTTTTTTGTTTTTTTTTTTTTTGAGACGGAGTCTCGCTCTGTCGCCCAGGCTGGAGTGCAGTGGTGCCATGTCGGCTCACTGCAAGCTCCACCTCCCAGGTACATGCCATTCTCCTGCCTCAGCCTCCCGTGTAGCTGGGACTACAGGCACCCGCCACCACGCCCAGCTAATTTTTTTGTATTTTTAGTAGAGATGGGGTTTCACCGTGTTAGCCAGGATGGTCTCGATCTCCTGACCTCGTGATCCACCTGCCTCGGCCTCCCAAAGTGCTGGGATTACAGGCGTGTGCCACCACGCCCAGCACCAGCCCTGATACATCTTAAAGAGAGGTAGTATCTTCTACTTTTTTGGTGGTGTCCTATGCAGCCTAAAAGTCCCTTTTTCCAGGCCATCTTCAGATGAACGAGTTATAAGCACAAAGGCAGCAATTGATATTGCTAAGCCATCTCTCCTAAGACCTTCCTTGAGAGGCCTGAAACCTGAGGCAGAATATTATCAATGCTAGCCTCTCTTTTATCTTTGTGTAAATGGCTAATTTAGCCTCCAACCTCATAATCACACAGACTCTGGTAGGTGCATGATGATGACCAGGAGCACTCTTTCACAATCTTAATATAAATAACAGCCTGAATAACCTAACCAACTTTACTGCTTTGCGATATGAAAAGATACTAAGACTTATCCTGACTGAAACTCTCCATCCCGCCACCACACTCCGCCTCACCTTATCAGCTTCAACCATACAACACCATTGGAGGGCCCTCTACTCAAAGAAGAAAAACACCACCACCACAAGACTTAACTGGGCTTTGAGCAAAGATCTAGCTCTTGCCAAAATACTAGATGGAACTAGGGTACTTTTGGCAATAAGGTAAAAAATTCTGAGATCTGACCTTCTGATGTCAAGGCAAGTTCCCCTCTCTAAATATGTCAGAGGAAATGTCATGCCTTCAAACCAGCCAGTATGACCATGTGAGGCTCATTTCCAAGACACAGACCCTGCTAGCTATAGAACTGAGGCACACAGTGCAGGAACCCACACACGCCGCCCTGCATGAAAAAGAAGTCCATGACTAGCACAGGATGTTGTGAGCCATCTCACCCAGATACAAACACAGTATACCCAAGACATGCATAGACTCAACCATATGCTCTGAGGGCACATGAACAGCACTGCCCACACCAGGGCTCATGAAATAGGAACTAAAAAACAGGTGATGTTTCCTGTGATTTATGCTGGTCAATCATTCTGACTGCCCAGGCAGCCACACCATTTAATATCTTCCAGCAGCTCAATCAAGGTTCCTGTCTCCACCTGCTCCTGTGACATCATCCTGTCATTATATGTTCTTTGAAATTCCTTTGATGAAAAATGAGTCACTTCTTCCTGCCAACACAGGCCTGAGCCTCTTCCACACATGTCATTCTTTGGTAATCCTGTGGGGGCAGGGTGCCACCCAGAGGTTTCTGCAGCTACTCTCGCTATACCTCCCAAGAAAGAAGGCCTCAGAGCAAGATCAAACATAGCCTGGGGAAAAATGGGCAAATGATGAAAGAAGTGAGGATCTTGGTGGAGCTGGGTATGGGGCTGGGAAACTGCCTACTCCAGTGTGACACACAGTTTAAAGGATGAAGTAAGAACTAAGGTAGGGCACAGTCCCACTTAAAACTTGGAAATGCTTCAACTTCAGAGTGCTCACCTTAAAAGTTCGCTTCCTGATATAAAGTGCCATCATGTATTCTCCTGCAAAAAAATGATTGCAAACCTGTTTCTCACCTTGAAGATTTGGGGCAACAGTAACTTGCCTGCTCAAGACAGTGACAGTTCTGAAGCAAAATATTCAAGACAACTTCAAGATTCTCAGTGGCAGCAATAAGGGGCCCAATACAAACAGACAAATACTATTCATACCTACAAATCAGCCTAATATTTTTATAACAGCTTCACTGAGATTTGGTTAACATAAATTCACCCTTTTTAGGTAAACAATTCAATGGATATTTAAGTATCAGTATGTTCACAGAGTTGTTCAACCATCACCATTATCTAACTTTAGAACATTCCATCACCCCCTGAAGAAACCCTATATCAATTAGCAGTCACTTCCCATTCGCCCCTCCTCAACCCCTAGCAACCACTAATCTACTTATGGTCTCTATGGATTTGCCTATTATGTATAAATGGTATAAATGGAATCATACAAGCCTTTTGTGTCTGGCTTCTTTCACTTAGTCTAATGTTCTCAAGGTTGATCCATGTTAGCATCAATCAGTACTTCATTCCTTTTCACTGACAAATAATATTCTGTTGTATGGATATGCCACAGTGTGTTTATCCATTCATCAGTTGATAGATGTTTCAGCTGTTTCTGCTTTGGGGCTACTATGAATAATGCTGCTATGAACATTTATGTACGAGTTTTCTATGAATATATGTTTTCTATATTCTATGAATATAATATTTCTTTTGGATATATACTTTGGAATTGCTGGGTCATGTGGCAACTCTACTTTTTGAAGAACCACCAAACTGTTTTCTAAAGCAGGTGCACCATTTTATATTCCCACCAGCAATGTTGGGGGTGTTCCAATTTCTCCACATCCTCACTCTCTTTTTTATTAAAGCCATTCTAGTGGGTATGAAGTGGTATCTCATTGTGATCTTGATTAGCATTTCCATAATAACTAATGATGTTAAGCATCTAAGCATCTTTTCATGTGCTTATTAGCCATTTGTATATCTTCTTTGAAGAAATGGCTATATAAATCCTTTGCCCATTTTTTTATTGGGTTTTCTTTTTACTGTTGAGTTCAAAGAATTCTTTATATATTTTGGATATAAGTCCCTTATTAGATATATGATTTGCAAATATTTTCTCCCATTCTGTGAGGTGTCTTCATTTTCTAGGTAGTGTCCTTTGAAGCACAAAGGTTTTACATTTTGATCAAGTATAATTTCTCTATTTTTTTCTTTTTTGTGTATACTTTCAGTGTTAGCTACAAGAAACCACTACCTAATCCAAGGTCACAAAGATTTACCCCTAAGTTTTCTTCTAATAGTTTTGTAATTTTAGCTCTTATATGTAGGTCTATGTTCCACTTTGAGTTAAGTTTTATATGTTGTGTGAGGTCAGGGTTTAAATTCTTTTTTTTTTTTTTTTTAAGGTGGAGTCTTGCTCTGTTGCCCAGGCTGGAGTGCAATGGCGTCATCTCAGCTCACTGCAACCTCTGCCTCCCGGGTTCAAGCGATTCTCCTGCCTCAGCCTCCCGAGTAGCTGGGATTACAGGTGCCCGCCACCACATCCAGCTAATTTTTGTATTTTTAGTAGAAATGGGGTTTCACAATGTTGGCCAGGCTGGTCTCGAACTCCTGATCTCGTGATCCACCTACCTCTGCCTGCTAAAGTGCTGGGATTATGGGCGTGAGCCACAACGCCTGGCCAATTTCATTCTTTTGTATATGGATATCCAGTTGTCCCAGTATAATTTGTTGAAAAGACAATTCTTTCTACATTGAATTGTCTTGGCACCTTTATCACAAATCAATTTACCATAAATGTAAGGGTTTATTTTTAGACTCTCAATTCTATTCCATTGATCTATATGTCTATCCCTATGCCAGTACCATCCTGTCTTAATTACTGTAGCTTTGTAGTAAGTTTTCAAATCTGGAAGTGTGAGTCCTCCAATTTTGTTCTTTTTCAAGATTGTTTTGACTATTCTGGGTCCCTTGCATTTTCACATGAATTTCAGGAGCAGCTTGCCAATTTCTGGAAGAAGAGGAGGAGGAGGAAGAGGAAGACGAAGAATAAGAGGAAGAGGAGGAGGAGGAGAAGAAAGAAGAAGAAAAAACCCCACTGGGATTCTGACAGGGATTGCATTGAATCTATAGATCAGTTTGGGGAGTGCTGCCATCTTAACAATATTAAGTCTTCCAATGCATGAACGTATAAAGTAAAAGGCAATGTGAGCCACTCTTTACTAATACTCGGAAACTAAAATACTCAAATTTCCCTATGCTCTATCAAATATTTAGCACACTGGAGACCCCTGATTTGGAGGATCCCCCCAAAATAAGTAATATGCTAAAAAGATACTGATTACTGGCCCAGCGCAGTGGCTCACGCCTATAATCCCAGCACTTTGGAAGGCCAAGGCGGGTGTACCGCTTGAGGCCAGGAGTTCGAAGCCAGCCTGGACAACGTGGCAAAATCCCATCTCTACTAAAAATACAAAAATATTAGCTGGGCATGGTAGCACGCGCCTGTAGTCCCAGCTGCTCAGGAGGCTGTGGCACAAGAATCACTTGAACCCGGGAGGCAGAGGCTGCAGTGAACAGAGATGGGCTACTGTAGTCGAGCCTGGGCAACAGAGCCAGACCCTGTCTCAAAAAAAAAGATATTGATTAAAAAGTAACAGAGTGTCTTTTGTACTGCAAAGCAACAATTTTCAACAAGTTCCCAAAACAGCTGAACACCCTGAGACCTAAGAAAAAGAGACTTAGCCAACCATAGCCAGGGATGAGAGGAACAGCAAAGGCCCTGAGATCCGTCAGGCCCCACTGACCTTGGCTCATTCTACCTTAGTAAAAGGAAGAAGGATAGAATAATCATAATCCATTTCTCTATCACAAATGCGTCAAATATGTAAAAAAGTATCAAAAGAAGAAAGTACATCTTCTTTGTGTGTGTGCGTGTGAGGTGGAGTATCGCTCTGTTGCCCAGGCTGGAGTCTAGTGGCGCAATCTCGGCTCACTGAAACCTCTGCCTCCCAGATTCAAGCGATTCTCCTGTCTCAGCCTCCCCGGTAGCTGGAATTACAGGCATGAGCCACCACGCCCTGCTAATTTTTGTATTTTTAGTAGAGATGGGGTTTCACCATGTTGGCCAGGCTGGCCTTGAACTCCTGACCCCAAGTGATCCACCTGCCTCAGCCTCCCAAAGTGCTGGGATTACAGATACGAGCCACCATGCCTGGCCTATATCTCCTTTTATATCAATTGGCCACAACTCATCCCTAAGAAAAATAAATCTTTGCATTAGTACCAGAGTAGGGAACCAGAAATTTTATTAAAAATAGGCTTGTATCTTGCAATCTGGTTGAAAGAGGAAAAGCCATCATAATAAGTCTTCATCCTGCATTTATATAACAAATACTTTTTACTTAAATTTGTTTATTTAGAGCAGCTTTGAGGAGGGTGATGGAGATTATGGGGGTCTAAAAGCCCTCCAAGCTCCTTACTAGACTGTAATAAAAGCAAAGGAGAGCATAACTTCATTTTTTTAAAATTTCATTTTTGAAACAGAGTCTTGCTCTGTCACCCAAGCAGAAGTGCAGTGGTGTGATCTCAGCTCACTGTAACCTCCACCTCCCAGGTTCAAGTGATTCTCCTGCCTCAGCCTCGTGAGTAGCTGGGATTACAAGTGTGTGCCACCACACCTGGCTAATTTTTGTATTTTTAGTAGAGACGGGGTTTCACCATGTTGGCCAGGCTGGTCTCGAACTCCTGACCTCAAGTGATCCACCTGCCTCGGCCTCCCAAAGGGCTGGGATTACAGACATGAGCCACCGCGCCTGGCAGCATAACTTTAAACTATAATATATAAACTATACAATTAGCACTGGGAAAAACAGGCAAAAGGCTAACCGAGACAGTCTAAATTCTACCATCAACTCTGACCTCTTTGATCACACATAATTGAATGCCTACTGTGTGTGTGTCAGGCAATGCTCTTTACATATATAACTCTAATCCTCTCTAATTCCTATTCTTTCAGGTAGAAATTATCACCTCCATTTTACAGAACAGGAAACTAAGACTTACAGAGATTAAGTAATTTGTCCAAGATCACATAGCTAATAAGTAGCAGAGCTGGAATTCAAACCCAGGCCTCTTCAATTGCCTATCTAGTGCTTTTTCCACTAGTTCAATGGCATTCCAGTATCCTGACTCTCCCATGTATGGTTCATCCCAAAGACTTCCAGAAACAGAAGATGCAGAAGGGCAGCTAAGTCCCACCCCAACTCTGTTCTGAGTGGAGCAAGTTTTCCTAGAGCAACACGGGGTCTGGGGAAAGAAAGGAAGGGGTGGAATATGAGCAAAGACAAAGATGGACATCAGAAAATAAGTGTGTGGGGGAGTTCACCTTGCAGCTAAAAATGAAATTGAATAAGGGCAGGCAGCCCTGGCTAAGATAAGATGACTTCAGTCAAAACTGCAAACAAACCCTTTTCCTGATGACATCCATTTCTCCCCTGTAAACAGAAGTTAAAATATCACTTAATCACTGTTTAATCATTCTCCATAAGTTCACTGCAATTTAACTCCTTATGTTCTGACTGCCTCCAGCATGCTCCTAGACAATCCAGGAAAGGAACTAAAGAGACCATCAAGAGGCGGCTAAGGCTGACAATAAAGCAGAAAGAAACTTTCAATACGCATTAAGTCTCCAAAACCATTTTACCAGTTAGAAATTTTTTATATTATGATCACAAGCCACCTGATCTCTTGGCTTTCCAATCTGACACCTGATTCATGCCATAGCCATGCCTCATGAAGGAATTCCAGGAGTGAGACACCAGACCAGAATTTCACTCCTGAGGGTCAGGACTTTAGGACTGCTGGAATGTGCCCAGTAAAGACGTGGGGGTGTCTGGGCAGCTGAAAGCCTCCACACGGGAATTCAGTAAGGACAACTGCTGAACCCTGGGTTATGGATTTAAAAATAAACCTCAGTGACCCGCATGCCTTAAGAATCATTTGGGAAAGAACGTTGCTGAATCCAGCAACTATGTGCCCCACTGGGGTGAACTACAGAGAGGGAAAAAGAGAAAAATGCTTTTACTACCCCTTTCAAGGAGTATGATAGGACAAAAAGACAAAGGAAATCCAAAATTGGCTTCCCCAAGAGCAAAGACTTACAAACTACCTGTATTTCTATATTTCTTATATTTTAAGGTTTCAGGAAAGGTGTTAGTACATGTGCACTGTCTGTGAGGTACTAAGATTATGTTCAGTACATAAACGAATGAAAACCACCATGGCACATGTATACCTATGTAACAAACCTGCACATTCTGCACATGTATCCCAGAACTTAAAGTAAAATTTAACCAAAAAAAAAAAAAAAAGAATGTTGAAAAGGAAAATTACAATGTAAGGTAGCACACTGGCTGACCTTTATGGGCTTACTGAGGACACAAATATAACCTCATACTCCTCTCCTGGAATTTGTAAGGAGAAGACAATGGGGAATAAAGATTTCCCTGACAGCCTAAAGATTTCCCTGACAGCCCAGATTCTGCGGAAATCCCCCTCTCGGTGATCCCATTTCTCAACTTGATTGAAATAACTACCACCCAGATTCCTGGAAATTGCCATTTTACTTATTCAATGGGGAGTTTTATTGCCATGGCAGTGCAGCTTTCATAGCTACAGGATTTCAGCATTATGCTCACCCAAATGATTCTTAAAACTTAAGAGTCACTGAGAAAGGCCTAAGGGCACTTCAGAAAGCAATGGCTTTCCCATTCACCACAGCTTCTGGTATAGATGGCAAAGGAAATAGTGCCCGGAGCAAAACTGAGATGTTTCCCAGTTACCTCTTGGAGCTGACTCTCTGAAAGATGGTTATATTATCAATGCCAATCAGAAACTAGGCATGGAGATTACAGTCCTACCTTCCTCTATGAACACAAATACGCCTGCCCCCACCATCATCCCTCTCTCCATTAGCAATAACATTTACGAATGATATGTGGAGTGGCTCCTGGACCCCTCTCTGATGTTCCCTTTTTGCACAGCAAAATGATGACAGCCAGGGACTGATGATGCAGTTATTTGTACATTAGGCATCAATCTGGAAAACTCCTTCTATAGAAACAGTAGTTAGGCCGGGAAAGGTGGCTCACGCCTGTAATGCCAGCACTTTGGGAGGCCGAGGCGGGTGGATCACATGAGGTCAGGAGTTTGAAACCGGCCTGACCAACACGGAGAAACTCCGTCTCTACTAAAAATACAAAATTAGCTGGGCGTGGTGGCACATGCTACTCAGGAGGCTGAGGCAGGAGAATCGCTTGAACCTGGGAGGCGGGGGTTGTGGCGAACCAAGATTGCGCCATTGCACTCCAGCCTGGGCAACAAGAGCGAAACTAGGTCTCAAAAATAAATAAATAAAAATCTCCTTTTCTCAAACCTCTAGTCTGATGACAGCGATTCTCAGTCCTTAGGCCCCAACGTAGCTCTAAGATCTCTAGACTATCTCAAGAGATACTACATAATTCTCAAATATATCTTTGAAACCGGACTAATTTTAACCCTCTTAAAGCTTATATTACTTAGCATTTTTGTTAAAGGAAGGAACTGTAATAAAATTAAACAAAAGAAAAAAAGTCACAATTCAAGGATCTTACTAAAGATTACTCCTAGCCAAGGCTTCAACAGCAAGCAATGTGATTTGGAGGAAAGGCATTCAACTGTACATCAGAACCCTGGGTCATGGTTTAAGCTTGTCAATAACTAGTTATATCACTTGGCCCAAGTATCCTTTGACTTCTCCAGGTGGGCTCAGTTCCTCATCTATCTTTTCATGACACTATGAATTTGGGATTGATCTAAAAACCTATTGATCTAAAAACCTGACTATTAAACATCTAGAGATAGAACCAGTGATGCTTAGTAAGTATAACAAGAATTCATATCTAGCTCCCCAAGCATAAGCAGAAATTTTCTACAGAAAAATGACTAAAATGGGGGGAAAAAGAAGGAAAGAGCCTCATATGCAAGGTATAAGAATCAAAAGTTAGAGGACCTAAAAGGAGGAGAGTGGAAGCTATGATTACAGAATTTAAACGAAGAGGACTATTAGAAGTCTTCCCTTCCTACTCTCAATTCTCCTTTAAATAATTTTGAATAACGAAAATGACTAAGAAATGGGACAAGCTAACACACAAATAAGCATTCTGGGTAAGAGAAGAATTGTTGTGTGCTATAAAATGGATTTAGAAGAAGAAAGTGAGAATTTTTTTTTTTTTTGGAGACAGAGTCTCACTCTGCCACTCAGACTGGAGTGCAGAGGTGTGATCTCGGCTCACTGCAACCTGGGTCTCCCGGGTTCAAGTGATTCTCCTGCACTAGCCTCCCTCCTGAGTAGCTGGGATTACAGGCGCCTGCCACCACACCTGGCTTTTTTTTTTTTTTTTTTGAGAAGGAGTCTCGCTCTGTCGCCCAGGCTGGAGTACAGTGGCGCAATCTCAGCTCACTGCAAGCTCCGCCTCCCGGGTTCATGACATTCTCCTGCCTCAGCCTCCCGAGTAGCTGGGACTACAGGTGCCCGTCACCACACCTGGCTAATTTTTTTTTTTTTTTTTTTGTATTTTTAGTAGAGACAGGGTTTCACCATGTTAGCCAGGATGGTCTTGATCTCCTGACCTTGTGATCCACCCTCCTTGGCCTCCCAAAGTGCTGGGATTACAGGCGTGAGCCACTGCACCTGGCCACACCCGGCTAATTTTTGTATTTTTAGTAGAGAGAGGCTTTCACCACGTTGGCCAGGCTGGTTTCAAACTCCTGGCCTCAAGTGATTCGCCTGCCTCAGCCTCCCAAAGTGCTGGGATTATAGGTGTGAGCCACTGCCCCCGGCAGTGAGGATTTTTAAAAGGGAAGAAGAAATTAGAAAAACAGAAAGCAGAAAAGAAGGATAAAATACAATCACAACATACTTGCATTTAACTATGCAAACTTGACCAGGAAGAGAAAAATAAACAGTACAAAAGTTTGCTCACAATTCCACTCAATGAGGTTTTACACCAAAGTGAAGTTATTTACCAGGATGAACATGAGCATGAGATGAGAGGACTTGAATCTGAGACTTTAGCATGTCTAAGTCCGGTGTGCCTCTTCACATTGTGAGCATTCTGAATGCTGTACATGATTCTAGTTTTTGAGAATACTTATTTTTTCATATAAAATGTCTCCTAATTACAGGCCAACTATTTCATATGGTATTCCAACTTTGTTCTGGCATATACACAAAACCATGTTTATATACTTTAATTTCTGGGTCATTTGAGATATTTTCCATGATAATTTTGATTATTTGGAATCCTCACTTTATGTGTAAACTTTACAACCTAACCTCCTGCAGGAAGATGAGATTTTACTTTGCAAGAGAGGATGGAGCAAGGTGGGGGAGGGAGAAGGCAGCCAAGAAAGTCCTTCTAAAAACTAAAGACAATACAGAAAAGGGCAAGAAAGACACAAAAATCTAAATTTCTGTGCCACTTCCTTAGCCACTCCCAGCAATTTGGGGAAGAAGGTAGCAGTTTATAAAACAAACAGCCCAGAGACTTAGGGCAGGTCATTCTGCACATCTCTTACTATGGCCAGGGAAATGCAGTGGCCAGGCACTTGCCCAGAGCCTCCACTAGTGACATTCTCCAGACCTGGTAGTAGAGTCACTGGGACGAGACCCAGCCCTGAGGGTTTCCCCTTTTCCTACTAAGATATTTCTTGCTTCTCTTACTACTGTAAATTTGGAGGATCAGGGGCCCTTTCTCTATACCTTGGTTCAAGCTTTCCTGGGGCACAAGAAACATCACTACTCTCAGACAAAGACTACGAAAGTACACAACCCAACCCTCGCCCTTGCTTTTGCCAAAGAGTAGTTCTTCATGATGAAATTGATTCCCTTGTTGACATTCAACTAAGAAGACACTGAGCCTCTATGATGCGTCCACACAGAGAATAAATCTTTCCCTTTGCCTCTGACTGATAAAAAGTTAATGCCTAATGGGAATGTCTGCTTCCTTTTCATTCTATAAAAAAAAAGCCCTGACTTTGCTAACCCTAGAAAGCCACATTTGGAATTACTAATCGAAAAAATAAAGCTACACTCAGCATTTGCCATACACAGTAGCAGTAATATTTACTGGGATAAGCTCTTACTATGTGCCAGGCACTGTCCTAAGTATTTTCCACATATTAACTCATTCAATTCTCATTATAACCCTATGAAAATGGTCTACTATAATCCCCATTTTATAGTTGCAAAACTCTAGCCTAAAGAGAAAAGTTAAGTAACATGCCCCAAATCACACTAAGTGATAGAGTATGATTCAAGGTCAGATCAGTACAGCAGGTCCTTTGGGAACTACTGTTTTGGGTAGATTTCATAAAAGACAGGAAGAAAGAAAGGCTAGTAGAAGCAATGACCAAAAACTGGGTAGATTTTGTTGCTGTTGTTAATCTCTGCACAAATGTGCGGTAAAGCACGATTAAGTCTCCCTTAGTTCTATTTAGCTATCATTCCTTCCCCTACACCCCTTAAATACGGCACCTTCAGAGGCTCTGAAGTCTTCCCACAACAGCTTAAGAAAAAAAAAAGAGAGAGAGAAAAGGCAGCCTTAATCAAAAGCGCTTTTCTTCTGGCAAACAAAAGGCCTTGGTATTTCCACAGACAGACTAGTTATTCTTAACCCTAACCAAAGATTCTTTGGCAGAGAAAGAAATATGAAAATGTTAGGCTTCTGGGAATGGCCTGTGCTTTGGGCTCTTGTATCCCACTCAGTAAAGCCAGCCTACTGAAAAACAAACACAGCCGCCCCTCAGTAACTCTGGACCTTCAGTTAACTCCAGGGTCTAGGTCTGGAGAGAGAAATAACAGAGTCTCTACTCCTGATTGTCTAACCCTCTTCCCTCCCTGCCCAGAGGGGACTGTTCAACAGTTTTTCAAATACACTAGGAAAAACACATCTGAAGATACAGACACAGAACAATCAAATTCTGACAGTGAAGGAAATGCAACAAGTGGTAGGTGGAAGAGGATAGAAATCAGGCCTAAACCCTGAACTCTCTCACTAGCCTCTCTGCTTCTTACTCCAAATCTACAGGTTTGGCATTTCCTAAGTGAATGTTTAAGATCTAGCAATTGTTTCCAGTGCTTTTTCTTTCTTTCTTTCTTTTTTTTTTTTTTTTGAGATGGAGTCTGGCTCCATCACCAGGCTGGAGTTCAGTGGTGCAATCTCTGGTCACCGCAACCTCCGCCTCCCAGGTTCAAGTGATTCCCCTGCCTCAGCCTCCCGAATAGCTGGGACTACAGGCATGCGCCACCACATCCAGTTAATTTTTTGCATTTTAGTAGAGACGGGATTTCACCATGTTGGCCAGGATGCTCTCGATCTCCTGACCTTGTGATCCACCCGCTTCGGCCTCCCAAAGTGCTGGGATTATAGGCAAAGCCACCGCGCCCGGCCTCCAGTGCTTTTTCTACTCCACACTGGGTTTTGTAAGCAGTGTGTGGCCCTGAATGGTCCTAAGTGGTCTTTATTTTCCTAGCAAGGTAGAGAGAAATTAAAAGTATTCTGTTAAATGGGTCAGCAAGGACAAAAAAGGGAGGAGGGCTGTCTGCCAGAAGGCAAGAAGGCCCCAGCAGCACTAACCCAAGTATATCTGGGCTAACTCAGAATCTGTGACATGCCAACCTCACCCCTTGCATGAACACAGTAACGTTACTATAATAAAGTCTCTGAAGCTTTTATACTCAGTCAGTAAGCACCTTCTCCTTGCTGCCTTGCCCAGGATATAGTGAACAAAACTACTAAGAGGGCACAGGCCTGATGGCTCATCTCCTAGCAGCCAGGACTCTGTTAGAGTGGTGAACAAGAACAGCCACGTATGAAAAGTGGCAGCCTGGCCTTGAAATCCCCAGAGTGAGCAGACAAATTAATGTGTGATTAGTATCTATAATGGTACCAAATCTTGAGGAGTTAAACCATGAGGTAATAAGGCCCCACATGGCTCTGACCTCTGGATCCTCTCTGATTACTCTGGAAGTAGGTCCTATTCTTGTTCCCAGGCAGGTATGAAAGGCCCAGGGAGTGAAAGGCACTGTTTAGCCAAGCTCAACCCATGAGCAAGTTTCAAATGTCTGGCATATAGTAGGCTCTCAAATATTTGTTGAATGAATAAATGAATAAAACATTTCATCTTCAACTGCTATAATCAATTCTTTCCTACAGCCAAAGGGATAGAGGGATTATCAGAGAATTCTAGGCAGTGGGGAAAAAAAACTTTTCCCTGCCACTCCCTGGATAACATGGTCTTATTTTGCAAAGAATAATGCTCCCTTCTATATAAAATTCATTACTTGACTGTCCTCCCACAGAGCTGGATAACAGTCCACACTATCCTAAATCAAGCACAATGGCTCTTCTGCAGCTGATGTGCAACATTCAGAGTCCCCTGAAAGATGGCAGAGCACACTCAGGGAGGTTTCCACCGTAGCATTTTAAAAAATAATAGCAACTTGAAACAATCCAAATATTCAACAATAAATGAATGGCTAAATGAAGCCATTATCAACAAGATAACTTAAAATTATAATGTCTGGGCCGGGCGTGGTGGCTCACGCCTATAATCCCAGCACTTTGAGAGGCTGAGGCGGGCGGATCACGAGGTCAGGAGATCGAGACCATCCTAGCTAACATGGTGAAACCCCGTCTCTACTAAAAATACAAAAAAATTAGCCGGGCGTGGTGGCGGGTGCCTGTAGTCCCAGCTACTCGGGAAGCTGAGGCAGGAGAATGGCGTGAACCCGAGAGGCAGAGGTTGCAGTGAGCCGCGATAGCACCACTGCACTCCAGCTTGGGCGACAGAGCGAGACTGTGTCCAAAAAAGAAAATTATAATGTCTGTAACGAAACACTTAAAAAATCCTTATAATGTTACATGGAAAAGGCATGTAAATATGTGCATATGCTAAGTGAAAGAAGCCAGAGACAAAAGGCCACATGACTAAATTTATATAAAATATCCAGAATGAGCAAATCCAGGGCAGGCAAGTCACAAAGCTGATTAGTGGTTGCCAGGGGTTGGGGAGAAGGGGAATTACTGCTTAATGGATATGGGATTTCCATTTGGGATCATGAAAAAGTTCTGCAATTCAATAGTCATGGTGTTTGTACAATATTGTGAATGTACTTAATGTCAATGAACTGTACACTTTAAAGTACTTACAATGATCAATTTTTTGTCATGTGTATTTTACCACAATAAAACTGGATCGGGAGAAAAATACACACACACATACACACACACACACACACACACACAAACAGAAAGATTACAATTATGTAAAAGTAAATATGGACCAGAAAGGAACGCAGACAAGTCCCAACGTCTGTTAAATTCAAATGGGACTTCATTGCTGTTGGACCACAAATAAAAATCACGAAAGGAAAATAAAAATGTCAGAAGCTTAGAGCCAGCCCTACAGTCACAATCACAAGCCTGCAAACAAGTGCCTACCAAGTGGGGGACAAGTTACATAGCTACCAGGCGCCAGAACAGCAGGTGTGTGTGCTATGGCGTGAGGGAAAGAGGTCTCAGGCCTTCCTCAGCCCAGTCCTCTAATCCCTCTTAAAAACATTCCCTAGTGCAAAGAAACCATCTGTTTCAACAAAGCCTGGAGCCCTAGAAGCATTTTAACTCCTTCACTGCTGTCCTCCCACAGATGGGCTTCATCCAATATTAGGTGCTTTGCTTTTCAAAAATGCCTCTAAATGATAGAATATAAGCTCTACAAGGGAAAGGACTTTGCTTTATTTACTGGTATATCCCTAATACCTGGGAATACATTTGTATCAGTGGATATTCAATAAATTACCTGCTGAATGAATCCATTAAACACCTTTTTCCTATAATAGTCGTTTCACTGATATCTTATTTTCTAAATTCTCCCTCTTCTTGTCATTTGTCCTCACTTAGAGTCCTGCCTGGCTTCCACAAATTCTGTTGACCAACAAATATTTGTCTAGTGTCTCCTTCTCTACAGTATAACCTGTCTTGTTTCTGTGTTGTTTATTGCTGGGATCCCAGTGCAGAGCACAGCACACATGGTAGGTGCTCATACACATTTGTCGAATGAAAGAGTGATTGGCTTTGGTCACCACATTTTATAAGTGCTCTGTAAGGAGCATTTAAACTTGGCTAGGCATGAGCGAGGCACCGTGGGAATAATAGAAATGTCTATAAAACAGTTCTCTCAAAAAAGCTTACCATTTCAATAGATAGATAAAACTAGCTTGGGAAAGTGATACATCAACTTGGACTACGATAATCAGAGAAGTCTTCATCAGAAGAAAGACCTGAAGTGAAACTTGAAGGAATAGACAGATTTCAGTTAAGTATAAAGAACAAGGGCATTCCAGGTAAAGAGAACTAAAGGGCAAGGAGAGGCTGGGCACGGTGGCTCACGCCTGTAATCTCAGCACTTTGGGAGGCAGAGGCGGGCGGATCACAAGGTCAGGAGATCGAGAACATCCTGGCTAACAAGGTGAAACCCCATCTCTACTAAAAAATACAAAAAAAAAAAAATTAGCTGGGCATGGTGGCAGGTGCCTGTAGTCCCAGCTACTCGGGAGGCTGAGGCAGGAGAATGGCGTGAACCTGGGAGGTGGAGCTTGCAGTGAGCCGAGATCACGTCACTGCACTCCAGCCTGGGCAACAGAGCGAGACTCCAGTCTCAAAAAAAAAAAAAAAAAGAAAGAAAGAAAGAAAGGGCAAGGAGAGAGAATGAATGAGGGAGGATAAGACACAATGAGGAACAGGGTTTGTGTGGAACTGAAGGTGTGTTCTAGGAAAATAAGTGAGATAAGCCTGGTTAAGTAGGAAGGGGATGAGAGCATAAAATGTCTTTTTTTTTTTTTTTTTGAGACAGGGTCTTGCTCTGTCCCCAAGCTACAGTGCAGTGACAGGGTCATGGCTCACTGCAGCCTGGACCTCCTGGGCTTCAAGCAATCCTCCCACTTCATCCTCCTGAGTAGCTGGGACTACAGGCACACACCACCAGGTCTGGCTACTTAAAAAAAAATGTTTTTTTCTTGTAGAGACACAGTTTCCCTATGTTGCCTAGCCTGGTCTCAGACTCCTGACCTCAAGCAATCCTTCTGCCTCAGCCTCCAAAAGTGCTGGGATTACAGGCATGGGCCACCAGGTCCAGCCATAAAAGGTCTTTGTAACAAATTTAGACTTTCAGTAATAGGAAATACTAGGAAAGTAGCTGCTACTTCGGTGTTAACTGAAGAGAGAAACAGGACACAGAAAACAAAATATGAGGCGGTTGCTGTAATTCAGGTACAAAGTGATAAGTGACTGGACTAGAGTCATGGAATAGAGAATGGGGAGAAAAAGACAAATTTAAGAGAAACTCTGAAGAACAAAAGAACTCAATGACAGATTGAAAATGGGGTTGATGAAGAGAAAAGAGTTAACAGATGTCTGCAAGGTTTCTAATCTCAGAGACTGGAAGAATGTGAGTTCAACTGTCAAAAAATGGGGACTAGGATAGAAAAGCCAAATTTAAGCTTGGTTTGAAAATACTGAGTTTGGGCTGGGCACAGTGGCTCACACCTGTAATCCCAGCACTTTAGGAGGCCAAGGGGATGGATCACTTGAGCCCAGGAGTTTCAGACCAGCCTGTACAACACACAGAGACCCCCATCTCTACGATCAACCGATCAATCAGGCAATAAGAAAATTTACTTATACTACTCTGTTTAATCCTCATAATTTTATATGGAAGATATTATTATCCCCATTTTACAGATGAAAAAACTGAGGCTCAGGAAAAGTGAGTAACTTGCCCCAGGTCACTCAGCTGATAAATGTAGAAACACAGATTTGAGCCAGGCGCAGTGGCTCACGCCTGTAATCCCAGCTCTCAGGGAGCTCTGCAGAGGCGGGAAGATAGTTTGAGCCCAGGAGTTCGAGACCTGCCTGGGCAATATAGCGAGACCGTTCTCCACACACACGCACACACACAAAAAACATATATTTGAACCCAGCCCTGCCTGGATCCAAAGCCCATGTTCTTCCCACTTCACTACACTGCCTTACCCCTTAGAAAACTGCCACAGTTAAGAGTCAGAAGAAGAAAAAGACCCAACAAAGCAGACAAACAGCAATCAGATAGGTTAAGGAAAACCATGAAATACTCTCATTGAAGGTAAAAGAAGAGAATATTTTAAACAGGCAGGGATGTAATCAATTGTGTCCAATGCCAGTACTCCAAAACAGAATGAAGTTGGCACTTCAAATCTATCTGTAAAAAGTTATGCAAAGATGGAGCCCTGGACCAGGGAGAGTAGACAAGAGATCTCAGAGGAAACAGAGGCCCTGTCCAGAGCTAAACGGGCTTCTTCTCTCCTCTTATCACTGATAGACACCTTGGGTCACTACTCTTCAGCTACTACACAGGCCTCATGCTGAAGTGCATCACCTGACCAGTCCCAGGAAATACCAACCCAAACACAAAGCATTGCACAACATAAGGGTCAAGCTGAACTTGAGCTGTGGGGGTAAAGTGGATCTCCAGTTCCAGCTAACATTCAACATAAAATATTTTTAAAAACCAAATTCTCTCTCTCTCTTTTTTTTTTTTTTGAGACGGAGTCTCGCCCTGTTGCCCAGGCTGGAGTGCAGTAACGCAATCTCAGCTCACTGCAACCTCCAAAGCCTTGGCTCAAGCGATTCTCTTACCTCAGCCTCCTGAATAGCTGAGATTATAGGTGCCTGTCACCACACCCAGCTAATTTTTTTTTTTCTTTTTTGAGACAGAGTTTCACTCTTGTTGCCCAGGCTGGAGTGCAATGGCATGATCTTGGCTCACCACAACCTCTGCCTCCCAGGTTCAAGCGATTCTCCTGCCTCAGGCTCCTGAGTAGCTGGGATTACAGGCATGCACCACCACGCCCAGCTAATTTTGTATTTTTAGTAGAGACAAGTTTTCTCCATGTTGGTCAGGCTGGTCTTGAACTCCTGACTTCAGGTGATCCGCTCACCTCGGCCTCCCAAAGTGCTGGGATTACAGGCATGAGCCACCGCGCCCGGTCTAATTTTTGTATTTTTAGTAGAGATGGGGTTTCACCATGTTGGACCAGGCTGGTCTTGAACTCCTCAGGTGATCCACCCGCCTCAGCCTCCCAAAGTGCTGGATTACAGCCATGAGCCACCACACCCAGCCCAAATTCTCTTTTAGAAAGATTTCACATCCCTGGCTGTGTGCGGTGGCTCAAGCCTGTAATCCCAGCACTTTGGGAGGCCGAGGTGGGTGGATCACCCAAGGTCAGGAGTTCAAGACAAGCCTGGCCAACATGGCAAGACCCTGTCTCTACTAAAAATACAAAAATTAGCTGGGCGTGGTGGCAGGCGCCTGTAATCCCAGCTACTCGGGAGGCTGAGGCAGGAGAATCACTTGAGCCCAGGACACGGAGGTTGCAGTGAGCCGAGATTGTGCCATTGCACTGCAGCCTGGGTGACAAGAGCGAAACTCCATCAAAAAGAAAGATTTAACATCCCTGCTCTTTACTTCTCTCACCTCTTTGCATCCTAAACAAACTAAAATCAGGTACATACTTACTGGCTTAGCTATATCCCCACTTCCCTGTAAATGATCCCTATAAATGATCTTTCACACTGCTGCCAGTTATCTCTCCCCACCCCACCCCTCAAAAAATACCCACCCTAGTTGTTTATGTCATTCCTCTGTCTTAAAAATATCTAGTGCTGGCCAGGCACAGCTCACGCCTGTAATCCCAGCACTCTGGGAGGCCAAGGCAGATGGGTCACCTGAGGTCAGGAGTTTGAGACTAGCCTGGGCAACATGGTGAAACCCCGTCTCTACTAAAAATACAAAAAATCAGCCAGGTGTGGTAGTGGGCAAATCCCAGCTACTCAGGAGGCTGAGGCAGGAGAATCGCTTGAACCCAGGAGGCGGAGGTTGCAGTGAGCCAAGATCGCACCACTGCACTCCAGCCTGGGCAATAAGAGCGAAATTCCATCTCGAATGAATGAATGAATGAATGAATAAATAAATAAATAAATAAATAAATAAATAAATATCTAGTGCTGGCAGGGCATGGTTAAATAAATAAATAAATATCTAGTGCCAGTAGGGCATGGTGGCTCACACCTGTAATCCCAGCACTTTGGGATGCCAAGGTGGGCAGATCACCTGAGGTCAGGAATTCAAGATCAGCCTGGGGAACACGGTGAAACCCCATCTCTACTGAAAATACAAAAATTAGACCAGCATGGTGGCACACGCCTATAATCCCAGCTACTCGGGAGGCTGACGCAGGAGAATCACTTGAACCTGGGAGGCAGAGGTTGCAGTGAGCAGAGATATGCCATTGCACCCCAGCCTGGGTGACAGAGCAAGACTCCATCTCAAAAAAAAAAAAAAATCTAGTGCCCTCTACAGTCTCCCCACTAAACTATATGGGGCTGATAATCCCTCAAAGACAGGGACTATCAATAATCTTTGTATCCTGTCAGAAAGTTCTCAATGAAAGGAAGGAAGGAGATGGAGACTTCCAGTAAATGCAACAGGAAACATGGAACATGATCAGGGAGTGAGGCAATTAAGTTGATAACAGATTGTAAAAAAGTGATCTTCCAAATCAAAGGATTTCAAACCAAGAAGTCCAAAAGGTTCCTGCCATTCCACAATGAGCAAAAGATGCTATTTAACAACTGGTATTCATTGAAAGTACCATCCCCACAGTTGTTACAATGAGTAATCAACATAAAAGTAGTATTATCAGCCTGGGGTTTCTCCAACAACCAATAGAAACCACAGCAGCATAGTGAGGATGAAGGCCTTAACCTTTCAATACTAATGCCTACATGACAAGAAAACAAAATCAAGGATGAGGGGAAAATGGTATTGTATGCTTGTTAGCTATACAGGCTCACTCTTTGAGAAATAGGGATCGTATAACAACCATCTCCAGTTGTAACAAAAAAAATACACATTGCAAAAACAGCAGCAACTGAAACCAACCCCAAAGTGAGTTTGTGCTGATGACCCTCTCTAGCCCAGTGACATGCAGTAAGCCTAAAAAGTATACAATTAAGGAGAGAAAAAACTTTAACAGGACAAAACTATCAACTATCCAAATAAGCACATGGTCTACTAGGTGCCTAGTGCTGTAAAAGGTGTTGACAGGCCTCACCCCAGAAGCATGCAGACTTCCAGATTCCCTGCAGTGGAGAGAATCGCCCTTTTATGACAGCTTTGCTTAAGGGCTCTGGGAATGGGAAAGGCACACAGTTCTCACTATGAAGGATGCAGGACGCAAGCCTGTCAGTGACTCAAGCCATTTTCCACTATCCTAACTGCTGCAGAGACTTTCTTATTGGCCCCCTACACACAAAGTCCTACACATGTGCCTTCTTTCAGTTCTCCAGCTAACCTCCAAATATCCCCAGTCTATCATCAGCTACAAAACCTCACGTTATCTGCTCCAGGATGTCCACTCCAAGTCAGAAACAAGGATGTACTCTCATCAAGTCTATAATTCTACTCTAAGGCTATCAGTCCCACATAACAGAAGCTGATTTGCACTTGGCTGTAATACATTGATTTAAAACACAGCACCAGTTCTAGTTCTTCCAGAGGCAGAAATCTACCAAAGCAGGGGTGTGTTGACACAGTAAAGTTTGTCAACCTATTTTATCAAATTAAGCTGGCCCAATTTATTACCTCGGTGCTAGCTCAGTAACAGCAAGAAAACAAAGAGAATCTCAATCTGGTACCAATCCAGGGTTCCAATGTGGGATTCCTGTACAATATTGATGGTCATTCTTGCTACTGCAGTTTCCCAATCAACATTAATGGGTCCCTTACCACTACAAGAGAAAAGGGTACTAGGGTTGGAAGGATCAATGAAGCTATTTAAATGCCTAGAGTTGCTGTGAGAAAAGCTTCAGAGTAAAGCAGTGCAGTGATATGATGATGACATGATGGGAGCTGCTGACTAAGTGAGAAGGCCACTTGGCCCCTGTTCTACCATGAAATTAACTGGATAATAAAACATCTGAGCCAACTGGCCACTAAGCCTGAAGACAGGGCCATCCCTAGAGGACAAGGGGCCAAGAGCTATCAGAGAGGTATTCAGTGTTACAGATAGCCTCTTGTTACCCTCAGTAGCCTTTAAAAGTGAAATAAAATTAAAAGCCAACATCCAGAGCTTTGAATATATGTATTAAGACCCAGTGATTCCACTTGTGGAAATCCATCCTTAAAAAAAATCAGAAATGCACAGAAAAATTTATTTACAAGGATGTTCGTTATCATAGCAGTGAAAAATTAGCAATGTACATGCCCCGCTACTGGAGTATGTTAAATAAATGAACCTTCCATTTGATGGAATTCCATAAAACTGTAAAAAATCATGATGTAGATAAAGGTATAAAGAATGCTCACAAAATAATAAAGAGCAAGACAGAGAACTACAACAACAGATATATATAAAAGCAACATTATATACACATGGATAGAGAAAAGATGACAGAAATACAGCAAAATATGAGCCTAGTAATTTGTAGGATTTCGGTGATTTTATTAGTTTATTTTTCCCTGCTTTCTATAAGGACAATGTAGTCCATCATTTAACATCAGAAAAAAAGTCAAAAAAGTCTTTTTTCCAAGCCAAGTTGAAGAGGGGAAAAAAGCACCCCCTTAAAAAAAGAATTCACTCTCTGAGGGTGTATGTTGGGGTGTGAAAGCTTGTCCTGCTTGACTGTATGTGGTAACAGGGGACAGGCTTCTCAGAAGGCAGACTAAGTGGATGTCCCAAGTAAAGCTCTAAGATAATGAGAAACATGATCTGACAAATGTATCAGAACTAAGAGAACCAAAAAGGACCATGTTCTTTCTCAGTAGTCACTTTTTCCACTTATTCAACAATACTGTTGCTGTTCAAAATACCTGGAACCCCTCATCTG
The DNA here is from genome assembly GCF_000001405.40 of Homo sapiens. Lineage (NCBI taxonomy): Eukaryota > Metazoa > Chordata > Mammalia > Primates > Hominidae > Homo > Homo sapiens. Next base: position 39,163,526 of record NC_000001.11, on the reverse strand, counting down.
GAACTACCTACAGACTAGTAGTACCATCTTTCCAATGTTTTCAATAGTAGTGCATTTTCATTCTTTGAGATTGGGTTTAATTTTGTCTTGGGTAATATCATCTTTTGACCAAAAATTAGGTATGACTATAAAATGACTATGGAGTTTCTTTTTTTCTTTTCTTTTCTTTTTTTTTTTTTTTTTTTTGAGACAGTCTTGCTCTGTCACCCAGGCTCACCTATGATCTCAGCTCACTGCAGCCTCCGCCTCTTGGATTCAAGCGATTCTCCTGCCTTAGCCTCCTGAGGAGCTGGGACTACAGGCACGCACCACCACACTCGGCTAATTTTTGTATTTTTAGTAAAGATGGGGTTTCACCATGTTGGCCAGGATGGCCTGGATCTCCTGACCTCGTGATCCGCCAGCCTCGGCGTCCCAAAGTGCTGGGATTACAGGCGTGAGCCACCATGCCCGGCGACTATGGAGTTTCTTATGAGGGTCATAACCTGGCACTGAAGAGAAAACCCACAAAAAGCATGCTTAAATAAAAGTATGCAGCATAGGCACCATTGTTAGAATATTTTTTTAACCTCCTATGGTGACTACTGAAGGACATTTAAATATATGAGTTTAGTTCAATTCAATTCCCCCAAATACTCTTTTTATGCTTACTATGTGCCAGGCACTATGCTAGGTAAAGGAGACTCAAGGATAAATGAGACACAGTTCCCGCCTTTAGAAACAGTATCGCTAACATCTATCAGGCTCCTAGTCTGCATCAGATGTTATATTCACTATCTCATTTAATCCCCACAACATCTTGTAAAGTAAATTCTATCATCCCCTTTCTTACAAATGAAAAAACTGAAGCCTATGAAAGTTATAGAAAACTTGACCAAGCAGTAAAGACTAGCAGGAAAATCAAATGTTTAATAAAATAACTAAAACATAATGTGATATGCTCTAAAACAAGTATGTTTAAAGTGCCATGGCAACATAGATGAGGGAGAGAGAATAATTCTACTGGGAATACAAAAACAAAAACAAAACTTACGGAAGGAAAGTGAGACTTGAGCTAGGCATTGAAAGATGAGCAGAAATTTGGTACAAAGAGAAAAAAATAATGGGATTCCAGGCAGAGGAAATAAGACAGTATATGCAAAGGAAGAGAAGGGTAAAATTACATAGGTATGTTGGGGTATACTTCTTTTTTGTTTTTAATCTATCTATTTACTTAAGCGACAGAGGCCGAGCACAGTGGCTCACGCCTGTAATCCCAGCACTTTGGGAAGCCAAGGCGGGCAGATCACTTGAGGTCAGGAGTTTGAGACCAGCCTGGCCAACATGGCGAAACCCCATCTCTACTAAAAATACAAAAAATTAGCCAGGCACAGTGGCTCATGCCTGTAATCTCAGCTACTCAGGAGGCTGAGGTACAAGAATTGCTTGAACCCGGGAGGCGGAGATTGCAAAAAAAAAAGACAGAGAGACAGGGTGTACTCTGTCACCCAGGCTGTAGTGCAGTGGCATGATCATAGCTCACTCCAGCCTTGAAACCCCCAGCTGAAGTAATCCTCCCACCTCAGCCTCCTGAGTAGCTGAAACTGAAACTATAGGCGCACACCATCATGCCCGGCTAGTTTTTTTTTTTTAATTTATTTTATTATTAATTAATTAATTTGAGACAGAGTCTCGCTCTGTCGCCCAAGCTGGAGTGCAGTGGCACGATCTCTGCTCACTGCAAGCTCTGCCTCCCGGGTTCACACCATTCTCCTGCCTCAGCCTCCTGAGTAGCTGGGACTACAGGCGCCCGCCACCACGCCTGGCTAATTTTTTTGTATTTTTAGTAGAGACGGAGTTTCATCATATTGGCCAGCCTGGTCTCAAACTCCTGACGTTGTGATCCGCCCGCCTCAGCCTCCTGAAGTGCTAGGATTACAGGTGTGAGCCACCGTGCCCAGCCACCGGCTAGTTTTTGTATTGTTTTTTTGTTTGTTTGCTTGTTTTTAGAGACAGGGTTTTGCTACTGTTGCCCAGGATGGTCTCAAACTCCTAGCCTCAACTGATCCTCCTGCCTCAGCTTCCCAAAGCACTGGGATTACAGTCATGAGACACTGCACCTGGCCATTATATTTCTGTTTTAAAAGTCAGTTATCTCATAGTCCTATCATAAATTTTTCTTAGTAAAGGCTAGTGAACCACTTTCTCACCACTCTACTTCACCTACCTCTCTGCTTCCCTAATTAATCCCTAATTACCTACTTATCCCAGTCATGGCACAGGTCTGGACTCTGCCAAAAATCAGGACTCGGGCCAATAGTTCAGCCTGTCATACCCATGAGAGAGGTCCATCTGGCCAGAAATCACCCCAATAACTAAGGTTTTTGACAGGCTTGAGAAATATAAGTTAAAGCCCTCCAGAAAAAGCACGAGCAGTGGAAAATATTGCACCCCAATTCTGGATCAAAACACCAAAAATTCATAGGAATTTGGGGATCAGAACTTCAAAAACTTGTACAATGTCTCTATTCTCCCACTGGATTCCCTTCAACAGTTACCCACTAGATGGAGGAATGTCTACAAGCTGAACCATGCCAAGAAAAGCAACAGTCAGTAACTAAATGAAGAGGGGAGCCAATTACCTCTTTCCATCAGCCCTTCTGGAATACACAAAGATATTAAGTGAAAAGAAGAAGGGAAGTAACCATTCACCTTAATCAGGGGGCACAGTGGGTGAAACTCAACCCACAGGAGGATTTGACAAAGGCAATGGTTTGTATCTAACTCTCTGCCTGGCAGCCCAGAATTGGGGGAATAGTTGTCTAAGACCTATAGCAACATTCCAAAAAATGATAAGGACTAAACCAAAAAAACTACATGTCCTCTTTCCAGGAACTTCTCCCACCTGAAAAAGACTCAGGTTGCAGGAGCAAAGAAGAGTTTAAATCTGATCCTTTCTTTGGGTCAACAAGAGAAACTGCTATATATTGTATGTTTTATGCTATAAAGACTATTATACAGTGTATATAAGTGAATGAAGCAAACAATAGTGAATGAAAGATTAGAAAACAGAACTCCATTCAAGGTGAGTAGTAGTGTGGAGAGAAAAGATCTATTACCTTCACTCTAAAGCCCCATACTACAGCTCTTTGTCTCAGAGAGGAAGGTGCATTTACACATATGCTTAGTCAGATGTGGGTATTCTTCCCTTCTTCACATGGTCTCTAGCACCAGAGAGCAGCACTCTTCTCACTCCAGACTCTGGGGCTCTTTGCTGTGTTATTTGGGTTCTGTACCTCTAAGATGAACTCAGAGTGATCCTTCCACCTCAGCTTCCCAAGTAGTTAAGGGTACAGGTGCATATCACCATGCCCAGCTAATTTTTTAACATTTCTGTAGAGATGGGGGTCTCATTATGTTGCCCAGGCTGGTCTAGAACTCCTGGGTTCAAGCGATCCTCCCATCTCAGCCTCCCAAAGTGTTGGGATTACGAGTGCGAGCCACCATGCCCGACCTGTATATCCCTTTATAGCATACAAAGCTCTCCATATATATTTCTTAGAACCAGAGTTCTTCAACAGATAGTGAAAGAAAGTAAAACATCTACATACCCTGGCAAGAAGGGAGTACAGATCTCCTGCCCACACCCTGTCTGCCACTTTCCTCATCCCTGAAAAAACCCAGTTTACTCCTTTCCTCCCTCTACCCCCTCCCACTCTCTCCACACCCCATGGTTGCTCTGGGTCCAGAATCCTAACTACTGATGAAAGAAAAATGGTTTAAGCACCCTCCTCTGCAAATGGAAATAAAACCACTTATTAATTAGAGAAGGGAAAGTAAAAAGATTTCATTCATTTTTCTCTTTAATATCCAAAAAGAGTCCTACATCACATCTGAGTACATTCTTCTCATGTCTGGTCAGTGAAGAATTTGCCCATGATGCAAAGAAAACACTATTTCCTTTAAAACTTTAATAAAAAGCTTCCTCTTTCAAAGTCATTGTTTTACTCTTTACAAAGGCTTACTTTACAATGGGCTTACAAATAGCCCATCAACCTGCATTCCTCCCTCCACCCTCCTCCCCACTCCCAACTCCAGTTCTCTCCAAATGGGACTCTGACTCACTGTAGACACAAGCAACTGGAAAACCTGGCCCAAGAAACATAACTACACCTAGGTGAGGCTGCAGGGCCCTATGGCAAGAGCCCTCCACCCACACTGTCTGGCCACCTCAAAGAAAACAGGGAGTGCCCTGAGCCCTCTGAGCTCAAGAATACAGGGGACATTTCTTACTTGTCCGTTCAAGCAAGACAACAGGCTGTTGCTGAAGTACCTAAGGAGATTCTCTCCTACTCACTTAGGATTGCATTTACAAACTCTATCCCTTCTGTTTAATTGCCTAAACGCATAAAAAATAGGGCCAGCTCAGAGCAGGAGGGTTTTACAGACCCTATACAATACACACCATAATAAGTGCTCACACGATCAGCAAGGACAAAGGGTAGGGAGCCTGAAGCCTTGTAATACCTCTAAGGTTGTTGAGTCCCTCCAGGAACTTCTGATACTTGTAAGCGTTCATGCCCGGCCCAGTTGAGTTGGTTCACTGGCTGAAAGTAGGCACCATGGCACAGTGACAGCTGAGAAGTGAAAGCATGCAAACCGAATGATCTCTACTCCCGCTTCTACTAGCCCCCAAGAACTGGACTTTGACCACATTTACAAGTGACGTCACCAGAGAAGCCTCATTACATTACAGCCTTTTGAGCGCCCTCATTTGTTCCAGTGAGCGGAAATACCTCCCCAGGAGAGGCCAGCCCCTCCTTTGTGCAAATGAGCTACGGGACCACAACCGCCCCTGCCTGTCATCTGCCACCTCATCTGCCACCTTCTCTCTAGACCCCAGCCCAGGCTCCACTGGGATTACTGCTCCTCTTGCTTAAACTCTAGGGAGAGAAGCTTAAATGCTTTTCAGGACACCAGTCAGGGGCTCATTTAACATTTGAGAACAAAATCTTTAAAGGGCCATGCTCACCACAAGAATATCACCACAACAGGAGCTCTTGAGCAAATATTACATGGCAATGAGACAAGTTTTACAAAATAAACAATACTCTGTACTCTCCTTACAGCAGTCATGTTTACGGACTGGAATACAGCCACACAACAGAGGAGGCACTGCATATCAAGGCAGTTCAAGGCAAGGGGAGGGAAGAAGCAGAAACTGTCAAGCTCATTCCCTAACTGTTGAAAGCACAACCATTCAGGGAGACAGGACCCTCTCCATGGATACCTAGAGAGAAAATGCAGCCCAGATATCACCCACATATCCCCAACTCCAGGACACTATTTCACTCTGATTTGTTTCGGGGTTGCTTTAATGTGTCAGTCACTACTGCAAATTTCTTTCTACTGCTGGCCTCAAAAAGATGACCATCCCAATAGTCACAGGTTCTTAGGATAAGCTACCCATATTATAACTAAAGGGGGAAAATCCTGAAATTTCCACAGCATCTTTGTTGTAAGGAACTCAAAATGGCTCATCTGCATTATTAGACTCATCTTTGAAAGTATCTTGTGAAAATAATTGCAACTTTTCATTATCAGATGAGAAAACAGACAGAAGTCCAGCCTGAGCAACATGGCAAAACCCCGTCTCTACAAAAACTCCAAAAAATTAGCTGGGTGTGGTGGTACGTTCCTGCAGTCCCAGCTACTTGGGGAGCTGAGGATGAAGGATCGCTTGAACCTGGGAAGTTGAGGCTGCAGTGAGCCAAGATCACACCACTGCACTCTAGCCTTGGTGACAAAGTGAGGCCCTGTCTCAAAAAAAGAAAAAGTAAATAGACAGAGGTTAAGTAATCTGCCCAAAAGTCACACATCATGCCAATGAGATAGCATGGCAAGAAGCTATGTTCCCCAAATCTGAGCTTGAAAAATTCTTGCTCATCTTACCACAAAAGCCTTGGCATATTAGAAATTCAGGAGCTGTCAATTGAGTCAGATCCCTGGAACAATCCCTCATATGGGAGATACACCCACCACACTGCCACCAAGATTTGAAGTTTTTCAGACAACCTGGCTCACAAGATGCCATTGGGTGACCTAGGGAAGAGTTCACAGCATACCAAATACACTGCTCTGCAAAACTCCCAATTACAGATTGGATGCAGGTGGAGAAACTGTGTAAGTAGCATTGTAAAAACAGAGAGAAAAGGGAGTATGCCCACCTAAAAAGATCAGGCTAAATAATTGTGACAGCTGCTAAGATAATGGAAAGGGGCTGGGTGTGGTGGCTCACACCTGTAATCCCAATACTTTGGGAGGGTAAGGTGGGCGGACTGCTTGAGCTCAGAAGTTTGAGACCTGCCTGGGCAATATAGTGAGACCTCATCTCTACAAAAACTAAAAATGTTAACTAGGTGTGCTGTCCCATGACTGTAGTCCTGGCTACTGGGGAGGCTAAGGTGGGAGGATCACTTGAGCCCAGGAAGTTGAGGCTACAGTGAGCTGTGATTGCGCCACTGCACTCCAGCCTGGGTGACAGAGCAAGACCCCAACTTAGAGGAAAAAAAAAAAAAAAAGATAATGGAAAGGGAAAGTAATAACCAACCCAAGCTTTTGTGCCTTCCAATGCTACTAGTCAGTCAACAGAACCAGCAAGGTACTACTTTGTGCAGATGTGAGTATTAGGAGTTATGGAGAAACACAAATACATGGTTCATTTTTCTCAAAATGCAACTTGATAGGCAAGATTAACAGGTTAAAAAGGAGTTTAGTGCTTAAAGACCGTAAATTAGACAGTAGGATATAGTAAAAAACACAAATATAGATTCTTGTAGAGTCAATCCCAGGATTTCAGAGTCTATCTCAACTTTGCCACTAACTAGTTATATGAGGCAGGAGCCCCAAATTCTTTTTTTGTTGTTTTTGAGACAGGGTCTTGTTCTGTCACCCAGGCTGGAGTGCAGTGGCACAATCTTGGCTCACCATAGCCTTGACCTCCCAGGCTCAAGCGATACTCCCACCTCAGCCCCCCAAGTAGCTGGGACTACAGGCACACATCACTATGCCTCGCTAATTTTTGTATTTTTTGTAGAGACAGTGTTTCACCATGTTGCCCAGGCTGGTCTCGAACTTCTGGACTCAAGTGATCATCCCACCTTGGCTTCCAAAAGTGCTGGGGGCCTGGCGTAAGCCACCATGCCAAGCCCCCAAATTCTTATAAAATACTAAGTCATAGGCCAGGAGTGGTGGCTCATGCCTGTAATCCCAGCACTTTGGGAGGCTGAGGTAGGTGGATCACCTGAGGTCAGGAGTTCGAGACCAGCCTGGCCAACATGGTGAAACCCCATCTCTACTAAAAATACAAAATAGGCCAGGCACGGTGGCTCACGCCTGTAATCCCAGCACTTTGGGAGGCCGAGGCAGGCGGATCACGAGGTCAGGAGATCGAGACCACGATAAAACCCCATCTCTACTAAAAATACAAAAAATTAGCTGGGTGCGGTGGCGGGCGCCTGTAGTCCCAGATACTTGGGAGGCTGAGGCAGGAGAATGGTGTGAACCCGGGAGGCGAAGCTTGCAGTGAGCCTAGATCGCGCCACTGCACTCCAGCCTGGGCGACAGAGCAAGACTCCATCTCAAAAAAAAAAACAAAACAATTAGCCGAGCACGGTGGTGGACCCCTGTAATCCCAGCTATTTGGGAGGCTGAGGCAGGAGAATTGCTTGAAACCCGGAGGCGGAAGTTGCAGTGAGCCAAGATCGTGCCATTGCACTCCAGCCTGGGCAACAAGAGCAAAACTCCATCTTAAATAAATAAATAAAATACTAAGTCTTAACTATTTTTAGGTCATAAACTCCAGTGAGAATCTGATGAAAACTAAGGATACTTTTCCCTATAAAAATATACATATTTACCTACATACAAACTTTTGTTTACAAGTGGAGAAGTATCACATGGACCTCAGCTAAAGAACTCCTGAAATGACCTTAAGACCTCTTCTGTGTCATGATCTGAAAGCAATCAGCATAGTACAATCTGAATTTAAGTGCTGAAAAGAGTCAGATGTAAAGGAATGATCAATCAGCTAAAGAAGAGCTGGTTCCTTTTGCTTTTTTAAAGTCTATTCAGAGACTCTTCCCACCTAAAGAAGGAAAGTCGACTACACAACAGCAATCTAACAACAGGAACAACTGACTTAACCACTTGAACTAAGTGCATTTAAAAGACAACACATGCTAGTTTGTCATTTCCTCTGTGTGTTTCACCATTAAAATTGTTTCATAACATTTATCAGATAAAAATTAAACAAAAACAAGGATGTTTGGAACTATGGAATGAGTGATGGTTCCAAAGAGGCTCTTGGGAAAGGAGGGTGGTGGTGCAATGGTCTGGCTCCAGTTGTATTCTTGGAGACCAGGGATCTTTCCTCAGAGTCACAGCATTTCAAAGAACCATAGTTCAATAACTCTGCATGCCTTTCATGGCTATTCATCTTTTATCCTCCAATGGGTCCCACAAAGGCAAATAGTGAGATGTAACCTCAGGTGGTAAGAGATTCTGCCCTAAGTTCCAGACACAGACAGGGAAACGTGAAAGACTTAGGATCTGGCAGACTAATAGGCATTCTCTGGCCAGCTGCTGACAAAGCGGAAAAAAAGCCCTTCTGTCTCCAACAGCCCTTACAAAGGCACAGACACCTAAGAGCTGAGTGGAACTTGACTGAATGCAGCCAGATCAGGAAGTCCAAGACTACAGTGCCTGAGATGTGGTCCTGAGGGCTTCTGAATCTACAGTGACAGGATGGCTGTTAAAAAAAAAAAATCCCTTACCCTGCTCAAGGACAGAGCCCAGATGAGTCAGGTTCAGGATACTGCTCCTGAAACAGGGCAAGTCTGTCAGCAGACAGTTACTATCGAGGAGAAAGATCTAGACCAATGAGGCGAGAACGAATCATATCTTAGAGTTCCCATAGTTCCCCCAAAGCCCCCTAGAAATCAACACCTTCCATAATTCCTTTGAAGCAATCTTTCTCCTAAAAACAAAGGTCCCCCTCCCATAGAGCACCCACGTATCAGTGTCAGAGAAACTGAACCTGGACAGCAAGATCAAGGAATTCATTCAATCATTCATCCCACATATATCTGTTGAATGCTTACCAGGTAGGAGGCACTGACCTACATGCTAGAACCCAGAACTCAGAGTCTCACCAGAGGGAGAGCAGGACGAAAAAAATATGGCAGTGTCTCGTCCACGGCCATACCACCCTGAACACGCCTGATCTCGTCTGATTTTGGAAGCTGAGCAGGGCCAGGCCTGGTTAGTACTTGGATAGTAGAAATGGCAGTGTCTCCTCAGATTCAAAGATGAGGGTCATGGGGTCATCAAACTAAGGGCACAGCTGACTTCCAACTGCTCACTCTTCAGACAAACCCTGAAGAAATTTAAGAACAGAAAAGGTAACTCTCCTCATATAAATACACTGATTTTCTTTGAGGCAGAACTGACATCCTGACAACCAGTTGCTACTATTATCCCAAAGCAGCTGCTAACCCAGGAAACAGCAAAAATGTCTCCAGTGACTTAAGGAGCCAGTAACAAAAGCAGGTGCCAGGTTCAGGGACCTATTCAGGGAGCAACAAAGATCACTTTCTTCATTGTCTCCCCCTGGCAGCAGTGTCTGGTGGAGAGAAGCGTTGAATTACACCTTGTCCTTCTGGTCTGCTGGACAGAAAATGAGTTTGCCATTTGAAGAAAGGGCTGTCCCCAGGGCCACAGCTGCCTCTGCAGGGCTGAAGAAAGGAAGACAAAAAAAGTCAGGCTTCATACTTCGAAGGAAAGGGCTGAAATGGCAAGACCAAGTGAGGCTTTAAAGGAAATTAAGTGTAGGTCTGGCAAAAAGGGTACGAAGAGCTCTGCTCACCCTGTGGCCACCCCAGGCCTGGGTAATTACTTCACGTGGATTAGACCTATGCTTCACGGCCCAACAAGAGGCTTTAAAAGAGCCCATGCTTTAGGCTACAGACCCTCGAATAAGCTCACTCTCGTTGAGCCTTTTCTTTTTGGCTGTGGGTCCAAGGAGAAATGGTTGGCTCCTTTGAGTCCTTTCCTCCCTAAGGTGCTTATGTAATACTAAGAGATCAAATGAGGTAAGAAGCACTGAGCAACTGAGAGAGAAGGCAAAAACACTTGCTTTTAGGATAAATCTGTACCTATAGGACCTCAGATTCTAGCCCCACCTGAGACTAAGGTTCCCCTCTCAGTTTATAAAATCCCAAAATAACCTAAAAGCCTCACTGCCAGGCATTCTGAGGACCTAGGAAAAGATCAGAGGTAAGAGTCACCTTCCACTGGAACAAGGTTATAGATCTCTAGCAGAGAGATGGAAGGGTAGGAAATTGATTTCCACAAAGGCATATTGAAACAGTCAGGTGTAACAGAGGTCAGGTCAACAGCTTCCTACCACCCGCAAGAACAGTTTCTCTCATCAACTCCATCAAAACCCAGAGGATACAGCTGCACCACTAAGTCAGCTAAAGATCAGTGCCTGCTTAGGAGAACTACATTTGGTTATTCTGAAAAACCTAGTGGAAGAAAAGTGCTTACTGGCTCAACTCACCTGGGCTGTTCTGCCAGCAAATCAAACAAGTCTCTAGAAACATAGGCCACCAACTGCCTTTTTTTTTTTAATTTGTTTAAGTCACTTGGTTTGTGATAAAGTTCTGGTAGCATTCTTTTGTTGCTTTTGAGTAGAGGAAGAAGGCAAAATAAACATTTTTCAAAAGTCAGATTCCAGACACCAAAAATAACATAACGGAATTTTCCTCTGAAGCTGCCTTTTGCTAACAATGAGGCTATATTTAAAAAGAAAGTCCAAGATAGAATGTATGGTGGCACCTCCAGAATGGTAGTGTATGAATTCTGAGGAACTTTTTTACTGTGACGTCTAAGATAAAATTCTGTGGGAGAACATCACAATGTTGAGGAAGTGCTAAAAGCACCTAACAGGGAGAACGTCAATGAGGGTGTCAACATCTGTTTAAAAAGTAGTGGGTACATATGTATCTGCTATACATTTTCTGTACTTGTCTATATGCTTGAAATATACAAAATTAACAATTACAGCAATGTGACTAGAAATATTCCATGGAGTTTAAAAAAGAAAAAAAAATTAAAGCAATGAATCAAATTATCCATCAAATTTACAAGTACACATACCTTTTGAAACAGCAATTCACATTTAAGAATTTTACCTAAAGATATACACTGTGCACGCCGGGCACAGTGTTGCATGCCTGTAATCCCAGCACTTTGGGAGGCCAAGGTGGGCGGATCACAAAGTCAGGAGATCCAGACCATCCTGGCCAACATGGTGAAACCCCATTTCTACTAAAAATACAAAAATTAGCTGAGCATGGTGGTGGGCATCTGTAATCCCAGCTACTTGGGAGGCTGAGGCAGGAGAATCGCTTGAACCTGGGAGGTGGAGGTTGCAGTGAGCTGAGATTGCGCCATTGCACTCCAGCCTAGGTAACAAGAGCAAAACTCCGTCTTAAAAAAAAATAAAAAATATATATATTTTATAAAAGACAAGAATGTGAGTTCTGAATCCTGATCCCAGTACTGCCACTGAACACATACCCTTCTTAATCATTCATATACTCAACAAGCAGTTTTTTATTCACTACCCTGTGCCAAATTTGTAGAGCACTGATGGAAATGAAGAGCTCTCAGTCTCTTTCCTCTCTCAGCTTATAATCTAGTAAGGGAGACAAACAAGTAACCTAACACATAATATGGTACAACTAATGCAGATAAAGATATACAGAAGCAAAGCAAAAAGGAAGCCTAGTGGCCTAGGTAAGGATTTCCAAAGGAGATGATGCTTGAACTGGGACCTCAGGGCCACAGAGAATTAAGAGTGAGGGGAACAGGGTGTTTCAGACAGAGGAAACAAAGTAGAAACATGAGCAAACATGAAGCATTTAAGCAACTCAATTTAATATGGCTAGAATGTAGGGTGCTTTCTACTTCGGAAGAATAATGGCAGGAAATGAAAGCTTTGCATGCCATGCTAAAGAAACCAGATTCACCCCAAAGACAATGGAAACCCATTGCAAGGGCTTCCGAGTGACTATTTTTATAATCAGATTTTAATTTTAGAAAGAGCATTCTGGCAGTAACGAAAAGGAAGGGAGGAAACCAATTAGGACACTATAGATACAGAATCTGAACTAAGAAAGTACTACTGTTATCAAAACAAAGGAAAGGACACAGATTTGAAACGAAATTATACAGCATTTGATCGCTGTTTTATTTGAATTGGGGTCTGGTAGGGTGTATGGACAAAGAGAAGGAAGATTATCAAATGATTCCCAAATATCTCATTTGTGTGCCTGGATAGAAGATAGTACCTTAAATAAAGTAAGGAGTAAGAGAGAGAAAAGCAGGTTTGCCAGAGTGAAGGGTTTCATCTGGAACATGTTGAGTCAAAGACACCTACAGGATATCCAAAAGAAGTCCTCTAGCTCTCAGAGATAAAATCTTGGAGCTCGGAAGAGAAAACTGGCCCAGAGTCACCACAGCAGTTGAAGCCATGAGTACAAATAAGATCACTCATGAAAACTATGTAGAGTGCCAAGGACAAAATCCTAGAAAGTATCTTTCTTTAAAGGTGAACAAAGGGAAGATAAATACGAAAATGAGGAAGAAAGAAAATCAGGAGAGGATAAAATCACAAAAGGTTAGGGAAGGAGAAACTTTTAAGGAGAATGGAGTGTTTCATAGTGTCAAGTACCACAGAAAGGTCAAGTAAGATCAGAGCTGAAAATTTACCATTGGATTTGGCAATTAGGAGGTGACTGGTGACCTTGACAACTGCAATTTCAGTGTAGCAGAGAGGGTTGGAAGCTAAAAGGCAGGTATATACCATTCTTCAAGAATCTTGGAGGAAACAAAGAACACGGCTGTGAAAGGGGATTCTCACTTAACATCTTTTGTTTTCCACTCCCCCTCCCATAATATGTTTGAGTATTTAAGAAAAATAAAGAGGAAAATGCACATAAAATAATGTTAACATTTAGTAGGTATTAGGTGTAGAATGACAATAATCCACTGTATTATTACCATTACTTTAAGCAGATTCCATTTACTTTGTAAATCACCAAATATTTTTTGACACTGTGCAAAATACAGAACTAGTAATGTGAGAGACAAAAAAGAGTTTATGCCAGGCACGGTGGCTCACACCTGTAATCCCAGCACTGTGGGAGGCCAAGGTGGGCGAATCGCTTGAGCTCAGGAATTTGAGACCAGCCTGAGCACATGGCAAAACCCCATCTCTAGTAAAAATACAAAAAAATTAGCCAGCCATGGTGACATGCGCCTGTAACCCCAGCTACTTGGGAAGCTGGGGTGGGAGGATTGCTTGAGTGCAGGAGGTTGCAGTGAGCCGAGACTGCACCACTGCACTTCAGCCTGGGTGACAGAGGGAGACAGTCTCCAAAAAAAAAAAAGTTCATGATATAGTCCCAGGTTCTAGGAGTTTAAAATCCTGTAGAAGAAAATAATGCATACATACAAATAGGATGTTAAAGTATAATACAAATGATATGGAAAAAAAATACAACTAGCATTAAGTTTAGAAAACTGGAACTAACTTCCAGTGGAGAGATCAAAGAAGACTTCCTACAGGGCTTTGAGGCAGGTGGTGAACAATGGGATAAGATTAAGACAGTTTTGTCTGGCTTAGAAGTGAGAAAGTGGTTGGAGAGGAGGCTAGAGAGGCAATTATGGAGGACTTTAAATATCGGGCTGGGATGACTGAACCCTGGCTCTCTTCTTATTGCAGCTCTGTAGTGCCAAGTGCTTGAACATTTCCACCGGAGCATGTCACAGCAAACAGAACTGAAATTACTAAAAGTGAATCCGTATCTTTCCTCCCAAAATCAATGCCTCCTTTTATTTTTTATTTTATTTTATTTTATTTATTTATTTTTATTTTTATTTTTATTTTTTTGAGACGGAGTCTCACTCTATCACCCAGGCTTCAGTGCAGTGGCACGATCTCGGCTCACAGCGACCTCCGCCTCCCCGGTTCAAGTGATTCTCCTGCCTCACCTCAGCCTCCCGAGTAGTTGGGATTACAGGCACGCACTGCCATGCCTGGCTATTTTTTGTCTTTTTAGTAGAGACGGGGTTTCACCATACTGGTCTCGAACCCCTGACCTCAAGTGATCCCCCAACCTCGGCCTCTCAAAGTGCTGGGATCACAGGTGTGCCACCACATCCAGCCAATGCCTCCTTTTAATTTCCCACTTCAAGTAATGGCACTACCCTTTACCCAACCCATTCTCAAATCCTATCAGTTCCTGCAAATACCTCTCCCAGTCATCCTCTTCTGTATTCAAGAGTCACTCTCTCCGGCATTCAAGAGTCACCCTCTCCCTTCTGATCCTCATTACCTCTGACCTGGATTGTTAGAACAGCCTCAAAAAAACTGACTTTCCTTATCCAATTCATGTTGCACATGCTGCTATATTAATATTCCTAGAAACACAGCCTTAATTAAATCATTCCAATGTATAAAACCTCCAACGGCAACATAAAATCAACCAAAGGGGGAAAAAAATCTCAATGAAATGTAAAACCCAACCACATGGTAAAACTTTTATGGAGAGTAGTTTGGCAAAAGTTTTTTAAAGTATACAAATAACTTTTGACTCAGCAATTCCATTCTTAGGAATTTATCTTTTTAAAAATACAGTTAAGTGTGCAAATATATACATGTAAGTATATTGATCTCATTGTTCATAACACCAAACAGTGCAAAATTACCTAAAAGTCCAACAACAGAAGACTGTCTCAAGTGCAATGCATCCATACAAGAGAATACTGATAGCAACATATTAATAAATGATGCTGATACATATTTTTGACACTGAAAGACTTTCAACATACACTAAGTGAAGAAACATGTTACAAACTGTTTTTTTCCAAATATGTATTGCATGCATATTTGCACATGAAAATATTTGAAAGAAAACATCAAAATATTTACAGCAGTTATAAATGGTAGGATTTTTGGTCACTTTAATTTTATATTTTTATTTATTATTTTAAAATCTTCCTACAACAAACATGAATATTTTATGAAGTAAAAAGGGGAGGGGAGATTCTGCCACAACCAATATCCAACAGTAGCATAACTCTTTCAGATTTTTCTAAACATTCTTTATCTGGAGAAAGCAGGAACTCTATATACAGCCCAACAATTCTACAAATTGTTATGGCACCAAAAAACAAAGATGAAGAAAGTACAGCCTGCAGTCACTGAACTCATGGTCTAGGGGAGGCTGACAATTAAACAGAAAACTGTAAAATAAGATGATAAATACTATCACAAAGGATGTACATCCTACCATAAGAACTCAGATGAAAAGGTAAGTGAAATTTTTTACTGGTTGGGGTAGAAGGAAAGAAGCAGGAACACCATTAAAATCTATTAAGTTTTGAGTTGGGACAAAAGATTACAGTATGAACAAGCATTTGTGAGGCAGAAAAAGTAAAAAGATCATTCAAGGCATAGAAAACAACATAA
This sequence comes from Homo sapiens, assembly GCF_000001405.40. Lineage (NCBI taxonomy): Eukaryota > Metazoa > Chordata > Mammalia > Primates > Hominidae > Homo > Homo sapiens. The sequence continues at coordinate 39,147,946 of NC_000001.11, read as the reverse complement.
ACAAGGGGTGAAACTGATCATCAGTTTTTAAGAGGAAATGTGGCATGACCACTGGCATAAATCAAAGAAGACGAGGGTCTAAAATAGGGCAGTGAGTCTAGCCAGGAAACAATATCTGTTGAGATATTTTTCAGCTAGACAAACAGAACTTAGTGTCCAATCAGATGTGGAAAATAAATAGGGCCAAGTGGGGTGGCTCATGCTTATAATCCCAGCACTTTGAGGGGCCAAGGCAGAAGGACTGCTTGAGGCCAGGAGTTCGAGACCAGCCTTGGTTGTGTGTGCCTGTAGGCCCAGCTACATGAGGGGTGAGGCAGGAGGAGAGCTTGAGCCTGGGATGTTCAGGTTGCAGTGAGCTATGATTGTGCCACTGTACTCCAGCCTGGGCAACAGAGCAAGACCCTGTTGAAGAAGAAAGAAGGAAAAGAAAGGAGGAAAAGAAAGAAAGAAGGGAAAGAAGGAAGGAAGGGAGGGGAAAAAAGAGGAAAGAAAAGAAAGAGGAAAGAAAGGAAAGGAAAGGGAAAAGAGAAGGAAAAAGAAAAGGGAAGGAAGGAAAGAAGGGGAAGGAAAGGAAAGAGAAAAGAGAAGGAAAATGAAAAGAGAAGGAAAAAGAAAAGGAAGGAAGGAAGGAAAAAAGAGGAAGAAAAGGAAAGAGAAAAGAGAAGGAAAAAGAAAAGAGAAGGAAGGAAGGAAAAGAGAGAGGAGAGAGGAAAGGAAGAAAAGGGAAAAGGGGAAGGTGAGGAGAGGAGAGACGAGAAAGGAGAAAGAAGAAAGGAGGGGAAAGGGGAATGGGAAAAAGGGAAAGGGGAAAGGAAAGGGAAAAGAAGAAAAGAAGGAGGGAGGGAGGAAGGGGAGGAGGAGGAGAGGAAGAGAGAGAAGGAGGAGGAGAGGAACAGGAGGAGGAGAAGAAGAAGGAAGGAAGAAGGAAAAGAAGAAGAAGAAAATAAACAAAGACAAATATTTGTGGGTACTCAGTAGGTGTATATATTTATGGGTTACATGAGATATTTTCATACAGGCATGCAATGTATACTAATCACATCAGGGTAAATAGGGTATCCATCACCTCAAGCAATTTGTGTTTCAAACAATCCAATTAAACTCTTTTAGTTATTTTTAAATGAATAATTAAATTATTTTTACTATAGTCACCTTGTTGTGCTAGCAAATACTAGGTTTTATTTAGTCTTTTTATTTTTTTGCATCCATTAACCATCCCCCACTTCCCTGTGACCCCATCCCCCCTTCCCAACTTCTGGTAACCATCTTTCTACTCTCTATCCTCATGAGTTCAATTATTTTAATTTTTAGTTCCCACAAATAAGTAAGAACATGCAATGTTTGTCATTCTGTGCCTGGCTTATTTCGCTTAACATAATGTCCTCCAGTTCCATCCATGTTGTTGTAAATGACAGAATGTCATTCTTTTTTATGGCCGACTAGTACTCTATTGTGTATATGTACATTTTCTTTCTTTCTTTCTTTTTTTTTTTTTTTGGGAGAGGAGACAGAGTCTTGCTCTGTCACCTAGGCTGGAGTGCAGTGACGTAATCTCAGCTCACTGCAACCTTCACCTTCCAGGTTCAAGCAATTCTCCTGCCTCAGCCTCCCGAGTAGCTGGGACTACAGGTGTGCGCCACCATACCTGGCTAGTTTTTGTATTTTTAGTAGAGATGGGGTTTCGCCATGTTGGCCAGGCTTGTCTTGAACTCCTGACCTCAAATGATCCACCCACCTCAGCCTCCCTAAGTGCTGGGATTATAGGCGTGAGCTACTGTGCCCGGCCCACATTTTCTTTATCTATTCATCTGTTGATGGACACTTAGGTGGCTTCCAAATCTTGGCTATTGTGAACAGTGCTGTAATAAACATGTGAGTCCAGATAGCTCTTCAATATACTGATTTCCTTTCTTTTGGGTATAAACCTAAGGAGTGGGGTTACTGGACTGTATGGTAGCTCTATTTTTAGTTCTCCAAACCATTCTCCATAGTGGTTGTATAAGCTGAATTTTGGATACATTACATGCAAATTTCTGTAGGCTACAAAGTGGAAAAGGAGAGTAGTCATTTGGAAATACAAGTTTGGACCTGGGGGAAAAGCTCATACAATAGGTAGTTACAGATTCTGACAAGAGAGTCATCACTGTACACACAGATGAAATTCCTAAATGAAATCACCAGAGTAGGTCAACTCATCCAGAGATAGCACACAGTCAGGGAAGGAAAGAGGTCCAAATGGTGTCAGATGCTGTGACAAGATGAAACAGCGTGAGAACAAAAAGAGGCTGCTGAGTTCTGCAAGCAAGTCATCACAAACAAGAGCCTTTCATTGGGATGGTGGGCACAAACCTTGGCTATAGTGGCTCACGATGACTAAAGAAGTAGAAGAAAGGCTGTTGAGGTAGTTTGGTGGTAAAGAAAAAAAAAGCACAGAGAGTTAGTCTGAAGAAGAGATAAGCTTAAAGGAATTTTTATCTTAGGATGGAGAAAACCTGAATATCTTTACAAAGAGTCACTAGGAAGGGAGGAACTAAGAACACAAAATATATATGTATATGCCCAGAGACCTGCCTCTGAAATAGGAGGGAATGTGGTAAGGACTGGTAAAGCCTACAGATAAATTGAGACGTAAAAGACTAAATTACTTATTGAGAGTTTATAAGGTGGGGTGGAGCAACAAGTTTGAAGAGAATGGTGAAAGACTGGAATGGCTGCTGCAGAAAAAAATGAATGGCAGTCAACCAGAAGAGAATAAAAAGGTTTCAGGATAGGATTGAGAGCCAGGCTGTGGCTAGAGCTCATAAATCTGTAATAGAGTCAGTCAGCACACTGTTATGCAGTGGCACTCAGTAGCTCAGTGGAGAAAATGAACACAGGTCCAGCACTGGGGATAGAAAAGGCGTGGAAGAAAAAAAAGAGATCTGAGAATGCCAGTACGAGCCCTATTGTACATGATAGGTCAGGAAGCACTGACACCATAAAGGGGCTGACAGACTGGGAAACAGCAGAGAACAGGTTTAATGTGCATAAAGGAAAGGATAAGTGGAAAAAAGGAGGTTGTGACCAGATTCTGGGATGTCTAGGAGGAATGGAGCAATTGCACGTCACCTAAAATACCCTCCCCCAAAAAACTTAGTCATCTGTAAGACCAAAACTGGTGAGGCACAGTGGTTCACACCTGTAATCCCAGCACTTTGGGTGGCCAAGGAGAGAGGATCATTTAAGCCCAGGAGTTTGAGACCAGCCTGGGCAACATAGTGAGACCTTGTCTCTATTTGAAAAAAAAAAAAGACCAAAATTGATGCCACGCTGATTTCCAGGCCATGCTCTGATATATAAACTAGTTCTTCAAATGGGGCTGACACCTCACACGTTGTTAGAAGGGAATTCCAATGAGAGAGTGGCAGGGTGAAGTTCTCCTCTAAGCTTCTTCCTTCCTTAAGATTTGATCTGGATCTCTGGGTGCAGTATCAATAACTTCAATAACTTTTCTTTTTACTGACTAGAAGATTATGAGAGTTCTCATGAATATGGAGTTGCTAAAAATAAAAGTTTAAGAAATTTCCAGCTGGGGGCGGTGGCTTACCCCTATAATCCCAGCACTTTGGGAGGCCGAGGCAGGTGGATCACCTGAGGTCAGGAGTTCGGGACCAGCCTGGCCAACATGGTGAAACCCCGCTTCTCCTAAAAATACAAAAATTAGCTGGGGGTGGTGGCAGGCACCTGTAATCCCAACTACTTGGGAGGCTGAGGCAGGAGAATCGCTTGAACCTGGGAGGCGGAAGTTGCAGTGAGCCGAGATCGTGCCATTGCACTCCAGCCTAGGCAACAGAGCAAGACTCCGTCTCAAAAAAAAAAAAAAAAAAGCGCCGTGGCTCACACCTGTAATCCCAGCACCTTGGTGGCCGAGGCGGGCGGATCACGAGGTCAGGAGATCAAGATCATCCTGGCTAACACAGTGAAAGCCCATCTCTACTAAAAATGAAAAAAAATTAGCTAGGCATGGTGGCTGGTGCCTGTAGTCCCAGCTACTCCAGAGGCTGAGGCAGGAGGCTGAGGCAGGAGAATGGTGTGAACCCAGGAGGCGGAGCTTGCAGTGAGTGAAGATCGCGCCACTGCACTCCAGCCTGGGCGACAGAGCAAGACTCCATCTCAAAAAAGGAAAGAAAAGAAAAGAAAAAGAAATTGCCTAATTGCTGGCTTGGCAATTCCCTCAGGGTCTTGAAACTAGCCAATGTAGGACAACTGTCACTGTCCTTCCCAGAGCCTTGGATCTTTCCCCCAGTGGTAAGATGTAACAGTAAGGGCAACCTGCATAAGAAGTATACTTAACAGAGAGGCAGAAGTTGGGGTCTGCAAATAACATAAGTAACCTCCAGGATGAGGGTGGGAAAGTGAGTTTACTTCCTTTCACTGCAAATGGAAAGACTGAATCTAATCCTTGAGCCCTTACCTCACAAGGGCAGGAAACCCTAAACAAGCCACTTGCTCATTCTCTACAGATCTGGCCTCTCCTCTATCCTATTATCCTGGCCTGATACAAAAAGGAAAAGAGATTCCAATCCTCTCCAAGATGTTACAAATGAACCAGACATTGCCACCAGAAAGTGTATCTTTGATACACCAAAAGGTATATCAAAAGCTAGCTTGTATCAATAATTCACTCTAAGAGCCCCAACTTGCTTCCAAATCTTTTCGTATAGCCCACAGACAAGGGGTACAATGATTATGAAAAGTAACTTCTGATATTAAGGTACATTGATAGAAAGAATAAAAATTCAAGGGTTAGTTGACTATCTTGATAAGCATCTAGAATGTGGCTACCACAATCAGCCTGATCTGCCATTCCATTTGGACTGAGATGGGCCCTCCTGTGTAAGATAGAAAAAGTGACTCCAAATGTTTGTTTAATGCAGCTCTGGTTCACCTTCACTCGGGTCACCGCCTTCCTTTGCTCACAAACACTTAATTGTCCCTGAAAAGTAGGTCAGCGCCTTGTGGAACAAGCTGGAAGGAGAGCTAAGACCCAGCCTATCACTCCAACAGGCTTGGAGAGGCCCAAGCTGTGTCTAGGAGACCAAAACCAGTCAACAGTGCATTATGCCAAGAGTGCTCCAGGTGCTCCAGGTGGTAACCTGGCTACTGCCATTCCTAGGTGGTGACTCAGCAGGTTGGGAAAGCAGAAGATGCAGGATGCAGGGCTGAGGCTCATGTCAGCCTGGCAAATACTTGTTCCACTCTGATAGCTAATGAGGTGTCCCTAATTAGCCATCAGAATGGAAGGAGCAAGAGGTGAACAATCAGAATGCTAAACTCTCTTCCACTGTCCATATGGTCCCTTCTGTAGAATACCAAGCATTGCTCAACCATAAATGGAGCTGCCTGAGCTTCTCCCCACTCCTTCCCCCAAATATTTTCTTCAGGGCACCCAAAAATAAACACTGCTCCTTACCCATGAGCTAGAGGTACATTCATAGCACTGTAAGCTGTCATTTGGAGTATACTTGATGAAGGTGTTAAATTTTTTTTAACAGGATACATCTTGTTCCTGGGCCCAAATACTCCATCCATCCAGGATTTTAAGGTGGGAGAGACTCCCCCATCAAATTTCCTCTAACCTCAAATTGGTTAGTTCACTAAATATAGGATATTGCTTCAAAGCAAAAAAGAAGGGGCCCAGGGAGATGAGGCAACAGGAGGCTGGCAGTTTGGGAAATAGCTACCAGAGGGTCAGCTGTCCAGCTGTCTCTGGAATCTGAAGACTTCCAAACCTAACAACTGCCTTTCTCAGGAAGAATCAAAACTATGTGAGGCAGCTGTGGAGGATAAAGGCAGCAGAGCCCAACTTCTGAAGCCAGTAGCAAATCACTTCCTTAGCCACTGTTCCCCACAAAAAGCAAATGCTGCCGGAACTGCCTGCAGACCAGATACCAGCTCTAAGAAAGAGAAATGGGAAAAGGAGTCAGTTATCTCTTTGGCAAACAGAGAGCACAGGCACCTTCCTCTATCTCCCTCAAGTTCTCAGGTAATAATACCAAAACCACTGGCAATTCCAACCTTTCTAAATTCTGACTATATAACTTTCCATTATCTTCTAGTTTCATGTACCTTTCCTCCTCCTGGTCTCCCACTACCCACCATATCCCCCAAGATACACGCATTTCATCTTTCCAAATCTAAGGTAGAATCAGAACCATGTAAACTAATACCTGAATTTGTACTTTTTAAAATTATTAGATTTAAGTCTAATAACTAGACTCTAAAATCTACAAGGCAAGAAACATGTCCTATCCCCATTACTGTAGCTAAGACTGCATGCTTACTACAAACCAAGCACCATTTTAAGCACTTTACATGTTATTTCATTCAATCTCCGTCAGAATCCTATGATATATGTGGTAACAGTAAAACACTTTACAGATGAGAACTGAAGCACAGAAAGGTTCAAGAACTTGCCCAAGTTCAGTTAATAAATGGCAGAGCTGAGATTCAAACCTCAGCAGCTTGAGTCCATGCTCTTAACACCTATATGCTACACCAAGTGGTCCCCAGACCAGCAGCATCAGCATCTCCTGGGAACTTGTTAGAAATATAATTTCTCAAGCCCCACCCCAGACCTACTGAATCAGAACTGAGGATGGGACCCAGCAATCTGTGTTTTAACATGCCCTGCAGGTGATTCTGACGCAGGCTCAAGAGTATATTCAACAAGTTATGCTGCTTCTGCTTTTCATTCTTTGAGCTACACCCAAGACAGACAGGCATTCAGGAGGAATTTAACAGCGTGAAAATATTATGAACAACTGATTATAGCATAATGTTTGAGTACATGAGAATTCTAGAGCAAATTGTGAAACCTAACTCTGCTGCTTAACAGCTGTGTGTCCCTGGGCAAATCACTATGCCCTCCTGTTCTTCAGTTTACTCCAGTGTAAAATGGAGATAGGTTCTAAGGATTAAATTAGTTAATTTGACATAAAGCATTTATAACAGTGACTGGCACTTTTTTTTTTTTTTTTTTTTTTTTTTTTTGAGACAGAGTCTCACTCTGTCACCCAGGCTGGAGTGCAGTGGTGCAATCTCGGCTCACTGCAACCTCCGCCTCCTGGGTTCAAGAGATTCTCCTGCTTCAGCCTCCCAAGTAGCTGGGATTACAGACGTGTGCCACCAAGCCCTGCTAATTTTCGTATTTTTAGTAGAGACGGGGTTTCACCATGTTGGCCAGGATAGTCTTGATCTCCTGACCTCGTGATCCGCCTGCCTCAGCCTCCCAAAGTGCAGGGATCACAGGCGTGAGCCACCGTGCCCAGTTGCCCGGCACTTATTAAGTGCCCTATAAGCTCTTATTAACTATGGTCTTTGATCCATTTTACAATTAAATTCAATAAATGTTTATTAGGCATCTATGTGCGAGGCACTGTGCTAGACACATGCATTCATCAACATTTCTTCAACTTGTCAGCCTTTCAGCAATGGTTATTGAAGCCTTATTATACGCAATACTCTGTGCTATGGGATGTCAGAGACAAAGAATAAGGCATTAACTCTTCATCTAAGGACAGTACAAAGTAGTAGGCCAGATGTGACATTTACACAAGTAATTCTAACCCATAGTAGCAAGTGATAAGAATCGTAAGATAGCACTGTTTGGTGGAAAAAACATGGGATTTGAGGTCATAAGATTTAGATTTATGCTAGGTATGATGGCTCATGCCCGTAATCCCAGCACTTTGGAGGACTAACGCAGAAGGATCATTTCAGGTCAGGAGTTCAAGACCAGCCTGGGCAACACAGTGAGACCCCATCTCTACAAAAAACACAAAAATTTAGCTGGGTGTAGTGGCATACACCTATAGTCCTAGCTACTCAGGAGGCTGGAGTGGGACAATCTCTTGAGCCCAGGAGTTTGAGGCTGCTGTGAGCCATGTTTACACCACTGCACTGCAGCCTGTGCAACAGCCAAGACCTTGTCTCTAAAAAAAATTAAAAAAAAAAAAAAAGATTTAGTTCTAATTATGGGTAACCTCAGGCAAGTTACTTAATCTCCTTAAGCCTTAATTTCCTCAGCTGTAAAACAGGAGTGATGAAAAACATCTGTGAGGTTCCAATGAGCTAATACATGTGAAAACATTTTGTAACAGACTCTGAATGTTGTCAGTTATTACTATTACTTTTAAGTGTATTTCTTTCAATAATATTATGTCAGTTCAGAAAGATGATATAACTTGTATCTGAGATAATCAGGGAAGGATCCACAAAAAGTAACATTTGAGATGGATATGTAAGGACCAAATATAATGTAGAAATTAAAGGAAAATGCAGGCACAGGATACAGCATGAGCAAAGGCATGAAAGCAGGAAAGCTAGGAAAAAAAAAAGCAGAAAGCACTAGTTCATTTTAGCTGGAATATAAAGAATAGTGGCAAATTTGGGAGGCTGAGATGGGAGGATCACTTGAGGTCAGGAATTTGAGACCAGCCTGGCCAACATGGTGAAACCCCATCTCTACTAAAAATACAAAAATTAGCTGGACGTGGTAGGGGACACCTGTAATCCCAGTTACTTGGGATGCTGAGGCAGGAGAATCGCTTGAACCTGGAAGGCAGAGGTTGCAGCGACAGAGCGAGACTGTCTGAAAAAAAAAAAAAACAGTGGCAGATAACATTTTAAAAAAGGTAAAGGGTAAACAAGAGGAAAAAAAATCTGTTCAATTTCCCCCCATAAGCAAGCATCTTTGGTAATTCAAGTAGGAATAAATGACGAGACAGTTGATTAAAATTAGTTTTAGTAGTTATCTGTGAATTTGAAGTATTCAGCATGCCTTGTACTCCATTTTCATAGGGTGATTAAGAGCCAGCTACATCATATGCATTAACATGGAATACTCAAAATTACGTAGTTTGTGCAGAAGCCAATTTGAAAATGATACTGTTATTCCTCATCAAAGCTTCTCCAGACAGTTCATAAAAATTATTTGGCCTAGGCCAGGCGCGGTGGCTTACGCCTGTAATCCCAGCACTTTGGGAGGCCAAGGTGGGTGGATCACCTGAGGTCAGGAGTTCGAGACCAGCCTGGCCAACATGGTAAAACCCCATCTCTACTAAAAATACAAAAATTAGCCGGGCATGGTGGCACTCACCTGTAATCCCAGCTACTCAGGAGGCTGAGGCAGGAGAATCACTTGAACCTGGGAGGCGGAGGTTGCAGTGAGCTGAGATTGCGCCATTGCACTACAGCGTGGGTGACAGAGCAAGACTCTGTCTCCAAAAAAAAAATTATTTGGCCTTTAAAACCTTTCAATATCATTATTGAAATGAGAGAAAGCTGTGTTCATCTAACACCAGCCATTTTTCTTTTTTTTTGAGACAGAGTCTCTCTCTGTCGCCTAGGCTGGAGTGCAGTGGCGCGATCTCTGCTCACTGCAAGCTCCGCCTCCCAGGTTCACGCCATTCTCCCACCTCAGCCTCCAGAGTAGCTGGGACTACAGGCACCCGCCACCATGCCCGGCTAATTTTTTTTGTATTTTTGGTAGAGACAGGTTTTCACCATGTTAGCCAGGGTAGTCTCGATCTCCTGACCTTGTGATCTGCCCACCTCGGCCTCCCAAAGTGCTGGGATTACAGGCGTGAGCCACCGCGTCCAGCCTACCACCAGCCATTTTTCAAGTGTTTGTTAGGACCTCTACTCAAATACAACATGAAGTACACTCATTTTTGTTTTGTTTTGTTTTGATTCGTTGTTTTTGTACAAGAAAGTATTTCAACAAGATCCTTGAGTGACAGGTAGCACATAATCCAGAGTAGCACAAATTTGTTGAAATAGAAATTAAAGCTTCCAATACTGTTTCAGACTTTTTTTTTTTTTTTTTTTTTTTGAGATGGAGTCTCGACTGTTACCCAGGCTGGAGTGCAGTGGCACAATCTCGGCTAACTGCAACCTCCGCCTCCCAGGATCAAGCAATCCTCCTGCCTCAGCCTCCCTAGTAGCTGGGATTATAGGCTCGTGCTACCATGCCCGGCTAATTTCTGTATTTTTAGTAGAGATGGGGTTTCTCCATGTTGGCCAGGCTGGTCTCAAACTCGCGACCTCAGGTGATCCACCTGCCTCGGCTTCCCAAAGTGCTGGGAATACAGGCATGACCCACCACGCCTGGCCTCAGACAAATTTTTTTAAGTTTTGTATGTTCATATAGTTGAATGAGATAATGCAATACTTTTAATTGAGCAATCCTTACTTGCTTGCCAAAGAGCATCTGAAGGTAAAAAAATAAAAAATAAATAAATTGGGGCACAGTGGCTCATGCCTATAATCCCAGCTCTTTGGGAGGCCAGGGCAGAAGGATGGCTTGAGCCCAGGAGTTTGAGACCAGCCTGGGCAATAAAATGAGACTTCGTCTTTACAAAAAATTTAAAAATTAGCCAGGTGTAATGGCACATGCCTGTAGTCTCAGATACTTGAGAAACTGAGGTGGGAGGATCTGTTGAGCCTGGTAGACACGTTACAGTGAGCTATGATTGTGCCACTGCACTCCACTCTGTGCGACAGAGCAAGAACCTGTCTTTAAAAAAATAAAAAAAGACTGGGTATGGTGGCTCACGCCTGTAATCCCAACACTTTGAGAGGCCGAGGCACACAGATCACTTGAGGCCAGAAGTTCGAGACCAGCCTGGCCAACATGGCAAAACCCTGTTTCTAACAAAAATACAAAAATCAGCCAGGCGTGGTGGTGTACATCTGTAATTGCAGTTACTCAGGAGGCTGAGGCATGAGAATCTCTTGAACCTGGGAGGTGGTGGTTGCAGTGAGCCAAGATCGCACCACTGCATTCCAACGTGGGCAACAGAGGGGGCTCTGTCTCAAAATAAAATTAAATTAAATTAAATTAAAAAAATAACAAACTTTGAAAAAAGTCAATTTTTAGTTGACAAAGGGTAAATATAACTTGGTCATGTCAAATATTTTATATTTAAAATCCAACCTTCAGTTTTGCAGAAAGTTGCATGAGGAAAAAACATGAACTTCCAAGAAACAAGTAAAAGTTAAACTTCAAATTTCAAACTGAACACTCTCACGCTTGTCTTTATTCTACTGTCATACAAGTGCCCCCTACTGTCGTTCATATTTAATCTGTTTCTCTAAAATAGATTCTTTTTTAAAATTCATTTTTCTTTAGTAATATGTACATATACAACCTTAGTTGACTAATACTAAATATGGTCTTTATTAATTTAATATAGAATTAATTCACTTTTATTATGCTGACAGCATAAAATCATCCTGAGTAGCTTCTGAGAGACAACTGGTCTCTAGGCATTGGAGGTACAAAAGCAGGTAATATGAGGGTAGGCCAATTTGCACAGGGGGGTGCACTGAGGTGACGTGTCTCTATGTCCATGAGCAACTGGGCAAAAAATCCTAATGCCACTGCAGTCCCCTCAGGCACAGAGCAGGAACTGGGGACAAACCAGTATAAACCACGCCTTCCACCCTATAAACAAACAGGAGAATCCACAGTTGGAGATACAAGGGTTTGGAGGGACTACTGCCTCTCCTCACCCTCCACCCATGTCCAGCATAAGCACAGGACACAGAAGCTAGGCTCCTGGACTTTTTCAGGTCTAACCTGGAAGGCAGAAAAATCACAGCTGGATAGCAGTCTTTCTTCAGAATTTTGGTAGACATTGTAAGAGACTGTCTAAGCTGTCAAGGCCCTTCTGCTAAGGCTCTTTATACTTGGAACTCCTTGGAGACCTCTCACATTATCCTGGACCCGTTTCCAATGCATGCATTCTGGTGGTGGGCTGCATTGAGGGGAACCCAGAGAAGAACATGTAGCTCCCTTACTGTGTCAAGTGTCAATAATGGGATATTTGTGTGTGTGTACATATGTATGTATGTGTGTGTAGAGATATGTGTGTACACATATAGGTACATATATCCTAAAAATACTGCCCTGGAAAGCCAGGTTGGCACACAGTTGGCCGTTCGCTGTACTCATCACCCCTCAGCTATATAGCAATTCTCTCTCAGCCTTCGACCTCTGCAAAACAATCCAAGAGTCTAGATATGTCACCATTCCAAGAATCCCATTCATAGTAGGAGCAAAGGAGAGAGGGAGAGAAGCAAGATAGACAAACTGTAAGCACACAGAGTAGTTTATCACTGAGAAAAATTAGACTAGGAGGCAATTTTTTTTTCCTAGAATTCTGCCAGGTCTGGACCCTCTGTATAGGGTTCAGTAGGTCCATCATTCATCAGACTCCTATCAAAATAGGTCTTGCAAGCAAAACCCAGAGAGACAAAGTCAACACACAAACAAGGATATTGTTCTACTTCATCCTCTTCTCCCCAGCTTTGAAGCCTTTGAACGCACCTTAGACAATCAATTCATTACTATTAAAAATAATCTGGCCGGACGCAGTGGCTCACATCTGTAATCCTAGCACTTAGGGAGGCCGAAACAGGTGATCAAGAGTTCGAGATCAGCCTGGCCAACATGGTGAAACCCCATCTCTACTAAAAAAATACAAAAATTAGTCAGGCATGGTAGCATGCACCTGTAATCCCAGCTACTCGGAAGGCTGAGGCAGGAGAATCACTTGAACCCAGGAGGCGGAGATTACAGTGAGCGGAAATCGCACCATTGCACTCCAGCCTGGGCAACAGAGCAAGACGCTGTCTAAATAAATTAATTAATTAAATAAGATGTCAAAAAAACCCAAAAATAATCATATTATTAGCAAGCCAAGTATCCATCAACAGATGAATGGATAAATAAAATGTGGTAGATACATAAATGGAATATTATTTAGCCTTAAAAAGGAAGGAAATTCTGGCACATGCTACAACATGAATGAACCTTGAGGACATTATGCTACATGAAATGAGCCAGACACAAAAGGACAAATACTGTATGATTCCACTTATATGAAGTACATAGAGTAGTCAAATGCATAGAAACAGAAAGTAGAATTGTGGTTGCCAGGGGCTAAGGAGGGGGAAGGTGAGTTATTGTTTAATGGGTTTGGAATTTTAGTTTGAGAAGATGAAAAAGTTCTAGAGATAGATAATAGTGACGGCTGCACAACAATCAAGTGAATGTACTTGATGCCACTATATTTACCCTTACAGATGGCTAAAATGCTAAATGTTATATTAGTGTATTTTATCATAAAAAAATCAAGCGTATTGTTATTATGACTCCTACTAATAAAAAACAAGCTACAATTACATACTATGTGCCAACCAATGTGTTTTACGTATATTAACTCATTTAACCTTTACAAAAACCCTGCAAGATGGTTATCACCACCAATATTTTACAAATGGGGAATTAGGAAAAGCACACAGTTGAAAGGGGTTACATGACTGTTTAAGACCACAGAGCCAGTAAGACCCAAAGCCAGGGTTCCTTTCCACTGTAAGATGCTGCTTTCTACCCTAGAGGGAAAATGTATCTGATACAACAAAATAAAAGAAAACTGAAAACCCCTGGAGCAAGAAGGCACATGGTCAACAACAGAGGTAAAAGGAAGAATGTACTGTTAAATGTTAGAGGCATGCTCCCTGATTCCACTTATTCTTGTTAAGACTGTTCTTCTGGCCGGGTGCGGTAGCTCATGCCTGTAATCCCAGCACTTTGGGAGGCCGAGGTGGGCGGATCACGAGGTCAGGAGATCGAAACCATCCTGGCTAACACAGTGAAACCCCGTCTCTACTAAAAATACAAAAAAAAAAAATTAGCCGGGCGTGGTGGCGGGCGCCTGTAGTCCCAGCTACTCGGGAGGCTGAGGCAAGAGAATGGCATGAACCCGGGAGGCGGAGCTTGCAGTGAGCTGAGATCCCGCCACTGCACTCTAGCCTGGCGGACAGAGCGAGACCCCATCTCAAAAAAAAAAAAAAAAAAAAAAAAGACTGTTCTTCTGATGATAATATCTAAGAACTTTAAATGCAGCAAATACCTGGCCACGCAAATCCCTAGCAAACTAGGAAAAGCTGTTCGTAGTATTCACAAAACCCAAAAATGAAACTTCTCATAACCTACCTACCATGCAATTCCCTATTTTGTAAGAATTTTTCTGGACTTCTTCAAGGTCAAGAAGAAACCTAATAATTTATTTAAGAAAAAGCAACTCTAGAAAAAATGAATAAGTTCTGGAGATGTATTGTACAGCAAACAATGTATCGTACTTGAAAATTCTGGAAGTAGTAAATCTTAAATATTCTCATCACACAAAACTATGTGAAGTGACAGATGTTAACTAGCTTGATTTAATCATTCCACAATGTTTACATATATCAAAACATCACATTGTACACCATAAAGATATACAATTTTTATATATCAATTATACCTTTATAAAGTTGGGAAAAATAAAAACAGACAGGAAGAAGGAGGAGGAGGAGGAGGAGAAAGGATGAGGAGGAGGACGAGGAAGGAGAAAAGAGAAGAAAAGAAAATCTTATAGTTAAACACACACAACTATAGTAAGAGTCTGTTACAAAATTAAACCCCAGGCCCTCAAACACTAAGCAAAGCTTCACTACAAACAAAAGGGATCACAATGACTGCCTCCCCACTGATCTCTCTTCCAGGTCTCTGCTCTCACTCCAGATGGATCAGGAACAGGCCAGACTGGACGGGTAGCTCTTGGCTAGGAAAACAAGTGGCTGTGCAGGTCCACAGGCGGCGCTGCTTGTTAGCAACCAGCTCCCACCACACCCCATACCCCCAGCCCCAGGGTGGAAGCAGCCAAGTCGGCTAGTGAGGACAGAGGACAGGAAATCTGGACAGCCAGATTCCTGTCCCAGTCTGTGTCACTCAGTCAGGGATCAAGGGGCATCCAGCCAGGTTCCATTCCAAGGGTGGTGTCACTTCCCCCAGGGACTAATAGTTGCTCTCCAGCGGATTTAGGCACAAAAAGGGCTGAGTAGCGGATGTGGCAAGAGCAGAATCCACAGCATGCAGAGCTCCATGAGGGACCGAGCTTTTCTAACCTATGGGGGAGAAGGGGCTCTACCAGTGCAGGTCAAGTAGACACAGCCCAGGAAAGGGATTCGAAACAATCTTCTTAGAGCCTGTGTCTCTCCCATGGGAACAAAACAGCTTGGGTTCATGTATGTGCTTTGAATTCCTCAAATGAAAGCCATTCTGCTGAAAACAAAAGCCTCCTTCCTTCCCACCCCCCACACATCAAATGTTTTATAGTCATCAAGTGTCTCCTGGTACTCAGAAAATATGCTATCAAACAGGAAATGAAAAAAAATATCCATTTCTTCCAGAAGGAAGGGGGAGGAATCACATCACATCCCTGTAGAGACAGGAAATCAGCTGATCAGGATCCAAGCCATGCTCTAGGAAATGACTACTCCGTTTTCAATACAGGGGGCTGTGCAGTTCCTCTTAGGCTTCAGTCACTCCCTAGGTAAGAATTTCCAAGCAGGGCCATCCTGTTATGGAGTGTTGGATATTTACCAGTTAAATGTAGGAAATAAAGGCACTCCAATGCCTAATGCCAACCGAAAGCACAGCTCCTCAAACTTCCTACTTTTTACTGATGGATACAGGGAAAAGAGCCAAAAAAGTAATGCTTGCACAACACCCAGAGAAACCACAGGGACCTTTTCCAACAGCTACAGGTGACCCCAATATTTAAAGTCTGCATCCACCCAACCTGAGGTTGTGACTGGGTGTAGGTACAAACCAGAGGCTGAGAATTTTCTTGTTTGCCAACAGCAATTATCATAATAATAGCTTTACATTTCCACAGTGCAGGGCTAGGAGGGACTCAATGCTTCCTTTCTCTACCCCCAATCTAATTCTGAGCTCCTTCCTTTACTGAGGGATATCCCTCCATTTGAGGGAAATGGGCAGGTGTCTTTAGTCTCTGCTACAAAGAAGGTCACAGTGCCTTGTCCAAGGTAGTCAGATGGAACACTTCTAAAGGTTCTCCACGTAAAGGAACCGCAAAATAACTGTTACTCTAAAAATTGTTAGGCAAGTTGGGTGCAGTGGCTCATGCCTGTAATTCCACATACTCAGGAGGCTGAGGCAGGAGGATCACTTGAAGGCAGCAGTTCAAGACAAGCCTAGGCAACACTGCAAGACCCCATCTCTAAAAAATAAACAAATAAATAAACAAACAAAAATTTTAAATCCTTAGGAAACAAAAATTCTCTATATCATATCCACAAAAATTCCTTTCTTTATCCATCTCCACTTTCTAATAATGTCTCCCAATTAAATATGCTAAGCATACATCTGTCTGCAGTAAATGTATTTAAAGCTTCCCTCCACTATTCAATGCAACATACATTTATAGACACTTTGAGCTGGACACTGTCCTAAACATCAGAGATACAAAGATAAGTGAGATGTTCTCGCAGCTCTCAAGGTGCTCACAGTCTTATGGAGGGAAAAAAAGGCAAATAACTTGTTATTCAGAGGGATCTGACATCAAAAAGGAAAAACAGGTGCTGGACAAGGTGTCTCACACCTATAATCCAACACTTTGGGAGGCTTAGGTGGGAGGATAGCTTGAGGCCAGGAGTTCAAGACCAGCCTTGGCAACATAGTGAGACCCTGTCTCTACAAAAAAAAAAAAAATAATAAAACTGAGCTGGGCATGATGGCATGTGCCTGTATTCCTAGCTTACTCAGGAGATGGAGGCAGGAGGATCGCTTTAGCCCAGGAGTTCAAGGTTACAGTGAGTTATGATCATGTCACTGCACCCCAGCCTGGGTGAAAGAACAAGACTCTGTCTCTTAAAAAAAAAAAAAAAAAAAAAAAAAAAAGGCCGGGCGCAGTGGCTCACACCTGTAATCCCAGCACTTTGGGAGGCTGAGGTGGGTGGTTCACCTGAGGTCAGGAGTTAGAGACCAGCCTGGCTAACATGGTGAAACCCCGTTTCTACTGGAAATGCAAAAAATTAGCCAGGCATGGTGGCACACGTCTGTAATGCCTGTAATCCCAGCTCCTCGGGAGGCTGAGGCAGGAGAATTGCTTGAACCCGGGAGGCGGAGGTTGCAGTGAGCCGAGATCACACCATTGCACTCCAGCCTTGGGCAACAAGAGCAAACTCCATCTCGAAAAAAAAAAAAGTAAAGAAAAGAAAAGGGGTAAAAAAAAGTTGGCTTAGAATTCTTCACTTCTTAGCCACAGCATCTAGGGAACGTTGATTTACCCAGCAAAAGGAACCCTTTTCTCAAGGAATCTCTGAAAATATTTTCACTTTCTTCATTCCCAACTTAACACATCCAAATGATGCTGCTCAAAATTTCAAGGATATAAATTAGTATGACATATAAGAGCAGGAACATCTCCACAATAGAAGAGAACTCTTGAGTCAGCTCTTGTAGGAAGTTCTGCAAAACCGCACCCAGGAAACTTGATCTGAACAATGAGATGAGTGTACTAACTTTTCCCTACTGTCAGTACTTCCCAGAGCCAGAGAATGGGACATGTAGGAGGATTTATCTGAAAACAGAGAAAGGAGTAGAAACCAAAACTCACATCATTCCCATAGGCCAAAACTCCCCACCAAGGCAGTCTCAGTACCATTTCAATGTTTAATGTGACTACAAAAGGTCATTTAGTATTGTTATTGCCTCCAGGCTAGTTACAGCTAAATCATGCCACAAAAAATAGGGAGGCATCTAGCCTAATGTTTTTAAAGCTAAAGCCCAATCATTAGAAATATATTAGGGTGTTGGCTATATTTATACTCTGTTCAAAGGACCAGTAATCTTCATCTTCTGATAATGAGAAGAATTCCCCATGAATGGGGGGGAAAAATAAACTCTGAAAGGGATCTTTTCCCCTTCGGGGGCAGGTACCGACATTTCAACACAAGACTTTGAGTCCAAAATACTCAGAGAAAAAAAAAATGGAGTGGGGCCTTTCTATTAACAAAAAGAATATTGTATTAGGAGACCTCAAGACCCCTAAATCAAGCAATCAAAACATTCTGCTCCCTAAGCCACAGCCACAGAAGAGTTAAAACCATCAAACTCCATTTCCTTTCCTCTCCATTTCAAATCATTTGGGGGAGGGGAGGAGGAGTGGAATAGAAAGACAGGTTGCAGTCAAAGTCTGGACAGCTAAAGGCAGGGTGGTCCACTGCATATGTGAACCTCAGAGATGGGAATGATAACTAACCAATAATGTGTGTGTGATAGGAGGGTGTCAGTGAAGGAGAAAAATAAGATGGGGCAAAAGGAGTTAGCAGGAATAGAAACAAGAGGTTTTACACTACTTCAATAGCAACCTCTACTGGCAAATGCAAGGAGGTCCTGGCCACCCTTAAGGTCTAGGGCTGGTAAGACAAGTGAGAGAAAGGATTATGCCCATCCCTGGTCTTACTCTGACTGTCCTGCATTTTTCTCCTGGATTTCCTAAATCTAACCTAAGCCTTTTCTCCAGATTCACTCTAATGAGAAAGTAAGTAGATGGCTGGTACAGTTTTATAGCAAAGAAAATAAATGGCAATTAACAACTGGTTTGCACCAGAGAAGCCAGTTTGCCTAATTAGCCTGCTGGTTCCAAGAAGCTTCTCTCTGCAATACGCCAGCCTTTAATATTTATGTTTTTAATAAAGCCATATCCCCACCTCTCACAAGGTAGCATCCTCCCATCCATCCCCTTTTCAGCCCTCTTCCTACACTTACTATCTCTTTTTCCCAATGTGAAGTCTTGAATCCCACCCACTAAAGGAGAAAACATAACCTGTTGCACAAGTATTTCATTTACGGGCAGTTCTCTCAGGCACACACCCCATCTTGACAGGCAGCCAAGATGATGTCAGCCAGGTAAGTGTTCCCTTAGGCTTCCGGCTCTAAGCACCTGATCTTTAGAAGGGTGTGAAGTACTAACAAAATCCAATCACATCAACATTTACTGAGTACTTGCTAAATGTAGGACATTGTGTTAGGCAAAATTGGGACTAGAAAGAATAAATCACCATGAGCCCAAGCAGCACAATCTAACTGGGCAAATGTGTGATAAGTTAAATAACAAATAATAAAATACAAGTGACGATACACGGCATTTCATGGTCAACTGGCAAATGAGTGGTAGAAATTAATGCTATGAGTTATGAAGCAGAATGAGTTATCATGGGTTAGCTTTCCAGTGGATTAATGTAAAAGGGAGGACTTGAACTGAGCTTCAAAGGTAAGTAAAATTTTACCAGGAGGTGAGGGAAAGACTACAGAAAAGGGTGCAATAGCAGAAATCTTTTTTTTTTTTTGAGACGGAGTCTCACCCTGTCACCCAGGCTGGAGAGCAGTGGCGTGATCTCGGCTCACTGCAAGCTCCACCTCCTGGGTTCACGCCATTCTCCTGCCTTAGCCTCCCGAGTAGCTAGGACTACAGGCGCCCGCCACCACGCCTGGCTAATTTTTTTTTGTATTTTTAGTAGAGACGAGGTTTCACCGTGCTAGCCAGGATGGTCTTGATCTCCTGACCTTGTGATCCATCAGCATCCCAAAGTACTGGGATTACAGGCGTGAGCCACCGTGCCTGGCCCTATGGCAGAACTCTTAAGTATCAAAGGGAGACTCAAAAGTAAGGCAGCCCAGTGCAGTGGTGCAGTCCTGTAGTCTCAGCTACTCAGGGGGCACTGCTTAAGACCAGGAGTTTGAGGCTGCACTGTGCTATGATGGTGCCTGTGAACAGCCACTGCACACTAGCCTGGGCAATGTAGCAAGACCCTGTCTCTAAAAAAAAAATAAAAAATAAAAATGTAAGCCAGATGTATGGTAATAAAAATAAATAAGAGGTAAGGCTCATGAGTCAAGAAGAGACACAACCAACCTAAAGGAATATAAAGGATGTAAAGGTGCAGTTCCAAAGCAAGCCTGGCAAGAAAAAACCTGTAAGGATACAAACCAAAGCTTGAACAGTGGTTACCCTGACCAGTGGGCCTAGGTGGAGAAAATAAAGACTAGAAAAGAGAATTTTTACTTTTTTCTTTGTAATTTCTGCTTAAATGTATTACAGTGAACATGTTTAATTTTGTAATAATACAAAAGAGAGTTACATAAACATAGCAGGCCTATGTTTTTTCCTCTTAATCACTAGGACATTTTTTTTTTTAAGTAACTTACAACATCTCACATCTGACTAGGGCCCCATGGCAAGACTGCAACCAGTAGGTAAGAAATGTGAACTGACTTCACATTCTCTTTCCCAATGAAAACAATAACAGCTCAAAGGAACACAAGTAAAGGTCACTTCCCTGACCCCTTAAGTTGGCACCATTCCAGAACTAGGAGTTTTTAGAGAAAAGGAGACTCAAGCCAAACAGTTCTATTCAAGGAAGTGAAGGAAAAGTATATACTGAGTTAAGAGCTGGAGTTCTGAAGTCCAACAGAGCTACACATAAATGACTGCTCTACCATTTACTGGGTGAGAGAACTTGAGCAAGTTATTTCACTGGCTGAGACCCACTTTTCTCCTCTGCAAAATGAGATAATCTATTTCACAGGGTTATCATGAGAATTAAGTGGATTAATGTATATAAAGTGCTTAACACAGTCCATTCCTGGCACATAGTAAGAAATTAATGAAAGCCACTATTATATTATTATTAAATCATTCAGCCCAGAAAACGAAGGAACTCCCACCAACGCTACACACCAGGTCCACCTCAGCTCTTTCCTAAATGCTGCCAAAAATCAAAATGCAGAATTAGCAGGACAAGAAGAGCTTTTATTTTCTTTTTGAGATAGAGTCTCTCGCTCTGTTGTCAGGCTGGCGTGCAGTGGCGTGATCTCAGCTCACTGCAATCACTGCCTCCTGGGCTCAAGCAATTCTCCTGCCTCAGCCTCCCAAGTAGCTGGGATTACAGGCGTGTACTACCATGCCCAGCTACTCTGTTATTTTTAGTAGAGTCGGGGTTTCGCCATGTTGGTCTCAAATTCCCAACCTCAGGTGATCCACCTGCCTCACCCTCCCAAAGGGCTGGGATTACAGGCTTGAGCCAAGGCACCCGGCCAACAGGACAAGGAAAGTTTTAACTCTAGTTAAATCTTAGTAATAAATCTTAAAAGACCAAAGAAAGTTAATTTCATATATGTTCACTCCTCTGTCCAGGTTACAAAGTGACTAAACCATTTGTTTTGATTTTTTTGTTTGTTTTTTGTGTGGTTTTTTTTTTGGAGACAGAGTCTTGCTCTGTTGCCCAGGCTGGACTGCAGTGGCACAATCTTGGCTCACCGCAATCTCTGCCTCCCAAGCTCAAGTGATTGTCCTGCCTCAGCCTCCCAAGTAACTGGGATTACAGGCACCCACCACCACGCCCAGCTAATTTTTTTGTATTTTTAGTAGAGACAGGGTTTCACCACGTTGGCCAGGCTGGTCTCGAACTGACCTCAGGTGATCCACATGCCTTGGCCTCCCAAAGTGCTGGGATTACAGGCATGAGCCACCGTGCTCGGCCCTAAACCATTTGTTATAGGATGAATTGTATCCCCCAGAAAGATGTCCTAACCCCAGGGACTGTGAATGTGACTTTATCTGGAAATAGGGTCTTTACAAATGATCAACTTAAGATGAGGTCATTCGAAAAGGCTCTAACCCAATATAACTAGTGTTATAAAAAGGGGACATTTGAACACAGACAGACATATACAGATGTGAAGGCGGTGAGAGAACATCATTTACAAGCCAAGGAACATCTGAGGCAACCAGAAACTAGAAGAGATGCATGGAACAGGTTCTCCCTCACAGCCTTCACAAGGAATCAACTCTGCTGACAACTTGATTTCAGACTTCTCGCCTCCAGAACTGTAAGACAATAAATATCTGTTGTTTAAGCCACCCAGTTTGTGGTACTTCGTTATTGTTATTACTATGAGACAGGGTCTCACTATGTTGCCCAGCTGGTCAAAAAAAATGGCATTTATCCTGTCATAAATTATATGTTTTTGCTGTCGTTTGCTTTGTTTTGTTTGAGACAGAGTCTTGCGCTGTCGCCCAGGATGGAGTGCAGTGGCGCAATCTCAGCTCACTGGAACCTCCGCCTCCCGGGTTAAAGCGATTCTCCTGCCTCAGCCTTCCAAGTAGCTGGGATTACAGGCGCATGCCACCACGCCCAGCTAATTTTTGTATTTTTAGTAGAGATGGGGTTTCACTAATGTTGGCCAGGCCGGTCTTCAACTCCTGACCTCAGGCGATCCGCCCACCTAGGCCTCCCAAAGTGCTGGGATTACTGGCCTAAATTATATATTGTAAAAAGAAATTTTAATCTAAAATCAAAAAGATGGATTATTTAAAAACAGACAGGACCTGGCTATATGCACACTTCCTTCCCTACTAATTCTCATTTCCCAAAGGTGAGAATACCATTACAGAAAAGGACATAAGGACCAAGCGAGGGTCTAAATCCTTTTGAATCTGGTATATCTGCTTCCCTAAGCATCTCCCGAATGAATGGAAGGAAGAAAAGACAACTCACGGATATTGAGTATCCACTGCATGTTTCACATATGCTAGGTGCTAATACGTATTATCTTATTCAAACCTCACAATATCCCTGCAAGGTAAGAACTATTCTCCCCACTACTAACGAGGAAATCAATGTTTAGAAAGGTTAAGTAAGTTGCCCAAGGTCATATAGCCAGGAAGTGGCTGAGTCAAGATTCAAACCCCTTGTTCTTAATGACACCAACCTGCTTGAACAAGTACTTTTGAACCAATTCCCTAGATAAAATTTTCTTCCAATCTTTGCTTGAAATCACTATATGTTGAATGAATCACTGAACAGACTTTACAAATCTCATCTAATCCCTCCGTTTTTGTGTTTTACTCTTTTTTCATTTTTTGTCTTTTTTTGTTTAATTGCTTTTGAGTTTGATAATCCCTCCATTTTTATAATAAGGAAATAGGCCCAAAGACGACAAGTGACTTGACCAAGGTCACAAATAAATTAGTGGCAGAATCAAGTATCCAATCAAAGTTTCCTGATTTCCATCACACCACATAAGTTTGAGAGCAATAGCAA
Source organism: Homo sapiens (assembly GCF_000001405.40). NCBI lineage: Eukaryota > Metazoa > Chordata > Mammalia > Primates > Hominidae > Homo > Homo sapiens. Next base: position 39,124,942 of record NC_000001.11, on the reverse strand, counting down.
TACATGAAAATAGAGCACAGATGCTGGAATAAGAGTGTCTCAGCTCAAATCCTGATTCTGCCACTGACTGGCTATGTGATCTCAGGCAAGTCACTTAACCTGTTTGTTCTGTTTCTTCATCCGAAAATGGAGATAATATTTATTTCACATGGTTGCTCTAAGGACTGAATGAAATAATATATGCATAAAGTACATAAAAATTATGCCTGGCACATTAATAAGTACAAGATGTGTTAATGCTGCTGCTATAACTACCATTAAATAATGCTAGGCAAAACACCAAAGAGTGTACACACACAATACAGCTTTATAAAACTGCAGACAAACGTACTCATTGAGAGATAAAGAGAAAAAGAGGAAGAGGAGAAAGCCTCTTTATTCCTGTAAATTTGCCTAATTTAATTATTAGTAATAACACTTATTGAGTATGCTAGGCTGTGCTAGACTCAGTGCTTAATATGATACAGACATTACTAAATTTCATTAAATCTAAGATAGTGTCAGTTGCAAAATGCACCATGTCATTTACTCTCCCCCACAACCCTATGAAATAGAGAGTTCCCCTATTACACATATGAGAAACTGTCACAGAGAGTTCAAATAATTTATCTAAAGTCACACAGGTAGTAAGTGGCCAAACCAGGTTTCAATCCCAGGTCTGTCCAACTCCAAAGCCCCTTGCACTAACCACCTAATCACAAACTTGGTGCTTCTCAAACTTTAACGGGCACAGAATCGAATTAAAAAACCACCTGGGGGCCTGGCATGGTGGCTCATGCCTGTAATCCTAGCACTTTGGGAGGCCAAGGTGGGCGGATCACTTGAGCTCAGGAGCTTGAGACCAGCCTGGGCAACATGGCAAAGCCCCATCTCTACAAAAAAAAAAAAAAAAATACAAGAATTGGTCGGGTGCAGTAGCTCACGCCTGTAATCCCGCACTTTGAGAGGCCAAGGCAGGCGGATCATGAGGTCAGGAGTTTGAGACCAGCCAGTTTGAGACCAGCCTGGCCAACACAGTGAAACCCCATCTCCACTAAAAATACAAAAAAAATTAGCCAGGCATGGTAGCATGCGCCTATAATCCCCAGCTACTCAGGAGGCTGAGGCAGGAGAATTGCTTGAACCCAGGAGGCAGAGGTTGCAGTGAGCCAAGATCATGCCACTGCACTTCAGCCTGGGTGACAGAACAAGACTCTGCCTCGGACAAAAAAAAAAAAAAAAAAAACAAAACAAGAATTAGCCGGGCATGGTGGCACGAGCCTGTAGTCCCAGCTATTTGGGAGGCTGAGGTGGGAGGATCACCTGAGCCCGGGGAGATTGAGGCTGCAGTGAGCTGTCATCACACCACTGCACTCCAGGCTGGGTGACAGAGTAAGACTCTGCCTCAAGAAAAAAAAAATCACCTGGGAATCTTGATAAAATTAAAATTGATTCAGGCCAGGCACAGTGGCTCACACCTGTAATCCCAACACTTTGGGATGCCGAGGCGGGTGGATCATCTGAGGTCAGCAGTTCGAGACCAGTCTGTTCAACATGGTAAAACCCCATCTCCACTAAAAATACAAAAATTAGCCGGGTGTGATGGCATGCACCTGTGGTCACAGCTACTCAGGAGGCTGAGGCACGAGAATCGCTTCAACCTGGGAGATAGAGGTTGCAGTGAGCCAAGATCGCACCACTGCACTCCAGCCTGGGCAACAGAGCGAGACTCTCTCAAAAAAAAAAAAAAAAAAAAAAAATTTATATATATATGTATCTAACAAGCTATCAGATGCTGCTGGTCCTTGGACCACCACTGACTGCCAAGTTATGCTATTCTGCTTCTGATTACTACAACTCCTCCTCCTCCTGGATCACCACCTCCATCCTTGATCTCAGTGATCAGCTAATGAAAAAGATCTACTCCCAAATGACTGAGGAACCTCCTAATTAGTCCTTTGTTTCTCTGCTACTTTTGCTATTCCCTCCTCTCCCCTCCCAGACCCCACCCTCCTTTCTAAGGTAGGCTACATAAAGCTACCTAAGAGGAAGCTAACAGCGTTCACAATGAATGGCTGTGGTATCTAAGGAAACTATGTTAACCTTGGATGATCTGGGGTAACAAGGTCTAACTCAAAACCCACTTCAACATTGTGACTCTGGCGAGAATGCTTCTGGAATAAACTGGAAACTATGGGTTATTTACTCTCATCATTTCTCCAAAGATAATGGGTGTGACCTTTCCCCACCCCCACTCTCAGCTTAGGTCTCTGAGCAACACAGGTAATTATGATCTGCCCACTTACTACTGAAACCGCTGATTTCAACTGGGTTTAATCCTCACCTGCTCTACCTGCCCTACATTTTAGACATAGTTTTTGTTTGTGCTCTTAGCGCTTAACAGTACTACCAGCCGAGCACAGTGGCTCACGCCTGTAATCCCAGCACTTTGGGAGGCTGAGGCAGGTGGATCATGAGGTCAGGAGTTCAAGACTAGCCTGGCCAAGATGGTGAAACCCCATCTCTACTAAAAATACAAAAAATTAGCCAGGCATGATGGTGGGCACCTGTAATCACAGCTACTCGGGAGGCTGAGGTACAGAATTGCTTGAATCCAGGAGGCAGAGGTTGTAGTGAGCCGACATCGCGCCACTGTACTCCAGCCTGAGTGACAGAACAAGACTCCATCTCAAAAAAAAAAAAAAAAAGAATATTACCAAACACAGAAGTGGCTGCACTGTACAAGTATGTTACATAATCACCTTTCTGTAGTTATTCTGGATCCCTGGTTAAAAAGAAAGTCTGAAATGTGAATTATATACGATACAACTGAGTGGGAGTATGTGCAACACAGAATTTTTTTTTACTCAAGAGCGCTACAGACACAACCCCACTGCTCCATGGGGCTGTCTTAAGGTAAACAATTTTTGTAACTCTACTTGAGTAGTTCAAATCAGACCATTTTCAAGAGTAGTCTGATCTGGGAATCTTAAAGCAACCCAGACCACAAATCCAAAATTTTCCTGTGCCTTAAGGTAAAAGAGGGCCAAATGGAGTTAATCGGGCCTGGGTTCAAAACCCAGTTCAGTCACTTACTAGCTGTGTGACCCTCTGGGAAGTGATTTAGGTTCCTTAAGCCTCAGTTCTCTCATCTGTAAAATCTAGTAAGGTTACTGGACTATCATAGGATATCATTTATGACAATTAAATAAGACTGGCCTGGCGCGGTGGCTCACGCCTATAATCCTAGCACTTTGGGAGGCCAAGACGAGCGGACTACCTGAGGTCAGGAGTTTGAGACTAGCCTGGCCAAAATGGCGAAACCCCGTCTCTACTAAAAATATAAAAAGTTAGCCCGGAGTGGTGGCACGCGCCTAGTCCCAGCTACTCAGCAGGCTGAGGCACAAGAATCACTTGAACCCGGGAGGCGAAGTTGTAGTGAGCCGAGATAGTGCCACCGCACTCCAGACCAGGCAACAAAGCAAGACTCTGTCTCAAATAAATAAATAAATAAATAAATAAAATAAAACAAAATACCCGGCATATAGTAAGGACTCAATATATATTAGCTTCTTCCCTTTTGCTTCCCCCACCCCTTTTCATAGAGATAATACAGTTAAGTCCATAATACACATTAGTACCAAATCACATAAAGGAACTGTGATTAAGCATCGTTTTATTTAAACTTTTTTAAAACCCACTTACCTGGTAAGGAGATATGGCGTTAGCTTGAGCAAGTTATTGTGCCTTTCCATGCCTCTTTTCCTTATGGGGAACAAGAGTGAACTAACTTAACATTTCCAATTCATTCATTCAATATTGATTGGAGCAGCTACTTTATACCAGAAACTCTTCTAGGTGCTAGGGAAATTAGTTAATACACAAATAAAAACCTCTATTCTTAAGAAGTTTGCATTCTAGTGCTCACTTAAGCAACACATATACTAAAATTGGAACAACAGAGAGGTTAGGGAGGCCCCTGCACAAGGATGACACACAAATTCGTGAAGTGTTCCACATTTTTAAAAAATAGTTAGAATAAGACCTACTATTTGATAGCACAAAAGGGTGACTATAGTCAATAATAACTTAACTATACATTTTAAAATAACTTAGAGTGTAATTAGATTGTTTGCAACACAAAGATAAATGCTTGAGGGATAGACACCCCATTCTCCATGATGTGCTTATTTCACATTGCATGCCTGTATCAAAACATCTCATGTACCTCATAAATACATACACCTATTATGTACCCACAAAAAATTTAAAAACAAATTTTTAAAAGAAGTTTGCATTGTTGGCCGGGTGTGGTGGCTCACACCTGTAATCCCAACACTTTGGGAGGCCAAGGCGGGCAGATCACGAGGTCAGGAGTTCGAGACCTGCCTGGCCAACATGGTGAAACCCTGTGTCTACTAAAATACACAAATTAGCCAAGTGTGGTGGTGCACACCTGTAATCCTAGCTACTCGGGAGGCTGAGGCAGGAGAATCTCTTGAACCCAGAATGCAGAGGTTACAGTGAGCAGAGACAGCGCCACTGCACTCCAGCCTGGCCAAGAGTGAGACTCAGTCTCACTCTTGTAGTAGGAAGACTCAGACAACAATCAAAATAATTAAAATATGTTACATGATAACAGGGAGTTCCAGGAGTCAGGTGAAGTAGAATTATAACATTCCAAAGGGGAAAGTGAATTTGAGAAACAGAGGTTAAAGGCTTATGCAGTTTTAAAATTCTATGAAATAGAAATTAGAAAATGGTATAAAGAGGCTTTATTGGCCAGGTGCGGTGGCTCACGCCTGTAATCCCAGCACTTTCGGAGGCCAAGACAGGTGGATCACCTGAGATCAGAAGTTCAAGACCAGCCTCATCAATATGGAGAAACCCCGTCTCTACTAAAAAATACAAAATTAGCCAAGCGTGGTGCCGCATGTCTGTAATCCCAGCTACTCAGGAGGCTGAGGCAGTAGAATCGCTTGAACCTGGGAGGCAGAGGTTGCGGTGAGCCGAGATCATGCCATTGCACTTCTTTAGCCTGGGCAACAAGAGCAAAACTCTGTCTCAAAAAAAAAAAAAAAAAAAAAAAAAGAGGCTTTATTATATTCTGCACATTACAATTCTCCATCTGATAGCAACACTTTAAACTATGAAATGGACAGAATATATATTTAGTATACACAAAGCATTCAGTATTTAGAATTTCTCCACTGGATGGACGGGAAAAGCATTCACTAAAATCGGGAACATAGAAGAAGAGGCAGGTCCAGGAGCAGGGAGGGGGACAACAATGCCCCTTTTGGACATATCAAGTATGCAACATCTGTGGGACAACCACGTGGAAAGAAACATTGTGAAAGGTGCTGGAAGTTGCTGAAAACACTAAGAAATAAAACAACCAGCATCATTTGCAAAGTAGCTCAATTCATGAAGTGCATCATATGCATCTCATCAGACACAATCTAGACCTTCAAAGAGATCACAATACAGCTGGGAAGTTCAAACAAATACACACAAAAAGTAACAACAACAACAACAACAACAAACTAAGAAATGTTATAATGGAGTTTTGGCTTAAGGAATTACAAGAATTACAATTATAACACTTGTTTGTTTTTCTGGTTGTTTTTTTTTTTTTTTTTTTTTGAGACGGAGTTTCGCTCTTGTTGCCCAGGCTAGAGTGCAATGGTGCGATCTCGGCTCACCGCAACCTCCGCCTCCCGGGTTCAAGCGATTCTCCTGCCTCAGCCTCCCAAGTAGCTGGGATTACAGGCATGGGCCACCACGCCAGCTAATTTTGTATTTTTAGTACAGACGGGGTTTCTCCATGTTGGTCCCGCTGGTCTAGAACTCCTGATCTCAGGTGATCTGCCCGCCTTGGCCTCCCAAAGTGCTGGGATTACAGGTGTGAGCCACCGTGGCCTATAACACTTGTTATATTTAAAGACCACAATGAAATCACCATTTAGTTTTCCAATTTCTAGAACTTTTATTTATTTAACTTTCCATATCATCACAAGCTTATTTATTGAAGATATACATCTTTATAAGTCAGAAAATAAGAAAAAGAGGAGGAGGAGGAGGAGACAAAAGGATGCTGGAGTTTCGGCTCTGCTGTCAGACAATACATATAGGCAAGGCAAAGTGAAGTAACTAACGACAGCAACAAATACTATTTTCTGCGCTTATTAGCCCCCTTAATACTGCCCCCAAACCTATTTCCTCTTACCACAGCACCTGTGCTACAGCTACACAAGATATTTTGTCTTATGCCTTCACGACCACATACTCATGCCAAGGCCTAGACCATTCCTTCCAATGCCTCACTGCTTTCCAGGTACTTCCCACAGGATAATCAGAGAAAGGAGGCCTGAGAGATGGGCACCTAATGCTCCATCTATCTTTCTCTCCCACAGGGAAAGTAAAGAAAATTTCCAGCCCTTTGGCAGTTCCTCATTCTTCCTAATAAAGGCAGTGTTACATGAATACTGTTATTACACTTATTAACAATAAGAACAAGAATGAAAACAAGGATCCAGTCCTCTGAAAGGTATGAGGACCTCAAAGTACCCCACCTACTCTGGTCCCTGTTTTCCATTTGGGAAACTAACCAACAAAGGCTGGGACAAGTCCTACATTCTTCCCCTCTAGAGGTGACTCAGGCCAGGTCAGTTAGCTTCTTTCCCTACACTGACCCATGCTCAGGCTGCAGCTAGCTTTGGCTGCTGCTCTGTCTGTGGTGCTTGTGAGCACACGAATGTTTGTAGTAGGTCTGGAATAAATTTTCTCAAGTTACAAAGATAACTGTACCAGAAGAGCCAAGCCTTCCAGGCACTCTCCCTGCTGGAAACTGGAGCCTCCCATTTCAGTGACAGGTTACCACTAGAGAGCAAAGGTCCTGTTAGGATCCTGCCCCATATGTATAGATAATATGGCAAAAAGGTCCTGCATGACTAGAAAGGATATCAGAGAGAAATTACCTGGCATCAAAGGGCCACAGGTGGCAGCTCTCTGCCATCTTAGTTGGAGCTGAAGATGATCTGGTCTCTGTTAATCCTCTTCCTCACTGACTACATGTCTTTTTAGGATATCTTCTACTGTGAATATGATAGCTAAATGAGGAGCAATAATCCATTATTTGTTCAACCGCTTACACATTCTTTATTGTCTTTTGTCATTTGTAATGTGTATTATATACTGTAAATCCCTAGAGGACAGAGGGTTTATGAACTCTCAGTGTTATATACTATATTCTACATTCAAAGAGGCTCTTAACAGAGACATTTTTGCTGATGGTGATAACAATAGTAGAGGAAGTCTGTATACACAAAGGGGCATGCCCTGAAGTCAACCATTCATGGCAACAGGTGAAGCCACAGGCAAGGGACACCCAAGTACACACACACACACACACACACACACACACACACCTCTTGCAGGTTGAGAGACAAATTGCACTGGACAAGCCAAACCAGGGAGTGAAACAAGATCAAAGATTCTCCAAATTAGTGGAGACATACTTCCACTCCCCAGTGTGACTCATGGCAAGTTTATCTGATAAGAGTCCAGCTTCACAAAACAAGGAGCGCAAAACAAGGCACACTGTGGCGAACATGGCAATAAACAAACAAAGATGCGGAATGTGCCAATGGGAAAGAACTACATCAATTCTGAGCTGGCCCTAACACATTAGGAAATATCCTCTACACTGGAATAAAAGTGAAAAAAAACCAAGCAAGTAGAGGGCAAAGGGTAACTAATACTCTTTTTAGATATAAAGGTCAGATAAACTCTGAAGGACACTATCACATCTGAAAGGTGGTGGTTATATTGAACCTGTTAAGGTAAAGCAGGTAGGGCTCTGAGTCATGAGAACAAATCTATCTCCTTCATTGCCTGCCTGCCAAAATAAACAAGAAGGAGGCTGCATTTTCCACAACAGCCTCTCTGTCCAGTCTTGTAAACACCCAGGTCTTCACAAGCCTAGTACAAATTAACTACATAACCTTCATGGAAAGCAAAGCTCAACTGCCCTGGGGAGAGTAGTAAAGCTAACCTGTTAAGACTAATGAAGAAGCTAGGCCTGGAGTTCACTCATGGAGAGTGAGTGAATCCTCCACTATCCATGTCAGATAATGAGATGGGGATTAAAGACCACAAGTGAGGAAAGCCTCTCTCTATGTCAAGAGTCAAGATGTCCTGTCCAAAAGTCAAATTATCTCAACAAAAACTTAAGAATTAATTTCTGCATAGTATTTAGCTAAATGACAGGCAGGAATGCAAAAGTTACATATATGCTTCTTCCCAGAGGAGTAGACAATTTCACTGGGGAGCCAAAATACAAGCCAGCCAGAGAACAACAGTACAAACAATCAATAATCAAACTGATGCTACATTTTAAGACAAACTACAAGGACCCCATATTCTTCCGTCAAAACTATGCTGGAAAATTCTGATCCTAGATCAATCTACCTGTCTGCCTTGGAATCTATTACAATCAGGTTGTTGAGTGCTTCTAGGGCTAGAGGGAAAACACACACACATACACACACACACGTGCACACACACACACACACATACACACTCACCCCTTCTTTCCTTCCTCCTGACTCTCAGCAAATAACTTCACCTCCTACTTCATAGAGAGAGTATGAGCATCAGGAGAAATTCCCTCAAGTTCCTACACCTCTAACCAACCAACTTAATCACCTGCATTCTTATTTTTAACCCTCTGATCTTTCTAAAAGACACAACTTTTGACTCTAGAGCCCATGCTCCATCAATTTTTCTCCCCGTCTTTGAATTGTATTATATCTTCCTTCTCTACTGGCTCTTTCAAAACAGCACTTAAAATAAACATGCTCAAGTCTCTCCTGTGTTACAATACATAAACAAAACTCTCCCCACCCTTCTTCACCTGTCTTCCTCCTCTCTCTTCCTTCAAAGTCCAAGTTCCAAAGGTCACTGACTCCTCTTCTGCACTTTCCATTCACTTCCCACAACTCCACTGAAAATGTTCCAGTAGCAGTAACCTTTATTTTGGACATCTGTAGTCTTTGCCTTATTTGACCTCTGCATAATCTACAATGTGTGTCACACTCTCCTTGAAACTCACTTCTCTCCTGTTCCTCTTACCTTTCTGGCCACTCCCTTTCTGTGGACAATTTCCTTCAGGAGATCCTCTTTCTCTGCTTCTGACACCACTCTCCTGTTGGAGTTCCCCAGAGTTTTTGTCTCAATATACATACACTCCTAAAGCCAGCTCCTTCTCCCCTCCTATGGCTGTGGTTTGATAAGCTGATGACTCTCTCACCCTCTCACCTATCACTCTCCTAAGTTTCATGTTCATTACAACCAACTACCTCCTGGACATCTCTACCTAGCATCCCTCAGAAGCCTCGACCGCAATGTAACCTAAATTAAACTCAGTATCTTCTCGTGGACCATCACTGCCACCACTTCACAGAAAATAACCTTCCTCCTCTTATATTCTCTATTTTAGTTCATGACACGACCCACCCACACAAATACTCAAGCCAGAAACCTCCAAGTCATCCTAGGTTCTTCCCTCTCCCCCTCATATACCACATACAATTAGTCATCAAAACACATGGATGTTACCCCTTCACATTTCTTGATTTGCCTGCTTTATTACATTACTATTTTCACAACCTTAGTTTCACTCCCTGCCTAAATTCCTGTGACAGCTTCCTAACTTGTCTGCCACTAGTCTTTCCTCCTCGCCCCTACCTTCCTTGGCACTGCTGCCAGAGGAAAAGTACTCCTAAAATGTAAATCTAAGCATAGTCTTCCTTGCCTACTTTTATTCAATGGCTCCCAAAAGCCTTTAGGATAAAGTCCAAGCTCTATACAATATGACATACAAAGCCAGTCAACATTTTTGTCCTGCCCACTCTCCCTATCTCATCTCATCTCTCCTTCCCTCACATCCTATGCTCCAACCTTATCAATGCCCAATATTCCCCCTCTCAAGCTTGCTCATCCCCTTACTTCTGTTCATGCTGCCCAGAATGCTCTTTCCCCAAACTTTTTGCTCAGGGTCCCACATCCTTTAGGTAACAGTTCAGGTTTCACTTACTCTTGGATGCCTTCCTGGACACTTTCTCACTCTGGCTATACTGGGTACTCCTCTTCACTACCACAGCATCAGCATTTATCTATATGATAGCCCTCCCTACAATAGACAGTAACTGTCAGTTTGCCAATATGTTTCCTCCATTTAACAGTAAGATCATAGAGAGACAAGGACAATATCTTTGTCTTCTCAGCACATCACCTACTCCCTGGTTCATGGTAGACATTCAATAAATACTTATTAATTTATTCTTCATGCGGCTTTCTCTGATTACTCTAAAATTAATATTTCCTCTGTCATCCAGGCTGGAGTGCAATGGCGTGATCATAGCTCACTGTAGCCTCAAACTCCTGGACTCGTGATCCTCCTGTCTCAGCCTCCCAAATAGCTGGGACTACTGTGTTTCCATAATGAAGTTTTATGCTCTTTTAATCTAGGGACTTTTTACACTTCTTATGTATGTGGATTACTTGGCAGGGAATTTCTCTTGAGAGAAGGGTCAAAGGGGCGAGCATATCAATGCATATGTTATTTTTAGAGTCATGGACTTTGATTTATATTTTTGAAAGTGCCGAATCCTAGCCACTAGACCACCAGGGAAGCCAACTGATTTATATTTTTGAATAATTTCTTTTCATATTATGAACACATATTAATGTGGAAAATTGTAAAAAAAAAAAAAAAACAGTAAAGTATACAGAGCTTTAGACAATATGCTTTCTGTGGTTGTTGGGTGGGGGTGTGTAGGGGCAGGGGATAGAGAGGCAAGCTGACCAACAGGTAGATGCTTGGGAAAAAATGGAGTGAGCAACGATGGGACCTTTTTTTTTTTAAGACGGAGTCTCACTCTGTCACCCAGGCTGGAGTACAGTGGCACAATCTGGGCTCTCTACAACCTCCACCTCCTGGGTTCAAGCGATTCTCTTGCTTCAGCCTCCCAAGTAGCTGGGACTACAGGCATGTACCACCATGCCTGGCTAATTTTTGTATTTTTGGTAGAGATGGGGTTTCGCCAAGTTGGCCAGGCTGGTCTCAAACTTCTGACCTCAGGTGATCCACCCACCTCGGCCTCCCAAAGTGCTGGGATTACAGGTGTGAGCCACCGTACCTGGCCAAGGATGGGATCTTTTTTGCTTGCCTGGGATCTGATATCCTCCACTTGCTGTGGCTACCTAAAATTGTGTTATAGTGGAAGTCTGCTTTCATTTGGCACAAGCTTTTATTTTTCTCTGTTTAAAATTGCTTTCTTCTGTATGACCATGTGTCAACCATCAGGAATGTTCCAATTATCAGGGATGATTTGAGTAGTCACCTAAGACTAATTAAATAATTGGTCAGTCAGCATCTTTCTTTTAGACAAGAGCATTGCCAGATGTACTGTTGGATTCCCTCTTACCATGGCAAATTTCCATAGTGATTTTTATTCAGAACGATAAACACAATTCGTTTGTGTTGATGAAAGGAAAGGGCTTGCTTGAAGTGTTTTTTGGAGTTTATAGTTTTCAACCTGCAGGAACATGTTGGATTGAGACATATAGGAAGTGATTTTTTTTTCTGTGCTTTTTAGTCAGTCAACAACCATGAATAAGCTCACTGTGTGCACTATATTCTACTAGTACCTACAAGCAGATACTATGATGGGGAAAGTGGTATTAGGGAGATGGGTGAGCCACTTAGAAGCACTGAAAGAATGATATTGAGATTAGGGGTAGGGAGAGGAGGGTCTGGAATGCCAGTAGGAAGAATTTGAGTTTTATGTGATGGGCAGGATTAATGAAGAGGTTATGTAAATGATGGGTGACAGTAGAAATCTACTCTCTGGGAAGCCGCATTGTAATTGAGTCATGAGGTTAGATTAAGGGATGATGTTTTTGCTTTTTTTTTTGAGATGGGGTCTTGCTCTGTAGCCTAGGTTGGAGTACAGTGGGGTGATGATAGCTCACTGTAGCCTCAAACTCCTGGACTCAAGCGATCCTCCTACTTCAGCCTTCTTAGAAACTGGGACTATGCCCAGCTCTAGGGATGACTGTTAAAGAAGAGAGGGTTGTATTTGAGAACATTTTGGGCAGGTACAGGGAATTAAGTTTAGATACTAACACTGCTAATTCTTTTCTAGAAGATTTGCCTTGAAAAAGAATTACCCCTCATCCCAGGACTTTTCTAGAACAAAGTCCTTTTCTTTTTTTTGCAATAAAGTCTTGCTCTGTTGTCCAGGCTGGAGTGCAGTGGTGTCATCTTGGCTTAATGCAGCCTCCTCTGTCTCCCAGGTTCAAGTAATTCTTGTGCCTCAGCCATCCAAGTAGCTGGGACCACGGGATTGCACCACCATGCCTGACTAATTTTTGTATTTTTAGTAGAGACAGGGTTTCACCGTGTTGACTGGTCTCGAACTCCTGGCCTCAAGTGATCTGCCCGCCTTGGCCTCCCAAAATGCTGGGATTACATCTTACTTCTTTAATAAAAATCTTTTAAAGATTTTACTGTGGCCAGGCACAGTGGCTCATGCCTGTAATCCCAGCACTTTGAGAGGTCGAGGAGGGCAGATCACAAAGTCAGGAGTTTGAGACCAGCCTGGCCAATATGGTGAAACCGTCTCTATTAAAAAATACAAAAATTAGCTGGGCGTGGTGGCATGTATCTGTAATCCCAGCTACTCAGGAGGCTGAGGCAGGAGAATCACTTGAACCCAGGGGGTGGAGGTTGCAGTGAGCTGAGATCATGCCACTGCACTCCAGCCTGGGCAACAGAGCGAGACTCTGTTTCAAAAAAAAAAAAAAAAAGATTTGAATAATCAGGAAGGGAGAGGGCATTCCTGGAAAAGAGAATGTAAACAAAGGCACAGGACACAGGGGGAAGGGTTGCTAAGGTTGCTAAGACCAGTCCAAATGGAGAAGAGAGATGTGTTAGGCAGTAACAGATGGTATAGTTGGGTGTGCAGAGTAAGTCAAATTATGAAAAGCCCTGAAAGAGACAAAGAATCAGAGATTAATTCTAATTTACTTCAGAAACTGAGAAGCTCTGGAAGAAAAAAATATTTCATCAGAAGTAACAAACTGTACTTTCAGAAGATACACACCTGAAATCCCAGCGTTTTGGGAGGCCAGGGCAAGAGGATGGCTTGAAGCTAGTTCGAGACTAGCCTAGAAAACATTGCAAGATCCCATCTCTATAAAAAAAATAAAATAATTGCCAGGTGCGGTGGCTCACGCCTGTAATCCCAGCACTTTGGGAGGCCGAGGCGGGCAGATCACGAGGTCAGAAGATCGAGACCATCCTGGCTAACACGGTGAAACCCCCTCTCTACTAAAAATACAAAAAATTAGCCGGGTGTGTGGTGGGCGCCTGTAGTCCCAGCTACTCGGGAGGCTGAGACAGGAGAATGGCATGAACCTGGGAGGCGGAGCTTGCAGTGAGCCGAGTTCGCACCACTGCACTCCAGCCTGGGTGACAGAGTGAGACTCCGTCTCCAAAAATAAATAAATAAATAAATAAATAAATAAAATAATTAGCTGGGCATGGTGGCATGCACCTTTAATCCTAGCTACTCCGGAGGCTGAGATGGGAGGATCATGTGAGCCCGGGGGTTTGAGGTTAGAGTGAGCTACACAATGGTATCAACTGCACTCTGACATGGGTGACCCTGTCTCCAAAAAACTGGAATAAACATTCTTAGCTACCACAAGCCATTTACCAGGCCAGAAAATTAGTAAATGCCACCAATAGAAGCCAGACGAGAGAGGCTTCAACTCCAATCAAAACCATGAGAGTAAAAACAGGAGCTCTAGCATTCCATACAACCTAGTCACAACATGGCTCAATATATAATTATCAGAAGCTGAAAGGGCCAACCTTACTTAGAAAAAGGAGTAAAGACTGGGTGTTTTCAAGAACACTGAGAAAACACAACAGACTCCTTACAATCTATAATTGTTCATTTGTGACTTTTGATCTTGGGATGTTTCTGTTCTCAGATATGCACTCTGAAGTATTCTTTCCACCATGATCTCTTAAACCTGGAATTGGCACTGAAAAATACCAGTATAATAGGCTTACGCTGGTGCATTTCCCTGGTTTGTATTACGTCATTTGCCAACAAGCCCAAGACAAGGCAGTAGCTCCCATAAGCACTGTTAGCACATGGACACATTTTATTATTTCAACAGCATGAATGTGGCCAAAACTTGTGATTTCCCAGCAGACTGACTTGACTCACTTTCTGAATTAACAGTGTTCATGTCCAGAAGTAGCACTTACTCTTTTGTTCTGGCTAAAAACTATCCACTCCAACTCTAGGACTTTGATCTAAAAAGGAACTTAAAAACTGAGTGTAGGCCAGGCACGGTGGCTCAAGCCTGTAATCTCAGCAGTTTGTGAGGCCAAGGCAGGATGATCACTTGAGGCCAGGGGGTTGAGACCAGCCTGGGCAACATAGTGAGACCTTTTCTCTTCAAAATACTTAAAAATTAGCCAGGCATGGTGGCACATGCCTGTTAGTCCCAGCTACTTGGGAGGCTGAGGTAGGAAGATCACTTGAGCCTGAGAGGTGAAGGCTGCAGTTAGCCCTGATCTCACCACACTGCACTCTAGCCTGGGCAACAAAGCAAGACCCTGTCTCAAAAAAAAAAAAAAAAAAAAAAGAACAACATCCACTAAAAAGGATAAATAAGCTGAATCTACATATAACCAAAAGGTTGCTTCAGAGCGTCACTTAGGTAAACAATCCCAAATCCTCAACCCATATTTTCCAATCACTGTGTTAACAAAATTTCATCATTTTGTACTATTTTAAAAATTATTTTTGTATTTATTTCTTGTATTTTTTGTATTTTATTTTATTTTGTATTATTTTTGTATGAAAATTTCAATGTGATTTATATATCGTAAAACTTCTCCCATAATAAGGGGAAAAGAAATTCTCCACAGTTCAGAGATCTGGAAATGTATGTCACTTAAAGTGTGTGACTATACTTCAGAAACTAAAACTAACAACAATAATGATACTAACAATTAAAGCATTTTCACAATTTCTCACTTAGCCCAAGTCATCTACTGTGATTTTAAAACTCCCTTCTGTGATACAATGTGAAACCTTCACCCAGAAATCTGGAGCCTGGCTCTTAGACAGTAATTTTAAGTCTCTGTGCCTAAATTTATTCATCTGTGTAATACTATCCTTCAGGATATTATAAAGCTTAAATAAGATATAAATCAACGTTTTTCTAAACATTAAAGGTTCCTTCTGGTAGGAGATAGAAAAAAAAAAAAGGAGAGAAAAGAGTTAAAAAATAAAATAGGCCAGGTGCAATGGCTCACGCCTGTAATCCCAGCACTTTGGGAGGCTGAGGCAGGCAGACCACAAGGTCAGGAGTTCAAGACCAGCCTGGCCAACATGGTGAAACCCCATCTCTACTAAAAAAAAATATAGAAAAAATTAGCCAGGCATGGTGGCGTGCACCTGTAATCCCAGCTATTCAGGAGGCTGAGGCAGGAGAATTGCTTGAACCTGGGAGGCAGAGGTTGCAGTGAGGTGAGATCGTGCCACTGCATCCCAGCCTGAGCAACAGAGCAAGATTCCACCTCAAAATAAAGTAAAGTAAAATAAAATGGAACATTAAAGGACAAATATATGCCCAGAGCTCATTTATATTCTCATGAATCCCAAGAAATTAGTATTATCATCCCTATTTTAACAGATGAGAAACCCAAAAGATGAGAGAAATCTTTTCCAAGGTCACACAGTAGAAATTAACTGGCAAAAACTAGGACTGGAGCCCACAACAGAAGAAATCCAAAGCATAGTCTTTCTACGATATCAATTTTGTACATTAAGTAATATGCAGACTCTTCACTTGTAACCCTCTGTGCAGTAAGTTTTATAAGTTATTTTCTGCACTAGGATAAATGAAAATTGGTCCTAACTAGCTTCGTATAACCCACAACACTTAGTGACAATTCTGAATTTCATAAGTACCAGATAGATGTTACCAATGTTGAAATGTGAATGTTCTCTTTTATTCCTAGCCCAGCCCAGCAAGTAAAGACTATTTAGTCCTTAAAGCTTTGTGAAAACAAAAGTCTAATTCTGTCTTAACCAACCACCATCAACCAAGTGTGCTGGTTTTTAACCACCTCTTTAAAACCTAAAACTATGCTCATATGTGACCTGCTTCTTCAGTAGAGTTGGTCTCTATCCTAGGAGAGGAATAAAATCCTGGTTCTCCTACCTCCCTGACTATTCCTTCTTAATTTCCTCCGGCGTGAACCGCGAGGCAGAGCTTGCAGTGAGTGGAGATCGTGCCACTGCACTCCAGCCTGGGCAGCAGAGTGAGACTCCGTCTCAAAAAAAAAAAAAAAAAAAAAACCCTCTCATGTCACCTCCTTTGTCAAATCTCCCAGGTAAATCCAAATAGGGTTTCAGCCTTCCTCTGGCTTCCATACTATCTCTGTTCTAGCACTTATCACAGTATGACAACTACTTGTTTGCAAGTATCTTTCCCTTACTAGATGGAATAACCAAGGGCAGGAACCAGATCTCATTCAGAATTCTGGCATCTAACATTGTGGCACCTCCAAGAGAGACTTTAATGACTGTCAGAGAATTGGGGAAATGAAGGATATACCCTGGTTCTCTTGGCTGCTGCCCACTCTGAACTGTTAGAATCCAGTGTTATTATCTAATGCCTCCTGTTTACTGGCCAGCTATCTGAAAGAACCTTTGGGACATTTAGGAAATAAGGGAGAGCATTTATTTCCATGCTGAATCATCTAATCCTGCCAAGACCATGCTCACTGCCACCACACAGAAAAAAAAAAAAAAATGGTTGCCAAGCACAGTTCTGGAAAACCCATACTTGACTACCATTCCTAATACAGCTGCACTACACACAGCTCTGCTTCCCTCACACTCCAAATACATTACTGCCCTTCTCCCATTGGCCCTAGGGGCAGTTTAGGCAGCTGAAAATTTTAGCTCTCCTTCTGCATATAAAAATCCTGCTTCAGCCTGTATAATGAGGTGACTACAAATTAATAGCAGCAGAGAGAGATCCAAGTAATGTGGTGACCAGCCAATAAGGGTCTAGAACACCCCACCATCATCAATATCTATTTTCCCATCTCTTTCCAAAACCAATACGTGGCATGATCCTCACAAACTCCTTCCCCTGGTCACTCTATAGATTCCAGCTCACTCCTCTGCTTAGACAAACTGTTCTCCTATTAAGGTAGTACGGGGATTTCTAAGTCTGGAAAATGCAGGAATTCCATAAGCAAAGTAACAAAGGCCCGGATGCTAAGCCACTCTGACCTCCCAGTGAGAACGGTGCAGTGGGGGGAAGAGAGATTGTTCTGCACCGATCAGAAGAGCAGACTGCACGACCACCGTATACAACTCGAGGTAATTTACTTTGGGCAACCATTTTTAACTCATTCCTCCCCTCAAGAAAGAGACCTGTGTCTGGGAAGGATTAAGTTCCTATACACCTGATCAAGGCCCTTCAGAGGAAAGCCAAACTGAGTGAGACAGCTAAAAAAAAAAAACTGAACAAAAGAGGTCTCTCCTGGAACAAGCCCTACTGCCCCCTTCTTTCCCAGCCTCATTTGCTAGGAGTCCAACTTCCTTTCCGCTGGAGGTCACCAGTACTACCATCCAGTGAGGTGCTGAGATTTCTTCACCTATTTTGGGTCTTAATTCTGCTGGTTTGAAGCTGTCACAGCCCGGGACGGTCCTAATGTATCTCCTCTCTCTGAAGAGAGCAGTGTTACTCAAAAGCCTGCAAAGGAAACTTAATGCAACCATTCACTGAGCAGCATTTTTTCAATGAAGTTCAGCAGCACAATCTAACCTCTTTGTGCTCTGAAATGAACCACATTTCTTAAAAAGAAAGACCACAGGGGGTTGACAGAAAACTTGCTGCAGGCAGGAAAAGCTGGACAGTTTACAGGAGCTGATGCAGAGGGAACAAGCAAAAACCCTAGTAGGTCTTTTTTCGCATTTCATCTCTACTTTTTTCCTGCTGCATTCCCAAGCAGAGTTCCAATGCCACAAGAAAAAAAAAGTGGGGGGGAGGGGGGAGAGGGGGGGCGTTTTACAGCTTCTTCATTAGTTTCCCTTCACTGGATAGGTGCTGTAAACAAGTACGCTGGACTCAGTCATAGGGGCTGAAGTTTCCTCTCCTTCAGATAAAAAGAAACTAAGGGCCTAGTCACAAGGGCCCGAGCTGAATAAAATGGGGAAAAGTGCTGCCTGTGTCGTTTCTGGGAAAATCTCCCCGTCTGTGGAAAGCATAACTGCCAGCCAAAGCAAACTCCCAGAACCGGATGTTAAAGATCAAGGCAAGGGCCTCCCAAGGCCACGCATCCCTGGCTTCCATTCAGGGGCACCTACAGCAGTTAGGGAAATGCAGTCCACAGGCCCTCTTGTCTGTCAAAACTTTCTCCCCATACACCCAAGGCGCAGATTAGGCATTAACTTGCAGAAGTGTCTCGCAAGAGAGCCTTCAGGGCTGAAATCCGAGCTCCAAGGCAAATCTTTATGTGGGAGGAAAAAAACAGACCCCTACCTCCAGCAGGCCCAGACCCCCGGGGAGATGGAGGGGGTAAGGTCTCGCCACCAAAAACTGCACACTCACCCACACCGCTGCCCACCCCACCCCGAAGACACCAAGGTGCTTTCCAACCTCGGCTTCCACGCGACTCATCCGAGACTCAAAGAGACAAAAGGGGGCGAGGGAGGGACTCTCCGCGGGCACACAGAGGTCCGAGCCCCTCTGGGAGGAAGCTCGCACCCAGAGCAGAGCGGGTGGTTTCTCCCGCGCCCAACTCCTCCTCCTCCTCCTCCCCAGCAACTCCCCACGGCGGCCGGTCTCCAGGCCAGCGCCTTGTCTCGCCTTCTTCCAGCTGGGGCCGGATAATAGGGCAAATCATGTAACTGGCGCTCTGAGCGCGCCGACTGCCCCGGGGGCGGTTTCCGAAGGCTTATCTCAACTCTGTAAATAAACTGGCCCCGAGAAGCAGCAGCTCAGGGCCAAGCCCCGCGCGGTGGGTGCGACCCCGCCCGGCCGCCCCACCTGCAGCCGCCGAGCCGACCGGCTCCGAAGGCCACGCTGCGCCGGCCCGCGGGCCTCAGCGCCGGCCAGTCCCCGGCCCTACCTTTGTACCGCTCCAGCACATCCTCGTACGCCTGCACGAACTCCTTCTCCTGGCTGCGGTTGGCCGGCTGCTGACCCGGCACGTAGCCGGCCATGGCCGCCCGCACCGCCTTCTCGCCGAGCCCCGGGGGCTGCCGGTTCCAGGCCCGCGCGCTGAGGCGGCGGCGGCCCCAGCCTCGACCCTTTGTGCGTCTCAGAGACGGCGACGGCGCCCTCGCTCTCCGCCGTCCGCCCGCCTCGCCCGGCCCGGCAGTCGCGCTCCGCTCCTCAGTCCGCTCGCACCCGGCCCGCTCGCGCTCCGCCGGTCCCGGCTCGCGTTTCCGCGTCCTCACCCCTCGGCTCCGCTCCTCCCTCAGCCCGCCCCGGCGCGGCTGCAGCGGCGGGCGGCGGCGGCGGCTCCTCCTGTCAGGAGCGCCAGGCCCGGCCCGTTCCCCGCCCCCTCTCCCCGCCGCCTCCGGGTCCCGGCGAGTCCTCGGCCCCAGGCTGCGGCCGGCTGGGCCCGGGCTGCCCACACGGGTCCCCCAGGGGCTGCCGACCCCCGCCCGGCCCGGACTGGGGCCCGAGCCGAGGGGCGCGAGAGGCCGGCCCACGCGGGAGTCCCGCTGGGTGGGAGGCCCCGCGCGTCAGGATGAAAGGCTGGGCCGGCCGAACGGCAGGGAGACCCGGGCCGGCTCCACAGGGCGAGCGGGAGCCCCAGTCAGCGCTGACCTACGCCGCCGGGAGCGGGACAAAGGAGGGTTTCTCCCTGGCTGGAGAGAAACCCAGCGGGGCCTGTGCGGCTGCTGGAGAAGGACCTGGAGAAACTGAAGGGAAAGCAGAGGGCAAAAGACCACGATGCCTCAGATCCCAGGGCTAGACGCGGTCAGAACGAGGACAAGGGCAAGATCCAGACAGGGCTGCAGTGTAGGGCCGGAGGACACTGAGCCCACAAAGAAGCCCGGGAACAAAGGGTTTTCCAGAAACAGAAGAAGCTGAACAAGAAGTGACGGGGCAGATCCAGCACCATGAAGTAAACCAGGCCAAGGAGCCAGAGCCTGAGAAATGACAACCCAGGGAGGCACGAAAACGGGATTCTGAATGCACCATGGGGTGAATAAGAGGAGAGACAGGGAGACATAAATCTGTAGGGGATAGACCCTCCAGAATTATTAAACTGTGACAGCCATCTGAACAGAGAGACAGAGATCAAAAGGGAGAAATGTGGGAACCTGAGACGGAACCAGGACTGTTAGGGAACAAAGAAAGGACTCTGGAGCATAGCTGGTCAGGGAAGAAAAGGGGAAGCCAATTATTCTTTGTCATCAGGGGAAAGGAAAGAGTAAAGAAAGGAAACTGGAAAATATGGGTAGGGATTTATTAGGGGCCATTTTGAGGACAGAGCTCCCAACATCATTTGATCCAACATTCGGTTGTGTATCATTCAATCCCAATATTCATGGAGTGCGCTGGAGCCATGAGCAGTGAATGAAGAACTCTGGTCAATGTAGGTGACACGTTGTGCCCGCCACCCCCCATTTAGCAGTTATCCTCCCCTGTTAGCTTGATTTTTCAGGAGGTCTGGAGAGGTGGTTGTGGGTAAGAAGTTACACTGGCTGATCTCACAATAAGGGCACATTAGCAAGTAAAAAAAGAATTCATGCAACACTGAGCAACCAAAATTGGGACTTGGGCTTCCATTCCAGTTCCCATTCTCAAGAGTTTGAAGGAGAAACTTCTTAACCCCAGGCTAGGGAAGGTGTCTTTGTACCTTGTGAGTAGTGCCAAGTATTTTGGTCAATGCTCAGCACATTGGTAACAAGTAAAACAAATGACGCTTTTCGCTAATAGGTGCATGCTGGTTGTTTCCACACCACACCCTGATCAGAAATCAGGTGAGCAAGTCATTAATCATATCTTTTCCCATCAAGTTTTGCTGGCCTGCCCAAGTTGTGGGCATGAAGATCATGCAGGGAAGGGCCTGAAAGAGGACAGGGAGGATCCTTAGACAAATGCTCATTTCCTTCCAGTTTAATCCTCCGTGCTAAAACAAACAAACAAACAAAACTAGTTCTCAGTTTGGTGTCAGCTGCTAATGAGCTCAGTTTACAAAAAGAAGGGGAATAAGTTTGAAGTATATGCATTTTTCAGTAAAAGGCTTTTAGCGGAAAATGCAGGATGAGTTGCTGATTGATGGCACAAGCACATTTTTCGTAAACAGCAGAGAATATAGAAATGCTAACTCTGGGGATCTTGACTGTGTCAGTGCTGAGTCATCTGCATTTCCCATATTATTTTATACCAGCAGGCCTAAGAAGGCCCAGACAGAAATCACGCATACAAACACCTCCACACAGACATCTCACCCCCACACAGACATCTGCCTCCTTATGTCCATTACACTACATAGAAAAGTCCCTCCATTCCCACCTGGGGCTGCTACACGCGCCACTTTGTGAGCAGGTTCCTCAAGATGTGTGACTGATGCTTGCCAAAGGTGAAGAAAGAACAGGGGCAAAAAGGGGAAGAGTCCGCTGTGAGAATCAGAGAAGACCTGGGGGCGTTGCAGGGAGAAGGCAAGGGGTTGAGATTCCTTTTAAGAAACACACAAATCAAAGAAGAAACTTCTGCTTTAGGTTGTGGCTAGAGAGCTTCTCTAAGACTCAAATTGCTTTCTTGACAAAATTTGCATTTAAATGCTCCCAGGAGATTTTGAAATAATGCATTCTTCTAATGAATGGAAAGTGGGGAAGTCCACATGTTTGGCTGATGTTCCTGTTTTATACAGAGAAAATTTTACAAGGCTAGAGGAACAAAGCGGCTGCCAGGGGGGATGGGAAGAAGGAAGTCTATGAAGGGGAGGTTTTTCGCTTCTTTCAAGCAACAGTCTAAATTTATAGCCAGACCACACAGTCGCAAAAGCTCTGAGGCTTTCTCCTTTTGGTCTTTGATTTTCTTTTGCTCCTGATGGGTGAGACTGCTGCTGCATTTCTAAGAAGGCTGCAATGGGGGAAGCAGAAGGATGTACTCGGAAGGGCATCTAGTGGAAGAGAAGAGTAATACAAGGAAATTAATGCCCTTTATCCTTGGTGTCCTCCCAATTAAAGCCTCATCAAATACCCCTATCCCTAAAGCCCTGCCACTTTCTATTTCTTTCAGCGCCTCTAATGTGTTATCTCGCCTCAGGGCCATCCAACCGACTTTCCTCCCAGATTATAACCCTTCATCACTCTCCTTTGGCCTGGCTCACTCCTACCCATGCTTCTGCTGAAACTCCCCAGGGGAAAGCCTTCCTTGACCCCCCCCCCGCCTCCAATTAATAGGTCCTCCTCTACCCTTTGGTAATACTCATCAC
Source organism: Homo sapiens (assembly GCF_000001405.40). Classification (NCBI taxonomy): domain Eukaryota; kingdom Metazoa; phylum Chordata; class Mammalia; order Primates; family Hominidae; genus Homo; species Homo sapiens. Next base: position 39,102,387 of record NC_000001.11, on the reverse strand, counting down.
ACTTGAAGTTATGGTACAGTGTCTCTCATCCTTACTAAATCGTAAGCTCCCTGAGGGCTGAGACTGTTTGTCGTCTAATTCACCACAGGATCCTTAGCACCTAGCAACTGATCTGGCACATATAGGGCACTCATTAACTATTTCGTCTTTCTTTTCTTTTCTTTCTCTCTCTCTTTCTCTCTCTCTCTCTCTCTTTCTTTTTCTTCTTTTTTTTTGACGGAGTCTCGCTGTCGCCCAGGCTGGAGTGCAGTGGCGCGATCTCGGCTTACTGCAGGCTCCGCCCCCCGGGGTTCACGCCATTCTCCTGCCTCAGCCTCCCGAGTAGCTGGGACTACAGGCGCCCGCCACCTCGCCCGGCTAATTTTTTGTATTTTTAGTAGAGACGGGGTTTCACTGTGTTAGCCAGGATGGTCTCGATCTCCTGACCTCGTGATCCGCCCGCATCGGCCTTCCAAAGTGCTGGGATTACAGGCGCGAGCCACCGCGCCCAGCCTCTTTCTTTCTCTCTCTCTTTTCTTTCTTTCCCTCCCTCCCTCCCTTTCTTTCTTTCCTTTCTTTTTTGAGATGGAGTCTCGCTCTGTCACCACCCAGGCTGGAGTGCAGTGGCGTGATCTCGGCTCACTGCAACCTCCACCTCCCGGGTTCACGCCATTCTCCTGCCTCAGCCTCCCGAGTAGGTGGGACTACAGGCGCCCGCCACCATGCCCAGCTAATTTTTTTTATTTTTAGTAGAGAAAGGGTTTCACTGTGTTAGCCAGGATGGTCTCCATCTCCTGACCTCGTGAACCACCCACCTTGGCCTCCCAAAGTGCTGGGATTACAGGAGTGAGCCACCGCACCCAGCCAACTATTTCTTTAATGCTATGCATAGTGGCTCACACCTGTAATCCCAACACTTTGGGAGGCCGAGGCCAGAGGATTGCTTGAGCCCAGGAGTTCACGACCAGCCTGGGCAACATGGCAAAATTCGGTCTCTAAAAATATACATATACACACACATATATATATATATACATATTTTTTTTTTTTTTGAGACAGAGTCTGGCTCTGTCACCCAGGCTGGAGTGCAATGGTGTGATCTCGGCTCACTGCAACCTCCACCTCCTGGGTTCAAGTGATTCTCCTGCCTCAGCCTCTCAAGTAGCTGGGATTACAGGCGCCTGCCACCATGCCCAGCTAATTTTTGTATTTTTAGTAGAGATGGGGTTTCACCTTGTTGGCCAGGCTAGTCTTGAAGTCCTGACCTCAGGTAATCCATCCACCTCGGCTTCCCAAAGTGCTGGGATTACAGGCGTGAGCCACCGCACCTGGCCAACTATTTCTTTAATGCTATGCATGGTGGCTCACACCTGTAATTCCAACAATTTGGGAGGCCGAGGCAGGAGGATCGCTTGAGCCCAGGAGTTCAAGACCAGCCTGGGTAACATGGCAAAATTTGGTCTCTAAAAATATACATACACACACACACACACGCGCGCGTGCATTTGTATATTTGTTTACTTTATTTAATTTAATTTAATTTATTTATTTATTTGCAACGGAGTCTCACTCTGTCACCCAGGCTAGAGTGCAATGGCGCAGTCTGGGCTCACTGCAACCTCCACCTCCTGAGTTCAAGCCATTCTCCTGCCTCAGCCTCTCGAGTAGCTGGGATTACAGGCGCCTGCCACCACCCCCGGCTAATTTTTGTATTTTTCGTAGAGATGGGGTTTCACCTTGTTGGCCAGGCTAGTCTCAAACTCCTGACCTCAGGTAATCTGCCCACCTCAGCCTCCCAAAGTTCTGGGATTACAGGCATGAGCCACCGCACCCGGCCTAAATTTTTGATTAAATGCATGAATGAGTGAACCAGATGATCCTAAAATACTTGGCTGTCTGTGACTACTGACTAGCTGGAAGGCTAGAGTATTTAAGGAGAGAGTATGTTTGTCTCACAGCATCCCTTATCTAAGCCTGGAATTCCAAGTCTTCCATATTTAGACATCTAGCTTCCTTTTCAGGCTGATCTCCAATGACACCCTTGTGTGTACCTCCTTTCCCTATAATCAGACTCTGAGGCTTTGCCTAGAATGTCCCATCCCCCAACTCCACCTACTGAAATCTACCTTGAAAGTTCACCCCAAATGACGTGAAATTTTTTTTCTATTTATTTATTTAGAGGCAGCGTCTTACTCTATCACCCAGGCTGGAGTGCGGTGGCACAATCTTGGCTCACTGACACCTCTGCCTCTTAGGCTCAAGCAATCCTCCTGCCTCAGTGCGCCCACCAATTAACCCACCAGCAGCTAGGACTACAGGCAGGTGCCACCACGCCCAGATAATTTTTGTGCTATTTGTAGAGACAGGATTTCACCATACTGTCCAGGCTGGTCTCGAACTCTTGGGCTCAAGTAGTCGGCCTGCCTCAGCCTCCCAAAGTGCTGAGATTACAGGTGTGAACCTCCGTGCCCAGCTTTTTAAAAAAATTTTTTATAGAGACAGGGTCTCACTATGTTGGTCTTGAACTCCAGGTACATGTACTGTGGATGTCTGTATCACTGCCTCCTTAACCTCCTACTTCATAGGTTCCTGAGGGCAAAGACATCTATTTCATCTTTCTTCATCACTGGGCCTAACACAATACTTTGCACATAGTAGATGTTCAATAAATATTTGCTGAAGGAATGGATGCCTCATTGAACTGTTATGGGGGTTGGGGGAGGGAGCCAGATCTGATTCAAGACAATTGAGAATCCAACTCAATGTCCACTCAGTGGTCAAGGGCTGAGGGCACTTCATGTGTAGGGAGGAAAGAGGGAAGTACAAAATTATTTCTCTTTCTGCTAGTGCTCCTTCCTCAACCTCTAGAAAGTTTATTCCCAGCTTTTCTTCACCTTTGGTTCATGCTGCATTATTTTATGTGTTAACTGATGCTTTATAAAGAAATTCTTAGGCCAGGTGCGGTGGCTCATGCCTGTAATCCCAGCACTTTGGGAGGCCAGGGCGGGCAGATCACCTGAGGTCAGGAGTTCGAGGCCAGCCTGACCAATATGGTGAAACCGCGTCTCTACTAAAAATACAAAAAATTAGCCGGGCGTGATGGTGGTCACCTGTAATCCCAGCTACTTGGGAGGCTGAGGCAGGAGAATCGCTTGAACCCAGGAGGCAGAGGTTGCAGTGAGCCTAGATCGTGCCATTGCATTCCAACCTGGGCAACAAGAGCAAAACTCCATCTCAAAAAAAAGAAATTCTTTGCTAGTAGTGAGTGTGTGTGTGTGCACACATGCACATATTCTCTCCATTCCTCCTTGCAAGGGTAGCTGTCTGCTGTAACTTTTATATTCCCCAATAGTAGCTGATGCCAGGCACTGAAGGGGCAGCCCCAAGCATTATCCTTTGACCAGCTCTTGGAAGAAAATTACCTAGTTCTAGTCTCAGAAGTGAAGCTCCACCAGCCTCTTGGGCACCAGCCAAAGCTCCCTTTCTGCCCAGCTCCTAGAAACCTTTTCTAAGCTTTGCCTCAAGTTCCCAAATCCGCTCTGGGGTAAGAAGCCTTTGCCTGCTCTCATGCTGCCCTCTTCTGTTCAGAAAGTGCAACATCTCAATTTAAGAGGCCTGGAGGGTGCCAGCCACCCAGGAAGACAAGATCCCTGCCACCAGCAGCCCATCACCATAGCAACCCTCAAAATGGTTACTCAGCCATCTGGGTTACCATAGCAACTGGCCAAGTCGCTCCACCTCAGCCTCTCCCTAGGCCTCTCCCGTGGCTCGTCAGAGCCAACTCCAAATAATCTCCAGTGCTTCCTGGAAGAAATGAGCAGAGGCTGGACCCCTGACAGGCAGCTATCCCAAAGGGGCGTGGAAGGCCTCACCGCACCGGCTTCCCAAGGCACAGTAGAGATAATGGATGTTAAGGCACTCCGTGAACCTTGAAGTGCTACACAGATGTTAGCTGTTATTAAACTACTGTTCCTTGTAATGGGGGAGGCAGTGGGTTGCCCTAGGCAGAGCTAGCACCATTCCAAGCTTGGCCCCTTACTGGCTGGGAGACCTTGAGCAAGTTACCAAACTCTCTGGGCTTCTGCTTCCTCTGCTGTAGCACATCTGCCTCCTAAAGTTGTTTTGAGGATTAGGTCAAATACAGCATGTAAGATGCTGAGCGCCAAGGCTGGCATTCAGAACCTAACAATAGTAGTTATAAAAGGTATTGGCCCCTCTGCTGTCTCCCAGCTTCTTTGTCAGTAAAACTGTTTTTATCTTCACTCTTGAAGGAATCAGGCTAATGTGAGCCCTGCTGAACCATACCCAATCTCTCTTCCTGCTCTGAGGCAGGACAGGGTCTTACCCTGTGTGGATCCTCTGAGGCAGTCTATACTCTTTGGGGAATTGGGAGGTTCCCCAAACTGTGAGGTGTGGCTTTTTTTAATCTATGAAACTTCTCTTCACTTGAAGCCACAGCTCCCCATCCAACACCATCTCAAGGTAGAAACCTCTAAAGGGGCACTAACAGGCAGCCTGGAAAGAGCACAAATCACTGAGGCCGGGAGAGGCCCTTGAGAGTGGTGGCCAATGCTCTCAGTTGAGATCAGAGTCACGTGAAGCAGTTCACCAGCATCAGGGCAGTCCTGGGGCACAGGCCCCTATAACAAAAATGGAACTCATTCCCTTGATGAATTTCTTTTTTTTTGAGACAGGGTTTCACTTTGTCACCCAGGCTACAGTACAGTGGCATGAACATGGCTCACTGCTGCCTCAACCTCCCAGGCTCAAGTGATCCTCTAGCCTCAGTCCCCCAGATAGCTTGTACTACAGGTGTACACCACCATGCCCAGCTAATTTTTGTATTTTTTGTAGAGATGGGGTTTCGCCATGTAACCCAGGCCGATGTTGAACCCCTGAGCTCAAGTGATCCACCCACCTTGGCCTCCTAAAGTTCTGGGGTTAGAGACATGAGCCACTGTGCTATCCTCCCGCCATGATGTTAAGGACCTGAATCCTATTGCAACTCGACTTCAGTCTGTCAAGATTGAATCCTTGAAATTCATTTTTTGGATATTTAGTTTAATTATACTGGCAGAACAGAACCAGATATGCTCTAGCCTAGCTCTGTGTGTTCTGGGGATAGAGCCTGAACCTCAAGCTGGAAGGACCAGAGGATCAGCCAAGCAACGCTAGGAGGGACACACTGCCCCTGGAGCCTGAACATCTGGGTGTTAGAATCCCTCATGAAGAGGCCAGGCGCGGTGGCTCACACCTGTAATCCCAGCACTTTGGGAAGCTGAGGCGGGTGGATCACCTGAGGTCAGGAGTTCAAGACCAGCCTGGCCAACATGGTGAAACTCCGTCTCTACTAAAAATACAAAAATTAGCCGGGCGTGGTGGTGGGCACCTGTAATCCCAGCTACTCAGGAGGCCAAGGCAGGAGAATTACTTGAACCTGGGAGGCAGAGGTTGCAGTGAGCCGAGATCACACCACTGCACTCCAGCGTGGGTGACAGAGCAAGAGTCCGTCTCAAAAAAAAAAAAAAAAAAAGGAATCCCTCATGAAGACTCTGGGCAGTAGGTCAGGTGGCAGTGGTTCCAGTCCTCAGACATGGACTCTGAAGCAGATAAACTGGTATATTTACTACTAGAGGAAAGGTAGTATAATATAATGGTTAAAAAGTGAGGGAAGTAAAGGAGTTTGAAGTTGCAGTGAGCTACAATTGTGCCACTGCACTGCAGCCTGGGCAACAGAGCAAAACTCTGTCTCAAAAACAAAAACGGAGGAAGGTAGAAGTATGTGATTACGGGAACTTTCTGATTTTTTTTTTTTTTTTTGAGATAGAGTCTTGCTCTGTCACCAAGGCTGGAGTGCAGTGGCGCAGTCTCGACTCACTACGACCTCTGCCTCCCGGTTCAAGTGATTCTCCTGCCTCAGCCCTCCGAGTAGCTAGGATTACAGGCATGAGCCACTGCACCCAGCTACCGGAACTTTCTTATACATAACTGGGGAGGGAGAAGTGGGGTTGCAATATATGGGTTTTTTCGTTCACAGTTCCTGGCTCATAACTTCTATAGCCCTTGTCATAGTTTTCTGCTATAATGTTGAGGCACTGTAGACCTCAGAAGCAAGTCAAGTCTTAGAAAACAGAATCTTTCTGCCCTCCTGCCCTCCTTTCACCTGTTTCTTTTTCCTCCCAAAGCAAGACTCAATCTTTCCTGCAATTTTTTTTTTTTTTTTTTGAGACAGGGTCTCACTGTGTCACCCAGGCTGGATGATGATGATCACAGCTGCAGTGGTGCGATCATGGGTCACTGCAGCCTCCATCTCCCTGGCTCAAATGATCCTCCCACCTCAGCCTCCTGAGTGGTTGGGTCCACAGGTATGTGCCACTACGCCTGGATTATTTTTTGATTTTCTCTAGAGACAAGGTCTCACTATGTTGCCCAGGCAGGTCTTGATATCCCAGACTCAAGTGATTCTCCTGCCTTGGCCTCCCAAAGTGTTGGGATTACAGGCATGAGCCATTGCACCCAGCCATTTTTTTTTTTGAGACAGCCATCTCACTCTGTTGCCTACGCTGGAGTGTAGTAGTACAATCATAGCTCACTGCAGCCATGACCTCCTGGGCTCAAGGGATCCTCCTTTCTCAGCCCCCAAGTAGCTAGGACTACAGGCATGCACCACCACACCTAATTTTTTTTTTTGTGGAGATGGTGGTCTCACTATGTTGCTCAGGCTGGTCTTGAACTTCTGGTGTCAAGTGATCCACCTTCCTCGGCCTCCCAAAGTGCTGGGATTATATGTGTGAGCCACCACTCTCAGCCTTCCCCAACATTTCTTTTTTTTTTTTTTTTTTTTTTTGAGACAGAGTCTCACTCTGTCACCAGGCTGGAGTGCAGTGGCGCGATCTCAGCTCACTGCAACCTCCTCCTCCTGGGTTCAAATGATTCTCCTGCCTCAGCCTACTGAGTAGCTGGGACTACAGGCGCGCACCACCATGCCTAGCTAATTTTTTTGTATTTTTAATAGAGACAGGGTTTCACCATGTTGGCCAGGATGGTCTCGATCTGTTGACCTCATGATCCGCCCGCCTCGGCCTCCCAAAGTGCTGGGATTACAGGCGTGAGCCACCGCACCCAGCCGCCTTCCCCCACATTTCTGACTATAATCATGAGACCCCTATTTCAGGAGTCTTGCCCCATACCCTGGGGGAAGGAATACTACATAGAAAATTCAAGCAGAATCTGAACAGCCAGGCTTTGCTGGGTTTCCACACTGTTAGTGTTAGACATACCCTTTTTGCCCAATCACATTTCTGCATGGTTGTCAATCATGCCTACCCAAGGAAGTCTCCATGAAAGGCCTAAGATTCAGGGAGCTTCCAGGATAACAACTCGTGAAGATTCCTGAAGGGTGGCATACAAGGGAGGGCATGGAAGCACCACATTCCTTCTTCCATACCTCGCCCTTGCCCTCTGCATCTCTTCACCTGTATCCTCTGTGTGTTTTGTGGTTTTTGTTTTGTTTGTTTTGAGATCCGGTCTCACTCTGTAGCCCAGGGTAGAGTGCAGTACACAATCTCAGCTCCCTGCAGCCTTGACCTCCCGGGCTCAAGCAATCCTCCCACCTCAGCATCCTGAGTAGCTGGTATTACAGGCGCATACCACCACGCCTGGCTAATTTCTTTTTTTCTTTTTTTTTTTTGAGACAGAGTTTCGCTCTGGTTGCCCAGACTGGAGTGCAATGGCGCGATCTCAGCTCACCGCAACTTCCGCCTCCCAGGTTCAAGCAATTCTCCTGCCTCAGCCTCCCGAGTAGCTGGGATTACAGGCATGCACCACCACGCCCGGCTAATTTTGTATTTTTAGTAGAGACAGGGTTTCTCCGTGTTGAGGCTGGTATCGAACTCCTGACCTCAGGTGATCTGCCCGCCTGGGCCTCCCAAAGTGCTGGGATTACAGGCGTGAGCCACCATGCGCGGCCCGATTTCTTTCTTTTTTCTTTTCTTTTTTTTTTTTTGGAGACAAAATTTCACTCTTGTTGCCCAGGCTGAAGTGCAATGGCGTGAGCTCAGTTCACCACAACCTCCACCTCCCGCGTTCAAGCGATTCTCCTGCCTGGCTAATTTTGCTTTATTTTTTGTGGAGACGGGGTCTCACTATATTATCCAGGCTGGTCTCGAACTCCTGGCTTCAAGCGAGCCTCCCACCTTGGCCTCTCAAAATGCTGGGATTACAGGTATGAGTCACTGCACCCAGCCAGCACCCCATTATAGCCAGTCAGTCAGAAGCACAGGTAAAAAAAATCTGAGTCTTGTGATTGGCATTAGAAGTGGAGTGGGGTGGGGCTGGGCACCGTGGCTCACGCCTGTAATCCCAGCACTTTGGGAGGCCGAGGCGGTGGATCACCTGAGGTCAGGAGTTCGAGACCAGCCTGGCCAACGCGGTGAAACCCCATTTCTACTACAAATACAAAAATTAGCCAGGTGTGGTGGCGCACGCCTGTAATCCCAGCTACTCAGGAGGCTGAGACAGGAGAACCCGGGAGGCAGAGGTTGCAGTGAGCCAAGTTCACACCACTGCACTCCAGCCTAGGCAAAAGCGCAAGACTCCGTCTCAAAAAAAAGAAAAGAATCCCTTGGCCGGGCGTGATGGCTCACACCTGTAATCCCAGCACTTTGGGAGGCCAAGGTGGGCAGATCACAAGGTCAAGAGATTAAGACCATCCTGGCCAACATGATGAAACCCCGTGTCTACTAAAAATACAAAAATTAGCTGGGTGTGATGGCGTGTGCGTGTAGTCCCAGCTACTCGGGAGGCTGAAGCAGGAGAATCACTTGAACCCGGCAGGCAGAAGTTGCAGTGAGCCGAGATCGCACCACTGCACTCCAGCCTGGTGACAGGGCAAGACTCCGTCTCAAAAAAAAAAAAAAAAAAAAAATTAGCCAGGCGTGGTGGCGCGCACATGTTATTCCAGCTACTCAGAAGGCTGAGGCAGGAGAATCCCTTGAACCCAGGAGGCGGTGGTTGCAATGAGCAGAGATTGAGCCATTGCACTCCAGCCTGGGCAACAAGAGCAAGACATCATCTCAAAAAAAAAAAAAAAAAAAAAAAAAAAGAAGTGGAGTAGGGGAATGTCTTGGGGACTGAACCCTCAAACTGTGAGATCTGATGCTATTTCCAGGTAGACAGTGTTGTAATTGAACTGGAGGACACCCCGCTGGTGTCCACTGCAGAACTATTGTTTAACTTGCTGGCGGGGAGAAGTCCCCACATATCTTGGCGTCACAGAAGTCTTCTTGTGTTGATTGTTGAGTAAGAGAATGGAAAAACAGGAACTTGCCAGGCGCGGTGGCTCACACCTGTAATCCCAGCACTTTCGGAGGCCCAGGCGGGTGGATCATGAGGTCAGGAGTTCAAGGCCAGCCTGGCCAAGATGGTGAAACCCCGTCTCTACTAAAAAATACAAAAAAATTAGCTGGGCATGGTGTCAGGCACCTGTAATCCCAGTTACTCGGGGGGCTGAGGCAGAGAATTGCTTGAACCCGGGAGGCGGAGGTTGCAGTGAGCTGAGATGGCACCACAGCACTCTAGCCTGGGCAACAGAGAGAGACTCCATCTCAAAAAAAAAAGAAAGAAAAGAAAAAAGAAAAAACAGGAACTGTGTTTTTTCCACTGACAGCGGTGTATGAATGAAATAAAATTGGCCATGAATTAATTGATCATTCTTGTTTCTGGGTGATGGGGGTTCACTGTACTATTCTCACTACTTTACTATGTTTGAAATATCCTGAAAAGTGCCAGGGCTTTGGAGTTAGGCTGACCAGAAACTCAGCACTTGAATAACTGCAAAGGGCATATTGTACATGTTGAGGGCCAGGGGGCGCCATGCACATTAAGTAATGCTGAATCCCAGCTCCATTATTTGCTCAGTGTATAACCTCAGACAAGTTACTTAACATTTCTGTTGAGAATAGCAACTACTTCCCAGGGTTCTATGAGGATTAAATGATGTATGTAAAATGCCTGGCACCCATCTAGGACTCTACACAGTGACTTTACCAGCTATTATTCACCGGAGGAACCCAGCTGGCACCAGCTCTAAGGTGCTCCTAAACTGAGTCCAGAGTTCACTCCCCAAACCACCGTCTAGATTCTTTAGTTCCTAATTCTCACCAGCTGTTCTCTCTTCATTTTCCTTCTTTCCTTCCTACGAAAGCCAAAGAAAGGAGAGCAAGAATAGATGCAAACCACCGGGAAGTGCCCTGTCTCTTCAGGTTGTCCTGGCTAATTCCTATTTCTTTTCCCAGCCCCAGAAGAAATACTATCATTGCTCTAAGCCAGGGAGGGGCAGGAGTAGAAGTGCCTTCCCTTCCAGAACTTCCTCAAAACTCTTTGGACTTGCAACGTAGCTCAGTTCATGCTGCATTCTAACGGTCTTCATAGGCAGGAGCTGGGCTCTGAAGTGCAGTCTGAGCCTAGAGCAAAGTAGCCCTAGGGATATTTGTTAAATAAGCAAGTGTGTAATCAGTGAATAAGCAAGGGGATAAATCAGCACATTCATGAATCTATGAACAAGTGTATGAGTGAATGAATGATATTCATGAAAAGAGCTAATATGTATCAAGGGCAGCCGGGTGCAGTGGCTGTAATCCCAGCACTTTGGGAGGCCAAAGCAGGTGGATCACGAGGTCAAGAGATTGAGACCATCCTGGCCAACAAGGTGAAACCCACCATGGGTCTCTACTAAAAATACAAAAATCAGCTGGGCATGGTGGCGCACACCTGTAGTCCCAGCTACTCCAGAGGCTGAGGCAGGAGAATCGCTTGAATTTGGGAGGTGGAGGCTGCAGTAAGCCGAGATCGTGCCACTGCACTCCAGCCTGGTGACAGAGCGAGACTCTGTCTCAAAAAAAAAATTATCAAGGGCTGAATATATAGCAGGTACTGGGCCAAGCATCCTACTCCCAACTACCTTATTTAATCTACTGTGCAAGTCTCTGAGGTAGTGCTCTTGCTCCCCCATTTTAACTGTAAGAAACTGAGGCTCAATGAAGTGACTAACGTCCCAGGGTCACCCAATTAGCAAGTGAGCAATGAAACTAGGGCTCCAGCTGACTCCCAAAGCCAGCCCTTTGCGTGAATGAATGGAAGAGTGAGCACATGAAGAAATGTGTGAATGAGTGGGGGAGGGCATCCCAGAGACATCCACTGAGGCCCCAGGCAGAATCCTCCCCTGACCACAAGGCAAAAGCCTGGTATCTTCTGGGGTAGGGGTGGGGCACAGCTTAAGACAGAAGCTTCAGCTCATAATCATCACCCTTCAAGTTATAGGGGCTTCAGACCTTCCCTGTAGCAGTATCCCAGATCCAGGCAGAGATTCCAGCAAGGGACACCTATTCTGCTCCTACAGGAAAGCCAAGACAGGGCTTTCAGGCTGGCAGGCTTGTAACTGACATGTGGCAACAAGCAGTGGCCGGGCCAAATCATGGCAGGCCCTAGCCACAGCAACCAGAAAAAGGAGGCCAGCCAGGCTCCATATAACACTTTAGTGATGATGGATCTGTTCACAGACCTTTCCTCAAGGGGAGGACTGCTGAAATAAAGAACAAGTGCAGCCCTAGATCCTGCTGCAGTGTCAGCTACTCTGGTGGCATCTAACCCCTGAGCCCATGAGACTGAGAAATGATGGCCTTCCACAGTCCCCAAAGTAACCAGTCCTTCCTCTGCATTCCTACCTTCAGCCTAGGCTTCTCCCATAACAAACAGAAAGGCATGAGCCAAACTGCCATTCCATACCTTTCTCTATGTCACCTAGGATGTCATTAGAAAAGCATGATGGCATTAAGATGGCATTACACCTTGCAATCCAGAAACCACCTTCCCTCACCAACTGGGGTCCCACAGGGGCCCTGCACCTCAGAGAAAGGACAGATTGGCTGTCTTTTCTGCTGCCTGCACAGAATTCTGCCCACGTGGTCATGTTCCAGCCCACAGCTAATGTGACCCAGATTTACTTTCAAAGAGCTGGAGCTGAGCTGGTGGTGTGTAGCTACAATTCATTCTGCCCCACTTTCAGGGCACTCTCCTCTGCTCTTCTCTGCTGCTACTGAAACCAAGCTCCAGGACAGGGCCAGAGACTCTGAGGACACTGCCAGGAAGAAGTAGAGAAGCTGGGAAGGAGGAGGAGCCTTCCTGGATACAAAACTCGAAGAGCCTCAGGGCAAGGAAGTTTGGCAGCTGAGGAGTAAGGATTCCCAATGAGATTGTCTTTAGGGTTCCATTTCCCATCCCTGCATTCCCTTCTTCCCACTCACGGCTTGGCCAGAATAAGCCACTTCCATCTGCTCCCTGACAAAGGCCTAAAGAACAAAAGAAGGGGACAGAAATAAGAGGCTTGGGCTCCTTCTTTGCTGGCCTGGGAAACTGCTGGCCTCCTGAGTCTCCACTGCCTCATCTGGCTGCCAGGGAGGTTACAAGGAATGACACTGTTAAGTGCAGTAACGGGCCATGTGAACCTGTGTTTTTCCAGCACATTCTGATTCTCGTTCATTTCCCTTTTACACCCTTTATCACCATCTCCCTTTTATAGATAAGGAAACTGAGGATCCAAGAAGTGAGGTCATTTGCCTAAGTCTTGTAACTCCAGATTCAGTTATCTCCGCAGTGCCTGGCACATGGCAGGAGCTTAATCCATTTTTTTTATTGAATGAATGAATGAAGCAGAGAGGTGCCTGTGAGATGTCTTCTCAGAGCTCCCAACTTGGAGGAGAGACACATGGGCCCAGAGGAGTAAGCTCCAGCTTCTGACCAGGTAGTGCTCTCATGGCTCTCTGTCCCAGGGCAAAAAGGGTAAGATGGGACTCCTGACTACAGAGACCTCCAGAGCTGGTGAGGGAAATGAACCTGGGAACAATGAACGTGAATATAAAGCCAACTGAAACAAGGGCTGTGCAGAGAGACAATTGTCGTCTGACTAGAAGGCCACAATGGAGCAGATGTTGGGAATGATTATTTCAGCAGCATTTGCTGATACTCCTAGGAATGAATCCCATAGATGCTTTCTACTGGCACATAGCTTAACCCCTTTTTTAGTTGAAGGAATGAATAAATGAACAACCAGAGAGGGATCCAATCCTTAGCTCTGAGTCACTGCACTCCCCTTTTTCACAACACATACGGGGATATAATTATTTTTTCCCTTCTAACTACTTAAAAAAAAAATAGAGACAGGGTCTCATAGGCTGGTCTTGAACTCCTTAGCTCTAATGATTCTCCTGCCTCGGCCTCCCGAAATGCTGAGATTACAGGTGTGAGCCACTACACCCGGCCTTTTCTCCCTTCTGTCCTCTCCACTAGACTGAGTTCCATGCAGAAGGGACCACATCTTCAGTCATCTTTGAATATCAATGCCAAGGACAGGGAGGGTCCTGATTATGTGATGTTAGATGAATGAATACCTGATTGATGGGTAGATGGTGGAATCTTCCTGCACCCTACCGTGCCCTAGCCCAAACATGAGCCCTTCTTCAAAACATGTTACTGCCATCTGCAGGAAACTTGTAATAATAAATGTACACGTCTGCAATGACAACAAATGTGATGTGAATCGCACCCCCAAGGGTTGTGCAGTGTACAGCCATGTGACACCCTGTCTTGCACCCTGTTCTCAATATACTCCCCACAGGTCCCAAGGGATACATCATTTCTTCCTCTCTTTGTTTCTACCCTTTGGGGTTGTACTCCTTGCTACAGTAAGCTCCCTAGCGCCCCACTTCCTTGTTGCTCCCCACCATTAAGTAAGGATATTTCTACTGCTCTTCACTAAAGACAGAGAGCCAGAGGGGAAGAGGCAAATTTTCCAAGATCTTTGTCTCTCCCCTTTCCTGGTTCTATAGACCAGGATCCTGAGGCCTTTCCCGGAAGTGACCAAGTCTCTCAGGTGAGTGTGGAGATTTAGATTGTCAACTACAGAAGATTCAGACTGGGCTGGTTGCCAGGTATTGCCTAAGGAAATAGAAATAACAATGTACAGGGCCGGGTGCGGTGGCTCACGCCTGTAATCCCAGCATTTTGGAAGGCCAAGGCAAGCGGATCACCTGAGGTCAGGAGTTCAAGACCAGCCTGACCAACATGGTGAAACCCCATCTCGGGCCAGGCGCGGTGGCTCACACCTATAATCCCAGGACTTTGGGAGGCTGAGGCGGGCGGATCACGAGGTCAGGAGATGGAGACCATCCTGGCTAACATGGTGAAACCCCGTCTCTACTAAAAATACAAAAAATTAGCCGGGCAAGGTGGCAGGCGCCTGTAGTCCCAGCTGCTCAGGAGGCTGAGGCAGGAGAATGGCGTGAAACCAGGGGGCGGAGCCTGCAGTGAGCTGAGATCCAGCAGAGATTGCACCACTGCACTCCAGCCTGGGCGACAGCGAGACTCCATCTCCAAAAAAAAAAAGAAACCCCATCTCTACTAAACATACAAAAATTAGCTGGGCATGGTGGCACACGCCTGTAATCCCTGCTACTCGGGAGGCTGAGGCAGAAGAATTGCTTGAACCCGGGAGGTGAAGGTTGCAGTGAGTTGAGATTGCGCCACTGCACTCCAGCCTGGGTGGCAAAGTGAGACTCTGTCTCAAAAAAAAAAAGAAATAGCAATGTACTTGGAGTTAGAAGATCTGTGTTTACCAGTCCTGTGTAACTATAGGCAAGTCCCCTAAACCCTCTGAGCCTCGGATGCTAACATATGTCCTGCCTAACAGAGTTATTTTGAAATCTCTGTGTAAACCATAAAGCTGATAAACCGAAACAAGACACTTTCATTAGTGACTCTTGTTACATTTGAATGTGGCTGGGCTTAGGGAGTTGAGAATATGGCTGGCAAAGAAGAAGGAGAAACAAATGTAGGGAAAGGATGAGAACAGGAAGATGGGAAGAAGAACAAGGTTCAGCACCCTAAAACCTGTTTGGCTTTGTAGACTGAAATCAGCAGGTTTCTCAGCCCCGACATCCCTCTCTACTCTGACATGTGTGACCACCAGGCTTGCCCCATCAGGCCTCTCAAGCAAGGGCGAGGCCCTAAGACCAGCTCAGGACACGGAGTGGGCCAGGGAAAGGGAAGATCTCTATTTGGTGAGAGTGATTCAGACACCCCCACTTGGCTTCATAAGCAAGATCCAGGGGGAGGAGAAAATTGCACAGGCCACAGCTGGCTTCCAGCGTAAGACTGACTTCATTTCCTCCCACAATTAAAGTTCTGCTTCAGAGAGCTTCAGAGCATCCAGGGTCTCCCAGACATGCCCCCCTGCACCTCCTGTGAAGGAGTCCCTGCAGAGCTAAGGCTGCCTTTTCCATTACTCTGGTGGAGCCCCCACAGCATTCTAAAATCACATGAAGATTTCAGCAAGACCCTAAAGTCGCAGTCCCGCCTCGTCTCTGCTGCCTCTCTCCTCTCCTGCTAAAGAAACACGCCCAACTGCAGTGCACAAGTTATTTTTAACCATGGCAGTCTCCCCATTTTCAGCCTCACTGGCCCAGCCCCCTCCTCAAAAGAGGCATTCAGCAGTGTCAGGATGCAAAGGAGATCAGCATCTATGCCAGAAACACAGCACAGCGCAGCACCCACCATCCCTTTGCTCAGTTGACCCAGCAGGGTCCTTAGGAGCCTTGCCTGTGTAAAATTAAGCCTCCTTGAGTCCACTCCACTTCTATTCTAGACTCCAAATCTGAAGCAGCAAGCAAATCATCCCGTGGGCCTCCTCAGAGAAGACTGGAAGTGGAAATCATCACAAAACGATCTAAGTATGCATGAGTGATGAAGGATGGAGGCAGAGGGCATAAAGAAGGAAGAATGAGACAGCCCACTCTCTCTTCAGGAGAAAGAGGTTTATGAGTCATCAGGGCCCTGAGTTATGGCCCTTCAAGACTGGGGACAAGTAAACCCCTTCCTGCACCCTAGGGACAGCTCTAAAATTCTGTTACTGGCTGATGCTGCAGGCCCAAAGGTTTTGAGAAGGACTTCCTCCAAGGACTCCTCGTTGCCCACTAGAAAGAGCTCCAACTCTCCCTCCTGCCTTCCAGGCCCCACTGTTGTCTCCTCACTTGGAGCTCATTCCCTCTAAAGTCCTTTCCTGATTACCTGAGCCCACATAAGCCTTTCTCTAACTTTCCGTTATAGCTCAGTGCCTGTTTCTGGATCACAGTCTGTCACATCACATAATATCCTCAAAACACTCATTCAGCATTCATTCAGTCATTCAATACCAATTGATCTCTAGCATGTACAAGGCCCCGTGCAGCCCTCGGGGGCTCAAAACATAAGACACATCCCAAATTGCTCACTCTTCTAAGGGAGTGATGGGCACCCTGTGGGTTAACTGCTACATTGAACAAGGGAACATGGAGGAGAGAAAAGTATGACTGTGAGAGCGGAGGAGGAAGCTTTGGATACCACTGGGGGCATTAAGGACAGAGGAGGCGGCACTTAAAAGAGGAGGAGGGTTTACCAGCATCTTGCAGAGAAGAAAATTAAAGTGTGGTGGTTTCATCCTGCAAGATGCATCCCTCTGGGGGTCCAGTTACAGTGTACTGTGGCAGGGTGATTGGGGGTAGAGGTGGTGGCAGGTGAAGCTGAAGAGGTAAGTAATTTTGATGGGTCTTTATGCTGAAGCCTTGATTCCACAGGCAATGAGGGGCCAAAGGTGGTTTTTAAGCAGCCGAGTAATAGAATTAGGTTTGTATTTTATTTTATTTTTTATTGTATTTTTAATGAAGTGTTGTACAGGCAGCACTTCATTTCATAAAATAGAATATGTGTTCTTGAGGTTTGTATTTTAGAAAAAAATACTCTATTAGTCACGTGGAGGATGGTGGCAAGACTAAGAGAGGAAGAGCTATTAAATGCTCATTGGAAGGTCCAGGTGAGAGATGACACAGTGGAGGGGGTGGCTGTATTATTTGAGGGACACAAAGAAGGTAGCAGTACAGGCCTTGGTGACGGCTTGAAAGCGGGTGATGTCACTGAATTAGCTGCAGGCACTGCTCTATCTTCCTATCCGTACTGTAACACCAACACCCTGCTGAGATGCTGAGCACACTTCAGGGAGGCAGCTGTGGATGCCTTCAGTGGAAGCATCTCCTTTATTGAGCCAAAAACTGTGCTAAGGGCTTTCCACACATTATTTCATCTAACCTTCAAGGCATCCCTGCACAGTGGGCATTCTTAAGACAAGGAAAGTGACACTGAGAAAGAATAAGGGACTTGCCCAGAGTCACACAGTTGGTCAGTGGCAGGGCCACGATCCAGCACCCTACCCTCTCTGATTCCAAAGCTTACACTCATAACTACAGCACTGTGCTGCTGCTTGGCAAAGAGCTGGGCACATCCCACCACAGGAGGTAGCCCCAGCCTTCACGTCGTGTGAAAGGTCAGCATGTAGAACACTTTTGGAAGGCGATACAAGTAAAACTGTACTCTCCAAGGATTTCATTATAAGGAAATAACAGAAGTCAAATCATTCTTAACCATGTTCTCAGCAGCATTGTCTAATATAGCCAAAAAGTGAAAAAAGAGTAGGATTTAGAAAGTCATGAAATAGACAGCTTTTAGAAATGGTAACCATAAAGTCTAAAGTGCAATATGGAAAATCTTTTTAATATAAGATTAACTGAAAAGAGTCAGATGCAGAATGGTACCTAAGCCATGAAGGCAACTGCATAGAAAATATAACTGAATGGGGACAAAGACAGGGAAGAAGGTGCAGAAATGAAAACAGGTCTCACGTGAGCAAGGGGTGGCAGATTTTCCTCTTTTGAGTTTTTCGTTAATGTTATTTCAACGTCTTTCCAAGAATAATAATAACAAATCAGATGATGGCTGCTTTGTCAGAGGCCCTGGTGAGGACCCCTCGGCTCCCCACACAGCTGCTGTGCCCTGGCCCATTCCTCCCTCACACCCACAGCGTCCAGCCTGCTGGGGGACCTCTCTTACCAGCGACTCTGACCACAGCACGCTCTGCAGGGTCCAGCACCGAATCCTGGCTTTTCCGCTTTTTCTGCTCATGCAGTGGCAGGTTCCAGGGCAAGGTGTCCCCTGGGGGACAGGGAGACAGGCTCCCCGACCGCTCGCTCCTGTAAGATCGCTCACTCCGACAAGACCGCTCACTCCGACATGACCGCTCACTGAGCGTCTCTTCATCTGAGGAAGACATGGCCCAGGCGGGGGCTGCTGCAGGAGGGCCTGGGAGCCCAGGGAGAAGTGATCTGAAGGAGAAAGGGGTGAATGTGAGCAGACAAAAGGGGTCCCATAAGGAACACTGGGACTTGGGAAGCAGAGGTTCTAGTCCTGCCTATCTGTACCTCAGTTTCTTCACCTGGAAAATGGGATGAAGACAATACATCCCAAAACTAATTCATGAGGTTTGGGGGATATTATATGTGATGATGTCTATAAATCTTAAAGCATCATGTAAAAGTTAGCTCCTATTCCTAGGAACTATTATTATTGCTATTTGGCACATTTGGAGGATTAAGCTCACAGATCCCATGACAGAATGCTGTGGGTTTAAATTCTACTCCATTTACTAGCTGTGTGACCCTGGAGAAGCCATTTAATCTCTCTGAGCCTCAGCACCCTCATCTACAAAATGGGGATGACGACAGTTAGAACCTAGCCCTATAGGGTTGGGTTCTGCATGTAAAGTGCTTAATCCTGCATGTAAAGTGCTTAATAGTGCCCACTGCCCAGTAAGCACTCAATACACAGTATCTATTATTATATTCCTGTTCTACTTACCTCCCAGGAATGCTATAAGGATAAAGTGGGGCAACAGATGGGAAGTATTTTCAAAAAGCTAAAGCATGATCTCAATAGCAGGCAAGAAGCAAACCATGGGCTAGAATAGGCAGAAATTCTCTGGTTTCTCCCACTCTGTCTCCAGCAGATATATTAGAAAATGTACCAGACTTGAAGTAAGACAGACCTGGGTATATATTCTGGTTTGGCCACTTACAATTGCTGTGATCTTGGGCAAGTCACTTCACCTCTCTGAGACTCAGTTTCTTCATCTGCAAAATGGGGGTAATATTCCACCTCAGAGGATGTTTTAAGAACATTGTCAAATGCAAATGTAGTACTGGTTGATGCCATGCATGGCACCCAGCAGGCATTAGATTAAATGTTCATTTGCTTATTCCAAGGGCTGTTGTGGGAATACGTGGCACAGCATGAGGATGGGGTGGGGGGATGGGACAGAAAGCCCATTTTTTCTGGTCAGTTTAGCTAGTGGAGAGAGTTGAGTGAAAATACAATTGCTCTAAGGCCAGCTGGGCTCCACCAGCCAGACTGGGCAGCCTTCCCTCAGCCAGGTCAAGCTCACTTCCCAGAACCATCTGCTACACATGGCCCACCACCCCAAGGGCTCCATCAGAGCACAAATGGTATGTGCCTTCAGCTACCAGCCTTCCTACAGGCCGCAAAGCCAACCTGGGTACCCAGCTTTGACTTTGGCTGTAGGGTCCAGGGAGGGCAAGAGCTGTTGATTTTCCCTTATAGGGAATACCGGCTCACAGGGCTGTGTAGAGACAGCGAGGTAGCCTACATGGCTGGACACAATGGGTCTGTGGCCACAGCTCCTCCAGGATTCTCGAATCTGAGCCTAGAGGCAGCAAGGGGCAGAGACAGCCTCCTGGGTCATTGGCAGATCCCCACCATAGGCACAGAATTCAAAGAGATAACAAAAGAAACATAAAAATGGTGTAGGAGGCCTGTAGGCAGCCTCGGGCAGCAGAGCCTCCCTGCCAGGGCACCCCTTGTGCCAGCAGCGTGTGAGCCCTCTTCCCAAAGAACATCTAGAAGGGATCTAGCCACAGGAAGCAGAAAGGAAAGGACCCAGGTCCTGGCACAGCTTTGCCCTTTATCTTAGCACTTACCCCTCCTCCCATTACCTTCTAGTGCCAGGGCAGGTGCTGAAGTGACAGCCTCAACCTCTGGGAAACTCAGGCCAAGCTTCCATCCCTACCCTCAGCTCGGGGGCAGGAAAAATGCCCCTCCTCTCAGACCACCTGCTTCATCCCAGAACCGCCCATTCCTCTCCAAGACGCCCATTTCACTACAAAGGCCGGCTCTCCCAAGGCCTCCTCCCGGAGAAAGCGTCCCTTCTGGGCTCTACCCCGTCAATCTCCGGCCCCTCACAAACACTTGTTTGACCTCCGGGCTCCCGCCCGACCCTCGGCCACCTGGGTCATTCCATCAATCCCCGAGACTCACAGGAGTGCCCGCCCAAGCCCCAGCCCACCCCCTAGGCCGCAGGCCGGTCGGCGACAGGCACCTCACCAGGTGCTCTCACCCCCTGCGACCCTCCCCACCTGGCCCCCACCCGTTTCCCCACGGCGGAGGAGGGGCGCGCCCGCGAGCCTGGGGCGGCGCGGGTGGGTCCGCGCGCCCGCCAAGCGTGGCTGACAAAGAGCGGGGACGCGCGACCGAGGACCGACAGGGCGCTGGGGCCAGCGGCCGAGCCCTGGGGCCGGGAAGCGACCTTCCCCGCCCAGCCCTGCCCGCTCCCTAAGGTCCGGCGCCCGGCCCCTGCAGGGCTCCGTGTCCCATTTTCCCGGGGAACACGCCTCCCTTCCACCCTGGCAGCGCCCGCAGAGGGGAAACCCCAGCTCCGAGTCTTCGCCGCTCCCCGGCGCCGGCCGCGGGGGCTGCAGGTGCGAGGCCCGCACTGCCGCTGTGCCCGCGCCTGTCAAGCCGCCTGTCCGCGGCCGCCGGCTGCCGGGAGCTGGGGCGCGGCCGCCGGGGGCGATCAATCACCGCTCCCCAGCCGCCGCTGCGCATCCCGCGCAGCGGGCAGGGCGCCTGCATCCAACCCCGCGCCCCGCGCCTTACCCTGGGAGCCGAAGGAGGAAGAAGACGGGCCCGTGGCGGCAGCGAAGGCGGCGGCGGCCGGGCGCGCCCCAGGCTGGAGCGCAGTCGAGGGGAGCGTGGCGGAGCCGAGGGGAGCGGCTCCCACAATGGCCGAGCTCGCGGCGCCGAGCCCCCCGCCCCCCGCGCCCTAGCGGCAGCGGCTGAAGCAGAGCCGGCGCAGCCGCCCAACCCGCTCCCCCACTCCCAGCGCCGACGCCGCCCCCCGCCCCCCGATGCGCGCTCCCCCCGCCCTGCACCCCACCCCTGCGCTTCCGCCCGCCCCGCGCGCCCCTGCCAGTCCGTCGCCCGGCGCCCCCTCCTCACTGACCCCGCGTCCTCTGGCCGCCCCCAGGCCCTCCCTCGGTCCCTCCCCTCTGCAACTCCTCCCTAGTGGCCTCCGGTGTCCCCCGCAGGCCAACCACACCCCCAAATTCTCCGCCCTCTGCTCTGCGACCTCTCCGCCCCGGCCCCGCGGCCGCTAGCTGACCCTGGGCCAGCTCAGCCGACCCGCCCCCTTGGAGCTCCTCACCGCCCCCCAGTCGCTCTCTCAGGCTGCCGGGCTGTCCTTCTGCCTGGCCCCTGGTTCTCAAACCACCCTTTTCCATGCCCACCCCTCTTTCGCCCGTTTCCCTTAAACCCACATTCCGTCCCCGCCCTTGGCGCTCTTGCTCCAGCTCTCGGAGAGCGTCCTGCAGATCCTGCGGGTCCTATAGGCCCACCTATCTGCTGGGCTTCTGGAACTGAATGAAGGAGGGACCCAAAGAAGGCCTCATCTTCCCCGCAGGGTAAAGAGCAGAAAAGAACCAGGCCCCAATGAGGGAACTCAGTCTCTTTAGACAGCGCTAGCCCCAAGTGGAGCCTTGGGAGATGCTTTATCCACCGAGGAAGCATTTATTGAGCTCCTTCTGCACACACGACCTAATGATGCACAAAACGAGGCAGGAGTCCCTTCTATCCTCTCCTAGGACAGATACGTGAATGTTTCCAGAGAAGTAATGTGTCTAAAGTCATTCCACTTAGTAACCTGCGTAGCAACAGCTACCATATGGGCGTGTCTCCTGGTGACTGTGCAAGGCGCTTTACCTGGATCATGCCAAATCCAGTCCTCACAACCCTGTTCATTCATTCATTCATTCATTCATTCATTCAACAAATACGTGCTGAACATCTACCCGGTGTCAGGCCCCATGCAGGGTACTGAAGATACAGTGTGAGCAAGATGCATTTCATCCCTGCCTGTTGACCATGGGCTCACAGTTCAGCAGGAAAGATGGATGCATCCCATGAGGCAGCATAATGATCTCTAATGTATAGATGTAGAACTGAGATGATATACTCAAAGTCATGTAGGGAGAAAGCGGATGGTCCCAGGACTGGACCCCTGTCTTCAGATTCACATTCTGTTCTTTTTCACCATAACGATTGGGAGAAAAAAAAATGTGTTGGAGCAATTTACAAAGGCCCTTGAGCTAAGGAATTTGGCTTAAATTGGCTGGGCGTGGTGGCTCACGCCTGTAATCCCAGCACTTTGGAAGGCCGAGGCTGGCGGATCACCTGAGGTCGGGAGTTCGAGATCAGCCTGACCAACATGGAGAAACCCTGTCTCTACTAAAAATACAAAAAAATTAGCCAGGCGTTGTGGCGCATGCCTGTAATCCCAGCTAGTCAGGAGGCTGAGGCAGGAGAATCACTTGAACCCGGGAGGCGGATGTTGTGATGAGCCGAGATTGTGCCATTGCACTCCAGCCTGGGCAACAAGAGTGAAAATTCCATCAAGAAAGAGAGGAAGGAAGGAAGGAAGGAAGGAAGGAAGGAAGGAAGGAAAAGAAATTTGACCTAAATTTAATTATTATAAGCAGCCAAGAAAGGTGTCAAAGTAACAGCAAAAGTAACCCAAGGACAGGTACCAGATGGGTGTGGATGGTTACGCTAGGAGGCTACTGTACTAGTCCCAGCCAAAGGTAATGAGGCTGTCAACTGGAGCAGGGACGATAGAGATGGGAAGGGATGTTTTCCACTCACTGAAACTTGCTAAGGTTCTGTGTTTGCAGGCACTGTTTCATATTAAGGGCAAGCAACCACCATTTACAAAACTCCTACTAAGTGCTAGGCAATGTCCTGGGCGTTTTGTGTATATTATCTCATTAAGTCTTCCCAAAAACCCTGTACAGTAGTTACCTTTATTATTCTCATTTTACAAATAAGGAAACAGAGACTTCAAGAGGTTAAATGACTTGCTGAAGTCCACAAAGCAAACTAGTGTTGGAGCTGGGGTTCTCATCCAAGCCTGTCTCCAAATCTCATGCTTTAACCACTGCTCTCTACTGTCTGAAGCGAAGGCAAAGAATCTAGGTCCTATGACTCAGCCAAGGGTTCTTTTCCTTAGACCACAGGTACCTCTGGGGCTTCCGGAGAAAGATCAGGAGACCACAGTTGTAACCTGCCTAAGTGCAGGTCCCTCTGTGGGATATCTTCTCCACAGAAGCCTGCAGAGGCCTCAGCACCAGAGAATTCTACAGCCTGATTCTAAAGTCCCTATGGGACAATAGAATACTATTCAGCCTTTAAAAAGAAGAAAATCCTGGCTGGGTGTGGTGGCTCACACCTGTAATCCCAACACTTTGGGAGGCCAAGGTGGGAGAATTGCTTGAGGCCAGGAGTTTGAGACCAGCCTGGGCAACATGGGGAGACCCCAACTGTACAAAAAAATAAAAAATAAAAATAAATTAGCTGGGCATAGTGGCTCCCACCTGTAGTCCTAACTACTCTGGAGGCTAAGACAAGAGGATCACTTGAGCCCAGGAGATTTTGAAGCTACAGTGCTACAGTGAGTTGTGATCAAGCCACTGTACTCCAGCCTGGGCAAGAGCAAGACACTGTCTCAAAAAAAAAAGAAAGAAAGAAAGAAAGAAAGAAAGAAATCCTGTCATTTGTGACAACATGGATTAACCTGGAGGACACTGTTAAGTGAAATAAGCCAGGCACAGAAAGATAAATACTGCCTAATCTCACTTACATGTGGAACCTAAAAATATTGAGCTCATAGAGGCAGAGAGTAGGCCGGGTGCGGTGTCTCAGACCTGTAATCCCAGCACTTTGGGTGGCAGAGATGGGCAGATCACCTGAGTTCAGGGGTTCGAGACCAGCCTGGTCAACATGGTGAAACCCCGTCTCTACTAAAAATACAAAAATTAGCTGGGTGTGGTGGCACACACCTGTAATCCCAGCTACTCAGTAGGCTGAGGCAGGAGAATCGCTTGAACCCGGGAGGCGGAGGTTGCAGTGAGCTGAGATCATGCCACTGCACTCCAGCCTGGGCGACAGAGCAAGACTCCATCTCAAAAAAAAAAAAAAATTAGCTGGGTGTGGTGGCATGTGCCTGTAATCCCAGCTACTCAGGAGGCTGACGCAGGAGAATCGCTTGAACCTGGGAGGCGGAGGTTGCAGTGAGCTGAGACCGTGCCACTGCACTCCAGCCTGGGCAACAAAGCGAGACTCCATCTCAAAAAAGGAAACAAACAAATAAATTTTAAAAATATGCCGGGCACGGTGGCTCATGCCTGTAATCCCAGCACTTTGGGAAGCCAAGGTGGGCTGATCACCTGAGGTCAGGAGTTCAAGACCAGCCTGACCAACATGGAGAAACCCCATGTCTACTAAAAATACAAAATTAGCCAGGCATGGTGGCGCATGCCTGTAATCCCAGCTACCCGGGAGGCTGAGGCAGGAGAATCGCTTGAACTGGGGAGGTGGAGGTTGCGGCGAGCCGAGATCGCGCAATTGCACTCCAGCCTGGGCAACAAGAGCTAAACTCTGCCTCAAAAAAATAAAAAATAAAATTTAAAAAATAAAAATAAAAAAGATCCTGTGAGGGGGGCTAGAAGGCACTAAGGCATGAAGCTGAAGAATCATTTTCAACTTAGAAATGAGTGTCGCTGGGCGCAGTGACTCACGCCTGTAATCCCAGCAGTTTGGGAGGCCGAGGCGGGCAGATCACCTGAGATCAGGAGTTTGAGACCAGCCTGGCCAACATGGTGAAACCCCATCTCTACTGAAAATACAAAAATTAGCTGGGGGGTGGTGGGTGCCTGTAATCCCAGCTACTCGGGAGGCTGAGGCAGGAGAATCGCTTGAACTCACTGCAGAGGTTGCAGTGAGCTGAGATTGCGCCATTGCACTCCAGCCTGGGCGACGAGCGAAACTCTGTCTTAGAAAATAAATAAATAAATAAATGAGTGTCAAGTCACAGTGGCTGATGCCTGTAATTCCACTGCTTTGTGAGGCTGAGGTGAGATGATCACTTGAGGCCTCCAGGAGCTTGAGACCACCTTGGGCAACACAGCAAGACCCTGTCTACAAATAAGAATAAGAAGAGGAAGAGGAAGAAAGAAGAAGAAGGAGAAGAAGAGAAGTAAGTGCCACAGTCCTTCCCTGGTGAGAGGGGAAGATGAATACCAAGGGAAGCCAAGCTGCATGCACAGGAAGAGTGTGGGGGGCCTGGGTGTGAAATTGAACCTCCACAGGGCCAGGTCCTGTGGGCAGGGTCTCAGCAGCCAGGGCCAGCTGGGAGGGCTCACGGAGGCTGTGCAGTCACCTGGGAAGCCAGAAGGCCCAGCTGCCCGGCTGAGAGGGCACCTAAGAAGTTCTCCTCTCCAACCTCAATGCCCTTCCCAAATCTGACCACCAGTCCTGTCCTAAATTATTCATGCTGTGAGTGGAGCTTCTGGAAGCTTCTGGATGTTGGACTTAGGACATTCAGCTGTGTCTTTCCAGGGCTGTTTCTCCAGCTCCAACAGTGCTACCCTGGGACTGAGCTGCTGGGGAGATTCGCCAAGCTTTTCGCCACTGGCAGCTGGCCAGTAACCTTGAGCTACTGGGCTTCGGTTCATTTCAGCAATCTTTTATTGAGGAATGCTATGTCCTGGGGAGAGTTCTGGGTTCTGTCGGGAACACAGAAGTGACTCCAATCAGGTCCTTGTCCTTGAGGATTCACAGGATGGTAGAGGTGCAGGCACTTAAAAATTATTTCCGTCCACAACATCCCACAGGTCTGATGAGTGCTCCCCACCACTCTATCTCATTTCAACTGCAGGCCACTACTCATTCCCTCCAGAAGCAAGTGGCCTTGGAACTTCATACGCCAAATGCCTGATAAGGTCCTCTTTGGGGCCTGAAGGGGCAACTTTTCACAAAAAGAACAACATCTAGCTTTGTACTGGTGATTCAAAAACGAATCAGACATGCCGGGCCAGGTGACTCATGCCTGTAATCCCAGCACTTTAGGAGTCCAAGGCAGGCGGATGAGGAGGTCAGGCGGATGAGGAGGTCAGGCGGATGAGGAGGTCAGGAGTTCGAGAACAGCCTGCCTAACATGGTGAAACCCCGTCTGTACAAAAAATACAAAAATGAGCCAGGCTTGCTGGCTCATGCCTGTAATCCCAGCACTTTGGGAGGCCGAGGCGGGCGGATCACGAGGCCAGGAGATCGAGACCATCCTGGCTAACAAGGTGAAACCCCGTCTCTACTAAAAATACAAAAAATTAGCCGGGCGTGGTGGCGGGTGCCTGTAGTCCCAGCTACTAGGGAGGCTGAGGCAGGAGAATGGCGTGAACCCAGGAGGCAGAGCTTGCAGTGAGCAGAGATCACGCCACTGCACTCCAGCCTGGGCGACAGTGTGAGACTCTGCCTCAAAAAAACAAAACAAAAATGAAAAAACATTAAACAAGGTAAGAAGAACCAGAAAATAAAAATACATGTAAAGAAAGTTATAAAAAGGTATTTTCCTGTGTGTGTGGCAAGAAAGCTTAAAGAGAAATAATTTTATATGAGGAAAAATATGGTAAATTTTAGTCCTAAAATAAAATGACTGGTTGTTTGAGAAGGCGGGATGAGCTGGGCGCGGTGGCTCACACCTGTAATCCCAGCACTTTGGGAGGCCGAGGCAGGTTGATCACCTGAGGTCAGGAGTTTGAGACCAGCCTGTCCAAAATGGTGAAACGCCATCTCTACTAAAAATACAAAAATTAGCCGTGCGTGGTGGCACATGCCTGTAATTCCAGCTACTTGGAGGCTGAGGCAGAAGAATCGCTTGAACCTGGGTGGTGGAGGTTGCAGTGAGCTGAGATCGTAC
Source organism: Homo sapiens (assembly GCF_000001405.40). NCBI lineage: Eukaryota > Metazoa > Chordata > Mammalia > Primates > Hominidae > Homo > Homo sapiens. The sequence goes on along the minus strand of NC_000001.11, from coordinate 39,075,395 downwards.
CACTGCACTCCAGCCTGGGTGACACAGCAGTATTCCATCTCAAAAAAAAAAAAAAAGAAGAAGATGGGATGTTCAGGACAAACCAGAAAGACCAAATATTATTATTATGTTTTGGTTTGCTTAGGAAAAAAAACTTAGATAAAATAAAAAATTTTTAATATTAAGGTTATTACATCCATGTGTCTTCCTGTATGTACTTTTAAAGTCCTTGTGACAGGCCAGGCATGGTGGCTCATGCCTGCAATCCCAGCACTTTGGGAGGCTGAGGAAGGTGGATCACCTGAGGTCAAGAGTTCGAGACTAGCCTGGCCAACCTGGTGAAACCCCGTCTCTACTAAAAATACAAAAATTAGCCGGGCGTGGTGGTGGGCGCCTGTAATCCCAGCTACTCGGGAGGCTGAAGCAGGATAATCGCTTGAACCCAGGAGGCAGAGGTTGCAGTGAGCCAAGATTGTGCCACTGCACTCCAGCCTGGGTTACAGGAGCGAAACTCCATCTTAAAAAAAAAAGTCCTTGTGACATTGAATTAAAGGGCTTTGACTCCTGTATCTAAAAAGGACACCAAGTCCTGCTGAATCTTAAGCACTGACAGCAATTAAAGCCTTATCTTCCCCGGGAACGGTGGCTCACGCCTGTAATCTCAGCACTTTGGGAGGCCAAGGCAGGCAGATCACCTGAGGTCGGGAGTTTGAGACAAGCCTGACCAACATGGAGAAACCTCGTCTCTACTGAAAATACAAAATTAGCCGGGCGTGGTGTGACATGCCTGTAATCCCAGCTACTCAGGAGACTGAGGCAGGATAATCACTTGAACCCAGGAGGCGGAGGTTGCAGTGAGCAGAGATCTCGTCATTGCAATCCAGCCTGGGCAGCAAGAGGGAAACTCTGTCTCAAAAAAAAAAAAAGGCCTCAGCTTCAGGCCCTGTAGAAGATGCCCATCAAAATAAACTGCATTTTTGAGACACAGGGCCAGAAATTAAAGCTATTTCAACTCCTCAAGGCCCAGGGAGAAGTGATTGTAAGATTGTAAGGGTTAATTTTGAAAGATAAAATAAGTTCAGTTTCTCTATAAATCCTTAATGTCAAAAGGCATACTAATGCAAGACCAGCATATGGGCCCCTGTGTCAGATTAACAAAGTTTTCTTTTTTTTTTTTTTTTTGAGACGGAGTCTCACTCTGTCTCCCAGGCTGGAGTGCAGTGGCGCTATCTCAGCTCACTGCAAGCTCCGCCTCCTAGGTTCACACCATTCTCCTGCCTCAGGCTCCGGAGTAGCTGGGATTACAAGCGCCCGCCACCACGCCCGGATAATTTTTTTGTATTTTCAGTAAAGACGGGGTTTCACTGTGTTAGCCAGCATGGTCTTGATTTCCTGACCTTGTGATCCGCCCGCCTCCGCCTTCCAAAGTGCTAGGATTACAGGCGTGAGCCACCGCGCCCGGCCCAGATTAACAAGGTTTTCTTGAAGCATTAACCAACTCCTTAATAAAGGTTATAAAAGGATTATGGAAGCTATATCTTATGGTCAAGATTAAAATTTAATAGAATGTTTATAAGATTTTGAAAAACAAATTTAATTGGCTTCACGCTGTTTTTATTAGCGCTTATTGTTTGGAAAATTAAGTCTCCTCTCTTAAAGAATAAAGATTCTTGGCTTTTTTTGAAATCCATGAGTTATCACTTTGGTTAAATGAATGACTTATTTTACAATGACCTGTGTTTCTATTTTGTGATATCAAGTGTTTAAAACCTTTGATATTTGACAAACTTCTCAAAATCAAATGATGAATTATGTCTTTTTCTGACCTAAATAAATCCTTTAAGACATTAGGTTCCCTAAAGTCCAAAAAATAACATAATTTGACTTATTTGGTACAAAATTTATACAGGAAGCATTGTCAAATATGAAATGGTATTGGTTTTTCTTTGGGCTGTATTTGTACAAATATGTTATTGGCATGTGTTCCAAAATTATGGGAAGCTCCTATAATTCTGATATAACTTAGTGTATATTATCAGTAATAATCATAATTGTTATGTTAAAATTATTGTGTGCCACAGAGGTAACAAATTTCCTTTTTCTTTTTTCTTTTTGAGATGGAGTCTTGCTCTGTCGCCAGGCTGGAGCTCAATGGCATGATCTTGGCTCGCTTCAACCTCCGCCTCTCAGGTTCAAGTGATTCTCCTGCCTCAGCCTCCCAAGGAGCTAAGACTACAGGTCCACGACACCAGGCCCAGCTAATTTTTTTTTTTTTAGATGGAGTCTCGCTCTGTCGCCCAGGCTAGAGTGCCGTGGCGCGATCTCGGCTCACTGCCAGCTGGGCCTCCTGGGTTCACGTCATTCTCCTGCCTCAGCCTCTCGAGTAGCTGGGACTACAGGTGCCCGCCACCACACCCAGCTAATTTTTTTTTATTTTTAGTAGAGATGGGGTTTCACTGTGTTAGCCAGGATGGTCTTGATCTCCTGACCTCGCGATCCACCCGCCTCGGCCTCCCAAAGTGCTAGGATTACAGGTGTGAGCCACCACGCCCAGCCAGGCCCAGCTAATTTTTGTATTTTTAGTACAGATGGGGTTTCACCATGTTTGCAGGATGGCTCAAACTCTTGACCTCATGATCTGCCTGCCTTGGCCTCCCAAAGTGCTGGGATTACAGGTGTGAGACACCACGACCGGCCTTTTTTTGTTGTTTTTTTCTTTTTTTTGAGATGGAGTCTTGCTCTGTCACCTAGGCTGGAGTGTGGTGGCGCGATCTCGGCTCACTGCAACCTCCACTTCTTGGGTTCAAGCAATTTTCCTGCCTCAGCCTCCTGAGTAGCTGGGATTACAGGCATGTGCCACCACACCCAGCTAATTTTGTATTTTTAGTGGAGAGGGGGTTTCTCCATGTTGGTCAGGCTGGTCTTGAACTCCCAACCTCAGGTGATCCACCAGCCTCAGCCTCCCAAAATGCTGGGATTAGAGGTGTGAGCCACTGCACCCAGCCTATTTTTTGTATTTTTTTAGTAGAGACGGGGTTTCACCATGCTGAACAGGCTGATCTTGAACTCCTGTCATCCTCCTGCCTTGGCCTCCCAAAGTGCTGGGATTACAGATGTGAGCCACTGCACCTGGCCAATTTTTGTATTTTTAGTAGAGATGGGGTTTCACCATGTTGTCCAGGCTGGTCTCGAACTCCTGACCTCAGGTGACCCACCTGCCTTGGCTTCCCACAGTGCTGGGATTACAGGTTTGAGCCACCTCCCCATCCCCCAACAAATTTCCTTTTCAATTGTGTTTTTGACTATGGCTGTCCTAGAACTTTTTGTCATCCACAGACAATTGTCTTGTTTTGGTTCTCTTTAGAAGGTGGCTTTATAATCAAAAACTCTTAACAGGTGCTCCTGGATGCAGGCTTCTGATAACTTTGGAGATTGTGACATCAGAATAGAGGAAAAACTTTCAGGACTCATGGAGAGCTAAAATGTTGATGAGTATCAAGCAGAACAGAAATTAACTGCATGGACTGAACTAATCTTTTGACTTTTGACTTAAAATGTTGCTGATCCTTTGTTTTGTTTTTCAGAGTCTTAAAACTTTTTTCTTGAGCTATTGATAGGTTTTAACAATTTAGTATACTCCCATGAACAAAATTTGGAGAATATTTGTTTCTCTCTACCTGATTTCTCCAGAATTTAGAAAGTATTTGTGAGTATTCTTAACTTATGGCAATACAGTTATTTGCATAAATGCAATAAGAATCTGTTTTCATTTGTAACAGGACACTATTGGAGAAACTGGTTATTTTAACCAAGGCTTTGACTGGAATGGTCTGCTTTCCTTTAAGGAATAAAACTTGACTTATGGACCCAATAAAGCCGTTGGAAAAACTGGCCTCATATTTTGTGTACACAGTTCATGTACAGGGTTTCTGACCTGTGGTAAGTAAAGAGTGTCACTTTCTAACAGGCACAGAAGCCCCAGGTTCATCTTGGAACCTCAAGGGGAGAGAAAATTCACCCAACTCATAGATATTTGATGGCACAAATCCATGGCCAGTATCAGCTTTAAAAAAAGTCTTATCTGGGATTCCTTCTATGGACAAAGTTCCATCAAAGCCAATTTAAAGCCTATGTAAAAAAATAATTATTCTTAGCCAGGCGTCGTGGCTCACGCCTGTAATCCCAGCACTTTGGGAGGCCGAGTCAGGCGGATTACGAGGTCAAGAGATCAAGACTATCCAGGCCAACATGGTGAAACCCCATCTCTATTATAAATACAAATCAGGGAGTTGGAGGTTGCAGTGAGCTGAGATCCACCACTGCACCCCAGCCTGGTGACAGAGCCAGACTCAGTTTCAAAAAACAAAAAACAAAAAAACAAAAAAAGCAAAAAAAACTGAGACCTGTCTCAAATTTTCAGGGGTCACACTTCAATACTGGCTTTTCCTTCCATGATTGCCCTCCATCTCAACTTGTTCCATTGGATCCTCTGGACTCAAGACAGGTGACAGGTTGAAGGTGAAATATGAACCTGAGTAGAGACTAAAACTCTGTGCAGGTAGCACTGTCAAACAGAAGAAATAGCACAGAATCCTCAAATTGGGAGGGACTTCGAAGATCTCCAGGCTCTGCCTAGAACATTCTTCCTCCCACCTTTTCCTAGTTGATCCCTTCCATCCATACACTGATGACATCCAGATTTGTTTTTATTTTTATTTATTTTTTATTTTTTTGAGATGGAGTCTCACTCTGTCACCCAGGCTGGAGTGCAGTGGCGCGATGTCAGCTCACTGCAACCTCTGCCTTCCGGGTTCAAGCGATTCTTGTGTCTCAGCCTCCCAAGTAGCTGGGACTACAAGTGCCTGCCACCATGCCTGGCTAATTTTTTGTATTTTTAGTAGAGGCAGTGTTTCACCATATTGACCAGGCTGGTCGCAAACTCCTGACCTCAGGCAATTGGCCTGCCTCGGCCTCCCAAAGTGCTGGGACTACAGGTGTGAGCCGCCGCGCCTGGCAACATCCAGATTTGACTTCTATCCGTACCTACAGCTCTCATCTCTCTCCTCCCAGCTCCAGACTCATATTCAACTGCCTCCTTCCCCACCTGCTTGTCTAATAGGCATCTCAAAGTCTAAATGTCCCACACACTTTTGATATCTGGCTTCTAACACCCACAACACCCACAGAACTGTTCTCCCAGTTTTTGCCATCTCAGAAAATGGCTTGACCACCTACCCAGTTACTCAAGTACAAGATTTAGAAGTCTTTTTTTTTTTCTTTTTTTGAGATGGAGTTTTGCTCTTGTTGCCCAAGCTGGAGTGCAATGGCGCAACCTCGGCTCACTACAACCTCCACCCCCTGGGTTCAAGCGATTCTCCTGTCTCAGCCTCCCGAGTAGCTGGGATTACAGGTGCTTGCCACCATGCCCAGCTAATTTTTGTATTTTTACTAGAGATGAGGTTTCATCATATTGGTCAGGCTGGTCTCAAACTTCTGACCTCAGGTGATCCACCTGCTTCAGCCTCCCAAAGTGCTGGGATTACATGCGTGAGCCACCGCACCCAGCCAGAAGTCATTCTTGATTTTTCTTTCTCTCATTCCTCTTATCCCTATCGGCCAGTTCTGACAAACTGCCTCCATAATGTATCCTGAATTCACCCATTTCTTCTATCTTGCTGTCACCATCTTGGTCCAAGCACTGCCATCAATCACCTGGACAACTGCACCAGCCTTCTGAATGGCCTATTTCCATTCTTTCTCCCTCCCCCATTTCAATCCATACTGCAGCCAAGAGTGAATTCTTTAAAACATAGATCAGTGGCTGGGTGCGGTGGCTCACACTTGTAATCCCAGCATTTTGGGAGACTGAGGCGGGCGGATTACCTAAGGTAGGGCCGGGCGCCGTGGCTCATGCCTGTAATCCCAGCACTTTGGGAGGCTGAGGCAGGCGGATCACCTAAGGCCAGGAGTTCGCAACCAGCCTGACCAACATGAAGAAACCCCACCTCTACTAAAAATACAAAATTAGCTGGGAGTGGTGATGCATGCCCATAATCCCAGCTACTTGGAAGGCAGAGGCAGGAGAATCACTTGAACCCAGGAGGCAGAGGTTGCGGTGAGCCGAGATCAAGCCATTGCACTCCAGCCTGGGCAACAAGAGGGAAACTCCATCTCAAAAAAAAAAAAAAAAAAAAACCATAAACCATGTCACCTACACAGTTCCAATATGCACTTACACTAAAATATACACTCTTTTCAATGGACCATAATGTTCAAATGATCTGACTCGTGCTCCAGGACCCCCTTGCTCACTGGATTCTAGCAAATCAAACCTTCTTTCTGTTCCTCTAATAAGTGAATTTCCGTCCCACTTTGGGACTCTGCAAAGCTGTTCTGGCTGCTTGGAATTCCCTAAAATCATTGCATGATTGGTGCCATTTTCATCACCTAAAATTCATCTTAGAAGTCACCTTCTCAAAGAGGCCCTTTTTGACCTCCCATCCAAAGTAGCCCCCTCCTTTAAGCCTTGCTTTATTTTCTTCATAACTTTGATCACTTTGTCATCATGTAGCTCATTTGTTTACCTGTTTGTTTTCTGTCTAATGCAGTTATTAATAAGTGTTAGGAAGAAGAATAAAATAGAAAAACATGACACTGGGAGTTACTATTTTATTTTATTTTTTGAGACAGGGTCTCACTCTGTTGCCCAGGCTGGAATACAGTGATGCAATCATGACACACCACAGCCTCGACCTCCCAGGCCCAAGTGATCCTCCCACCTCCCAAGGAGTTGGGACCATGGACATGTGCCACTACACTTGGCTAATTTTTTTATTTTTGTAGAGATGGGGTCTCCCTATGTTGCCCAAACTGGTCTTGAACTCCTGGGCTCAAGCGATGCTCCTGTCTTGGCCTCTCAAAGTGCTGGGATTACAGGCATTAGCCACTGCCCTCAACCAGAGCTACTATTTTATTTATTTATTTATTTATTTATTTATTTATTTATTTATTTATTTTGACATGGAGTCTCTCTCTGTCATCCAGACTGGAGTGCAGTGGAGCAATCTCGGCTCACTGCAACCTCCGTCTCCTGGGTTCAAGCGATTCTCCTGCCTCAGTCTCCCGAGTAGCTGGGATTACAGACACCCGCTACCACACCCAGCTAATTTTTGTATTTTCAGTAGAGACGGGGTTTTGTCATGTTGGCCACGCTGCTTTCAAACCCCTGACTTCAAGTGATCCACCCACCTTGACCTCCCAAAGTGCTAGGATTACAGGCATGAGCCACTGTCCCCGGCCCACATGTGTAATTTAAAATTTTCTAAAATTCACATTTAAAAAAGTAAAAGAGGCCAGGCACGGTGGCTCACGCCTGTAATCCCAGCACTTTGGGAGGCCAAGGCGGGTGGATCACGCGGTCAGGAGATTGAAACCATCCTGGCTAACATGGTGAAACCCCGTCTCTACTAAAAATACAAAAAATTAGCCGGGCATGGTGGCGGGTGCCTGTAGTCCCAGCTGCTCGGGAGGCTGAGGCAGCAGAGTGGCGTGAACCTGGGAGGCGGAGCTTGCAGTGAGCCGAGATCGCGCCACTGCACTCCAGCCTGGGTGACAGGGTGAGACTCTGTCTCAAGAAAAAAAAAAAAGAAAAAAGTAAAAGAGTTCAGCTCCTAAACTAGGAGTATATGTATAAAAAAGGAAAGATCAGTGGCTGCCAAGGAATGAGGGGAAAGAGGAATGAACAGGCAGAGCACAGACGATTTTCAGGGCAATGAAATTACACTGTATGATAGCATCATGGTGAATAGATATCGTTATGCATTTGCCAAAACCCATAGAATGCTTGACACTAAGAGGGAACCTTAACATTAACTATGAAGTTTGGATGGAAATGATCTGTCATTGACGGTAACAAATGTACCACTGTAGTGTGGGATGCTGACAGTAGGAAGCTTGGGTGTTTATGAGGGCAGGATATGTATAAGAACTCTCAGCATATTCAGTCCTCACAACAACCCTATGTGTCCAACATATCCAAGATATTATCATCTCAAAATGTAACCAATATTTTAAAAATTTAAATAGTTTTGGCTGGGCACAGTGGCTCACGCCTGTAATCCCAGCACTTTGGGAGTCTGAGGAGGGCGGATCATGAGGTCAGGAGACGGAGACCATGCTGGCTAATGGTGAAACCCCATCTCTACTAAAAATACAAAAAATTAGCTGGGCGTGGTGGTGGGCACCTGTAGTCCCAGCTACTCGGGGGGCTGAGGCAGGAGAATGGCATGGACCCCGGAGGCGGAGCTGGCAGTGAGCCGAGATCAAGCCACTGCACTCCCGCCTGGGCGACAGAGCGAGACTCTGTCTCAAAAAAAAAAAAAAAAATTAAGTACTTTTTCATGAACAAAATTCTCAAAATCTGGTGTGCATTTTGGACAGCTGTAGTGGCTCACACCTGTAATCCCAGCACTTTGGGAGGCCGAGGAGGGCGGATCGCTTGAGGTCAGGAGTTCCAGGCCAGCCTGGCCAACATGGTGAAACCCCATCTCTACTATAAATACAAAAATTACGCCAGGCTCAGTGGCTTATGCCTGTAATCCCAGCACTTTGGGAGGCTGAGGCGGATGGATTACAAGGTCAGGAGTTTGAGACCAGCCTGCCCAATATGGTGAAACCCCATCTCTACTAAAAATACAAAAATTAGCTGGGCGTGATAGGGGGCGCCTGTAATCACAGTTACTCAGGAGGCTGAGGCAGGAGAATCACTTGAACCCAAGAGGCAGAGGTTGCAGTGAGCCAAGATCACGCCACTGCACTCCAGCCTGGGTGACAGAGCAAGAGTCTGTCTCAAAAAAAAATAAGAATAAAAATAAATAAATAAATAAATTCAAAAATTAGCTGGGCTTGGTGGCGCATGCCTGTAATCCCAGCTACTTGGGACGCTGAGGCTCGAGAATCTCTGGAACCCAGGAGGCAGAGGTTGCAGTGAGCCGAGACCTCACCACTGCACTCCCGCCTGGACGCCAGAGTGAGACCCTGTCTCAAAACAAACAAACAATGCTGCAACAAATCTTCTAAATGCGCTTTTTTGTTGTTGTTGTTTTGTTTTTTTACAAAGATTTCTTTTAGCTTTTTTTTCTCTACATGCATTTGCTATTATTTCTTTAGGTTCTATTTCTAGAAGTGGTCTTTGGCTACTTTAAATAGTAAATTTATCTAATGCTAAGTAGGTTGTTCTGGGGTGGGAAAGGCTCCCATTTAAGTATTTTATAATACCTACTGTCTTCAGCATGCAAAACAATCTCTTCTTAAATTTGAAAGTTCTCCTTCATTTAATAAATAGCAATGTATTCCCCTGAACGTACAGCATTACAATTCAACAGTGGCAAAGATTTTTGACTGGCTGCTGGGTTCAGTGAACTGTAAGGACTGAGAGTGTTAGAACGACACATAAAAGTGCAAACTCTCCAGCTCACAGTCTAACAGGGAAACAAGATAGGAACATAAACAATAATCCACATTATACAAAGAGAATTGCCCCTGGTCCAGACTTCTTACTCTGATGTCCTGGAGCACTTACTCTCTAGGATGGCAAGAATATAACCTAAGATTGGCTGGTTTTACATGTTTACTCTTTGGATCACAAAATGAGGAAACGGCTCCAGGTATGTTAGCAAGAGACAGTATAAATTATTCCATGGCTGGAGGCCAGAGTCTATTTCCTCTCCAAAAGCCCGCTGTGTACCTTCATTTAGTAAACATTTACCTGCTTCTATTCTATATCACATGTTGGGGAGGTGATGGAATCCTTGCATCGAAGTGCTCAGTAATATATATTGATTGATAAGGTATCAGGTAGCAAAAGGTACAATATTCTAGTGTTTGCCCTAGAAAACCTCGGCTGAAATTGATACATTTTGTTTGCTCCTCTTACTTTTGTTGTTGTTTTTATTTTAACTAAATTTTTTTTTTTTTTGAGACGGAGTATTGCTCTGTCGGCCAGGCTAGGGTGCAGTGGAGCGATCTTGGCTCACTGCAACCTCCGCCTTCTGGGTTCAGGCGATTCTCCTGCCTCAGCCTCCCAAGTAGCTGGGATTACAGGTGCCCCACCGTGCCTGGCTAATTTTTGTATAAAAAATTTTTTTTTACTGAGGTGTAATTTACATGCAAGAACATGCACCCACATTAACGGTCTAGTTGGATGAGTTTTGAGAGTTGTATTTACCCATGAAACATAGAACATATTCATCATCCCAAAAAGTTCCTTCTTTTTTTTTTTTCCTTTCAAGATAGAGTCTTGCTCTGTTCTCCAGGCTGGAGTGCAGTGGCATGATCTGGGCTCACTGCAACCTCCGCCTCCCGGGTTCAAGCAATTCTCCTGCCTCAGCCTCCTGAGTAGCTGGGATTACAGGCATGCGCCACCACCACACACGGCTAATTTTTGTATTTTTTTTTTTTTTTTTTTGAGACAGAGTCTCACTCTGTCACCAGGCTGGAGTGTAATGGCGCAATCTCGGCTTACTGCAACTTCTGACTTCCTGGTTTAAGCAATTCTCCTGCCTCAGCCTCCTGACTAGCTGGGATTACAGGCACACGCCACCACGCACAGCTAATTTTTTTGTATTTTTAGTAGAGACAGGGTTTCACCATGTTGGCCAGGATGGTCTCGGTCTCCTGACCTCGTGATCCGCCTGCCTTGGCCTCCCAAAGTGTTGGGATTACAGGTGTGAGCCACGGCACCCTGCCGAGTTTTTGTATTCTTAGTAGAGACGGGGTTTCACCACGTTGGCCAGGCTGGTCTCGAACTCTTGACCTCATGATCTGCCTCCCTCGGCCTCCCAAAGTGCTGGGATTACAGGTGTGAGCCACTGTGGCCTTTTTTTTTTTTGTCTTTTAAAGGGGATGGAGTCTGACTCTGTTGCACAGGCTGGAGTGCAGTGGTGTGATCTTGGCTCACTGCAACCTCCACCTCCCAGGTTCAAGCAATTCTCCTGCTTCAGCCTCCTGAGTAGCTGGGACTACAGGCGCGCCCCACCATGCCCAGTTAATTTTTTGTTTTTCAGTACAGATGGGGTTTCACCATATTGGCCAGGCTGGTCTCAAACTCCTGACCTTGTGATCCACCCGCCTCAGCCTCCCAAAGTGCTGGGATTATAGGCGTGAGCCACGGTGCCCGGTCTTTTTTTTTTTTTTTTTAAATAGAAATGGGTTCTCACTTTATTGCCCAGGCTGGTCTTGAACTCCTGGACTCAAACGATCCTCCCACCTGAACCTCCCAAAGTGCTGGAATTACACGCATGAGCGACTGCACCCAGCTCCCTTATTCAAATTAACTTTTGACTTCTTATTTTGAAATAATTGTAAATGCACAGGAAGTGCAAAGATAGTGCAGAAAAGTTCCACATAGCCTTCACCCAGTTTCCTCCGATGGCTGCCTCTTCCATAATTACAACACAATATCAAAAGCAGGAAATGTACTCTGGTCTGATATGAATACATAGTTCTACGTCATTTTATCACGTTTATATTCCTGTAAGCACCACTGCAACCAAGATAAATATATCACCACAAAGATCTCCCTTCTTTGTGCAGGGAGATATTCCTTTATAGTTACACTGTCCCCCACCATCCCTAACACCTGGCAAGCACTATTTTCCATCTTTATAATTTTGTCTTTTTAAGAATGTTTCGTAAGTGGAACTATACAGTATGTGACCTTTTCAGATGGCTTTTCTCACTCAGCCCTTGAGATCCAGCTAAGTTGCTGCTGTATCAAGTTTGTTCCTTTTTATTACTAAGTAGGATCCCATGGTATATTTGTTTCCTAGAACTGCCATAACCAATCACAACAAACTCGGTCTGTGGCTTAAAGCAACGGACATTTATTCTCTGATAGTTCTGGAAGCCAGAAGTCTGAAACCCAGGTGTCAGCGGGGCCATGCTCCCCCTGAAGCCTCGAGGGGAGAATGCTTCCTTGCTAGGTTCTGTTTTGTTGGTTCCAGCCATTCCTTGGCTTGTAAGGGCATCGCTCCAATCACATGGTCTTCCCTATGTCTGTGCCTTCTCCTCTCCTGTCTCTTAAAAGGACACTTATTGGCTGAGTGACGTGGCTCACCTTTGTAATCCCAGCACTTTGGGAGGAAAAGGCGGGAGGATCATTTGAGCCCAGGAGTTTGAGAACAGTCTGGGCAACATAGTGAGACCTGTCCCTACAAAAAATTTTTTAAAAAATTAGTCAAATGTTGGCTGGGCATGGTGGCCCACGCCTGTAATCCCAGCACTTTGGGAGGCTGAGGGCAGCGAATAATTTCTGGCCAGGAGTTCAAGACCAGCATGGCCAACATGGCAAAACCCCGTCTCTACTAAAAATACAAAAATTAGCCGGGCATGGTGGGGAACACCTGTAATCCCAGCTACTCGGGAGGCTGAGGCATGAGAATTGCTTGAACCTGGGAGGCGGAGGTTGCAATGAGCCCAGATAGCACCACTGGACTCCAGCCTGGATGTCAGGGAGACTTTGTCTCAAAAAAAAAAAAAAATTCAGCCAGGTGTGGTGGCAGATGCCTGTGGTCCCAGCAACAAGAGGATTGATTGCTTGGGGAAAAAAAGACACTTGTCATTGGATTTAGGGCCCACCCAGATAATCTAGGTTGATATCATCTCGAGATCCTTAACTTAATCACAGCTGCAAAGACCCTATTTTTAATTTTTTTTTTTTCGAGATGGAGTTTTGCTCTTGTTGCACAGGCTGGAGTGCAATGGCGCGATCTCGGCTCATCACAACCTTTGCCTCCTGGGTTCAAGTGATTCTCCTGCCCAGCCTGAGTAGCTGGGATTACAGGCATGTGCCATAACACCGGGCTAATTTTGTATTTTTAGTGGAGACGGGGTTTCTCCAAGTTGGTCAGGCTGGTCTCGAACTCCCGACCTCAGGTGATCTGCCCACCTAGGCCTCCCAAAGTGCTGGGATTACAAGCGTGAGCCACCGCGCCCGGCTTCAAAGACGCTATTTTCGAACGTCACATTCATAGGTTCAGGAGTTAATATATGTACATGTCTTTTGGGGGGCTCCCATTTAACTCGATACATGTGATATGGATATATCATGGTTTATTTAGCCATTCATCTATTTGATGGTCATTTTGGTTGTTTCCAGGTTTTGGCTATTACAAATAAATGTGTTATGAAAAATCATGTACAGGCTTTCGTGTGAACATAAGTTTTCATTTATCTGGGATAAATGCCAAGTAGGAAAATTTCTGGGTCATATGGTAAGGGAATGTTTAGTGTTTAAAGCAAATAGTAGGGCCGGGCATGGTGATTCATGCCTGTAATCCCAGCACACTGGGAGGCCAAGGCAGGAGGATCATTTGAGCTCAGGAGTTCAAGACCAGCCTGGGCAACGTAATTAGGCCCTATGTGTACAAAAATTAAAAATTAAAAAATTAGCCAGACTTTGGGGTGCACACCTGTAGTCCCAGCTACTCGGTGGGGTGAGGTGGAAGGATTGCTGGAGCCCAGGAGTTGGAGGCTGCAGTAAGCTATGATGGCACCAGTGCACTCCAAGTTTTTGTCTCTTAAAAATAAATAAATGAAAATACAAAATTAGCTTACAGAGTGGCTATTCCATTTTACATTCCCAACAGTAATGTATGAAAGATTCAATTGTTGGCCGGGCATGGTGGCTCACGCCTGTAATACCAGCACTTTGGAAGGCTGAGGCGGGCAGATCACGAGGTCATGAGTTCGAGACCAGCCTGGCCAATATGGTGAAACCCATCTCTACTAAAAATACAAAAATTAGCCAAGTGTGGTGGCGCATGCCTGTAATCCCAGCTAGTTGGGAGGCTGAGGCAGGAGAATTGCTTCAACCCAGGAGGCGGAGGTTGCAGTGAGCCAAGATCGTGCCACTGCACTCCAGCCTGGGTGACAGAGCAAGACTCTATCTCAGAAAAAAAAAAAAAAAAAAAAAGATTCAATTGTCCACATCCTCTAGCATGTGGTATTCTGTTTTATTATTTTTTTTATTTTATTATTATTTTTTGAGACAGAGTCTCACTCTGTCACCCCGGCTGCAGTACAGTGTCATGATCTCGGCTCACTGCAGCCTCCACCTCCCAGGTTCAAGCAATTCTCCTATCTCAGCCTCCCAAGTAGCTGGTATTACAGGTGTGCACCACCATCATGCCAAGCTAATTTTTGTATTTTTAGTAGAGACAGGGTTTCACTATGTTGGCCAGACTGGTCTCCAACTCCTGGACTCAAGTGATCTGCCTGCCTCAGCCTCCCAAAGTGCTGGGATTACAGGCACGAGCCACCACGCCTGGCCCTATTTTTTTATTTTAGCTATTCTCACAAGTATGTAATGGTATCTCATCATGGTCTTAATTTTCCTAATGGATAGTTATGTTAACATTCTTTCACGTGTTTATTTGCCTTCTGTATATTCTCTTTGGGGAAATATCTTAAGTTTTTTTTTTTTTTGCACATTTTCTAATGGGATTATCTGGTGTTTTTCTTACTGTTGAGATTTGAGTGTTTTGTTTTGTTTTGTTTTGTTGTTTTTTTTTTGAGACAGAGTCTTGCTCTGCCACCCAGGCTGGACTGGAATGCAGTGGCTCTCGCTGCAAGCTCCGCCTCCCAGATTCATGTCATTCTCCCGCCTCAGCCTCCTGAGTAGCTGGGACCACAAGCACCTGCCACCACACCCAGCTAATTTTTTTGTATTTTTAGTAGAGATGGGGTTTCACCGTGTTAGCCAGGATGGTCTCAATCTCCTGACCTCGTGATCCGCCCGCCTCGGCCTCCCAAAATGCTGGGATTCCAGGCCTGAGCCACCACGCCCAACCTTTTTTTTTTTTTTTTTTTTTGAGACAGAGTCTAGCTCTGTAGCCCAGGCTGGAGTGCAGTGGTGCAATCTCGGCTCCCTGCAACCTCTGCCTCCTGGGTTCAGGTGATTCTCGTGCCTCAGCCTCTTGAATAGCTGGGATTACAGGCATGCACAACCGTGCCCAGCTAATTTTTGTATTTTTAGCAGAGATTGGGTTTTACCATATTGGCCAGGCTGGTCTCAAACTCCCGGCCTCAAGTGATCTGCCTGCCTTGGCCTCCCAATGTGCTGGTATTACAGGAGTGAGCCACAATGCCCGGCCTTGAGTGTTCTTTATATATATTCTAAATATAAGTCCTTTGTCAGATATATGGTTTGCAAATATTTTCTCTCACTTTGTAGTTTGTCTTTTCATCCTCTTAATGGGGTCTTTCACAGAGCAAAAGTTTGTAATTTTGATGAAGTCCAATTATGTATATATTTTTTCTTTTATGGTTCTTGCTTTTGGCATCATGTCTGAGAACTTTTCCCTGAGCCCTGGGGAAAGACTCCTAGGTCCTGATGATTTTCTTCTATCTTGTCTTCTAAACATCTTATAACTTTACAGTTTACATTTAAACCTGTTCCATTTTAAGTTAATTTTTGTATAAGGCATGAGGTTTAGGTTGGTTGCTTTTTTTTTTAATGGTCACTTTTACATTTTTATTTTACTTTTTTTTTTTTTCAGCAGCATTCATGCAACCTCTGCCTCCTGGGTTCAAATGATTCTTGTACCTCAGCCTCAAGAATAGCTGGGATTACAGTTGCATGCCACCATATCTGGCTAATTTTTTTGTATTTTTAGCAGAGATGGGGTATTGTCATGTTGGTCAGGCTGGTCTTGGACTCCTGGCCTCAAGTGATCCGCCTGTCTCAGCCTCCCAAAGTGCTAGGATTACAAGCATGAGCCGCTGCACCCAGCCTAGATCTCTGTATTCATCAGAACTAAGGCAATTAAAGGAATTGTCTTATTGTGGGGGCTGGCAAATCTGAATCTGCAGAACTGGCCAGCAAGCTAAAGACCCAGGGAAGAGTTGATGTTGCAGTTCAAGTCTGAACAAGTCTGAAGGCAGTCTAGATGCAGAATTATTGCTTCCTTGGTGGCTCTCCATCTTTTCCATCTTTTATAATTTTTTTTTTTTAACAGAATCTTGCTCTGTTATCCAGGCTGGAGTGCAGTGGTACGATCTTGGCTCACTGCACCCTCCGCCTCCCGGGTTCAAGTGATTCTCCTGCCTCAGCCTCCCAAGTAGCTGGGACTACAGGCGCCCGCCACCACACTTGGCTAATTTTTTGTATTTTTAGTAGAGAGGGTGTTTCACCGTGTTAGCCAGGATGGTCTCGATCTCCTGACCGCATGATCCACCTGCCTCGGCCTCCCAAAGTGCTGGGATTACAGGCGTGAGCCACCGCGCCTGGGCCAGACTCAATATTTCAAATAAAACTCTAGGTTTACTAAAAACAGTGTGATGGGCAGCCAGAACTTCTGCTTCTAGGCAGGCTGTATCAGATCACAGAAAGCCAATTTCTGTGGAGTTGTTTTTTGTTTTTTCCTATGAACATCAATTTGCTTCAGTACCATTTGTTGACAAAACTATCCTTCCTCCACTGTATTGCATGGGGTATTTCTGGGTCCTCTATTGTCTTCCATTGATTGATGTGTCTTTCCATCCACCAATACCCCACAGTCATAATTACTATAGCTGTATTCTTGAAATTAGGCAGTGATTCCTCCCACTTTAATCTTCTTTTTTTTTTTTTTTTGAGATGGAGTCTCGCTCTGTCGCCCAGGCTGGTGTGCAATGGTGCAGTCTCGGTTCACTGCAACCTCCACCTCCCCGGTTCAAGCTATTCTCCTGCCTCAGCCTCCTAAGTAGCTGGGATTACAGGTGCACGCCACCATGCCGGGCTAATTTTTTTATTTTTAGTAGAGATGGGGTTTCACCATGTTGGTCAGGCTGGTCTTGAACTCCTGACCTCGTGATCTGCCTGCCTCAGCCTCCCAAAGTGCTGGGATTACAGGCGTGAGCCACCATGCCCAGCCTTTTTAATTTTTTTATTTTTGAGATGGAATCTCGCTCTTGTTGCCCAGGCTGGAGTGCATGGAGTGCAATGGCACGACCTCAGCTCACTGCAACCTCTGCTTCCCAGATTCAAGCAACTCTCCTGCCTCAGCCTACCGAGTAGCTGGAATTACAGGCACCTGCCATCACACCTGGCTAATTTTTTGTATTTTTAGTAGAGATGGTGGTTCACCATGTTGGCCAAGCTGGTCTCAAACTCCTGAAGTGATCCACCCGCCTCAGCCTCCCAAAGTGCTGGGATTACAGGCGTGAGCCACTGCGCCCGGCTTAATCTTCTTTTTAAAAATATATTTTAGGCCACGTGTGGTAGTGCACGCCTGTAGTCCCAGTACTTTGGGAGGCCAAGTTGGGACAATTGCTTGAGCTCAGGAGTTCAAGACCAGCCTGGGCAACATGGCAAAACCCCGTCTCTACAAAAAATTGAAAAATTAGCTGGGTGTGGTGGCACATGTCTACAGTTGAAGCTACTCGGGAGGCTGCAGTGGGCCAAGATTGTGCCACTGCACTCCAGCCTGGGTGACAGAGCAAGACCTTGTCTCAAAAAAAGTTTTTTTAATGAAAATTATTTTATGCTGGGCACAGTGGCTCATGCCTGTAATCCTAGCACTTTGGGAGGCTGAGGTGGGAGGATTGCTTGAGTCCAGGAATTCAAGCACCCTGGGCAACACAGGAAGGCCTTGTCTGTATAAAAAATAATTTTTAAAAATTAGCTGGGCCTGGGCCGGGCTCGGTGGCTCACGCCTGTAATCCCAGCACTTTGGGAGGCCGAGATGGGCGGATCACAAGGTCAGGAGATGGAGACCATCCTGGCTAACACGGTGAAACCTCGTCTCTACTAAAAATACAAAAATAATTAGCCAGGCGTGGTGGCGAGTGCCTGTAGTCCCAGCTACTCGGGAGGCTGAAACAGGAGAATGACGTGAACCTGGGAGGCGGAGCTTGCAGTGAGCCGAGGTCATGCCACTGCACTCCAGCCTGGGCCACAGAGGAAGACTCCGTCTCAAAAAAAAAAAAAAGGAAATTAGCTAGGCGTGGTGGCACGCACCTGTGGTCCCAGTTACTTGGGAGACCGAGGTAGGAGGATTACCTGAGCCCAGGATGTCAAGGCTGCAATGAGCTGTGATCACGCCACTGTGGTCCAGTCTGGGTGACAGAGTGAGACTCTGGCTCAAAAAAAAAAAAAAAAAAAATTGTTTCAGCTATTCTAGTTTATTTGCCTTTCCTCATACATTTTATAATAATCTTTATTTACAAAAATCATGCTGGGATTTGGATAGGAATTGCACTAAACTTGTATATTAATTTAGGGAGAATTGACATCCTTACTGTGATGAGTCTTTGAAGTCATGAAAACAGTATATCTGTCTATTTAGATCTTCTTTGATTTCTTTCAACACCATTTTCTAGTTTTCATCATATGAGTCTTGTACATGTTTTACTGGATTCATACCTAAATATTTCCTTTTTCTGTGATTATAAATATTATGTTTTAAATGTTGATGTCCGTGTTTTCATTGCTAATATATATATGTTGATATTTGTATGTTGATTTTGTATTGTGACCTTGCTGAATTCACTTACTGGTTCTAGCTTTTTTTTTTTTTTTAGATTTCATGAAATTTTCTATAAAGGCCATCATGCCATTATAAGGACCGCCTGATATCTTTCTTTCCAATATGTATGCTTTTAAAATTCTTTTCCTATTCTTATTACACAGACTACAATTTCCAGCACTGTGTTGAATAAGATTGGTGAGAGTGGACATGCTTGCCTTGTGTTCAGTCAGGGGGAAAGCATTCAGTCTCTCACTGTGAAGTATGATGCTAGTTGTAGGTTTTTTGTAGATACTCTATCAAATTGAGAAAATTCCCTTTTATTTCTAGTTTCCTGAGAGTTTTTATTATGAATGGGTACGGAATTTTGTCAAGTGCTTTCTCTCTGTCAATTGATTTTTCTTTAGCCTGTTAACAGGGTGGAATACATTGATTGATTTTTTTTCATTGATTGATTTTTGAATATTGACTTAGCCTTGCATCCCTGGAATAATCCCCACCTGGTCATAGTATATAATTCTTTTCATATATTGCTGAATTCTATTCATTTTTTTTTCTTTGGAGACGGAGTTTCCCTCTTGTTGCCCAGGCTAGAGTGCAATAGCACAATCTCCGCTCACGGCAACCTGTGCCTCCCAGGTTCAAGCAATTCTCCTGCCTCAGTCTCCCGAGTAGCTGGGATTACAGGCATGCACCACCATGCCCGGCTAATTTTGTATTTGTATTTTTTATTTTATTTTATTTTTGAGATGGAGTCTCGCTCTGTCACCCAGGCTGGAGTGCAATGGTGCGATCTTGGCCCACTGCAACCTCCCCCTCCCGGGTTCAAGCAATTCTCCTGCCTCAGCCTCCTGTGTAGCTGGGATTACAGGTGTTTGCCACCATGCCTGGTTAATTTTTGTATTTTTAGTAGAGACGGGGTTTTGCCATGTTGGCCAGGCTGGTTTTGAACTTCTGACCTCGTGATCCGCCCACCTAGGCCTCCCAAAGTGCTGGGATTACAGGCATGAGCCACTGTGCCTGGCCAATTTTGTATTTTTAGTAGGGATGGGGTTTCTCCATATTGGTCAGGCTGGTCTCGAACTCCCAACCTCAGGTGATCCGCCTGCCTTGGCCTCCCAAAGTGCTGGGATTACAGGCGTGAGCCACCGTGCCCGGCCTCTATTTGTTATTTATTTATTTATTTATTTATTTATGGAGACAGAGTCAGGCTGGAGTGCAGTGGCACGATCTTGGCTCTCTGCAACCTCCACCTCCCGAGTTCTAAGTGATTCTCCTGCCTCAGCCTCCGGAGTAGCTGGGATTACAGGCACGCACCACCACGCCCAGCTCATTTTTTTTAATTTTTAGTAGAGACAGGGTTTCACCATGTTGGTCAGGCTGGTCTCCAACTCCTGACCTGAGGTGATCCACCCACTTCAGCCTCCCAAAGTGCTGGGATTACAGGCATGAGGCACCGTGCCTGGCCTATTTGTTGATGTTTTGTTAAGGATTTTTGTGTCTGTGTTCTTATTAAAGGTCATTGGTCTGTAGTCATCTTTTTTGTATTTTCCTTGTCTGGTTTTGATATGGGTAAGATGGGCCTCATAAAATGACTTAGGAAATGCTTCATCTCTTCTATTTTCTGGATCAGATTTGTAGAATCGGTGTTAATTCTTTAGACGTTTGATAGAATTCTCCACTGAAATCATCTGGAGTAAAGATTTCTTGGGGGTGAAGTTTTAAATTACAAATTCAATGTCCTTAATAGTTATAAAGCTACTGAAATTATCTACTTCATATCGGGTATGTTGTAGTAGTTTTTATTTTTTAAGGAATTAGTCCATTTCATCTAAGTTGTCAAATGTGTGTTAGTAACATATAAAACAAATGTGTGTTTATAAAATTTCCAGGGCCAGGCACGGTGGCTCATGCCTGTAATCTCAGTACTTTGGGAGTCCAAGCAGCCAGATCACGAAGTCAGGAGTTCAAGACCATCCTGGCCAACATGGTGAAACCCGTCTCTACTAAAAATACAAAAGTTAGCTGGGCGTGGTGGCGCGTGGCTGTAATCCCAGCTACTTGGGAGGCTGAGGCAGGAGTATCACTTGAACCAGGGAGTCAGAGATTGTAGTGAGCCGAGATCACGCCACCATACTCCAGCCTGGTGACAGAGCGAGACTCTGTCTCAAAAAATAAATACATAAATAAACAATACAATAAAATTCCCTTATTATCCTATCGTTATCTGCAGAGTCTGTAGTGATAGCTTCTGTTTTATTCCTGATATGAAGAATGTATGGGGTGGGCACAGTGGTTCATGCCTGTAATCCCAGCACTTTGGGAGAGCTGAGGCTGGAGGATCACTTGGGCCCAGGAGTTCAAGGATAGCATGGGCAACATAGCAAGACCCTGTCTCTATAAAAATAACTTTTTTTTTTTTTGAGATGAAGTCTTACTCTGCTGCCCAGGCTGGAGTGCAGTGGCATGATCTCGGCTCACTGCAACCTCCGCCTCCCAGGTTTATGGGATCCTCCCACCTCAGCCTCCCAAGTAGCCAGGACTACACGTGTGCCACCGTGCCTGGTTAATTTTTGTATTTTTTGTAGAGGCAGGGTTGGGTTTTTGATATGTTGCCCAAGCTGGTCTTGAACTCCTGAGCTCAAGTGATCCATCTGCCTCGGCCTCCCAAAGTGCTAGGATTACAGGCATGAGCCATCGCACCCAGCCTCTCTCTCTCTTTTTAGGTCAGCCTTGCTAAAGATTTGTCAATTTGGCCTCAGGCAATGGCTCACGTCTGTAATCTGAGCACTTTGGGAGGTTGAGGTGGGTGGACAGCTTGAGCCCAGAAGTTCGAGACCAGTCTGAGCAACATGGTGAAACCCTGTCTCTAAAAAAAATACAAAAATTAGACAGGCATATTGGCATGCACCTGTAGTCACAGCTACTTAGGAGGCTGAGGCAGGAGAACTGCTTGAGCCCGGCAGGTTGAGGCTGCAGTGAGCTGTGATCGCACTCTAGCCTGGGTAACAGAGCGAGAGGCTGTCTCAATTAAAAGAAAATAAAAGATTTGTCAATTTTATTGATTTTTTCAAAGAACCAGTTTTCTGTTTTGTTGGTATTCTCTACTGTTTTTCTGTTTTCAATTATATAGATTTCTCTTCTTTTCCTTCTTTCTGTTTGTTTAGGGTTTATTTTGTTCTTTTCTAATTTCCTGAGGTGGAAGCTTGTATTATTGATTTGAGGTTTTTTTCCTCTTTTCTAATGTAAGCATTTAGTGCTATTAATTTCCTTCCTAGTTGTGATTTAGCTGTATCTTACAAATTTTGATACATTGTATTTTCATTTTCATTCAGGTTAATGAATTTTGTATTTCTCTTGAGGATTGCTCTTTGGTTCATAGATTACTTAGAAATGTGTTATTTAGTTTTCAAGTGTTTGAAGATCTTCCTGGAGATTGTCTTTGTGTTATTAATTCTAAGTTTGAGTCCATTTTGGTCATACACTCTGTATGATTTCAATTCTTTTAAATTTGTTGAGGTTTGTTTTATAACCCAAGATATGGTTGATCTTGATACATGTTTCATGGGTGCCTAAAAAGAATGTGTTTTTTTTGTTGTTGATGTACTATAAGTGCTGATTACATCCTGTTGGCTAATGGTAGTGTTAAATTCTATATCCTATTACAGGTGTGAGCCACACACTCAGCCCTGTTGACTTTCTGTCTAATAGTTTTTCTTGTTTTGTTTTTTGGGGTTTTTGTTTTTTTTTTGAGATGGAGTTTCACTCTTATTGCCCAGGCTGGAGTGCAATGGCATGATCTCGGCTCATTGCAACCTCTGCCTTCCAGCTTCAAGCGATTCTCTTGCCTCAGCCTACCAAGTGCTGGGTTTACAGCCGTGCACCACCACACCCAGCTAATTTTTGTATTTTTTTAGTAGAGGCGGGGTTTCACCATGTTGGCCAGGATGGTCTCAATCTCTTGACCTTATGATCCACCCACCTCGGCCTCCCATAGTGCTGGGTTTACAGCCGTGAGCCACCACGCCCAGCCTAATTTTTGTATTTTTAGTAGAGACGGGGTTTCACCATGTTGGCCAGGCTGGTCTCGAACTCCTGATCTCAGGTGATCCACCTGCCTTGGCCTCCCAAACTTCTGTGATTACAGGCATGAGCCACCGCGCCTGGCCAGGTTCACTTATTTTTCAAGTCTGTTGTTTGGTACGTACACATTTAAGTTTGGTATGTGTTCCTTTTTCTTTTCTTTTTTTCTTTTTTTTCTTTCCTTTTTGAGGCAAGGTCTCGCTCTGTCGCCCAGGCTGGAGTGCAGTAACTTATCACAGTCTACTGGTGTTGACATTTTACCAGTTTGAGTGAAAGGTAGAAACATTACCTCTATACCTCTGGAAAGTTCTACCAGATTACAAATAAAGAAAGAAACCTTTTTCTGTGTCCTTTTACTCTCCCATTATAATGTAACTATCTTAAGTATTTCCTCTACATATATGGACAGCCACTTAGACAAGCGTAATTTTTGCTTCAACTGTTGAACATAATTTAGAATACTCAAGAGGAAAAAGACAATCTATTGTATTGACCTGTATGTTTGCTCTTTTTGTCCTTTTTTCCTGCCTGATGTTCCAAGATTCCTTTTGTTACCACTCCCTTTGTTTAGAGAATTGCCTTTAGTAATCCCTATAAAGTAAATCTGCCAGTGACAAATTCCCTTAGTTTTTCCCTCATGTAAGAATGTCATGATTTCCTCCCCCACAGCCCTTCCCCCCAATTCCTGAAGGATTGTTTCACCAGGTATGGGATTCCAAGTTGATAGTTCTTTTCTTTCAGCATTTCAAAAATGTTCCAGCTGGGCGCAGTGGCTCAGGCCTGTAATCCCAGCACTTTGGGAGGCCGAGGTGGGCAGATAACGAGGTCATGAGTTCGAGACCAACCTGGCCAATATGGTGAAACTCCTGTCTTTACTAAAAATACAAAAATTAGCCAGGCATGGTGGCGCGCCTGTAGCCCCAGCTACTTGGGAGGCTGAGGCAGAAGAATTGCTTGAACCTGGGAGGCGGAGGTTGCAGTGAGCCAAGATCGCGCCACTGCACTCCACCCTGGGTGAAAGAGTAAGACTCTTGTCTAAAAAAAAAAATGTTGTTCCACTTCCTCCTGGCCTCCATGGTGCCTTACGAGAAATTCAGCATCATTTGAATTGTTTTCCCCCTATAGGTAATGTATCATTTCTCTCTGGCTGCTTTCAAGAATTTGTGGCTGGGTGCGGGTGGCTCACACCTGTAATCCCAACACTTTGGGAGTCTGAGGCGGACAGATCACCTGAGGTCAGGATTTCGAGACCAGCCTGGCCAACATGGTGAAACCCCATCTCTACTAAAAATACAAAAAATTAGCCAGGCATGGTGGTACACGTCTATAGTCCCAGCTACTTGGGAGGCTGAGGCAAGAGAATCGCTTGAACCCAGGAGGCGGAGGTTGCAGCGAACTGAGATTGTGCCACTGTGCTCCAGCCTGGACAGCAGAGGGAGACTCCATCTCAAAAAAAAAAAAAAAAAAAAAGTATATGTTGAGAAGTTTATGATGTGTTTTCTCATGGGCATATCCTGTTTGAGGTTTGCTCAGCTATGTGAATCTGTCAGTTTGTCTTTTGCAAAATTTGGGCAAATTTCGGCTATTTGTTCTTTTAATATTTCTTCTCCTTCTGTGACTCCAATGACATGAATGTTAGATCTTATGTTATTGTCTCACATGGCCCTGAGGCTCTGTTTTTTTTTTTTTCCATTCTATTTTTTTTCCCTAGTGTTCAGATTGGATAATTTGTAGTTTTCTGTCTTCAAACTCATTCTTTCCTCTGTCCTCTCCATTCTGTTGCTGAGCTTATTCATTGAGTTTTAAATTTCAATCATTGTATTTTTTATTCCTAAAATTTCCATTTGGTTCTTCTTTATGTATCGATCTGTTGAGACATTATATTTTCCAGACTTTCCATTTTTTCATTTGTTCCAAGTATGTTTGTATTTGAACACGTTATATACATTGAAGCATTTTTATGATGGCTACTTCAAAATCTTTTTCAGATAATTCTAATATCTGTGTCATTTTGGTGTTAGTGTATATAGATTATCCTTTCTTATTCAAAATTTTCTGGTTCCGGTTCAAATGACTTTAAGACCTGGACATTTTGCACATCATGTTATAAGACTCTGGATCTTATTTAATGTTTTGGGATAGGGTCTCACCTTGTCACTCAGGCTGGAGTGCAGTGGGGTCATGACTCACTGCAGCCTCAACCTTCTGGCCTCAAGCAATCCTCCCATCTCAGCCTCCCAAGTAGCTAGGACCACAGGCAGGCATCAGCATGCCCAGCTAATTTTTTTGTTTTTTGTTTTTTTGTAGCAGCAAGGTCTCCGTATGTTGCCCAAGCTGGTCTTGAACTCCTGGGCTTAAGCAATCCTCCCACCTCAGCCTCCCAAAGTGCAGGGATTACAGGCATGAGCCACTGCGCCCAGCCTCTGGATCTTACTTTATAGCTTGTGTTTCAGCAGGCCTCCTCTAACATTGCTTCTGTGGGGAAAGTGCGGATGCTACCTTATTTTTACCAGGAGGGTGTGGAAGTCCAGGTTTTCCACTTGGCCTCCATTGACACCGGTGTTGGCAGGGCTCCTTCTTACTGCTGGGCAGGGGTGGGAGTCCAGTTTCTCTATTAGGCATTCACTGATACCACACCGGCTGGGAGAGGGAGTGGGCCTCCACCGACATTGTTGGGAGAGGTGGCCTTGATTATGGATGAAAGGCCTGAGTGGATAACTAGGCCTCTTCTACATCACCCTGGTGGGGAAGGGAAGGAGTACTTCATTACAGCCTAACAAGGTTTGGAGATCTAGGCTTTCCACTTGGCCTTTGCTGATGGGGGTGAGGGTGGGGCTGGAGTAGAGGGGCTATAGTCTAAAGGCTGTCTGTCGGCTGGATGCAGTGGCTCATGGCTGTAATCCCAGCACTCTGGGAGGCTGAGGCAGGCGGATCATTTGAGGCCGAACGAAAGGCTGAGGCAGGCAGGAGAACTGCTTGAACCCGAGAGGCAGAGGTTGCAGTGAGTCGAGATCGTGCCACTGCACTCCAGCCTGGGCGACAGAGTGAGACTCTGTCTCAAGAAAAATCAAACCAAATGAAAACTAAAAATAAAAAAATCAAGGCTGTCTGTCTTTCTAGGCTGTTTATTTTCTTGTCCTTTGACTCAGAAAGCAGACTTGCAGGACACCATGGTTCACGCTTATAATTCCAGCACTTTGGGAGGCTGAGGCCAGAGGATTGCTTGAGCCCAGGAATTTGAGATCAGCCTGGGAAACAGTGAGACCCCCATCTCTACAAAAAAACATAACAAACAAACAAACAAAAAAAACAAAAAGGCCGGGCACGATGGCTCATGCCTGTAATCCCAGCACTTTGGGAGGCCGAGTCGGGCGGATCACCTGAGATCAGGAGTTTGAGACCAGCCTGACCAACATGGTGAAACCCCATCTCTACTTCTAAAAATACAAAAAATAGCAGGGCGTGATGGTGCATGCCTGTAATCCCAGCTACTCAGGAGGTGAGGCAGGAGAACTGCTTGAGCCCAGGAGGCAGAGGTTGCAGCAGTGAGCTGAGATCGCGCCAGTGCACTCCAGCCTGGGCAACAAGAGTGAAACTCCGTTTCAAAAAAAAAAAACAACTGTATTGATTAGTCAGGCATGGTGGCGCAGATCTGTAGTCTAAGCAGCTTAAGCCTGGGAGATCAAGGCTGCAGTGAGCCATGATTGCACCACTGCACTCCAGCCTGGGCGATAGAGCAAGACACTCTTTCAAAAAAAAAAAAAAAAAAAAGACAAGCTTTTCTTGGGGCTTTTGTCTGCAATCGTTGGCAGTTTTGGGTTGCTGGCTTCTCCAGTACCCATTCTGACATATATGAGGCAAAAAGAAAACTTAGGGAGGTCACTGCTGAGTCATTCCTTGGATCTGGAGGTCCCTAACCAATCTGCTTTCTTCTTGTTCAGAGTCATCTTATGTTCATTTTGTATAATATAGAGTGTTTTTGGGGTTTTTAGCTGTACTTAGCAGGAGGACTGGGGAAAAGAATATCTACTCTATCTCTCAGAAGCAGAAGTTGCTCCAGATACTTTGAAAAATTAAAGCCAGTGTTTAAAAATTCCTCAAAATGGCCAGGCATTGTGGCTCACACCTGTAATCTCCACATTTTGGGAGGGCAAGGCGGGGAGCCTAGGGGTTGGAGACCAGCCTGGACAACATGGCGAAGCCCTGTCTCTACAAAAAAATTAGCTGGCATGGGGCGGGAGCGGTGGCTCACGCCTGTAATCCCAGCACTTTGGGAGGCCGAGGCGGGAGGATCACGAGGTCAGGAGATCGAGACCATCCTGGCTAACATGGTGAAACCCCGTTTCTACTACAAAATACAAAAAAATTAGCCGGGCGTGGTGGCGGGCGCCTGTAGTCCCAGCTACTTGGGAGGCTGAAGCAGGAGAATGGCACGAACCCCGGGAGGCGGAGCTCGCAGTTAGCCGAGATCGCGCCACTGCGCTCCAGCCTGGGGGACAGAGCGAGACTCCGACTCAAAAAAAAAAAAAAAATTAGCCAGCGTGGTGGCACATGCCTGCAGTCTCAGCTACTTGGGAGACTTGAGGTGGGAGAATCACCTAAGCCCCGGGAGGTAGAAGCTACACACTCCAGCCTGGGCAACAGAGTAAGACCTCGTCTCAAAAAAATTTTTTTTCTCAAAGAAATGTAGACTTCTGGTTGCTCATGAAATGCTGGAAGATGAGTCATCCTGGGCCTGCACTTTGATTTGGTAACAGTTGGCTGTTGCTGGGTGCCCACTGCCCCGTAGACGGATTATACTGCATTGAATTTACCGTAGGTCCCACCCGTTCATACTCACTTAGAAAAGGCCCGCATCACTCATCCTTGCATGACTGCCAGAGTGTGAACTTGCTATCTCTGTATTGAAGTTGTGTTTCATCTCCAGGAAGTGTTGGCTGCAGCAAAGATTGGATGTGACACCAGAAAAAAAGAGTCATTGGCAGGATCCTTTAAGGATTCTGCTACATCACTGCAGAAGTGTTCTGTCTCCCAGCACAGAAAGTCTGCCTTAGCACATACTGTTCTGAGCAGTTACAGTTTTTAAAAAAACTTCCCCTCCCTTATCTTAGGAAACAGCTAGCCCATTTCTCCTCTTAATTAACCCCTAATCATGACTCAGTTACTCAGTTACGCTCCCAGCCCATTCTTGTGGAAGCCCTGCAAAGCAAGCCAGTGGGACCATGGAAACGTGTAATTTAGCGAAGCCTTGGATTCTCAGTGGCTGCAAAGTGAAGCCCCGAGGGGAGGTAGCTTTGTATTCTAAAACAGCAAAGAATGCTGTGTTGGTAGCTCCAGCCAGATTGGTGATCTGAGTAATGTGGACGTTTCAATAGGCCCCAGCAGAGTCCTAAAAATATAGTCTGCCTGGTCAGCTCTGCCATGTCAGTTTCTAAAACTGTCAGCACCAGTAGGGCAGCAGAACCACTCTCAAAGCAGAGGCTTTTCAACTTTTGGGTTCACTGACCGCTTTCAGGGACAGGAGGCCTCACCAGCCTCCTAGCCTCTTTGATCCCAGGCACCCTGGCTTCTTCCTGAGAGGGAAGCATGAAGGGGAAGCTGCCCATCTTCTCTTGCCTGAATCCTCACCACTCCTTGTCTGCAGCTCTGTGTCCAGGAACAGCCACTGTTGCTTCCGACAGGAGCTGAGAAATGATGAGCTCTTTGCTGTATTTTGATAAAATGAAGCCCAACGTGGACAGCAGGCACGAGGTTCCTGCAGGAACCTTGGCTTCTCTGAGGTACTCAGGCCTCTGGGGAACCAAACACAAAACAATTTGATTTGTCATCAAGGACACCAGCTCAACACATTTGCAGATGTGTTTGGCCTGGAACATCATCCTTCTCCTTGGCCACAGTGCCATGTGACTAGCCCTCCAATGCCACAGGGAAATAAGAGCACTGGTGTCAAACTAGGAGGTAACGCGATTCAAAGAGACCCTTCAGGAGGGCTTGGCCATAGATAAAAGGATGAGGGGGAAGGGTAGGCAGGAGGAGGAGAAAAAAGAAACAGCAGTAGCCATGGTTATCTTTTGTCTAGTATCTACTGTGTACAAAGTATTTTGTGTTAGATGCTGTGTGTGTGTGTGTTCACTTAATTATCAGGGAAATCCTGTGAAGTAAGAATGATCTCAGGCTGGGCACGGTGGCTTGTGCCTGTAATCCCAGCACTTTGGGAGGCCTAGGCGGGCAGATCACGAGGTCAAGAGATCGAGACCATCCTGGCTAACACGGTGAAACCCCATCTCTACTAAAAATACAAAAAATTAGCCGGGCATGGTGGCGCACATCTGTAGTCCCAGCTACTCGGGAGGCTGAGGCAGGAGAATCACTTGAACCTGGGAGGTGGAGGTTGCAGTGAGCTGAGATCACACCACTGCACTCCAGCCTGGGTGACACAGCGAGACTCCATCTCAAAACAAAAAAAGCAAAAAAAAAACAATGATCTCTACTTTGCAATTAAAGAAACTTTGACTCAGAGGCTGGGCATGGTGGCTCACTGTAATTTCAGCATTTTGGGAGGCTGAGGTGGATTAATCATCTGAGATCAGGAGTTCAAGACCCGCCTGGCCAACATGGTGAAACCCTGTCTCTACTAAAAATACAAAAAATTGGCCAGGCGGTGGCTCACGCCTGTAATTCCAGCACTTGGGAGGCTGCTGAAGTGGGCAGATCACCTGAGGTCAGAAGTTCGAGACCAGCCTGGCCAACATGGTGAAATCCTGTCTCTACTAAAAATATAAAAATGAAGGCCGGGTATGGTGGCTCATGCCTGTAATCCCAGTACTTTGGGAGGCCGAGGTGGGCAGATCATGAGGTCAGGAGATCGAGACCATCCTGGCTAACATGGTGAAACCCCATCTCTACTAAAAATGCAAAAATTAGCCGGGCGCGGTGGTGCACGCCTGTACTCCCAGCTACTCAGGAGGCTGAGGCAGGAGAATCACTTGAACCCAGGAGGCGGAGGTTGCAGTGAGCCGAAATCGTGCCATTGCACTCCAGCTTGTGCAACAAGAGTGAAACTCTGTCTCAAAAAAAAAAAAAAAAAAAAATATATATATATATATATATACACACACACACATATACAATATATACAACATTGTATGTATGTGTGTGTATACACACACACACACACACACACACACACACACATATATATATAGAGAGAGAGAGAGAGAGAAAGTCCAAAAGCGTGGCTTTTGGAACTGATTCTGGGCTAGGTATAGATCCCAGGAGAACCCGTGTTCTACAAACCTCACTCTGGGCAAAACTGACCCAGACTGGGTTTTGGGATGCTTGATGTAATGAGGCAAGTGGCGCGATCTTGGCTTACTGCAATGGAGCGGCTCCTTCTGCCTGCTGCCGTCAGATTCTCTGCTATCTGGCTGGCAGGACAATTCGCTATGGCCTGGCTTTTGCAACTGATTCTGGGCTAGGTATAGGATCCCAGGAGAACCCGTGTTCTACAAACCCCACTCTGGGCAAAACTGACCCAGACTGGGTTTTGGGATGCTTGATGTTAATGAGGCAAGTGATATGTCTACTGAACTTACTGCTCCAAGTAGGACATTGTAACTTTGAGTTCCCCTCATCCCTTTCATATTGGAGGAGTTGTCTGGGCAGCAGGAGCTACGGCAGGCCAGGGTTGCTCTAGTTTTTAGCCAGAGCTAGCAGGTAAGTGCCTCCCAATGATATGCAGATTAAAGATAAGTAATCCTGGCCCATTTCTGCTCAAGTGGCTATAGTTTGCAAGTGACAGCCACCAATTCCAGGGACTTGAATGGCTACTGGAATTGAGGAAGTCCTCCCACTGACTGGGCTGGGTAGTGCAGGGAGGGAGAGGACACCATTCTGACTGACTCCAGACTGACATCAGGACTAGTCTCCCTAGGAGTGCAGGGACTTTACCTCCTCTGCATTTTCATGACCACTGTCCTAGGCCAGTTGTGTGCCTCCTCACTACAAGCCAGCAATTGCTGGGCCAACATATGCTTCCTGAAAACACAGATCCAGCCTCTCTTGTTCTTTCCACTTATCAGGTGGCTCAAAGGCTACCCAATCAATCTTCCAAAAGCTCAGATCCTAAACCTACACGGGCTCCCCAGTACCATCAGTAACTCCTGTACTTGCTTTCATGGCTCATCTCATCTTTTCAATCTTTGCTCCCTCTTGGTGTTTGGGCCTCAACTACTTTTCTCCTCCTTCTCTCCTCCTCCTCCTCCTCCTCCTTCTTTCTTCTCCTTCTTTCCTTTTTTTTTTTTGAGACAAAGTCTCACTCTGTCACCCAGGCTGGAGTGCAGTGGCGCCATCTTGACTGACTGCAACCTCCTCCTCCCAGGTTAAAGCGATTCTCCTGCCTCAGACCACGCCCGGCTAATTTTTGTACTTTTAGTAGAGGCAGGGTTTCACCAGTTGGCCAGGCTGGTCTCGAACTCCTTACCTTGTGATTCACCTGCCTCGGCCTCCCAAAGTGCTGAGATTACAGGTGTGAGCCACTGCACCCAGCCTTTCTCCTTCTTTCTTCTTCTTCCTTCTTCTTCCGCCTTCTCCTTTGAACCCAGCAGTCAGAGGTGGCAGGGAGTCAAGAGTGTGCCACTGTATTCCAGCCTGGGCTACAGAGCAAGACTCCATCTCAAAAAATAACAATAATAAAACTTCTTCTTTCTTCTCCTCCTCCTCCTTCTTTCCTTCCTTTTTTTTTTTTCAAGACAGTCTCGCTCATTGCCCAGACTGGAGTGCAGTGGCGAGCTCTCTGCTCACTGCAACCTCCGCCTCCCAGGTTCAAGCAATTCTCCTGCCTCAGCCTCCCAAGTAGCTGGGATTATAGGCATGTGCCAACACGCCCAGCTAATTTTTGTATTTTTAGAAGTGATGGGGTTTCACCATGTTGGCCAGGCTGGTCTTGAACTCCTGACCTTGTGATCTGCCTGTCTCAGCCTCCCAATTCTTCTTTCTTCTTCCTTCCTCCTTTCTTCTTCCTCTTTTTCTTCCTCCTCCTTCTTCCTCCCTCCTACTCCTCCTGCCGCCTCCTCCTCCTTCTTCTTCTTTGTCTTTCTCTTCTTCCTTCCTCTTCTTTCTTTTTCTTCTTTTCTTCCTGTTGGGGGCAGGTGTTGCACCAAAATCCATAATGCTGACATGTAAACCAGTTCACAATGGAGGAACTCTGATTGAAGAGGATGTCAGGGATCTGCTAATTCCTTCTCCACTTCCGTTTTAAAACCGCTGCTTGAACCAAATGGTTCTGATCACTGTTGCTCTCAAATACCTCCATGCTGGCTGGGCGCGGTGCCTCATGCCTGTAATCCCAGCACTTTGGGATGCTGAGGCAGGACAATCACCTGAGGTCAGGAGTTCGAGACCAGCCTGACCAACATGATGAAACCCCATCTCTAATAAAAATACAAAAATTAGCTGGGCGTGGTAGTGTGCACCTGTAATCCCAGCTACTCTAGAAGCTGAGGCAGGAGAATTGCTTGAACCCAGGAGGTGGAGGTTGCAGTGAGCCAATATCATGCCATTGCACTCCAGTCTGGGCAAAAAGAGCAAAAATCTCCATCTCAAAAACAAAAAACAAAAAACAAAAAAACCTCCATGCTTTTGCTCATACTGTATTCTCTGTCTGTAATGCCTGGCATCTCTTCATGTCCAAATCTTCTTTCTTCTTCTTCTTTTTTTTTTTTTTTTTTTTTTTTGAGACAGGGTCTCAACCTGTCGCCCAGCCTGGAGTGCAGTGGTGCAGTCATGGCTCACTACAGCTTCTCATGTCCAAATGTTATCTGTCCTTTAGGGCACAACATGAATGCTACAAAGCCTCCAGACCATTCCTCTCTCCAACCCTCAACATTCACTCTTATGCCCAAAAAGGCTTTTTCCCTTCTCTGGGCCTACACAGGACTTGTGCTTCCCTCACGGAAATGAGTGACTACTTTCTACCACAAACTGATTACCCGTATCCAGATTTCATTTCTTAGCTCCATAAGAGGCAGGCCCATGACTCTATCCATCATCTGTCACTCTTTCACAAAGCTCAACTGAGTGTCTTGTCCTTGGTTTCATGCCAGATGCCACACCTAGAATAAAAGTAATGTTAAGTAAATGAAAGTGGGTTGACCAACATTGTCTCCATCCTTGTGGATAAGGAATTTCTATCTCCTGGGGAGGGTAGACGGAGAGATGTTGGTCTAAAGATACAAAATTTCAATTAGACTGGAGGAATATGTTCAAGAGAACTGTTGTACAACATGGTGATGCTAGTTAATAACAATGTATTACATTCTTTTTTTTTTTTTGAGATGGAGTCTCGCTCTGTCACCCAGGCTGGAGTGCAGTGGTGCAACCTCAGCTCACTGCAACCTCCGCCTCCCAGGTTCAAGTAATTCTCTTGCCTCAGCCTCCTGAGTAGTTGGGATTACAGGTGTGTGCCACCACGCTCGGCTAATTTTTATATTTTTAGTAGAGACGGGGTTTCACCATATTGGCCAGGCTGGTCTCAAACTCCTGACCTCAAGTGATCCACCCCTCCCCGGCCTCCCAAAGTGATGGGATTACAGGCATGAGCCACCGCACCTGGCCAGTGTATTGTATTCCTAAAAATTACTAAGATTTTGTGTTCTCACCACAAAAATGAAAGTATATGGGATAATGCATATATTAATTAGCTTGACTTAGCCATTCTACAATATATACATATTTCAAAACAGTGTGTTGTACATGATAAATATATAAGATTTTGTCAATTAAATAAGAAACTTTTGGGCTGGGTGCAGTGACTCATGCCTGTAATACCAGCACTTTGGAAGCCCAAGGCGGGCAGATCATTTGAGGTCAGGAGTTCAAGACCAGCCTGGCCAACAGGGTGACATCTCGACTCTACTAAAAATACAAAAATTAGCTGGGCATGGTGGCGTGTGCCTGTAATCCCAGGTACTTGGAAGGCTGAGGCAGGAGAATCGCTTGAACCAGGAGGTGGAGGTTGCAGTGAGCCAAGATTGTGCCACTGTACTCCAGCCTGGGTGACAGAGCAAGACTCCATCTGAAAAAATAACGACAATAATAATTATTATTGCTATTATAAGCTGCTATGAACATTCACGTACAAGTGTCTATTTAAACATACATTTTCATTTATCTTGAGAAAATATCTAGGAATGAAGGTTCTTAGTCATGTGGTAAGTGTATGTTAAACTTCATAAAAAACAGGCCAACAGTTTTCCAAATTGGCTGTATCATGTTATATTCCTACTGGCAATGTAAGAGAGTTCCAGACGCTCTACATCTTCAGCAACATTTGGCGATGTCAGTTTTTCAAAAATTTTGGACATTCCAGTGGATGTAAGGTGGTATCTCAGCATGGTTGTAATTTGCATTTTCCACATTACTAATGATATTATCTTTTTATGTGCTTATTGGCTATTTGTATATCTTCCTTTAGGAAAATATCTGTTCAAGTATTTTGTCATTTTTAAAAAGTTGTATTGGCTGACCGCAGTGGTTCATACCTGTAATCTCAGCACTTTGGGAGGCCGAGGCGGGCAGATCACCTGAGGTCGGGAGTTCAAGACCAGCCTGACCAACATGGAGAAACTCCATCTCTATTTAAAAAAATACAAAACTAGCTGGGCGTGGTGGCACATACCTGTAATCCCAGCTACTCAGCAGCTGAGGCAGGAGAATCGCTTCAACCCGGGAGGCGGAGGTTGCGGTAAGCTGAGATCATGCCGTCGCACTCCAGCCTGGGCAACAAGAGCAAAACTCCATCATATTAAAGAAAATTGTATTGTGAGCCTTTTAATTACAGATTTGCAGATACGAGTAATATACACCGGTGTAAACACACAGACATATTTTAGACACAAGACTTTCGTCAGATATATGTATTTTGAACATTTCTCTCAATTTTGGCTTGCCTATTCATTTTCTTCATAGTGTCCTTTGATGAACAAAAGGTTTGTTTTGTTTTTTTGAAACCGAGTTTTACTCTGTCCCCCAGGCTGGAGTGCAGTGGCACGATCTCAGCACAATGTAACCTCTGCCTCCTGAGTTCAAGTGATTCTTGCGCCTGACCCTGAGTAGCTGGGATTACAGGCATGCACCACCCTGCCTGGCTAATTTTTTGTATTTTTAGTAGAGGTGGGGTTTTGCCATGTTGGCCAGGCTGTTTCCAACTCCTGGCCTCAAGTGATCTGCCTGCCTTGGCCTCCCAAAGTATTGGGATTACAGGCGTGAGCCACTGCATCCGGCCCACTTTAACATTTTCTACTTCTATTTTTATATATTCTAATTGCTGAGTTTGTTGTTGTTGTTAATTCTATTCAGTTTGACGTATGGGTCAATCAGGGCTCTACCTAGGACTTCATATACAGGCTTAAAGAATCCCTTTGACCGGTTTCCTCTCTTCTAAAATCCTCTTTGGAGGGCCAGGTGCAGTGGCTCATGCCTATATCCCCAACACTTTGGGAGGCTGAGGCAGGCAGATCACCTGAGGCTGGGAGTGCAAGACCACCCTGACCAACATGGAGAAACCCCGTCTCTACTAAAAATACAAAATTCGCCGGGCATGGTGGCACATGCCTGTAATACCAGCTACACGGGAGGGTGAAGCAGAAGAATCACTTGAACCCAGGAGGTGGAGGTTGCAGTGAGCCCAGATGGCACTATTGCCCTCCAGCCTGGGCAAAAAGAATGAAACTCTGTCTCAAAAAAAAAAAAAAAAAAAAGGTATCTTTCATGAGACTCCATGATTGCATATATCCATTTAATCACCACTATATTCAGGATATAGAACACTTCCATCACCCTAGAAAGTTCCTTATGTCCTCTCCCATTCAATCCCTATCCCCTCTTTAGGCAACTGTTGTTTTACTTTCTATCCTCAGAGATTAGTTTGCCTGTTCTTGAATTTCAATTTCTTGGGAGTAGAATCTTATGGTGTGTATGTGTGTATCTTATTGTGCATACACACTATACGGGTTGTATATATATATTTCTTTTGGCTTCTTTAAAGCAGCCTGATTTTGAGATTTCCTGTATTGGCTTTTTTTTTTTTTTTTTTTTTTTTTTTTTTTTTTTTTTTTGCCATCTCTCTTTGTATGCTTTGATCTACCTTCAACTTCACTGAACGTTTCCTTTTTTTTTTCTTTTTTTTTTTTTTTGTGATGGAGTCTTGCTCTGTCCCAGGCTGGAGTGCAGTGGCGTGATCTTGGCTCACTGAAACCTCTGACTCCCAGGTTCAAGCGATTCTCCTGCCTCAGCCTCCCAAGTAGCTGGGACTACAGGTGTGCGCCACCACGCCCACCTGATTTTTGTATTTTTAGTAGAGACAAGGTTTCACCATGTTAGCCAGGCTGGTCTCGAACTCCTGACCTCAGGCAATCCACCCACCTCGGCCTCCCAAAGTGCTGGGATTACAGGCGTGAGCCACTGCACCTGGCCTCCCCTCTTTTTTTTTTTTTTTTTTTTTTTTTTGAGATGGAGTCTTGCTCTGTCCCCCAGGCTGGAGTGCAGTGGCACGGTCTCGGCTCACTGCAAGCTCTGCCTCCCAGGTTCACGCCATTCTCCTGCCTCAGCCTCCCGAGTAGCTGGGACTACAGGCGCCCACCACCATGCCCGGCTAATTTTTTGTATTTTTAGTAGAGGCGGGGTTTCACCGTGTTAGCCAGGATGGTCTCGATCTCCTAACCTCGTGATCCACCCGTCTCGGCCTCCCAAAGTGCTGGGATTACAGGCATGAGCCACCGTGCCCGGCCTCTAATTTGTTGTTAAGCCTAGGTAGTAAATTATTCATTTTAGATATTGCAGGTGTTCTTTGTAAGACTTTCATTAAGGTCTTTTTCTGTTTCTGTTTCTCTTCTAAGATTGCCGGTCTGTTCACTCATTATGACTATTAAGTCTTTGAACTTTTTTTTTTTTTTGAGATAGTCTCACGCTGTTACCCAGGCCGGAGTGCAATGGCATGATCTCAGCTCACTGCAACCTCCACCTCCTGGGTTCAAGTGATTCTCCTGCCTTAGCCTCTGAAGTAGCTGGGATTACAGGCACATGCCACCACACCTGGCTACTTTTTGTGTTATTAGTAGAGACGGGGTTTCACCATGTTGGCCAGGCTGGTCTTGAACTCCTGACCTCAGGTGATCCACCCACCTCAGTCTCTGCAAGTGCTGGGATTACAGGCGTGAGCCACCACACACGGCCCAAATATATTTTTGATAGATATTTTTAAGTCCTTCTCTGCTGATTCAACTTCTGAGTCATCTTTGGGTCTGTTTCTCTGTTTCTGTTGACTGCTTTTCTCCTTTACTGTGTGTCCCATTTCCCATTAACAGTATACACGTCTGTTGTATACTAAATATTGTGAATGACAAAAGTTGTAGACTCTGGCTTCTGTTGTTATTTACTGGAAAGTGTTGGTTTTTGTTCTGGCAGGCAATTCTCCTTGAGTTTATGGAGAATTGATTTTATCCAATGTTAGGCTGGGTCTAGGAAAAGGCCTTTCAACTTATATACAGTATAACTAGGAGGTCCAAGTTCATTCTTTTGCATGTAGCTATTTGGTTATCCCAGCACCACTTGTTGACCATTCAATAGTCTTGGCACTCTTGTCAAAAAACAACTGACCAGTAAGGTGCAGTGGCTCACGCCTGTAATCCCAGCACTTTGGGAGGCTGAGGTCAGGAGATTGAGACCAATCTGGCTAACATGGTGAAACCCCATCTCTACTAAAAATACAAAAATTAGCCAGGCGTGGTGGCATGCACCTGTAATCCCAGCTACAGGGAGGCTGAGGCAGGAGAATCACTTGAACCCACAAGGTGGAGGTTGTAGTGAACCAAGATTGTACCACTCCAGCCTGGGCAACAGAGTGAGACTCCATCTGAAAAAAAAAAAAATTAAAACAAAAAAACAATTGACCATATGCTTGCCTATTGTGATTTTTTAATAAAAAAAATCAATTGACCATAGATGTGTTTATTTCTGAACTTGCAATTCTATCTATATGTCTATCCTTATGCTAACACCACAGTCTTGACTATTACTGCTTTGTAGTAAGTTCTGAAATAATTGGAAAGTGTTGAGTCCTCTAAATATGCTCGTCATTTTCAAGATTATTTTTTCATATTCTGGGTTCCTTATAACCCCATATAATTTTTTTTTCTTAGACAAGGTCTGGCTCTGTTGCCCAGGCTGGAGTGCAGTGGCACAATCTCAGCTCACTGCAACCTCTGCCTCCTGGGCTCAAGCAATCCTCCCACCTCAGCCTCCCGAGTAGCTGGGACTACAGGTGCACACCACCACACTAGGTAATTTTTGTAGAGACGGGGTTTCGCCACATTCCCCAGGCGGGTCTTAAACTCCTGAGCTTAAGTGATCCACCTGCTTCAGCCTCCCAAAGTGCTGAGATTACAGGCATGAACCACCATGCCCAGGCAGTTTCATACTTTCTATATCTGGGTCTTTTTTTTTTCTTCTTGAGATGGAGTTTCACTCTTGTTGTCCAGGCTGGAGCGCAGCGGCACCATCTCGGGTTGCTGCAACCTCTGCCTCCCAGGTTCAAGTGATTCTACTGTCTCAGCCTCCTGAGTAGCTGGGATTACAGGCACCCGCCACCACACATGGCTAATTTTTGCATTTTTAGTAGAGACATGGTTTCATCATGTTGCCCAGGCTGGCCTACAACTCCTAACCTCAAGTGATCCACCCTCCTCGGCCTCCCAAAGTGCTGGGATTGTAAGCGTTAGCCACTACACCTGGCCTGTTTCTTTTAAAAACATGTTTCTAGCCAGGCACGGTGGCTCATGCCTGATATCCCAGCACTTCGGGAGGCTGAGGTGGGAAGATCATTTCAGGTCACAAGTTCGAGACCAGCCTGGCCAACATCCAGTATGGTGAAACCCTGTCTCTACTAAAAATACAAAACCTAGTTGAGCACGGTGGTGCATGCCTGTAATCCCAGCTACTCAGGAAGTGAGGCAAGAGAATCTCTTTTACCTTGGAGGTGGAGGTTGCAGTGAGCCAAGATGGTGTTAACTGCACTCCAGCCTGGGTGAGACTCCATCTCAAAAACAAAAACCAGAAGCTTCTAAACATGTTAACTATGGCTCAGACCTGTAATCCCAGCACTTTGGGAGGCCGAGGTGGGTGGATTGCTTGAGCACAGCAGTTTGAGACCAGCCTGGACAACATGGCAATACCCCGTCTCTACAAAA
Source organism: Homo sapiens (assembly GCF_000001405.40). Taxonomy (NCBI): domain Eukaryota; kingdom Metazoa; phylum Chordata; class Mammalia; order Primates; family Hominidae; genus Homo; species Homo sapiens. The sequence goes on along the minus strand of NC_000001.11, from coordinate 39,036,583 downwards.
AATACAAAAATTAGCCACGCATGGCGGTATATACCTGTGGTCCCAGAAACTTGGGAGGCTGAGCTGGCAGGATCATTGCAGCCCGGGAAGTCGAGGCTGCAGTGAGCCATCATCATGCCACTGCACTTAGGTCTCAGTGACACCCTGTCTCAAAAAATTAATATTAAAGAATAAAATAGGCTGGGCATGGTGGCTCACACCTGTAATCCCAGCACTTTGGGAGGCCGGGGCGGGGAGGGGGCACGGATCACTTGAGGTCAGGAGTTCGAGACCAGCCTGGTCAACATGGTGAAACCCTGTCTGTACTAAAAATATGAAAATTAGCTGGGCGTGGTGGCACCTGACTGTAGTCCCAGCTACTCGGGAGGCAGAGGTGAGAGAATCACTTGAACCTGGGAGATGGAGGTTGCAGTGAGCTGAGATCATGCCATTGCACTCCAGCCTGCACAACAGAGCGAAATTCCATTTCAAAATAAAATAAATTTTAAAAAGAAAAAAAAAAGTTAACTAGTGCTAATATGCCACTGTTATAACGCCTGTAATCCCAGCATGTTGGGAGGCCGAGGTGTTATCATGACATCAGGAGTTCGAGACCAGCCTGACCAACATGGTGAAACCCTGTTTCTACTAAAAATACAAAAATTAGCCAGGTGTGGCAGCACGCGCCTGTAATCCCAGCTACTCAGGAGGCTGAGGCAGAAGAATCGCTTGAACCTGGGAGGTGGAGGTTGCAGTGAGCCGAGATCGTGACACTGCACTCCAGCCTGGGTGACAGAGCAAGGCTCCATCTCAAAAAGTGGCAAATTAAAACAATGTTATTACTTCTTCAAAATTAAATTATCTGAACTTGGCATTTTCTTAGCCTTAGACTTCACAGACCTTACAGTCAACACACAATTCCTATCTCCACTGCCTCCCTCTCCCAGCTCAAGTCTATGTTTTATGAAAAATAAGTTACAGGCAGAAGTGGTGGTGCACACCTGTAGTCCCAGCTACTCGCGAGGCTGAGGAGGAAGGACAGCCTGAGCCCAGGAGGCTGAGGCTCCAGTGAGCAGTGATGGCATCACTGCACTCAGGCTGGGTGAAAGAGTAAGACACAGTCTCAAAAAAAAAAAAAAAAAAAGGCTGGGCGTGGTGGCTTAAGCCTGTAATCCCAGCACTTTGAGAGGCAGAGGCGGGCAGATCACAAGGTCAGTTCGAGACCAGCCTGGCCAATATAGTGAAACCCCGTCTCTACTAAAAATACAAAAATTAGCTGGGCGTGGTGGTGCATACCTATAGTCCCAGCTACTTGGTAGGCTGAGGCAGAAGAATCGCTTGAACCCAGGAGGCGGACTTTACAGTGAGCCAAGATCACGCCACTGCACTCCAGCCTGGGCGACTGAATGAGACTCTATCTTGAAAAAAAAAAAAAAAGAGAGAGAGAAAAATATATAAGAAAAACCAGAATGAAAACACTATCATTTCTTAAATGAGTTAACATATTTAAAGTATCTTGTACACATTGTTAATTAAATGTTAGTTATTATTCCATAGCTGCTAATTTTTTAGGAACTGTCTAAAAGTTTCAACTGTTTTTAAAATCAAATTTAAAAAATAGGTTATAATCTCAGTATAGAAAGGCATGATATGGCTGGGCACAGTGGCTCGTGCCTGTAATCCCAGCACTTTGGGAAGCCGATGTGGGTAGACCACATGAGGTCAGGAGTTCAAGACCAGCCTAGCCAACATGGTGAAACCCCACCTCTACCAAAAATACAAAAATTAGCTGGGTGTGGTGGTGCATGCCTGTAGTCCCAGCTACTTGGGAGGCTGAGGCAGGAGAACCACTTGAATCTGGGAGATGGTGGTTGCAGTGAGCCAAGATCGTGCCAATGCACTCTAGCCTGGCCAACAGAGCAAGACTCTGTCTCAAAAACAAAAAAAGAAAAGAAAAGAAAGTCATGATCCAAGAGAAAATAGAACAAATAGGATGGAGCAATCCTTTATTTTTACACACTTTGACAAGGAGGTTTGTCGTAAACAACCTTTCCAGTGGAGAACAGAGAACAGGAAAATCAGCCTCCAGACATCAGCAGCTGCTCTGTTCAGGGCCGAGGCTCCCCCTTGCCAATGTGGTGAGGTGGAGGGGTGTACTTTCCTTCCTTTATCAGCTTATCCCGCTGCTTCCTGATGGTACCTGCACGTCTCATCTGTCAAAGGAAAATGGTAATTAAACTGAGGGAGGAGATATGTGCCAAAAAGTGAGAACTGGAAAAACAGATCAATTTTGGTTTCATTTTTAAACTACAAAAGGCCTTTCATCTTACGGGGCCTCTGAAATGAAGTCCGCCTTTAAAGAATTAACATGAAATCACTTCCCAAGCTTTCAAACAAATTTTTAGTATACATAACCTCTCTGAAAACTAACAACTAAAATGTTCTTAATATATATAGCAATATGGATATTTGCAAAAACCTTTAAGAGGCATATTTGTGGATACTAAAATCTTTTAAAATATCAAAAGTTTAATCCCAGCACTTTGGGAGGCTGAGGCGGGTGGATCACTGAGGTCAAGAGTTTAAGACCAGACTGGCCAACAAGGTAAAACCTTGTTTCTACTAAAAATACAAAAATTAGCCAGGGATGGTGGTGCACATCTGTAATCCCAGCTACTCGGGAGGCTGAGGCAGGAGAATTGCTTGAACTTGGGAGGCGGAGGTTGCAGTGAGCCAAGATTGAACTGCTGCACTCCAACCTGGGTGACAGAGTGAGACTTTGTCTCAATAAATAAATAAATAAAAGTTGGGCCGTGGTGGCTCACGCCTGTAATCCCAGCACTTTGGGAGGCCGAGGCGGGCGAATCACAAGGTCAGGAGTTCAAGACCAGCCTGGCCAATATGGTGAAACTCTGTCTCTACTAAAAATACAAAAATTAGCCAGGCGTGGTGGCGCGCGCCTGTGGTCCCAGCTACTCAGGAGGCTGAGGCAGGAGAATCGCTTGAACCCGGGAGGCGGAGGTTGCAGTGAGTTGAGATCGCGCTACTGTACTCCAGCCTGGGTGACAAAGTGGCACGATCTCAGCTCACTGCAACCTCCGCCTCCTGGGTTCGCGCCATTCTCCTGCCTCAGCCTCCCGAGTCGCTGGGACTACAGGCGCCCGCCACCACACCCGGCTAATTTTTTGTATTTTTAGTAGAGATGGGGTTTCACCATGTTAGCCAGGATGGTCTCGATCTCCTGACCTCGTGATCCGCCAGCCTCGGCCTCCCAAAGTGCTGGGATTACAGGCGTGAGCCACCGCACCCGGCAAGCACTTACATATTCTATGTGGAAGTGGCACTGCTGCTGGTGACTATGCAATGGGTATGAATGAAGCAGAAATAGCCAATATGAGTTCTCTTTTCCCCATATGGAAGTAAAGGCCTGATTCTTACTCAGCCACTAGTCACCGCTGAGTCTTGAATTCTGTCTCTTCTACTCAGGGCATTGGTTGCTTCTCAACAAATCAAAACTATGTTACACAAGTGTGTCAAAGCCACAACAATGAACTGGTCCCTGGATTCTGTGACACAGAAAATTTACTAAATCTGATCACATTATTCCTCTGCTCAAAACCCTGCAATGGCTATCTTACTGAGACAAAAAGATGAATCCTTATCATGGTTTACAAGGCCTACTCCAGTGACTTCATCTCTTAATATTCCCCTAGCTCCCTCCAGTCAGCTCAGGGACCTTTGCACTTGCTGTTTCCTCTGCATGGAACATTCTTCCCTCATAACCACATAGCTCACTTTCTTTAAGTCTCTGGTCTGTCTTCTTTTGCTGAGATCTTCTCTGACTATTTAAAGTAGCATCCACCTAGCTCCTGCCCCTAGCACTTTCTATCCTTCTGTTTATTCTCCTCACAGCACTTATTATCACCTGTATTTTTACTTGTTATTTTTCTGCTCTTCCTCCCACTATAGCATAAGCTCACTGACTCTGAGATTTTTTTTTTTTGCTGTTTTGCTTACTGTATTCCTAGTGCCTAGACTAGTTTCTGACATAATTTTTTTAACCAATGACTAACTTTTCACAAAGATACGAAAAATTAGTATATTCAGTTAAACGTCTCATTAACCTTAAAGAAGTAGTGTTGATATAACTTCAGTAGAAAAAACCCTGAAATAAACATTAACCATTTTAAAAGACTACATTCTTACCATTTATCTTAGAGTCTCCCAACACAAGACTAGTCATGGTTTTGAACTATGACAATACCATATGTCAAATCTTTCTCTGAGCTAAAAGCAGTAACTCTGGATAAAAGCATAGGTATTGAAGCCAGCCTTGCCAGGATAAAATCCCAGCTCCACCATTTACTAGCTATGTAAGTTCAAGCAATGTCCTTAACTTTTCTTTGCCTTAAATTTTGTTTGTTCATTTGTTTGTTTTTTTGACACAGAGTTTCACTCTTGTTGCTCAGGCTGGATGGAGTGCAGTGGCGCAATCTCAACTCACTACAACCTCCGCCTCTCGGGTTCAAGCGATTCTCCTGCCTCAGCCTCCTGAGTAGCTGGGATTACAGGCACCCCCTTACCACACCCAGCTAATTTTTTGTATTTTTAGTAGAGAGGGGGTTTCACCATGTTGGTCAGGCTGGTCTTGAACTCCTCACCTCAGGTAATCCACCGCCTCAGCCTCCCAAAGTTAAATTTTTAACTGTGTAATGGGGAAACTAATAGTAACTCATCTCATAGGATTGTTGTGAGAAATACATGCATTATAATATGCTAAGAACTTACAATAGGACTTGATTCTAATTCTGACTCACTAGCTTCTTCACTTACAGGGAGGTATCTGTTCACTTAAGGTGACCCTGAAAATGGTAACTTATCTATTCATAAATTCACAGGATTAGGAAGTGACCTTAGAGCAATTCTTTAATTGTTTCAGATAAGGAAATGAAGACTAAGAGAAAGTGACTTGCTCAAAGTCACAAAACTAGTGGTGGTTTGCTGGACGTGGCGGCTCATTTCTGTAATCCCAGCAGTTTGGGGGGCCCAGGCAAGAGGATCGTTTGAGGCCAGGAGTTCAAGATCAGCAAAGGAAACATAGCAAAACCTTGTCTCTATAAACAATTTAAAAAGCCGCACATGGTGGCATGCACTTGTAGTCCTAGCTACTTGGGAGGCTGAGGCAGGAGGATGACTTGTGCCTAGGAGTTTGAGGGTGCAGTAAGCTATGATCACGCCACTGCACTCCAGCCCGGGTGACAGAACAAGACCCTGTCTCAAAAACACGACTAACAGGATGGGTGTGGTGGCTCACACCTGTAATTCCAGCACTTTGGGAGGCCAATGTGGGATCGCTTGAGCCCAGGAGTTTGAGACCAGCCTGGGCAACACAAGAAGACCCCATTTCTATTTTATATAAATAAAATCAAAATTAGGGCCAGGTGCAGTGTCTCACACCTGTAATCCCAGCATTTTGGGAGGCCAAGGCAGGCAGATCACCTGAGCTCAGGAGTTCGAGATCAGCCTGGGCAACATGGTGAAACCTTGTCTCTGCTAAAATACAAAAAATTAGCTGGGCGTGGTGGTGCACTCCTGTAGTCCCAGCTACTTGGGAGGCTGAAGTGGAAGAATCACCTGAACCCAAGTTGAATCTGCAGTGAGCTGTGAACACGCTACCGCACTCCAGCCTGGGCGACGGGAGTGAGACGCTGTCTCAAAACATAAATTAAAATTAATCAACCAACAACAAATGAGTGGTGGCAGAACCAGCATCAGAACCTGACTCTCCTAACTCCCAATCCAATGTTCTTTCCACCTTACTACAATGCCTCCTGTTGGTATCAATTTATCAAAATCTTTTTTTTATTTTCTTTTTTTTTTTTCTTGAGACAGAGTCTCGCTCTGTCGCCCAGGCTGGAGTGCAGTGGCACAATCTCGACTCACTGCAAGCTCTGCCTCCCGGGTTCATGCCATTCTCCTGCCTCAGCCTCCTGCCTCAGCCTCCCGAGTAGCTGGGACTATAGGCGCCAGCCACTACACCCAGCTAATTTTTTTGTATTTTTAGTACAGACGGGGTTTCACCATGTTGGTCAGGCTGGTCTCGAACTCCTGACCTTGTGATCCGCCTGCCTCGGCCTCCCAAAGTGCTGGGATTACAGGAGTGAGCTACTGTGCCGGGCCATCTTTTTTTTTTTTTTCTTGAGACGGAGTCTCGCTCTGTCGCCCAGGCTGGAGTGCAGTGGTGTGTTCTCAGCTCACTGGAACCTCTGCCTCTCAGTTTCAGGCGATTCTCTTGCCTCACCCTCCTGAGTAGCTGAGATTACATGCCCCTGTCACCATGCCTAGGTAATTTTTGTATTTTTAGTAGAGACGGGGTTTCACCATGTTGGCCAGGCTGGTCTTGAACTCCTGACCTCAGGTGATCCGCCCACCTTGGCCTCCCAAAGTGCTGGGATCACAGGCATGAGCCACTGCATGGGATTTTTTTAAATTTGTTTTTTTGGTTTTTTTTTTAGAGGCAGAGTCTCGCTCTGTCGCCCAGGCTGGAGTGCGGTGGCACGATCTCGGCTCCATGCAACCTCCGCCTCCCGGGTTCAAGCAATTCTTCTGCCTCAGCCTCCCGAGCAGCTGGGACTATAGGCACCCACCACCATGCCCTGCTAATTTTTGTATTTTTAGTAGAGACAGGGTTTCACCATCTTGGCCAGGCTGGTCTCAAACTCCTGACCTCGTGATACACCCGCCTCAGCCTCCCAAAGTCCTGGGATTACAGGCGTGAGCCACCGTGCCTGGCCAACTCATTCAACTTTTGAGGAGGTGAACACTAAGCTGTTAACATCCCTTTTCCACTGCATCGTTGTTCACGCTCATGTACAGCAATCTCATTAACACCTCCATCTTCTTCAGAGTGGAATGAATCCAAAGATGTTGAATGTAATGGATTTGCAAGGTTAAACCTCTTTTCCAATGAGGATTCAATGGATTTGAACATATTTTCACCCAAAGATTTTCAAGGGTCAACATCCAAAACTAGTTGATATTCTCTGCTTCACAGCCAACTGAAAAAATGGGTATACACACACATGCAATTTCTAACCTGGTGGCTAAAGCAGGGTAAAATACTAAGGAAAATTTGGGAGAAGAGAAAGAATGCTGAGGAACAATGGACCATCCTCATATCTGAAGGCATTTAATTTCCTCATCATGGTACCAAAGTAGGAAAGGTATTTCACCAGAAAAGCTTTGCCAATTCACATTTGGCAAGCCACTGCTCAATGACCCACTAAAAACACTTAAGAGTAATCCCAGAGGAGGCCAGGCACGGTGGCTCATGCCTGTGATCCCACTACTTTGGGAGGCTGAGGGGGGCGGATCACCTGAGGTCTGGAGTTCAAGACCAGCCTGGCCAGCATGGTGAAATCCCGTTTCTACTAAAAATACAAAAATTAGCCAGGCGTGGTGGCAGGTGCCTATAATCCCAGCTACTCGGGAGGCTGAGGTACGCGAATCGCCTGAACCTGGGAGGCAGAGGCTACAGTGAGACGAGGTGGCGCCATCACACACCAGCCTAGGGGACAAGAGTGAGACTTCGTCTCAAAAAAAAAAAAAAAGAGTCCCAAAGGAACAAGAAAGTAATTCAGCTTCCACCTCCATCATTTCCTTACCGTTTTCTGCCGAAGCAAACACTCTACGAAATCATCATATTCTATCTTGCACTCTTTCTCTGCCCGAGTATAACCGATTCCATGTGCACATTCTATCCATTCTTTTTCAAAAGCATGGCATCGACCAGCCATCTTGTAGGGCTGTTCACCACTCTGGATTGTCAACCATCGATCTATGTTAAGGCCGAACCTTTTCTGGATGTCCAAGAAAGGCATGGCTGTAATGGAAGATTTAAAAAAATAAGTAAATAAAATACCACAAGAGGGCAATCAACTGAGAAATTTCTAAGAAAAAATTAGATAATCATGCTAAGTAGCCCTCTAGAACACTGTTTGATATTATTCTCCTGATTTCTTCTCACCAAACTTTTTCATTAAATAGGTTCTTCCAGTTTATGGCAGATAAGCAGTTTTTGCGCTTTTTCAAAACTCAAGGAAAAGAGAACTATAACTAAAGAACAATGCATAGAAATCCTTTCTCGGTCAGGAGCGGTGGCTCACCTACCACGTGAGATGGAGTCTCCGTCTGTTACCCAGGCTGCAGCGCATGGTGCAATCTTGGCTCACTGCAACCTCCTCCTCCAGGGTTCAAGCGATTCTCCTGCCTCAGCCTCCCAAGTAGCTGGGACTACAGGTGCGCACCACCACGCCCAGCTAATTTTTGTATTTTTAGTAGAGATGGGGTTTCAGCATGTTGGCGAGGCTGGTCTTGAACTCCTGACCTCAGGTGATCCGCCCGCCTTGGCCTCCCAAAGTGCTGGGATTACAGGTGTGAGCCACTGCACCTGGCCTAAATTTTTTTTTTAAATCAGCCACTTGTGGGCCAGGCGCGGTGGCTCATGCCTGTAATCCCAGAACTTTGGGAGGCCAAGGCGGGTGGATTACCTGAGGTCAGGAGTTCAAGACCAGCCTGGCCAATATGGTGAAATCCCGTCTCTACTAAAAATACAAAAAAATTAGCTGGGCGTGTTGGCACATGCCTGTAATCCCAACTATTCGGGAGGCTGAGACAGGAGAACTGCTTGAACTGGGGAGACAGAGGTTGCAATAAGCCAAGATCCGCCATTGTACTCCAGCCTGGGCGACAGAGCGAGACTCTGTCTCAAAAAAAAAAAAAAAAAAAAAAGAAGAAGAAGAAAAAAAGAATTTGGATCCTTTGGTCAGGTTCTCTGTCTCAAAAAAAAAAAAAAAAAAAAAAAAAGGCACTTGTGGTGGTATGTGCGCCTGTAGTCCCAGCTACTCCTAAGGCTGAGGCAGGAGACTGAGGCCAGGAGTTCAAGGCTTCAGTGAGCTATGACCTGGCCACTGCACTCCATCCTGGGCAACAAAGCGAGATCCTGTCTCAAAAAAAAAAAAAAACCAGAGCGAAAGAAATGGGTTAAGACTTACTTTGTAGACTATTACAGACAGTAGGGAAAAAAATTTACATGCAAATACATAATAATGTTAAATGTAAAAACACACACACAAAAACAAACCCTGACTGCCTAAAATGACTGAAAGGAAGCGCGCGCACACCCACAAATATCAATATAAATGTGTACTCATGGTAGATTTAAAGGTGAATTTAGTTGGGCGCAGTGGCTCACGCCTGTAATTCCAGCACCTTGGGAGGCCGAGGCGGGCGGATCACCTGAGGCCGCGAGTTCAAGACCAGCCTGACCAACATGGCGAAACCCTCTCTCTACTAAAAAAATACAAAATTAGCCGGGCGTGGGGGCGCATGCCTGTAATCCCAGCTACTCGGGAGTCTCAGGGAGGAGAATCGCTTGAATCCGGGAGGCAGAGGCTGCAGTGAGCCGAGATCGCGCCACTCTGCACTCCAGCCTGGGCAACAAGAGCGAAACTCCATCTCAACAAAAAGGTGAATTTAACTTCTTAAGTTCCTTCCCATCCCTCAGTCATCATTTACTGAGTAGTTACGTTCCAGGCACTCAGATGCGGGGGAAAGCAGCTCCAACGTAAGCACCAGAGACACACACTCGGAATTGCGAATACACTGCAAGGAACACGAGTGGGTAAGAGCTCGAAGGAGGAAGCACGAACTCTGCCCGGAGACTTGAAAATGCCTTTAACATGGCTTGCGAGTTCGCCAAGTGAAGATCAGTGGGCAGAGTGTTCCAGTTGGGCAACAGCCCGGAGTTACAGCCGGAAGTGCTGGCTATGTTTGGGGGACAATGGAGCGCAGCGTGCATGACGGTGAAAAGAATGAAATGAGCTCAGGAGGCCGGCGGGGCCGAAATCACGCAGAGCCTGGAAAGCTGGGATAAGGATCGTAGACTTTAGGTTAAGAAACAGAAAGCCAAAACATTAGTCCGGCAAAAACCTAAACAAATGTGGAAAGTGGAGAGAGCGGCAATCTCCAGGCTTCGGTGCCATTAGCTGTGGAGGTGAAGCGGCCTGGGAGGGCAGGGAACACGCCCTGAGTTCAGGTCTGGGAGAAGGGGACACACAGCAAGCCAAGAGGAAATCTGTTAAAGAGACCTCGGAAGGAAGGTCCTTAAGCTAAGCTGCCGCGCGGACATAAGCAGCCCCTACCTACCCGATGCTCGTGCCCTTGACTCTTCTCTGGCCGCCGCTTCAGAACGACTAGCTAGCGACGCGGACGCCTGCCGTAAAGGATGACCTCAGCGAGACGTTTGCAGCGCGACGCCGGAAGCCGACCTTCCCTCAGCCGTCTCCCCACAAAACCATAGAAACCGAGCCCGTTGGCCTGGTACGGTGGCTGACGTCTGCAATCCCAGCACCTTGGAAGGCTGAGGGAGGAAGATCACTTCAGCCCAGGAGTTCGAAAACAGCCTGGGCAACATGGCGAAACTCCCCTCTCTACAAAAAATAAAAAATTAGCCGGGCGAGGTGGTGCATGCCTGTGGTTCCAGCTACTCAGGAGGTTGAGGTGGGAGGATCCCTTGAGCCCAGGAGATTGAGGCTGTAGTGAGCCATGATCACACCATTCCATTGCATTCCAGCCCTGGCAACAGAGCAAGACCTTATCTCAGGGGGAGAGTGAGAGAGAGAGGATGAAGAAGAGAGAGAGGAGGTAGAGAGAGAGAAAGGAAAAAAAACCCAAACCCATCAATTACAGAGACACAGGGAAGGCCTAGCCATTAGTGAGTTCTTGCTCCTTTCTTGCACTCTGCCTAGCATGCTCACGACAACACTGAGTGGTGAGAGACTTCACCAAAGTCACAGGAGAGAAAGAACACTGGCTCCCTGCCTACCCACTAGTGGTTAAGCACATGGACTATGAGCCCAAACCACCACGTGGGGTCAAATGTAGGCCCCCAGCCGGGCGCAGTGGCTCAGGCCTGTAATCCCAGCACTATGGGAGGCCGAGGTGGGCGGATCACAAGCTCAGGAGATCGAGACCATCCTGGCCAATATGGTGAAACCCTGTCTCTACTAAAAATACAAAAATTAGCTGGGTGTGGCAGCGAGTGCCTGTAATCCCAGCTAGTGGGGGGAGGCCGAGGCAGGAGAATCGCTTGAATCCGGGAGGCGGAGGTTGCAGTGAGGTGAGATCGCGCCACTGGACTCCAGCCTGGCGACAGAGCTAGATTCAGTCTCAAAAAAAAAAAAAAAAAAAAAAAAAAAAAAAAAAAAAAGTAGGCCCCCACCAATTTCGTGTGACTCTAGGAAAGTTTCTTAACTTCATTGTGCCTCAGTCTCCTCGTCTGTTAAGATAATTATGGTATTCACAATGGAGGCTTGCTATAGGGATTAACTGATTTATGTATAAAGCACTGAGGCGGTGGCTAGCACATGGGAAACATTCCAAGGCAGTCGCAGTTCTTTGATGTCTCAGCTTTCAGTTTGTGAATCAACTGCTACCATGCCTGTCATCTGTTCCAGAACCTCCAATGACTCCCTTTGACTACATCAGAGACTCTAAAGTGTTGTGTGTATGTCTTTGGGGGGTGGACCACAGGGTGCATGAGATATTATACATTGGAGGTATGGGAGGAAAATACTAGAACATATATATATATATATATATATATATATATATATATATATATATAAATATATATATATATAATTATTACTTTTGAGACAGATTCTCACTCCCATTGCCCCGCTGGAGTGCAGTGGTGCAATCACAGTTCACTGCAGCCTCAACCTCCCTGGGCTCTGGTGATCCTCCCACCTCAGCCTCCCAAATAGCTGGGACCACATGTGCATGCCACCATGTGCCTGGCAGTCTTTATTATAATTATTATTTTATTTGAGATAGGGTCTCACTCCATCACCCAGGCTGGAGTGCAGTAGTGCTATCATAGATCACTGCAGCCTCAAACTCCAGGGCTCAAGCAATCCTCCTGCTTAGCCTCCCAAGTAGCTGGGACTACAGACATGCCACTGTGCCCAGCTAATTCTTTTTTTTTTTTTTTTTTTGAGACAGAGCTTCACTCTGTCACCAGGCTGAAATGCAGTGGTGCAATCTTGGCTCACTGCAACCTCCACCTCCCAGGTTCAAGCGATTCTCCTGCCTCAGCCTCCTGAATAGCTGGGACTACAGGTGTGCGCCACCACTCCCAGCTGATTTTTGTATTTTTTTTTAGTAGAGACGAGGTTTCACCATATTGGCTAGGATGGTCTAGATCTGTTGACTTCGTGATCTGCCCGCCTCAGCCTCCCAAAGTGCTGGGATTACAGGCGTGAACCACTGCGCCCGGCCAAGCTAATTCTTTAAAAAAATTTTTTGTGGAGATCAGTATCTCTTTATGTTTCCCAGGCTGGTCTCCAGCTCCTGGGCTCAAGTGATCCTCCTGCCTGGGCCTCCCAATGTGCTGAGATTACAGGCATGAGCCACCATGCCTGGCCCTTTTATACATTTTTTTTTAACACTCTGAGAGAGAGTTGAGGGCAGGCTGCTTGTAAGGATAAGGCAGCCTCTTTTATACATTATTAACCTAAGAAAAAATGGGGTGCCCTTGAAAGAGTTTTTTAAGATTAGAAAACAAGGGCCAGGTGCAGTGGCTAATGCCTGTAATCCCAGCATTTTGGGAGGCTGAGGCAGGCAGATCACCTGAGTTCAGGAGTTCAAGACCAGCCTGACCAACATGGTGATACCCTGTCTCTACTAAAAATACAAAAAATTAGCCAGGTGTGGTGGCAGGCACCTGTAATCCCAGCTACTTAGGAGGCTGAGGCAGGAGCATCGCTTGAACTGGAGAGGCAGAGGTTGCAGGGAGCCGAGATCGCACCATTGCACTCCAGCCTGGGCAACAAAAGCAAAACTCTGTCTCCAAAAAAAAAAAAAAAAAAGGCAAAAGGAAGTCAGAAGGAGCCAGATCAGTACTGTAAGGTGGATGCCTAATGATTTCCCATCAAAACTCTTGCAAAATTGCCCTTGTTTGCTGAGAGAAATGAGCAGGAACATTGTTATAGCGGAGAATGACTCTGGTGAAGCTTTCCCAGGCATTTTTCTGCTAAAACTTTTGCTAGTTTTCTCAAAACACTCTCATAATAAGCAGATGTTATTGTTCTTTGGCCCTCCAGAAAGTCAATAAACAAAATGCCTTGAACATTAAAAAAAAAAAAACGAATGACATGACCTTTGCTCTTGACTGGTCCACTTTTGCTTTGACCAGACACTTCCACCTCTTGGTAGCCATTGCTTTGATTGTGCATTGTCTTTAGGATTGTACTGGTAAAGCCATGTTTCATCTCCTATTACAATTCTTCAAAGAAATGCTTCAGGATCTTCATCCTGCTTGTTTAAAATTCCCATTGAAAGCTCTGCAGCTGATCTGGGCATGATGGTTTGGCACCTGCCAAGTGGAATGTTTGCTCAACTTTAGTTTTTCAGTCAGAATTATGTAAGCCGAACCAAGTGAGATGCCTATGGTATTGATTATTATTTCTGCTGTTGTCAATCCACTTCAGTTAGGACACAAAATGTTTTTCTCATAAATTGATGTGGATGGTCTGCCACTGTGGGTTTCATCTTCAACATCATTTCATCCCTTCTTTATTTTGTTTCTTTTTGGAGATGGAGTCTTGCTCTGTCGCCCAGGCTGGAGTGCAATGGCGTGGTCTCGGCTCACTGCAACCTCCGCCTCTTGGGTTCAAGCAGTTCTCCTGCCTCAGCCTTCCCAGGTAGCTGGGATTATAAGAGCCCACCACAATGCCCAGCTAATTTTTGTATTTTTGGTGGAGACGGGGTTTCACCATGTTGGCCAGGCTGGTCTTGAACTCCTGACCTCAGGTGATTCGCCTGCCTCAGCATCTCAAAGTGCTGAGATTACAGGCATGAGCCACCACGCCTGGCCAAGTATTCTTAAAGAAAATAAATACTAGGAGTCTGTAGTAGAGGCACAGCCCGGCCTAATCTCATCCCTTCTTAAAACAAATTATCTGGCCACGTGCGGTGGCTCATGCTTGTAATCCCAGCACTTTGGGAGGCCGAGGCAGGTGTATCACCTGAGGTCAGGAGTTCAAGACCAGCCTGGCCAACATGGCAAAACCCCATCTCTACTAAAAATACAAAAATTAGCCGGGCGTGGTGGCAGGCGCCTGTAATCCCAGCTACCCAGGGAGGCTGAGGCAGGAGAATCACTGGAACGTGGGAGGCAGAGGCTGCAGCGAGCCTAGATCATGCCACTGCACTCCAGCCTGGGTGACAGAGTGAGACTCCCTCTCAAAAAACAACAACAAAAAACAATTTATCTATTTGTAAACTGCTGATTTCTTTGAGGCATTGTCCCCATAAGCTTTTCGTAAAGCTTCAATGATCTCACCATTCTTCCACCCAAGCTTAACCATAAACTTGATATTTGTTCTTGCTTCAATTTTAGCAGAATTCATGTTACTCTTATAGGGGCTCTTTTCAAACTAATGTCTTATCCTTCATAGTGCCTCAAAGTAGATCCTGCTCAGACATGTTATAACAAGTTAGTACAAATTTATTTTGGTGCAAAAATTTTTTGAAATCTATGCATAGTTTTTTCATAATACACATTTTTCATAAACTTTGTGAAGACCTCTTGTATGTCCAGCTGAATACTGCAGGATTATATAACTGGTAACTCATGGCCCTTGCCCACAAAGTGCTAGTGGCGAGTTATCACTACCTTTTCCAGTCCCCTGCCCCTTTTCTTGTTTGTTGATGGTGTCATCTTCCCAGCCACTTAGGCAGCAAACTCTGGAGTTGTATTCTGCCTTTTCCTTTTCTTTCATTTAGTATTTAATTACAGCACAAGTTCTGTCAAATATTCCTTCAACAAATTTCCAATTTATCTCTTCCTTCTTGTCTCCCAACTCCTCACTCCAATCTGTTCTGCATGACTGGTCATCCTAAAATACAGATTTCATCATATCATTCCTCAGAAATACCATGCAGGGTTAAGCATGATGGCTCATGCCTGTAATCCCAGCACTTTAGGAGACTGAAGTGGATTGCTTGAGCCCAGGAGTTCGAGACCAGCCTGAGCAACATAGTGAGATCTTGTCAATACAACAACAACAAAAAAAATTAAAAAAAAATTAGCTGGGCATGGTGGTGTGTTGCTTGTAGTCCCAGCTACTCAGGAGGCTGAGGCAGGAGGATCACTTGAGCCCAAAAGGTTGAGGCTGCAGTGAGCCATGATTGAGCTACTGAACTCCAGGCTGCAGTAAGCCATGATTGAGCTACTGAACTCCAGTCTGGGTGACAGAGCAAGACCCTGTCAAAAAGAGAGAGAGACAGAGAGACAGAGAGAATGGAAGGAAGGAGGGAGGGAGGGAGGGAGGGAAGGAAGGAAGGAAGGAAGGAAGGGAGGGAGGGAGGGAGGGAGGGAGGCTGGGTGTGGTGGCTCACACCTGTAATCCCAACACTTTGGGAAGGCAAGGTGGGTGGATCACCTGAGGTCAGGAGTTTGAAACCAGCCTGGCCAACTTGGTGAAGCCCCGTCTCTACTAAAAATATAAAAATTTGCTGGGCATGGTGGCAGGTGCCTGTAATCCCAAATACTTGGGAGGCTGAGGCAGGAGAATCACTTGAACCTGGGAGGCGGAAATTGCAGCAAGTCAAGATCACGCCATTGCACTCCAGCCTGGGCAATGGAGTGGGACTCTGTCTCAAAACAAACAAAAACAAAACAAAGACAAAAAACCACAAAAACAAACAAAAAAAACTCAACACCTTTTACAATAGCTGCAAAAAATAAAATAAAATATTTAGGAATATACCTAACCAAGGAGGCAAAAGACCTCTACAAGGAAAATTACAAAACACTGCTGAAAGAAATGATAGATGACACAAACAAATGGAAACACATCCCATGTTCATGGATGGGTAGAAATCAATATTGTGAAAATGACCATACTGCCAAAAGCAATCTACAAATTCAACGCAATCCCCATCAAAATACCACCACCATTCTTCACAGAATTAGAAAAAACAATTCTAAAAAAAAAAATTATAAAATTTATATGGAACCAAAAAAGAGCTTGCATAGCCAAAGCAAGGCTAAGCAAAAAGAACAAATCTGGAGGCATCACATTACCTGATTTTAAACTATACTATAAGGCCATAGTCACAAAACAGCATAGTACTGATATAAAAATAGGCACATAGGCCGGGTGCAGTGGCTCACACCTGTAATCCTAGCACTTTGGGAGGCTGAGACAGGCGGATCACCTGAGGTCAGGAGTTTGAGACCAGCCTGGCCAACATGGCCAAACCCCATCTCTACTAAAAATAAAAAAATTAGCCCGGCGTGGTGGTGCACACCTGTAATCCCAGCTACTCAAGAGGCTGAGGAAGGAGAATTGCTTGAACCTGGAAGGTGGAGGTTGCAGCGAGCCAAGATCACGCCACTGCACTCCAGCCTGCTCGACAGGAGCGAGACTCCATCTCAAAATAATAATAATAATAATAATAATAATAATAAAATAAATAAATAGGCACATAGACCAATGGAACAGAATAGAGAACCCAGAAATAAACCCAAATATTTACACCCAACTGATCTTTGACAAAGCAAACAAAAACATAAAGTGAGGAAAGGACACCTTTTCAACAAATGGTGCCTGGACAATTGGCTAGCCATGTGTAGGAGAATGAAACTGGATCCTCATCTCTCACCTTAAATAAAAATCAACTCAAGATGGATTAAGGACTTAAATCTAAGACCTGAAACTATAAAAAGTCTAGAAAATAACTTAGACATTGGCTTAGGCAAGAATTTCATGACGAAGAAGCCAAAAGCAAATGCAATAAAAACAAAGACAAATAGTTGGGACTTAATTAAACTAAAGAGATTTTGCATGGCAAAAGTAACAGCCAGCAGAGTAAACAGACAACCCACAGAGTGAGAGAAAATCTTCACAATCTATATCTGACAAAGGATTAATATCCAGAATCTATAACAAAAACAAACTCAAACAAATCAGTAAGAAAAAAAAATCCCATCAAAAAGTGGGCTAAGGACATGAATACACAATTCTCAAAAGAAGATATACAAATGACCAACAAACATATTTAAAAAAGCTCAACATCACTAATGATCAGGGAAATGCAAATCAAAACCACAATGCGATACCATTATACTGCTGCAAGAATGGCCGCAGTAAAAAAATCAAAAAAGGCCGGGCGCGGTGGCTCATGCCTGTAATCCCAGCACTTTGGGAGGCGGAAGCGGGTGGATCACGAGGTCAGGAAATCAAGGCCATCCTGGCTAACACGGTGAAACCCCGTCGCTACTAAAAATACAAAAAATTAGCCGGGCGTGATGGCGGGCGCCTGTAATCACAGCTACAGGGGAGGCTGAGGCAGGAGAATGGTGTCAACCCGGGAGGCGGAGCTTGCAGTGAGCCGAGTCGCGCCACTGCACTCCAGCCTGGGCTACACAGGCAGACTCCGTCTCAAAAAATAAATAAATAAATAAATAAATAAATAAATAAATAAATAAATAAATCAAAAAACAGGCATGGTGGCTCATGCCTGTAATCCCAGCACTTTGGGAGGCCAAGGCAGGCAGATCACCTGAGGCCAGGAGTTTGAGACCAGCCTGGCCAACGTGATGAAAGCCTGTCTCTACTAAAAGTACAAAAATTAGCTATGCGTGGTGGCAGGCGCCTGTAATCCCAGCTACTCGGGAAGCTAAAGCATGAGAATCGCTTAAACCTGGGAGTTGGAGGTTGCAGTGAGCCAAGGTCACGCCACTGCACTCCAGCCTGGGGGATAGTGCAAGACTCTTGTCTCTAAAAAAATAAATAAAATAAAAAAGCAGTAGATGTTGGCATGGATGCAGTGATCAGGGAACAATTCTACACTGCTGGTGGGCATGTAAACTAGTACAGCCACTATGGAAAACTATGTGGAGATTCCTTAAAGAATTAAAAGTAGAACTACCATTTGATCCAGCAGTCTCACTACTGGGTATCTATCCAGAGGAAAAGAAGTCATTATACGAAAAAGATACTTGTACACACATGTTTATAGCAGCACAATTCTCAGTTGCAAAAATGTGGAACCAACCCAAATGCCCATCAATCAACGAGTGGATAAAGAAACTGTGGTCCGGGCGCAGTGGCTCATGCCTGTAATCCCAGCACTTTGGGAGGCCAAGGTGGGCGGATCATGAGTTCAGGAGATGGAGACCACCCTGGCTAACACGGTGAAACCCCGTCTCTACTAAAAATATGAAAAATTAGCCGGGCGTGGTGGCATGTGCCTGTAATCCCAG
Source organism: Homo sapiens (assembly GCF_000001405.40). NCBI lineage: Eukaryota > Metazoa > Chordata > Mammalia > Primates > Hominidae > Homo > Homo sapiens. The sequence continues at coordinate 39,018,267 of NC_000001.11, read as the reverse complement.
CTACTCAGGAGGCTGAGGCAGGAGAATCGCTTGAACCCAGGAGGCTTAGAGGTTGCAGTGAGCTGAGATCACACCACTGCACTCCAGCCTGGGCAACAGAGCAAGACTCCCGTCTCAAAGAAAAAAAAAAAAGAATCTGTGGTGTATATATATATACGATGGAATACTACTCAGCCATAAAAAGGAATGAATTAATGGCATTTGCAGTGACCTGGATGAGATTGGAGACTAATATTCTAAGTGAAGTAACTCAGGAATGGAAAATCAAACATCGTATGTTCTCACTGATATGTGCGAGCTAAGCTATGAGGACGCGAAGGCTTAAGGATGATACAGTGGATTTTGGGGACCTGGAGGAAAGGGCGGGAGGGGGGCGAGGGATAAAAGACTACAAATAGGGTACGGTGTATACTGCTTGGGTGATGGGTGCATCAAAATCTCACAAATCACCACTAAAGAACTTACTCATGTAACCAAATACCACCTGTACCCTAATAACTTATGAAAACAGCAACACTTCCATGGCCCTTGGGTTCTTGGGATGAAGAAACAATCAAAATGTTGTAGCCAGTGATCTTCTGTTACAGAAAGATGAATGAAACACAAAGAAGGGAGCCATTCATTCTGCCCTGGCTGTGTGTCAATGCTTCAAGAAAAGGTAAAAATTCTTGGGTTTGGCATTCAAGATCATTCACCCATTTCTAAATCCTCAGATCCCATTGCTTACTGCCCCCACTCAAACTCGTGTTCTCAGCCATCCACAATTGCTTTCACGCTCCAAGCTCGTTGGAGCAGTTTCTTCGCCTGGAATGATCCCACCCACTTGCTGCTACCTTCCCACTGTCTCCCTGGCGAATGCCTAATCCATTCAGATCCAGTTTATCACATCATTTTCTGGTGAAAACTTCCTGAATTCCTCAGGCATTTACAGGCCTTTTTGAGATCCCACCAGCCCTGTAAATGTCTATTATAGATATTGTTAAATGATGATTCCCCAGCCTCCTCCACCAGGCCCTGCATACAGTCTTGCTGTATGCATGATAGGGGTGCAAGGATGTAGGTGTCAGTCTTCCTTGGCTGCAAAGGCTGAGAAACTAAAAATCCCAGAGTACCCCCTGCTAGAACTGAGCCTGCGTGCCACTGGCGGCTGCCTGCATTTTGTTGCTCCCTATGTCACAAGCGAGGTAATGTTGCTGTCCCCTCCCCCCTTCCCTACCTTTACCTTTTCTTTGCCTGGATCTGCATATCCATTGCTTCATGGGTGTTTTTATACTGAAATCAAAGGAGGCCTTCATGTGTAGAGAGGCAAGCCCACGCTATTGCTGTTTTCCGTTTCATGGATCCCGAGGCCCCGACACCCAGTGGAATAGGACTAGCTATTCTTCCCAACATAGCCTTGCTCCCAGGGTAACAAAGCGGGGCTGGAAGTGCTAATGCAAGGCCCTGAGTCCCACCCCTCTGAACAAGCCTCAGCTGCTGCATGCACAGGGTGTCTGCAAGGTTGTAGGCAGAGCCGTCTACAGGTTTCCTGGGTCTGCATTCACGGGATTTCTGTCCTTGACCTGTAAGGTTCCCTCATGTTTACACACCTCTTAGTCATAACCTGAGAAAAGCTCTCACAGTACCCTTCTACAGATAGGCCATCTATAATTTAGCACATTGGGAACTTTATTTAGATCTGTATCCTGGTACCACTGCCACACAGATTTGAATAAGCTGGGTAGCACATTTGGGGAAGATGGTGTTTGGAGAGTCTCCCTACTCCTAACCTGGTAATTCGGCTGTAGGACAGACACAACAGAGCAGAGAAGCAAAGTAATGTGAAAAACAAACGGGTCTTAAGGGCTGGAATATAATGGAAACCAGAGCGATCATCTAAGTGACATCTAAGATTGTGCCATTTGGGGCTGGAGGAAATATCAAGTTGAACAGGTGAAACAATCAGGAATCACTGAGTCAAAATGAATTGGGGAGAGACTGAGCCAGGCTTATGGTGGGAGGGGTAACTTGATTTTGGTAAACATCCCATCCCTAGAACAACTAACTCCTCTCACTTTGATTTATAGAGCTGCCTTTTAACTTTAACTAAGCTTCCCAAGCAGTATGATTACATGAAGAAAATAAACTAGTAAGGCCAAAGGACCAGTCTACCTGACATATATTTTCATCATAAATTAACACACTGGAGTTTGGTTTTTTATTTTTTTATTTTTATTTATTTATTTTTTGAGACGGAGTCTCACTCTGTCGCCCAGGCTGGAGTGCAGTGGTGTGATCTCAGCTCACTGCAACCTCTGCCTCTCCAGGTTTAAGCAATTCTCTGCCTCAGCCTCTGGAGTAGCTGGGATTACAGGCGCGTGCCACCACGCCCCGCTAATTTTTTTGTATTTTTAGTAGAGATGAGGTTTCACCATTTTGGCCAGGCTGGTCTTGAACTCCTGACCTCGTGATCACCCGTCTCGGCCTCCCAAAGTGCTGGGATTACAGGCGTGAGCCACCGCGCCTGGCCAGGAGTCTGGTTTTATAGATCAATATAGCTTTATTAGTGAGTCAGATTCCTGAACACAGATGAGGGTAATTACACTACCTGGAGGGAACCTGCCAGGGCAGCTGAATAACCTTCCCCAGGAAACACCCTGCCCTCTCTCTGTCCAGACCCAAAGAACACTTACCAAAGTAAGGAGTCTCCTGCCCACTAGATTGTGAGCTTCTCTAGGTTGAGGACTGCTGAATCGCTGATTTTGGCTGCAGAGAGACAGCCTACAGAAGGCTTAAAATTATTTGATCTGGGAGTTAAGAGGAAAGAGTTTCAGGTAGAATACTGAAAATTGGGGAAGAGGAAGAGCAGCCACATAATTCATTAAGTCACTTTTTTAAATTCTCCAATTTAAAACATAATTAAAAAGTAAACTTTAATGTCGAAAATGCAAACTTGGGGAGGGCAGAAAGATCACACACAAGGCTGTCACTTCACACTTGGAGGGTTGCACAGCAGCCGGGCAGAGGCGCTCCTCACTTCCCAGACGGTGTGGCCATAGGACTCCATCGCTGGACATGTGACTTGAGTTTAAGCCTCTCCCTTCTGCCCTCATCTGGAGATGCTGACAGCCTGGGAGCTCCCACCTTTGGCACTGGATGGAGACCGAAGCCTGGCAAGGCCCTGCCCTCAGCAGGAACTCCCCCTGGGCCCCCACTCTGTGACCCCGAGCGCAGGCTAGGATTTTTCCCTTACCTTCTCAAGCCACTTTGGGCCTGCCCAGCTCTCTCAGAGCCCTGCTAGGTAGGTGACAACCCTGTTCCCAGTGTTTTGCTTTGTTTTGTTTTTTGAGATACAGTCTCGCTCTGTCGCCAGGCTGGAGTACAGTGGCGCTATCTCTGCTCACCGTGATCTCCGCCTCCCGGGTTCAAGCGATTCTCCTGCCTTAGCCTCCTGAGTAGCTGGACTACAGGTGCCCACCACCACGTCTGGCTAGTTTTTGTATTTTTAGTAGAGACGGGATTTCACCATGTTGGCCAGGATGGTCTCGATCTCTTGACCTCATGATCCACCCGCCTTGGCCTCCCAAAGTGCTGGGATTACAGGCATGAGCCACCGGGCCTGGCCCCCAGTTTTTTTAAATTCAATTTTAAGTAGAGACGGGGTTTCACGATATTGGCCAGGCTGGTCTCGAACTCCTGACCTCAGGTGATCCACTCGCCTTGGCCTCCCTAAGTGCTGGAATTACTGGCATGAGCCACTGCACCCAGCCCCCGGTTCCCACCTTCTTAGTGTATGTGCTGTCATCACGTTCCACCCCAACCAAACCTTGGGTGGGCAGCCTCTGCAGGGGACTACTCACAACTGGCCTGTAGTCACGGTTCCCTGCAGAGCCCTCGCAGGTGGTCCAGATGTGCCCACTGGCCCTGCCCCAGTGTGTCTTCCCTGCCTCTGGTCTGCTCTGCCTGATGTGCGCTGTACGCTCGGCTCTGCTGACTCTGAGGGGGCCTCCGTCACACACCGAGCCAGCTTCATCAGCTGTCTCAGTAGTTGATGTTCAGGGACAGGATAACGGGATCCCGCCCTTCCTAAGGTGTACCTGGGTTGCGACTCAGAATGGAAGTTCAGAACAAAGAGACTGAGCTGTGAAGTCACTCACTATTTAAAAGACAAGAATAGATATAATAGGTGAAGGCCGGGCGCGGTGGCTCGTGCCTGTAATCCCAGTACTTTGGGAGGCCAAGGTGGGTGGATCACTTGAAGTCAGGAGTTCCAGACCAGCTTGGCTAATATGGAGAAGCCCCGTCTCTGCTAAAAATACAAAAAATTAGCTGGGTGTGGTGGCGGGTGCCTGTAATCCCAGCTATTTGGGAGGCTGAGGCAGGGAGAATCGCTTGAACCCGGGAGGCGGAGGTTGCAGTGAGCCGAGACCATACCACTGCCTCCAGCCTGGAGTTTTTTCTTGAAACTCCATCTCAAGAAAAAAAAAAAAAATGATGGGGTGAGTCAATGCTAGGGACAGAGTCTGAGAGGAAAAAGTTTTTTTTTTCTTTAAGAGGGTCTCTCTCTGTTGCCTCAGCTGGACTGCAATGGTGAAATCATAGTTCACCGTAACCTCGAACTCCTGGACTCAAGCAATTGAGAGGAAAATTTTAAAGTAGTGCATGCAAACGCTAATTAATGCCTTTAAATAGGTAGGTTTAAGAGAATCTATGTCACCCCACTTCCCTCCTCCATTAAAGGAACCAGCAGTGGCTATGGAATTGGGCTGGATTAGGTAAAGTGAGGGGGAAAGACAAGCCAAACCAAAAGAAAAAGGATCTTTGAAGGTGTGTCTAAGGGGACAGGGAAGATGAGACTAGAAAGATTCTTCAAGAGCCACATTCCTCTCTTTTTTTTTGAGATAGAGTTTTGCTCTTGTTGTCCAGGCTGGAGTGCAATGGTGTGATCTCAGCTCACCGCAACCTCCACCTCCCAGGTTCAAGCGATTCTCCTGCCTCAGCCTCCCGAGTAACAGGGATTACAGGCATGCACCACCACGCCCGGCTAATTTTGTATTTTTAGTAGAGAAGAGGTTTCTCCATGTTGGTCAGGCTGGTCTTGAACTCCTGACCTCAGGTGATCCGCCCACCTCTACCTCCCAAAGTGCTGGGATTACAGGCGTGAGCCACCGCACCCGGCCCAAGAGCCACGTTCCTCTTAGGTGAAGCTACAGCCATGGTTAATCATCCTTCCTAATAAATATATAGGCCTCATTACCTCTGACTGGACAAAAAAAAAAAAAGAGGCTCTTAGTGGCTGTGTGTCTTAGTCTGGTATTTGCCCTTCTGTCTTGCACCTAGCCCTGAATTCATTTTCCCAAAACCCTTCAGATTTCCACAGGATAAGGCCCAAACTCCTATTAGTCAAAGCCCTCTATTATCTAGCCCCTACTACCTAGCTCCAGACTTCTCCTGGGATCCACAACAGTTTTCCACTCTTGCTAAATGAGAATGTCCTCTCTGCATACCACCACGGTTTCCCATTACTATCCCTACTTTCACCTACCTGAGCCCATTCTTTTTTTTTTTTTTTTTTTTGAGACAGAGTCTCGCTCTGTCGCCCAGGCTGGAGTGCAGTGGCGTGATCTCGGCTCACTGCAAGCTCCGCCTCCTGGGTTCATGCCATTCTCCTGCCTCAGCCTCCCGAGTAGCTGGGACTACAGGCGCCCGCCACCACGCCTGGCTAATTTTTTGTATTTTTAGTTGAGATGGGGGTTTCACCATCTTAGCCAGGATGGTCTCGACCTCCTGACCTTGTGATCTGCCCACCTCGGCCTCCCAAAGTGCTGGGATTACAGGTGTGAGCCACCACACCCGGCCTCATTCATTCTTTGAACGTTTCAACCCTACCTCCTCCAATGAAGCCTTCCCTGATCAGAATCGCCCTCTCCTCAGTCTACTACCTGTACCAGTCACACAACACTTGCCAACTTTTACCTTGCCTGCTTATGTCTCTTGCTAGACCGAGTCCCTTCTCAGTAGATTCAGTTGACTATTTATTTATGTTAAACTCTAAATTGGGTACTAGCGTTATAAGACAGAAGGGCTAGGGCCATTTACAGAACTTGTCAGGCTTTAAAAACTCAAATATCATTCCTCCAGAAATAAAGAACACAGAAGACACCAGTAATACTTGCTGAATGATTAACACTCAAAGCCAACATAAACATGTCTTTTCCTACTTATGTTTAACTAACAAGAAGGCATGTTGGGTAGCAAGGCAGGTTGGCAGGTTAACAGCCTTCATCAACTAATGAAAGCCCTGATGAGACAAGAAATATAGGTAATTTCACTCCTAGAAATGGAGCATTAGAAAATCTGGATCCACTTGGCCGGGCGCGGTGGCTCACGCCTGTAATCCTAGCACTTTGGGAGGCCGAGGCAGGCGGATCACGAGGCCAGATCGAGACCATCCTGGCTATCACGGTGAAACCCCGTCTCTACTAAAAATACAAAAAAAAATTAGCCAGGCGTGGTGGCGGGCATCTATAGTCCCAGCTACTGGGGAGGCTGAGGCGGGAGAATGGCGTGAACCCAGGAGGTGGAGCTTGCAGTGAACTGAGATTGCGCCACTGCACTCCAGCCTGGGTGACAGAGCGAGACTCCGTCTCAAAAAAAAAAAAAAAAAAAAAAGAAAAAGAAAATCTGGATCCACCTGAGGGCACATGACCTCATGAGGGCCATGCCATGGGTGACGGTCACCCTAAATTTAAAAAAATAAAATCTGGGAGATCACACCTGTAATCTCAGCACTTTGGGAGGCCAAGGGTGGGGGAGTCGCTTGAGCTGCAGTGAGCTATGATTGCACCACCACACTCCAACAAGGGCAACAGAGCGAGACCATCTCTAAAAAATAAATAGAAAAACCTACTGACAAAGCCAACTAAAAAGCAATGAAAATGGCTGGGCGCGATGGCTCACACCTGTAATCCCAGCACTTTGGGAGGCCAAGGCGGGTGGATCGCCTCAGGTCAGGAGTTCGAGACCAGCCTGGCCAACATGGTGAAATGTCGTCTCTATTAAAAATACAAAAATTAGCCAGGTGTGGTGGCAGGTGCCTGTAATCCCAGCTACTTGGGGAAGCTGAGGCAGGAGAATCACTTGAACCCGGGAGGCGGAGGTTGCAGTGAGCAGAGATCATGCCACTGCACTCCAGCCTGGGCGACAACAGCAAAACTCCACCTCAAAAAAAAAAGCAGTTAAAAAAAAATTATATATATATATATAGTTTTTTGAGACAAGAGTCTTGCTCTGTCACCCAAGCTGGAGTGCTATGGCACAATCATGGCTCACAGCAGCCTCAACCTCCCAGGCTTGTGATTCTTCCACCTCAGCCTCCAGAGAAGCTGAGACCACAGGTGTGTGCCACCACACCTGGCTGATTTTTTGAGTTTATTTTTTGCAAAGGCAGGTTCTTCTGATGTTGCCCAGGCTGGTCTCAAATGATCCTCCCACCTCAGCCTCCCAAAGTGTTGGGATTACAGGCGTGAGCCACCATGCCCAGCCCGTCATTCTCTTAAAGGCATCAAAAAGCTAACCAGCTAATAAGGAAGAACTGAACCAAAGTCTAAGTGAGGAGAAAGCAGAGCTAAGCCTAACAGTCAGAGCTGCTTTTTCCTTTAAGGCATTTGCCAATCTGGAAGAAGTTCTTGGACACCTGAGCTGCACTTTTAGAAGTCTTTCAGCAGCCTCAAAGGACTGGACAAAAGTCAAAACCTAAGGCTAGCTAATGGTGGGAATTCTCACCACAGACACCTTAAATTGGGATCCCAAAGAATTACACCTTTAAGATAAAGGTGAATCAAAAGTAAACCATTTCTCGGCCAGGCGTGGTGGCTCACTCCTGTAATCTCAGTACTTTGGGAGGCCGAGGCAGGCAGATCACCTGACGTCAGGAGTTCAAGACCAGCCTGGCCAACATGGTGAAACCCTGTCTCTATTAAAAATACAAAAATTAGCTGTGCTTGATGGCACATGCCTGTAATCCTAGCTATTCCGGAGGCTGAGGCAGGGGAATCCTTTGAACCCGGGAGGCAGAGATTGTAGTGAGCCGAGATCGTGCCACCGCACTCCAGCCTGGGTGACAAGAGTGAGACTCCGTCTCAAAAAACAACAACAAAACCAAACAAAAAAAGTAAACCAGTTCTCAAGTGGACTTGCCACCAGGTTATATTTAATCTGGATGACCTGAGGTACTTTCAGCCTTCTGAAACCTGCATCAGATGATTTGGTAGTATCCTCAGCCACAGGCAACATAAATCCTTCTTAGAGATAGATACCCTCATTCTTGTCCTGTTCACTCCTGCAAATAATAATTTTTTTTTTTTTTGAGATGGAGATTTGCTTGTTGCCTAGGCTGGAGTGCAATGGTATGCAATCTTGAATCACTGCAACCTCCTCCTCCTGGGTTCAAGTGATTCTCCTGGCTCAGCCTCCCTAGTAGCTGGGATTACAGGCGCCCGCCACCACGCCCGGCTGATTTTTTGTATTTTTAGTAGAGACGGGGTTTCATTATATTGGCCAGGCTGGTCTCAAACTTCTGACCTCATGATCTGCCCACCTTGGCCTCCGAAAGTGCTGGGATTACAGGCGTGAGCTACCGCACCCAGCCTGAGCCACCATGCCCACCGTAATTTTTCAAATATACTGTCCAGCTCACAGATAACCAGGCATAAAATGAGATACTACACAGGGCGCGGTGGCTCACGTCTGTAATCCCAGCTCTTTCAGAGGTTGAGGCGGGTGGATCACGAGGTCAGAAGTTTGAGACCAGTCTGGCCAATATGATGAAACCCCTTCTCTATTGAAAAATACAATAGCCAGGCGTGGTGGCGGGCGCCTGTAATCCAAGCTATTCAGGAGACTGAGGCAGAACTGCTTGAACCCAGGCGGCGGAGGATGCGGTGAGCTGAAATTGCGCCACTGCACTCCAGCCTGGGTGACAGACTGAGACTCTGTCTCAAAAAAGAAAAAAAAAAAGGAGATATTAGATACAGCAATAAGTAAAACGAAACAAAGACCCATGAAGACCAGAACTTTAAATTGTCAAAATATCACACCTTCAGTACAATAAAGTGCTAATTATTTACTTGAAAGTATGGTTTGGTGGCCAGGTGCGGTGGCTCACACCTGTAATCCCAGCACTTTGGGAGGCTAAGGCGAGTGGATCACGAGGTCAGAAGTTCAAGACCCACCCAACCAACATGGTAAAACCCCGTCTCTACTAAAAATACAAAATTAGCTGGGCGTGGTGGTGCATGCCTGTAATCCCACTTACTTGGGAGGCTGAGGCAGGAGAATCACTTGAACCCGGGAGACGGAAGTTGCAGTGAGCCGAGATTGCACCAGTGCATTCCAGCCTGGGCAACAAGAATGAAACTTCATCTCAAAAAAAAGAAAAAAAAAAAGTATGGTTTAGGGTGGGTTAATGTACGCTTTTTTCCAGGTGTCCAACCTTATCCAGTTTAACTGTAGCTCTGGAAGACTACAGCACTCCCTCAATCTGTTTTCAACAAAGGACTCCAGAGTAGTAGAGAAGTTTCTGTTCCTTTTTAATAGCCCATGGGCACTATTACACTCTGTTCCTTAAGAACAGTATTTTACAAACTATTTTAAAGCCATGCTATTTTCTGTTAAACAAAATTCTCACACCCATTTTTGTACCTAAAATTCCAAAATTAAAAATGCTTGAAATAAAATTGGTCATTTCAAATCTTTTTCCCTCCCCAAATAGTATGCTCTGTGTCCCCATCCTTGAGAATCATTGCTCTAAACAGTTGTTCAATAGCTTTTTCTGTGACATACTTACTTTGGCAATCAGTTTTTATTTGTAAGCAAAAAGGGTATTTTCATCACACCTCAACTTAAGGTATAACAGCCTTAAGAATGACAAATTAGGGTAAGTGTTGACCAACTCATGATGCAACAAGGATTATAAATGAAGTAACTTTGCCTTGTTTGTTGCTCTTTTTTCTTTTTTTTAATTGAGACAGAGTTTTGCTCTTGTTGCCCAGGCTGGAGTGCAATGGTGTGATCTCGGCTCACCTCAACCTCCACCTCCCAAGTTCAAGTGATTCTCCTGCCTCAGCCTTCCAAGTAGCTGGGATTACAGGAATGCACCACCACGCCCGGCTAATTTTGCATTTTTAGTAGAGATGGGATTTCTCCATGTTGGCCAGGCTGGTCTTGAACTCCCATTCTCAGGTGATCTGCCCGCCTCGGCCTCCCAAAGTGCTGGGATTACAGGCATGGGCCACCGTGCCCAGCCTGTGTGCTTTTTCCCAAATGTTTCTTCATGCTTTAGTGCAAAGGCCAGCACACTTTTCTGTAAAAGGACACAGAGTAAGTATTTTCAGCTCTGTGGCCCATGCTTTGGTCTTTGTAGCACCTACTCTACTCAAGTCTGGAGTTAGTGTGAAAACTGCCACAGACAAATGAATAGGTGTAGCAGTGTTTCTACAAAACTTTACAAAAATAGGCCAGTTTTTGTATGACCCTGCTATATTAACATACAAAACATACTGAATACAGATTCACAGAAAGGCATTACCAAATTCATTTGTCATTCATCTTTTATTTCCTTAATCAAACAAAGGTACAAATTCTAATAAGAAAAAGTGAGATCTTTATGTTAACAAGGGGCTATTCATATTGGAAAGCTGAGAATCACTACTTGGGACACAAAAGTTTGGGTCTCCAGGTCTGACGAAGACTACTATAAAGAAACCTGCTCTAACATTGTAAAGTGCATAGTCTATGCCCTAAGCTGTGCTAAATACTTTCTTTACATGGATGATTTCTTGCATTTGAAAACAAAACCCAATATGAACCTACTATTAACCTCGATTTTACAGGTAAGCAAGCCATGTTTCAGCAAGTTTAGTAATCTGGCAAGGCTGACATAACCAAATTAGTGGCAGAGAAGAAACCAAACTACAGAGCTACAACCACGCAGTCAGTCCTTTACTATGCTAGCCAACCAATCCTCCATGGTAAGAAGATTCACCAGGTTTGAAAGATTGGCTTAAATCCTTTTTTTTTTTTGAGACATAGTCTTAACTCTGTTGCCAGGCTGGAGTGCAATGGCACAATCTCGGCTCACTGCAACCTCCGCCTCATGGTTTCAGGTTGATTCTCCCGCCTCAGCCTTCCAAGTAGCTGAGATTACAGGCGCCCGCCACTACGCCCAGCTAATTTTTGTATTTTAGTAGAGATGGGGTTTCACCATGTTGGTCAAGCTGGTCTCAAACTCCAGACCTCGGGTGATCTGCCCCTCAGCCTTCCAAAGTGCTGGGATTACAGGCGTGCGCCACCCGCTGGCTTAAATTCTTGTACTCTCTGATGGTCTTCCCCTTTGGAAGATCTTAACAATTATCACTGCCTTAGGAGCTCTGATCTTCCTTTTAACTTCTGACCCAAGGATGGACACTTACTTTTTCCTCTTAAGCTTAAGACTTTATCAAGGATAATAACTGGAATTAAAATAGAGAAAAAAATTAGCTAGCTCACCAGATATTCTGAAAACACTGTTCCTGAGAAACCCTTATACGTTTTTATAGGTTGACGTCTTCCTTGGTCTATAATTTCCATGGGACAAAGACATTTCTCTACCTGGGAGTGCCCTTAAATTCAAGCTCTGGAAATCAAGGTCTAGGGAAAAATTCATTCACCAGTCTGAGACCTACCTTCCAGGTCCCCATTTTCTGTCCCAGTTGTCTTTTCTCTAGATTATAAACACTAAACAAACATGTGTGGTCTCTTTAGAGGGGATCCCAAAACCCAGCCCTGGTGGTTTGGTCTTACCTTGTGGCCTCAGAGGGCTACCTTATCATTATATGATAGCCTAACAACAATGTGGTATAGTGGGGCGGGTGGTGAGCAGGTGTCATTTTCCTTAGAGAAACCTACTCTACTTCCCAGCCAGGAGCCACTTAGTTGGAATGGGGACTGACACTTTATAGTTAAGTGAGCACATCACACTGATCTCTAAAACAAGACTTCAGTGGGGCAGCATTCCCCATTACCAGTCCAGCCTCCACAGCTTCTGATGGCTCCCACAGCTGCCCTTTCTTTATTTTGGTGTGACTAGCCCACTGCAGAGCCATTCCCATTACAGCCACTGCTATGTTCCTCTTTTAGGAACAAGTGACTACCCTGAAAAAAGAAGAGATGAAACAAATCACCCTTCAAATACAAAGTAAAATCATTCTTTAATTATTAAAAAAAAATCACTGTTGGGCTTTTTTTTTTAAAGGTCCATAAATTTTCAATGCAATGTTGAACTGGGGAAATGGTTATAGCAGCTCTCACATAAGTTATTTGAATTAATAAACATTATCACAGTATTAAGAAGGCAAGGTAAACAAATAGCTTAAGTATTTTATTTGTTTGCAACTAAGCTTGTTAACACTATATAATGAAAATGTACAAAGAATAATGTTGCAGTTTTTGGTTAGATTTAAGTCAAAGACATTCATTAATAAGGAATCTTCGAATGTGAATATTCCAGAAATTTCTCTAAGCCATCTGATCACAACAACTGTCTCTGAATATTACCTTACTTTGGAAGGTATTGGCATACATTTGAATTAAACTCAGAATTTTTCAAAATAAGCCCTAATTAAAAAAACTATTCTATATTCAAAGTAAAACAATATTAATAGAACTTTCCTTTCCAGAAACAATGAAGGAAACAAGGCATTTTGTAAAATGTGGTCCTGAACAAGTCACAGTAAAAAATAAATGTATACTTAACTTCCACCTCCTCAAAACAGAGGCTACTTTCTGTTCCTCAGCCTTGGAAACAAGGTGAAGAACAGCCTATATGCGACTTCGGGCAGGGGGTTGCCAAAACAAAGCTGAAGCAGTTGACCATGGACACCTCAAAAGAATTTGGGAGAACCCGACCAAAGGATCCAAATTCTATGTTTTTTTTTTTTTTTTGAGACGAAGTCTCGTTTTGTTGCCCAGGCTGGAGTGCAGTGGCATGATCTGTGCTCACTGCAACCGCCACCTCCAGGGTTCAAGTGATTCTCCTGCCTCAGCCTCCCAAGCAGCTGGGATTACAGACGCCTGCCACCACGCCCGGCTAACTTTGTTGTATTTTTAGTAGAGATGGGGTTTCACCATATTGGCCAGGGTGGTCTCGAACTCCTGACCTCAAGTGATCCGCATGCCTCGGACTCCCAAAGTGCTGGGATTACAGGCGTGAGCCACTGCGCCCAGCCCAAATTATATTTTTTAATAACTAATACAAAGGTGAAGTGGCTCCTCCCAAGTAGCAGTGCTGCCGGGGCCTGGCCCAGGCCTAGCCCTGGGCTCACCTCTCATGCTCCCAAGCCAACCCTGATGCTCCTGGCTCCAGGGTAGACCTTTTCCCTTTAGAGGTTCAGTGTCCAGGGAGCTCTATGATAATTGTGTGAATGAGGTGAGCGCTGACTCCATGTGAGTATTTTAAGGCTTGGAGTCAAAGAATTAACCTAACATGCCCAGGCAGAGTCCATGTGTCAATGGCCCGTCTCCAGTTTGTTCTAATTTCTCACCACGTGTCTGTAGATATAGGACCGCAGACCTTCGCTTTATCATCATAATCACATCTAATGTCCATCCTAACTTACGATTCATATTCTGTGCCTGGAAACAGTCCCTGTATTTAACAATACCTACACATAAAAACAATCCACTGTTACAACTTGTATGGTCACAAAACATTAATGATCTTCTTTAGACCAAGCAAATGTTTTTTTACCATAATTGTCGTGCACCAAATTCACAGCCAGAATCCCCAAGATCAAAAAAAAATTTTTGCACAATACAAATAATAACTTAAAATACACATACACACATATACACACACTCTCACACGCACTTCTTACAGAACTGTGCTTGGGGAAACTCCATTTGTTGAATGCCACTGAAGGCATATTTTGCTAAACTGCTGCTCCAGGTATTTTTGTTTGGAAAATCTATCACAGTAGGGCACAGCTGTTTATTGGATGAGCAGAAAAGAAAGATATGCTTGTGGCAACCAGAAAGTTTTACGGTCTTTCAAGTTGTATAAAATGGACCTGCAGAAACGTTTAAGTGTTCTCAGGATGCAAAGTTGGAGCTGAAATGTGACATCAAACCAGTTGCAAAAAGTGTACAGCAGCCATCTCTTGAGGTCAAACCTGGTACCCAGATATGTGACAAAGCTTCATGACACATCTGTAAATTAAGAATAAAAAACAAAAAGGGTAAGAATACTAAAAACTGTAGTGTCATGCTTTAAAAATTTTCACTAACAGTAAATGTGAGAAATAGCATGAACGATGACTCACCACTTAAAAGATACTAAAGATCAAGAATTTAAGGAACCTGACTGAAATTCAGTTAGATATACAACTGTTAATATTTTATGCTTTGAATATCTGGTAGTTGCAAATTATTTAGAATAAGAAATCCTGACCACACTTGATAAACTAACTTAAGGAATCAACTTTCATAAATTAACAACTGAAACTATCTTTCTGGAGAAAAGACAGGTAACAAATTGGTGCTCAAGTCAGACTACCTAGATTTTAATCCTAGCTGAACCACTAGCTGTATAAGCTTGGGCAAATTATTTAACCTCTTTAAATGCTATCTTTACCAGTAAAATGGAGCTAATAATAGTACTCCCTCATAGGGTCACTGTGAGGCTTATATAAGCTTTGGTGTGGATTTAATACTCTTAGCATAGTGCTGGGCACATTTTACTTCACAGGGACTTTTTACTCTGAGGAGAGAAGTTTCAGTGTAGAAATTTTGCTCTTGAAACTTAGAAAATTCAAAGAAAATGTGGCAATACTTACAGCTTGTTGGCCTTGTCCCATACCGTCGCATAATCTGATCATGTGTGAATTTCACAAAAGATTCATATTGTTCTGTGAGAAGACAGTACATACTTATCCTCAGCAACTCTCCCTCAATTTTTAAGAATCAAGCGTCAGGATCACAAATAGCTTCCCAGTTTGAATTCTTCACCCTCTCAGGCCCTCTTTATAAAGGTCCTTGTATTAAAGTCCAGTGACCTTATATAAAGGTCACTGAGATCTGTTCCTCTTAGAACCCAGAGCCAAATCCTTGGCTTCTAGAATGGGTCACTGATGGTATATAATGGTATTTTCCTGATAACCTCTCCCCCGTGACATAACTCTATCTCCTATTAATAGCTCACTACCATAGCCAGGAAATTTCAGCCCATCTCCCATGGGACATGAATCTTTGAAACTCTTTCCTTGTTATAAATTTCAACACACATTGAGTGAAAAACATGAGTGGAAGAAGTGTGGGATGGCTAGAAAGCTAAGTGAAAATCTATACCATCTAACTGCAAACAGTTCCACAGAAGTACCACCTTTTAAGGGGAAACTGAGTAGAAAGGAAGAAGGTAGCCTGACATCTGTGAACAAAGAAGTGACTCAGAACCAGCTGACTGAAACAGTATTATGGTGGGAGTGGGAGAGGGAATGATATATTAGAGCTTCTTCTTTTTTTTTTTGAGATGGAGTCTCACTCTGTCACCCAGGCTGGAGTGCAGTGGCGCAACCTTGGCTCACTGCAACCTCTGCCTCCCCGATTCACGCCATTCTCCTGCCTCAGCCTCCCGAGTAGCTGGGACTACAGGTGCTCACCACCATGCCCGGCTAATTTTTTGTATTTTTAGTAGAGACGGGGTTTCACCGTGTTAGCCAGCATGGTCTCGATCTCCTGACCTTGTAATCTGCCCGCCTCGGCCTCCCAAAGTGCTGGGATTACAGGCGTGAGCCACTGCGCCCGGCCTAGACCTTCTTCTTATAATACATATTAAAGGATCAAAGTAGTTCTACTATAAAGGAACTCATTTAACTTTGCTTAACCCAACAGCTCCCAATGTAAAACAGATCTATTAATATTCTGAGGAACCACGTTGTATGGGTCACCAGACTAGGAAACAATAGTGTTACAGGAAAAAGTTGTGCTTCTTCACTCTCTGATGATTACACAGCAGCAAAGCATGAAAGCTGCCCATAAATTTCTTAATTACTCACACTGTCACCCTAAGCAACAGATCTTGACCTATATCCCATAGGGTACAGCTGAGGACTTTAATCAGAAAAGGAGTATGATGAGATTTGTGCTTGACATAGAGTACTGTGGTTTAATGTGGAATATTATCCACTTTCACTAAACAGGTACTATTTCCTATTTCTGATTCAGATCTCTTTCTTTCACAAAAGGCTTTAATTGTTGCCATCATTAATCACTATCTTTGTTCTAACCTGCCCTAGCCTTGCTTTTACTCTACTGTTCCTCCCAAATCACACCCAACTCGCCACATCCATAACTATGACTTCTTAACTAGGAAGTTTGAATATGTTACTGAACTCTTCCACAACACCTGTTGAGAGTTTAGTACAGTATCACAACCATCTGTTTACCAGCCAGCTAGCCCAAATGGCCTACTCAATGCCTTCATTGATATGGAAAATTCTTGCAAGAGCTTGGTTTGTTTCTTTTCAGAAATGCAAATGAAAAATCCCTCCCACTGGGCAAGGTGTGTAGCACTCCTGTAATGCCAGCACTCTGGGAAGCTGAGGTGGAGTACTTCTTGAGGCCTGGAGCTGGAGACTCCTAGAGCTGGGCTCACAGCAAAACCTTGCCTCTATTTAAAAAACAAAGTCTTGGCCAGGCGCGGTGGCTCACGCCTGTAATCCAAGCATTTTGGGAGGTCAAGGTGGGCGGATCACCTGAGGTCAGGAGTTTGAGACCAGCCTGACAAACATGGAGAAGCCCCCTCTCTGCTAAAAATACAAAAAAATTAGCCAGGCATGGTGGCGCATGCCTGTAATCCCAGCTACTCTGGAGGCTGAGGCAGGAGAATCGTTAGAACCTGGCAGGCGGAGGTTGTGGTGTCAGCCTGGAAAATAAGAGCAAAACTCTGTCCCAAAAAAAAAAAAAAAAAAAAGTCCTTCCATATAATGTATAAATGATGTGTTTACAATCACCAAAGAGTAACTTCCATACCCGCAACTCAATAAACTCCCTTGCATGAGGTCCTACTCTCTTTTTCTAAGTTATTTAACTGGTGTTAATTTTTAACTGAACCCTGTTAATGACAATGGCAGTCACTGCCTGGGCCTACCTGCTAGTTTGGTATTGAGGATTTGCTCATACTCCTCCCGAATTTTATCTTCATAGTCTTTTAAGAGGCGCTCACATATTATGCCAACTTGTCGGAGGGTAAATGTGGGCTGGTCCTTCTTCATCCATGAGGAACCTGGCCAAAAGAAAAAGTGAGTTTGGGCCAGGTGCGGTGGTTCACACCTATAATCCCAGCACTTTGGGAGGCCAAGGCAGGCGGATCATCTGAGGTGGAGACCAGCCTGACAACGTGGAGAAACCCAGTCTCTACTAAAAATACAAAATTAGCTGGGCGTGGTAGGGCATGCCCATTATCCCAGCTACTCGGGAGGCTGAGGCAGAAGAATTGCTTGAACCCGAGAGGTGGCGGTTGCAGTGAGTCAAGATTGTGCCACTGCACTCCAGCCTGGGCAACAAGAGTAAAACGCCATCTCAAAAAAAAAAGAAAAAAGAAAAAAAGGCCGGGCGCAGTGGCCATGCCTGTAATCCCAGCACTCTGGGAGGTCGAGGTGGGCGGATCACCTGAGGTTGGGAGTTCGGGACCAGCCTGACCAACATGGAGAAACCCCTGTCTCTACTTAAAATACAAAAAATTAGCTGGACGTGGTGATGGGCACCTGTAATTCCAGCTACTTGGGAGGCTGAGAAAGGAGAATCGCTTGAACCTGAGAGGCGGAGATTGCAGTGAGCCGAGATCACACAACTGCATGCACTCCAAACGGGGCAACAAGAGCAAAACGGACTCAAAAAAAAAAAAAAAAAGAAAAAGAAAAAAAAGGTTCTCCTAATCAGGTTCACTCACAGAAGATTTGAATTCAGTACAGAGATAAGTCACAGGGATAAGCTTCTACCAGCCTGGTTCTGGAGCTGGCAAGTGAACAAATCCCACAAGTGGCTTTCTGATCATGATAAAAGCAGCAGCCCTGGCCAGGCATGGTGGCTCTCGCCTGTAATCCCAGCACTTTGGAGGCCAAGACGGGTTGATCACTTGAGGTCAGGAGTTCGAGACCAGCCCGGCCAACATGGTGAAATCCCGCCTCTACTAAAAATACAAAAAAATAGCTGGGTATGCTGGTGGGCGCCTGTAGTCCCAGCTACTCGGGAGGCTGAGACAGAAGAATTGCTTGAACCTGGGAGGTGAAGGTTCCAGTGAGCTGAGATGACGCCACTGCACTCCAGCCTGGGCGACAGAGCAAATCTCAAGAAAAACCCAAAAAAACAAAAAACAAAAAACAAAAACAAAAAAACAAAACAAAACAAAAAAACATGGGCAGCAGCCCTGTTCTCAGGTGTTCCTCAAAGCTCAGGCTAAAATCTGTTTCTTTGGCCATTTGTTAGCCAGTAAGCCATTTAACACACTGAAACAATTTTTTGCTTAAACTAACTCAAGGATATTTTTTTCTCTACAAATAAAATCTAACCAAAACATCTCACTAGTCATTATTTGTAACTGTTTTGTTAACCATAACATATCCCATTACTTTAAAATTATATTACTGAAATCTCAAGAGAATAGTGCTAGTTGTAACCACTGACAGGTTTATCATGTATGTGCAAGAGCAATCAGAAAGGGTGCAGTTCCAGAGCCAGGAACTCTGGATTAAAAAATAATAATTTGTTGAGGTAAAAGTCACGTAACATAAAAGTAATCACTTTAAAGCAAACAAGTCAGTGGCATTTAGCATAATCAAAATGTTACACTACTACCACCACTTCTAGTTCCAGAACACTTCCATCACTACAAAAACTAAAACCCCTTACCCATCAAGCAATATCTCCTCATTCTCCCCTAACCCTAATTCCGGGCAAACCCCAGTTTATATTTTGTAAGGAGACATTTTTTAACCAAGGTAACTTTTAACCTTTAGAACTGTTAAGTAGAATACTTTGTGAGGAAATAAGACTCTTCTACTGTTAAAGGAGACAGATTTCACCACCACTGGAGATGGTCAAACACTGGGCTGTTGAACCCCAACAGGAGGCAATATGGCAGGCAA
This sequence comes from Homo sapiens, assembly GCF_000001405.40. NCBI lineage: Eukaryota > Metazoa > Chordata > Mammalia > Primates > Hominidae > Homo > Homo sapiens. Next base: position 38,999,110 of record NC_000001.11, on the reverse strand, counting down.
AACTGAGTCACTACATGACCATGAAGACTGTCTCCAACCTTGAGATTCTATTTTTTAGCACATCCTCTTTGACCATTTGTCAATAATGAGCAGCCCCTGTTGAACAGAGCTTTCTGCAATTATGGAAATATCTCGTAACTGCATGTACAATACAACAGCCATATGTGGCTAATGAGTACCTGAAATGTGACTACTGAACCTGAGGAACAGAATTTTAAAAAAACTTTTTTTTTTTTTGAGACAGAGACTCACTCTGTCACCCAGGCTGGAGTACAATGGTGTCATCTCAGCTCACTGCAACCTCAGCCTCCCGAGTAGCTGGGATTACAGCTGCGAGCCACCATGCCTGGCTAATTTTTTTGTATTTTTAGTAGAGATGAGGTTTTGCCATGTTGGCCAGGCCGGTCTTGAACTCTTGACCTCAGGAGATCCGCCTGCCTCAGCCTCCCAAAGTGCTAGGATTACAGGCATGAGCCACCTCAGCCGGCCAAAATTTTATCTAATTTTAATTAGTTTAAAATTAAATAGCCCACATGTGGCTATTTATTGCACCCTGGCTACAATATTACACATTGCAGTTATACAGGAAGATATTCTTGTATTGGGTGGATGGAAGCACATCAAATCAATGTGAGGTTTCTTCCAATTTCATGACTGTATAGTTTTAAAAATATCTGTAAATATTAATACATCCCCGTTAGCAATTCTATTACATTAGAGGAGGCCAATTCTAGATTCATCATTATAAGTACCATTTACAAACTCTTAATGCGAATTTTGCAGATCAAAGTGGGCTTACCTGGAGAGCTAGGTGCTGTGAGTGCTGAGGAGTGAGGTTGACTTTCCGAAGCACAAGCTTCACTCTGATTAAGAACAACTTCTAAATGTCTCCACCTCTGATAACGACTATATTCTTGTTTTATGTTCTGAAAAATTTGCTCTAATAAAAAAGAAACAAACTTGAGCTTTCACTTTATTGTCTCATTTCTTCAAACTTTCTTCAGAAGTGGGAAGAGACAAAGATCTTCTGACTAGACTTTAGATACTCCCTTTGGCATGTAGGTCTCAATCTCCCCCTCCCCCGACATAAACAAGCAAAACGTTTATACCGTACCAAGCACTCCCCAGTGGCTTCAAAGACAGTATGTTCTTATTGCCACTATTTCAACAATGCATAAAAGAATAGCTACTTTGGCATAAACCAGACAGAGTTCCCTTTACTTGTTTTCCTGTGGCAAAGAACACAAGATCTGCAGTTAGCTGGATGGTTAACTAGTACAATTTACAGTAAAAGAAACCTCTGTTTACCTAACAGGGATTATTTTTTAATCTCCTTTAAATTTCGCAATTTCACAACCTAGGGTATTAAGGGGTGAGTCTCATACTGCCCAAGACCTTCTAACAAGGAAGCTCTTGTCCCATATGGGACTTTAAAAAAGCATCTTTGGAGCTGGAAGTGGTGGCTCCAAAGCTGGGTGTAATCCCAGCTACTCTGCAGGGGGAGGCGGGAGGATCCCTTGAGCCCAGGAGACTAGCCTGAACAACACAGCAAAATCTCGTCTCAAAAAAAAACCACAAGGGAGCCTGGGTGATTTATCTAAAAAACAAATCAAAATAAACTTTGGGAAAGGGGGCAGCAGAAACCATTATGTTTACAGTGTGGACATCGACCAAGGAAAGAACTGAGATTTAATGCCTAGAAGTGATGGTCAGGGCTTAGAAAATAATTTTCTGATCCTAAGAGGCAACTCAGTGTGTGGGGAGATTATAAGTCAAGGTAATCACAAAGCAAATTTGCTAACACTATTAAAGGGAGCCCAGGAAACACAAATTACTAACCACCTTGAAATACACTCCTAGAAACAACAAAGAATCTAAAAGGATGTGGTTTTCAAGTTCTTTGTTTGTACCTACTAATTTAAAAAAAGAGATACCTGTATCCATCTCAAACAACTCAAATTATTCTAGTGTATACTTTGCTATAACCACCTTTTTTTTTTTAATGGTGGGAGGTATTAACAATGCCACTTTGCTTCTTACTAGCTGTGTGACTATAACCTTGAGAAGTTATTCAGGATCTTTACTTCTTCAATGTAAACATTAAATACCTACCTGATAAGGTTGTAAAAATAAAAACTAAAGGTAACAATAATGTCATAACAAGTGACAGTACAGTCCAGGAACTGACATGAATTCAAGTGGTTCCACACATAGTCAAAGTCCCTAACTTTCAGCCTAAATACTAGAACAATGTAGGAGATGCTTTAAGAGTGTTATGGGCCAGCTGGGTATGGTGGCTTATGCCTGTAATCCCAGCACTTTGGGAGGCTGAGGCAGGCAGATCACAAGGTCATGAAATCGAGACTATCTTGGCTAACATGGTGAAACACCGTCTCTACTAAAAATAAAAAAATTTAGCCAGGCGTGGTGGCACGTGCCTGTAGTCCCAGCTACTCAGGAAGCTGAGGCAGGAGAATCTCTTGAACCGGGGAGGTGGAGGTTGCACTGAGCCGAGATTGTGCCACTGCACTCCAGCCTGGGAAACACAATCAAGACTCTGCCTCAAAAAAAAAATAGAAAAACAAAACAAAAAAACAAGAGTGCTATGGGCCAGGCACTGTGGCTCATGCCTGTAATCCAGCACTTTGGAAGGCCAAGGTGGGAGGATCACTTGAGGCCAGCCTGGGCAACATAACGAGACCCAGTATTAAAAAAAAGAAAAAAAGCCTGTACATGGTGGCTCACGCCTGTAATCCCAGCACTTTGGGAGGCCTAGGCAGGTGGATCACCTGAGGTTCGAGACCAGCCTGACCAACATGGCGAAACCATCTCTACTAAAAATACAAAAATTAGCTGGGCATGGTGGTGCGCACCTGTAATCCCAGCTACTTGGGAGGCTGAGGCAGGAGAATTGCTTCAACCCAGGAGGTGGAGATTGCAGTGAGCCGAGATCACCCCATTGGACTCCAGCCTGGGCAACAGAGTAAGACACTGTCTCAAAAAACAAAACAAAACAGTGCTATGAAGTTTGTATTTTAGATTCCTGAATTTATTAAGTTTTCACCTCACTTTATTTTTTAAGAGAGTCTTACCCTGTCGCCCAGGCTGTAGTGCAATAGCACAATCTCAGTTCACTGCAACCTCTACCTCCCAGGTTCAAGCAATTCTCCTGCCTCAGCCTCCAGAGTAGTTTGGATTTCAGGAGCCCGCCACCACACCCACCTAATTTTTTGTATTTTTAGTAGAGACAGAGTTTCACAATGTTGGCCAGGCTGGTCTCAAACTCCTGACCTCAGCTGATCCGCCCGCCTCGGCCTCCCAAAGTGCTGGGAATACAGGCGTGAGCCACCGCTAGCCCCCTGTATTTTAAGATGTCTTATTCCTCAAGCCAGAGCCAATACAAGGATAAGAACTGCAAATACTTGAAACAAGAAAGGACAAGTATGAGGACAACGCTTAAGAGAACAGAAGGTCTTTGATAAACCTCTGCCTCCTGTATGGCAATGTTAACAAATGGAAAGATACAATTTTGAGGGTGGTAGGACTAAGAAGTCCAAGAATCTAAACACGGTATCCATGGGAGAAAAATAAGAAAGTTAGACATGATTTTCTTCTGTAGAAGGCCATATAAAGCACAAAATTTTTTTAAAAAGAAAAACTCAAATTTCTTTTTAACAGTGGATAATTTTAATCCTTCCCTCCATTACTTGAGGTTGTGCTGCCAGATTTTTTCCGGTCTAAGCCCATCCTCCAAACTCTACAGTGTTCCTACTGCTACAAACCAAAATTCAAACTCTTGAACATGGCAGTCAATACTTTCCAAGATGTGGCCTCAATTTATTTTCCTGGTTCCATCTGGATTCCACTATAATTTAGTTACATTACATTATTCTCTCCTTAAATTGTGGGTTTTTTGGACTTTGCTCTCATGGTTTCCCTGTGCTCGAAATGGGACTATTGCTCAAACTTGATCAAGACTCAGCTAGCCAGGCGCAGTGGCTCATGCAATCCCAGCACTTTGGGAGGCCGAGGCGGGCAGATCACCTGAGGTCAGGAGTTTGAGACCAGCTTGGCCAATACAGTGAAACCCTGTCTTGACAAAAAAAATACAAAAATTAGTAGGCCGGGTGTGGTGGCTCATGCCTGTAATCCCAGCACTTTGGGAGTCTGAGGCAGGCGGATCACCTGAGGTCAGGTGTTTGAGACCAGCCTGACCAGTATGATGAAACCCTATCTCCACTAAAAATACAAAAATTAGCTGAGAATGGTGGCATGCGCCTGTAATCCCAGCGTTCTGGGAGGCTAAGGCAGGAGAATCGCTTGAGTCTGGGAGGTGGAAGTTGCAGTGAGCCGAGATCATGCTACTGCACTCCAGCCTGGGCAACAAGAGCGAAACGTCATCTCAAAAAAAAAAAAAAAAAAAAAAAAAAAAAAAAAATTAGCCGAGCGTAGTGACACATGCCTGTAATCCCAGCCACTGGGGAGGCTGAGGCAGGAGAATCGCTTGAACATGGGAGACGGCGGTTGCAGTGAGCCAAGATCGTGCCACTACACTCCAGCCTGGGCAACAGAGTGACTCTGTCTCAAAAAACAACAAAAAAAGACTCAGCTAAAATGCTACCTTAATTCAGAAGTTATTCTCAGACTCTCAAGTCATAATCAGTTAATTGCTTTGCACATTACGTTTACAAATATTTCCTGCGGTCAGCAACCCCCTTCTTCCATGTCTGGAATTCACCTAGCACTCAATAAAGATTTAAGCAATAAAAGGCTTAGTTTTACAGGACCTTTCCACAAAAAGTACCATACAGATTGAGCATCCCTCATCCAAAATGCTTGAGACAGAAGTTTTGGATTGTGGAATAGTTGCATTATACTTACCAATTGAACATCCCTTACCCCAAATGAGAAAAACTCCAGTGAATAAGTATTTCCTTTGAGTGTCATATTGACACTCAATTTTTGGATCAGTTCAGACTTTGCAGCATTTCGGATTTCAGAAAAATTGCCCAGCTAATTTTTTAGCTTTTTTTTTTTTTTGAGATGGAGTTTCACTCTTGTCACCCAGGATGGAGTGCAATGGCCGGATCTCGGCTTACCGCAATCTCCGCCTCCCAGGTTCAAGCGATTCTCCTGCCTCAACCTCCCGAGTAGCTGGGATTACAGGCATGCACCACCATGCCCCACTAATTTTGTATTTTTAGTAGAGACAGGATTTCTCCATGTGTGTCAGGGTGGTCTTGAACTCCCGACCTCAGGTGATCCGCCCGCCTCCGCCTCCCAAAGTGCTGGGATTATAGGAGTGAGCCACTGCGCCCGGCCTTAGAATTCTTTTGTGGAAACAAGGTCTCATTATGTTGCACAGACTTGTCTCGAATTCCTGGGCTCAAGCAATCCTCCTGCCTCAGCCTCCCAAAGTGCTGGGATTGCAGGTGTGAGCCACCACGCCTTGCCCACATTCTCTTTTTTTTTTTTTTTTGAGATGGAGTTTCGCTCTTGTGGCCCAGGCTGGAGCGCAATGGTGTGATCTCCGCTCACTGCAACCTCTGCCTCCCGGCTTCAAACGATTCTCCTGCCTCAGCTTCCCTAGTAGCTGGGATTACAAGTGCATGCCACCACTGCCCCCAAAACAAAAATAACTTTTTTTTTTTTTAAGATGGAGTCTCGCTCTGTCGCCAGGCTGGAGTGCAGTGGCGCGATCTTGGCTCAACGCAACCTCGCCCGGCTATTTTTAGTAGAAACAGGGTTTTCACCATGTTGGCCAGGATGGTCTCGGTCTCTTGATCCACCCACCATGGCCTCCCGAAGTGCTGGGATTACAGGCATAAGCCACCTCGCCCAGCCCAAAAATCACTTACGAAGCAGCTACTGTAATGTGAACTACAACCAAATTAGTCTAGAGGATAGTAGTATTGAATAAAACATTTACATTAAACCCATCACTTTATACTTTTCAAAATACTTTTTGCAACTATCTTGAGGGTTCTTCAACAAAAGATAGCGCAAGTATGAACTCCAATTTGCAGAAGTGAGACCCAAAAAGATTATGGACTATCTTTAGGTATCTGCAGGAGCTAGGGAAGAACTAAACATCACTGCAAGTGGCCATCTATGGCGCCTGTCTTTGAGGGTTCTTTAAAATGGACTTTTGCAAACATTATCTCATCCTGTACATAAGGTTATACAACATTGAATGGCCGGGGAATTTAAGTAGAACAGCGTTTTTTATGGGCAGGTTAGTCAGCTAATGGATAAGAGACTTGAAATTACTCTTTTGGGATTAGCAAATAGAAGGGAAAAACATGATAAGGGCACAGAGCGGTGGGTCTGGGGGAAAAAGCAGAGGCACAGTTTGAAAAAAATGTGTAAGAGACTGACTAGGTAAGATATGGTCACAGTTCATAAGTCCTTTGAATTCTAGGATTAAAAAGGTGAACTCGAGTTAAGGATATGAAGTCTGGGACAGCTTTAGCTGGGTGTAGGAATCTTGGTGTGAGGATGAGGGCCTGCAATTTGCATTGTGGATCGATATGCAGAGGAAGGAGGAAATGAAACCTGAAGGCACTGCTACTGAAAAGGGGTGGAAAGGATGATTTTACGGTGAGCCTAAGGTTTTGCTTAAGCTTGAGGAATAGAAAAACACACAAAGAAACGACTTGCCCAAATCCATTATTGAGACGCCCCCCTCATTTCCGGAAGTCCTTTAAAATCGCAGAATATTAATGCTGAAGCACCCTCCCCTCTACTCCTGCGCTATGAGGTGTCTACTGTAACGCCAGTCCTTTTCCTTGGACAAAGTGGAACGCCTTACTGAAGGAGAGTCCCTGTTAAGGACAGTTACATTCTTAGTTCTGTAGAACCTCCGTATGTCGTAGGATTCTCAAATTCTAGCTAATGATCTACCGATTTCAAGCCATATATGGTACGAGGCAATAGCCATATAATAAAAGAACGTGGCCAGTCCCTTAGAAATTATCAGGTTGAAATCGGATTCCGTGACTCTTGCGGCGGCCTCTGGGTTCCTAAAGACTTCTGGAAATCATGTCTCCCTACAGGGCTAAACAGCACGCACTCGCGCCCCTTCCCGGTAACCCGCCCCCATCCCACCCCCGCCCTCCAGGCCAGGTTCGTGAGTAGAATCCAATTTTCCATGGCCCACTGGATCTGCAGGGTTGCTCGGTGCAGACCCGGCCAGCGGAGGAAGGAGGGGCTTCAGCGACAGGGAGGGCCCGGAGCGGCCAGAGGTATTCCCATCTTCCTCTTGGTGTCCACCCCTCCAGGCTCTCCTCCCCCAGGAAAACCTAAAACCGACCCTGTGGCCCCATTACCCCTCCCGGATGCCTCCCATCACCGGAAGCAACCAGGCCCAGCGGCATCCCAGTTCCCTTTTCTCAAGGCAAAGAAGGGGTCCCTGGGTAAACTGGCCTGGTATTCCCAACCCTCCCCCACCACCCCCCCCAAAAAATGCCTGGGCCTGGCTTCCTGCCAAACCCAGAGCAGGGCAGGTTACCCGGAGTTGGAAGGCGCCGCTCGCTGCCGGGCGGGGCGGGCTGCTGCAGACTCTGCGGTGGGGTCTGCGTCTGAAACGGCGGCGGCGGCTCGGCGTCCGGGGGCCTGAGGCCCGGAGTGGGGCCGGGCAGAGGGGCGCAGCGCCGCCGCTTCGGGGAGCCGGGGCTCAGCAGCGCCGCCTCGAACTCCATGGGCCGCTTCAGCGTCGCCCCGCACGCCATGCCGCTGAGGGGCCAGGGACCGGGAGCGGACGCGGCGGTAAGTGCGGCCCAAGAGGCTCCTCAGCCGGGCTCGCCAGCCAAGCCGGCTCCAATGGCGCCTCCAGCACCCGGCAGCGGCGCTGGCCCCGCCTTCTGTGACGTCACGGGCGCACACCATCGCCCGGCAGAGGGGGGCAGGCCGGAAGAGGGTGGCTCTGCGAGGCTGGTCAGTGCCGGCCCGGCCCGGGGCGCCCCCTGCTGAAGAAATGGAACGGTCTGGGCGGAGAGCGTGGTCACCAAGCAACACCGGGAAGGCCCCCACCCCCACCCCCGCCCCTCCCAGGGTCCCATCCCCCCCGCTTTGGGGCTGTCGCGCCCGGGTGGCCCCTAAGGTTTTCGCACCTGCGCTGCGCGGGCGTGGGGGAGGGGAGAGCTTGAAGGGGCCTGGTGAGGGGCCATGGGGGTCTGGTGACTCCAAAAACCTCCTTCTAGGCCGCTCTTGTCCCCATGATAAAAGGGTGATTGTTAAAGGTCATCAAGGGCATTCCGCTGAGCCCTGGGAAGTCTGCACTTAAACAGAAGCGAGTATTGGAGGATGGGCTTTAGCAAGTCCATGAACCCCATGAAATTATTTGCAGATTTGTGGGGTGGGAGCGAGGGTGGGGGTGTTTGTGGGAGTATTTTTGAGATAGCTGACCCATACCTTAAGCAGCTCATCAAAGGGATATGTTACTTTAAAACGTTGAGAACCTACAAAAAGCACCCACTGGCTTAAACCGTCTAAGAATGGCTTCAGAGTGTTAAGAACTTCAGCTGGTAGCTGATTTGCCATTCTTCCCATCTGACTTGGCAGCTCAGGTTCTTCCTCATCTTTCTGAACTCTTTACAGCAATACCAGCTGTAAAGTGCTTTTGATATTGTGGAAAAATAAATAGATAACAGGGGGGTTCTGCTTTCTGAAACTCTGCGCGTCTGTATTTTTCTGGGGAGCAGTTCCGGTGTTTTCAACAGATCATCAAAGGAATCTGATCCAAAGAAAGGATAAAGCCTTTCTGTACCTTCTCATATATACTGAATAATGACCATGACTCCTGGGATCTGTCTTCAACATATCTCCAGGATTTTTCAGGACAGTCCGAATTACAGATATTCACTTCTATTAGCCCATATGCTACATCAATGTGCCACAATATTTGAGTTGGAGAATATGGGCATACTACCCCAGTGCCCATTCATTGTTCTTTTTCTATTGCTTTTCTCTGGATCCTCTTCAGTTACTACAAATTTTTTTTTTTTTTTCTGCTCCTTGTGGAACAGAGCTACCCCATAGGCATGCAGTATGCCCGGAGTAACCTCTACAAATTCTTTAAATATCATAACATAGGACATATATCTTTGCATTTATCTTTGTAAAAATTGCAGAAATAATTCTAAAATCAGCATACCAAATGTTAATTTTATCTCCTCTCTTGTCCATAAGAGCATAAAGGGTCTTTACAATAGGCTAGAAAACTAGAAATAGAAAATTAGGGCCAGAGAAAAAGGAGATCACAATTATCATGGGGTTAAACAAGACTGTAACTGAATTTGAAATGTAGTTATCGGCTGGGTGCGGTGGCTCACGCCTGTAATCCCAGCACTTTGGAGGCCGAGGCGGGTGGATCACTTGAAGCTAGGAGTTCAAGACCAGCTTGGCCAACATGGTAAAACCCTGCCTCTACTAAAAATACAAAAACTAGCCAGGCGTGGTGATGCACACTTGTAATCCCAGCCACTGGAGAGTTTGAGGTGGGAGAATTGCTTGGACTCGCCACCTTGAGATTGTGCCACTGTACTCCAGCCTGGGAGACAGAGTGAGACCCTGTCTCAAAAAAAAAAAAAGAAAGAAATGTAGTTCTGAGCTTCCTGGATGCTAGGGTAAAAATGAAAACACAGTACATATTGAATAGATTTTGTCATCTGAAAGGAATGAATTAATCATAGGAGACATCATAGATTTTTTTTCCCTATATAACCAAATTCTAAAGGTAGTTTCTCATGTGATTTTATTAGGAAACAGTGAATGATTTAATAAAGTAATCAGGAAGATTTTAACAACAAATGCTAAAGCAAAATTCACATGGATACTTTTTGTTATGTCTAATGAAAGCCAAGGACATAAAAAGCAATCTAGTGACGGTTTTTTTGTTTGTTTTGAGAAAGAGTTTTGCTCTGTTGTCCAGGCTGAAGTGCAGTGGCTTAATTGCAGCTGACTGCAACCTCCGCCTCCCGGGTTCAAGCAATTTTTCTGCCTCAGCCTCCCCAGTAGCTGGGACTACAGGCGTGTGCCACCATGCCTGGCTAATTTTTGTATTTTTACTAGAGACGGGGTTTCTCGAACTCCTAATCTCAAACTCCTGACCTCAAGTAATCCGCCCGCCTCGGCCTCCCAAAGTGCTGGGATTACAGGCGTGAGCCACTGTGTCCGGCCCAGTGATGGTTATTTTTTAAGGGGCTTGTCTAATGTGGGCCAAGTAAATTGCCTTCTTATGGTGTAAACAGGTCCAAAGTTAGAGCTTAGAAGGTTTGAAAAGTATGCCCCCTTGGGTAGTCATTCTAAATAGCACTTTTTTTTCTCTTTTACAGACAGGGTCTTACTCTGTCATCCAGGCTGGAGTGTAGTGGTGCAATCATAGCTCACTGCAGCCCTGAAAACTCCTGGGCTTAGCCTCCCAAGTAGTTAGGACTACAGCTTTTTTTTTTTTTTTTTTTTTTTTTGAGATGAAATTTTGCTCTTGTTGCCCAGGCTGGAGTGCAATGGTGCAATCTCAGCTCACTGCAACCTCCGCGTCCCACGTTCAAGTGATTCTCCTGCCTCAGCCTCCTGAGTAGCTGGGATTACAGGCATGCGCCACCACGCCAGGCTAATTTTGTATTTTTAGTAGAGATGGGGTTTCTCCATGTTGCTCAGGCTGGTCTCGAACTCCTGACCTCAGGTGATCCGCCTGCCTCAGCCTCCCAAAGTGCTGGGATTACAGGCGTGAGCCACCGTGCCCGGCCCCACCTGGCTAATTTTTAAACTTAAATTTAAATTTGCTAAATTTGTTGTAGAGACAGAGGTCTCACTATATTGCCCATGCTGGTCTCAACCTCCTGGCCTCCTGGGATTACAGGCATAAGCCACCTCGACCAAGACTTCCATAAACTAGGGATTTTTGTTTTGTTTTGTTTTGTTTTGTTTTGAGATGGAGTCTCGCTCTGTCGCCCAGGCTAGAGTGCAATGGCGTGATCTTGCCTGACTGCAACCTCCGACTCCCGGGTTCAAGTGATTCTCCTGCCTCAGTCTCCCAAGTAGCTGGGACTACAGGTGCGTGCCACCATGCCTGGCTAATTTTTTTTTGTATTTTTAGTAGAGGAGGGGTTTCACCAAGTTAGCCAGGATGGTCTCGATCTCCTGACCTCGTGATCCACCCGCCTTGGCCTCCCAAAGTGCTGGGATTACAGGCATGAGCCACAGCACCCAGCTAAGCTAGGGTTTTGCAAAATGCTTTGATAGTCACTCTCTTCTCTGAGATCCTTTAAAACTTTGGAGTGTGGGCTGGGCACGGTGGCTCATGCCTGTAATCCCAGCACTTTGGGAGTCTGAGGCAGGTGGATCACCTGAGGTCAGGAGATTGAAACCAACCTGGCCAACATGGTGAAACCCCGTCTCTACTAAAAATACAAAAATTAGCTGGGTGTGGTGGTGTGCACCTGTAGTCCCAGCTACTCAGGAGGCTGAGGTAGGAGGATTGCTTGAACCTGGGAGGTGGAGGCTGCAGTGAGCTGACATCATGCCATTGCACTCCCGCCTGGGCAACAGAGCAAGACCCCATCTCAAAATAAATAAATAAATAAATAAATAAATAAATAAATAAATAAATAAATAAATAAGGAAGTTATAATTTGTGTATCTGACTATGCTTCCAAACTATAAATTCCTTGAGAATAATAGCCAGGCCTCATTCATCTGTGTTTTTCCACCCCCAGTACAGTGTTTGAATACAGTAGGGGTAGGTTCAGAATAAATATTGGTCAAATGAAGAAATAGGGCTGGGCATGGTGGCTCACACCTGTAATCCCAGCACTTTGGGAGGCCAAGGCAGGTGAATCATGAGGCCAGGAGTTCAAGACCAGCTTGGCTAACATGGTGAAACCCTGTCTCTACTAAAAATACAAAATAGCAGGCCTGGTGGTGCATGCCTGTAATCCCAGCTACTCAGGAGGCTGAGGCACGAGAATCACTTGAACCCAGGATGTGGAGGTTGTAGTGAGCCAAAATCATGCCGCTGCACTCCAGCTTGAGTGACAGAGCAAGGCTCTGTCTCAAAAAAAAAAAAAAAAAAGAAATGGCAATTATCTCAAAGTTGGTCTCTCTCTGAAAGCTGAGAGTCCACATTGCTGAGTGTGGGTGGATTCAGATGATTCAGAAACCAAACAAGTAGATGGTATATCCTATTATATGCTGCCGATGACAGAGGACTAACCATAGAGATGTTCTTCAGGGAGCTCTGAAATAGCCACTCAGTTTAGTGTCTCCTTATGAGATCACCACAGTCCATGTTTACTTTGCTTTGCATATCCAGGCCCTTGGCCAGTATACACATACACACACATTATTGAGTATCTTCAGTGTGCTAGGCATTATGCTATCTTAGTATCATGGTTGAGGATACCATGGTATGAAAAGAGGCCCCTTCCTCCCTTCATAGGGGTCCCAACTGTTAGAAATGACAGGTGTTAATCAAATAATCACAACAAATATGTAACTGCAAACTATGACAAGTACTATAAAGGAAAAGGACAGGATGTGATTAAAGTCAGGAGTCCTAGCCTGTCCTGGAGGGCAATGAAAACTTCCCTGAAGAAATGACATTTCAGCTAAGAGCTGATGAATCAGTCGGAGTTAATTAAGCAACGAAAGGGCGGAGAGAGCAGAGGGGACAGCACATATGAAGGCCTGTGATAGAAGAGGACATAGTGTGAGGAATCCAAATACGTCTCCAGTGGCTGTGGTCCAGAGTATGAATCTGGAGAGTCAGGGAGAAAAAACTAGTGAGGAAGGCAAAGGAAGGAATTTAAATATGATCAGAAATTACATTTGAAGTTCCTGGCTGCCCCATGGAAAACAGTTTGGAGGAGAGCAGGGATGGATGAAGGAAATCAATAAAGAGGTTACTGTATCCGTCCAGATGCACTCCTTGTAGTATTAGTTTTGTAATATTACAGGAACCTCCCACCTCCAAGCACACACAAATTCTTTCATATCCTCACTGAGGAGAGGGGGGTGTTTTTATGCTGGTTTACCTTGTAAAAGCTCAGCAAGAGATCTGAGGCTCTGCCTATTTACTGGCCAGGGAACAGTGTTGTTTGGATTGAAGGAATGAAAGATACCATCTTCCAAAATCTTTCAGGATTCTTTGTCCAAAGTTTCCAAAGGAATTGTCTGTATTTATGCTCTCCTTTTTTGTACCTCCTACTCACTACTCATTAACCCACGTCTATCTGACCTGTGCCCTTCCCATTCCACTAAAACAAGTAAGGTCGCCTCCACATTATGAGGAAAGTAGACAGAAATGAACAAAGTTTAGGAGATTAAATCAACAGACCTTGGTGAGGATTAGATATGGAGGTGAGGGAGATGGACTAGGCTACTAGCTTTCCCAGAACCATATTCTGAGAAAGTTTTCATTGGAAAGTGATCAGACTGAAGAGGAAAATGAGTTTTGTTTTGGACATGTTGTGTTAGAGGTTCCTTTAAAGCCTCACTTGGGCGTCTCAAGTGGAGGTATTTGTATGTAAATACGCGGGTCTGGAATTCAAGAGAGATCTGAATTGGAGAAAAAAATTCAGGTGAGTCATCGGTGGAAAAATGGTTACTGAAGTTGTAAGGGCAGGTGGGATTGTTAAAGGTAGGAGTTCTTAGCCTTTCCTTGTGTGCCATACACCCCTTCTCTGAATGTTTTTAAGTGCAAAAATAAAACACATATGATTACAGAGGAACACAGCTATAATACAATATATATGTCTATGTTCATTTATATATTTTATGCTTATGTAATTATATATTTATGTATTAATATATGTTATATATAATAAATTTCAGAAAGTCCATTAATATCCATTGCAGGCTAGGTGCAGTGGCTTATGCCTGTAATCCCAGCACTTTGGGAGGCCGAGTTGGGCAGATCACCTGAGGCCAGGAGTTTGAGATCAGCCTGGCCAACATGGTGAAACCCCTTCTCTACTAAAAACAAAAAAAATTAGCCGGGTGTGGTGGTGCACGCCTGTAATCCCAGCTACTCCAGAGGCTGAGGCAGGAGAATCGCTTGAACCTGGGAGGCGGAGGTTGCAGTGAGCTGAGATTGCGCCACTGCACTCCAGCCTGGGCGACAGAGCGAGACTGTCTCAAACAAACAAACAAACAAAAATCCATTGGATATCTATTGTATACTGATAGACTATGGAAATACATATATTTCTCATTGGATGTTGATAGGCTATCTGGAGATACATGATAAAAAGGCTAAAAAAAACTGAAATAGAAGAGACAGCTGGGCACGGTAGCTCATGCCTCCAATCCCAGCACTTTGGGAGGCCGAGGCATGTGGATCACCTGAGGTCAGTGTTTGAGACCAGCCTGGCCAACATGGTGAAACCCCGTCTCTACTAAAAATCCAAAATTAGCCAGATATAGTGGCACACACCTGTAATCCCAGCTATCAAGAGGCCGAGGCAGGAGAATCGCTTGAACCCGGGAGGTGGAAGTTGCGGTGAGCCGAGATCGTGCCACTGCACTCCAGCATGGGCAACAAGGGCGAAACTCCATCTCAAAAAAAGAAAAAAAAAAGGCCGGGCACGGTGGCTCACTCCTGTAATCCCAGCACTTTGGGAGGCCAAGGCGGGCGGATCATAAGGTCAGGAGATCGAGACTAGCCTGGCTAACACGGTGAAACCCCATCTCTACTAAAAAATACAAAAAAAAATTAGCTGGGCATGATGGCGGGCGCCTGTAGTCCCAGCTATTTGGGAGGCTGAGGCAGGAGAATGGCGTGAACCCGGGAGGTGGAACTTGCAGTGAGCCGAGATTGTGCCACTGCACTTCAGCCTCGGCGACAGAGCGAGACTCCGTTTCAAAAAAAAAAAAAAAAAAAGAAGAAAGGCAATGAGAACTTGAGAAAAATACAATGATATTGTGATTACACAGATTTAGTACTGACTAATAGGCAAAAACACAGAGGAACTTAAGAGCTGAATAAACAAAGTTGATTTAATAATCATTTATGAGGCCGGTGGCTCACACCTGTAATCCTAGCACTTTGGGAGGCTGAGGTGGGCGGATCGCATAAGGTCAGGAGTTCAAGACCAGCCTGACCAACATAGAGAAACCCCGTCTCTACTAAAAATACAAAAATTAGCTGGGCATGGTGGTGGGCGCCTGTAATCCCAGCTACTCCGGAGGCTGAGGCAGGAGAATTCCTTGAACCCGAGAGGCAGAGGTTGCAGAGAACCAAGATCGTGCCATTGCATTCCAGCTGGGCAACAAGAGTGAAACTCCCTCTTAGAAAAAAAAAAGAAAAAAGAAAAAAGAAAAAAATATATACATAAATACATGACCTAAAAACTCATCTTAAGAAAAAAATAAAAACTAAAAGCTAAAAGAGATAAAGCTGAAATTAGTAAACTAGGAGATAAAAATAGTAAAAAGGATGAATAAATCTGAAAGCTGGTTTTTTTTTAAAAAGGATAATAAACTCCTTAAAAATCTCACTAAGGAGACAGGAAAAAAATGTTTAAGATTGGGAATAAGAAAGGAGACAATCATAAATAAATTAGAAATGAAAAATAATTGTAAGAGAATACTGCGTACAACTTGATGGCAACACATTTTTTTATTTTATTTCTTTTGAGACAGTCTCACTCTGTCGCCCAATCTGGAGTGCAGTGATGCGATCTTGGCTCACTTCAACCGCTGCCTCCTGGGCTCAAGTTATTCTTGTGCCTCAGCCTCCCAAGTAGCTGGGCTTATAGGCGCACACCACTATGCCTGGCTAACTTTTTTATTTTTAGTAGAGATGGGGTTTCACCATGTTAGCCTGGCTGGTCTTGAACTCCTGGCCTCAAATGATCCAGCTGCCTCGGCCTCCCAAAGTGTTCTGATTATAGGCGTGAGCCACCGTGGCCAGCCAAACCTCTTTTTTTTTCTTTTTCTTTTTTTTTTTGTGGGGGGAGGCGGGGAATAGAGTCTCGTTTTGTCACCCAGGCTGGAGTGCAGTGGCGTGATCTCGGCTCACTGCAACCTCCACCTCCCAGGTTTAAGCGATTCTCCTGCCTCAGCCTCCCAAGTAGCTGGGACTACAGGGGCATGCTACCATGCCCTGCTAATTTTTGTATTTTTAGTAGAGATGGGGTTTGGCCATGTTGGCCAGGCTGGTCTCGAACTCCTGACTTCAGGTGATCCACCTGCCTCGGTGGATCCCAAAATGCTGAGATTACAGGCTTGAGCCACCCCGCCTGGCCTAAACCTCTTTTCTGTATTAATTACCCAGTCTCAGGTATTTCTTTATAGCAATGTGGGAATGAACTAATACACATCACAAAAGAGACCTGAAAGGTGATTAAAGATCCACCTTTAGATAATAAAAAGAACAGAACCTAATAGCTTTCTAACTATGTTCCATTTAACCTTTAAAGAACACACAGGTCCATAGTTATTTGACCTATTACAGTTATTTGATCCAATCGAAAATTGAGAAGCTCCCCAATTCATTTTATGCTGCTGACATAATTTTAAAACCAAACCTTGAAAAATGTAGTACCAAGAAAGAACTATAGACCAACTTTACTAATGAACAGAGGCAAACATTCCAAATAAAACATTAGCAACTGGAATGCAGTACACAAGAGTTGTTCCCGAAACACCAGGGGTTCGGTCTAGGTCCTACTGTTCACAGCACAGAAAGCCAGTGACTGAGACTATGAGTATTGCTAGAAGAAGGCTTTAACTGGGTGCTGCAGCTGAGGAGATAGAAGCTTGGTCTCAAATCCATCTCCCTGACCAGCTAAAATTTGGGGTTTATATATCAGGGAAGAAATGTAACTATCTATGAGAAAACAGAAACTCAGAAGGGTAAGGAAGCAATCATGATGAATTGGGGGCCTGGAGTCTCATTGTCTGGAGGAGATGATCTGGTGAGTTTCAGTTCTTTGATACGTTTTGAGAGGACTGGAGATCCTTTCTTGAGGAAGAAACTCAGATAAAACAAATGTTAAGTTTCCGGCAGGGCGCGGTGGCTCATGCCTGTAATTCCAGCACTTTGGGAGGCCAAGGTGGGCGGATCACGAGGTCAGGAGATCGAGACCATCCTGGCTAACATGGTGAAACCTCATCGCTACTAAAAATACAAAAAATTAGCCGGGTATGGTGGCAGGTGCCTGTAGTCCCAGCTACTCGGGAGGCTGAGGCAGAAGAATGGCATGAACCCGGGAGGCGGAGCTTGCAGTGATCCGAGATTGCACCACTGCACTCTAGCCTGGGCGACACAGCCAGACTCCATCTCAAAACAAACAAACAAACAAACAAACAAAACAAATGTAAGTTTCAAGCTTTTGGATCAGAAGGGTCAATTTCTATGTTTATCCAAAAACAACTGTCTATGGGACTATTGGGTTGGTTTCACAGTCACACCAGCTTACCATATCATTTAGGGGCCCAGGCAGATTCAAGTCCACAAGGTGACCAAACTGGCTCATTCCAAATGTATGAGGGTGGCTAGACTATCAGGAAGCATATCAACATAATTCATAAATTCCATGAATTGGCCGGGCTCTGTGGCTCACGCCTGTAATCCCAGCACTTTGGGAGGCCAAGGAGAGTGGATCGCCTGAGGTCAGGAGTTCAAGACCAGCCTGTCCAACACGGTGAAACTCTGTCTCTACTAAAAATACAAAAATTAGTCAGGCATGGTGGCGGGCGCCTGTAATCCCAGCTACTGGGGAGGCTGAGGCAGGAGAATCTCGAACCTGGGAGGCGGAGGTTGCAATCAGCTGAGATTGCGCCATTGCACTCCAGTCTGGGCAACACAAGCGAAACTCTGCCTCGAAAATAAATAAATAAATAAATATATTCCATGAATTAAAGAAGAAAGACCTTAAGATTATATCAATAGATGCTGAAAAGGCTTTAATAACATTCAATAGCCTTTCCTCTTCTTCTCTGTCTTTTTCTTTTTTTTTTCAGGGATCAGGTCTTGCTCTATTGCCAGGCTGGAGTGCAATGGTAGAATCGTAGCTCACGGGAGTCTCTAACTCCTGGACTCATGTGATTCTCCCTTCTCGGCCTCATGAGTAGCTGGGACTACAGGAGCTAGGACTGGCTAATTTAAAAAAAAAGTATTTTTATGGAGACAGTCTCGCTATATTTCCCAGGCTGGTCTCAAACTCCTGGTCTCAAGGGATTGTCCCACCTCAGCCTCCTAAAGCATTGAGATTCCAGGTGTGAGCCACTGCACCCAGCTGTACCAGTCTCAAGAATGTTCAGTTTACTCTAATCACATGTCAAAAGCATGTTTACCCTATTATTTAGGGGCACAGGCAAATACAAGTCCTCTAATGTACTTGAGAACCACAGTTATGAAAAAATATAATGAAAAGAAAAAAAAATGTAATGTTAAAAAATTAAGGCCAGGTGTGGTGGCTCACACCTGTAATCCCAGCACTTTGGGAGGCCAAGGCGGACAGATCACCTGATGTCAGGAGTTTGAGACCAGCCTGTCCAACGTGGCAAACCCTGTCTCTACTAAAAATTTAAAAATTAGCCAGGTGTAGTGGCGTGCGCCTGTAGTCCCAGCTATTCAGGAGGCTGAGGCAGGAGGATCACTTGAACCCAGGAGGTGGAGGTTGCAGTGAGCAAAGATGGCACCAGCTGCATTCCAGCCTGGGTGACAGAGCGAGACTCTATCTCAAAAAAAAAAAAAAAAAAAGAAATTAAGAGAGGTGGGGTGCAGTGATTCATACCTGTAATCCCAGCACTTTTGGGAGGTCAAGGCAGGAGGATCACTTGAGCCCAGAAGTTTTTAGTTTTTGTTTTTGTTTTTTTTTTAGATGGAATCTCGCTCTGTCACCCAGGCTGGAGTGCAGTGGCACTGATCTCGGCTCACTGCAAGCTCCGCCTCCCAGGTTCATGCCATTCTCCTGCCTCAGCCTCCCGAGTAGCTGGGACTACAGGCGCCCGCCACCAAGCCCGGGTAATTTTTTGTATTTTTAGTAGAGACGGGGTTTCACCATGTTAGCCAGGATGGTCTCCATCTCCTGACCTCATGATCTGCCTGCCTTGGCCTCCCAAAGTGCTGGGATTAGAGGTGTGAACCACCGTTCCTGGCCTGAGCCCAAGAGTTTGACACCAGCCTGGGCACCATAGGGAGACCCCAAGAGACAGAGACAAAAAGGGAGTCAGAGAGAGGAAGAGACAGACAGAGAGAGACAAAGAAGTCAAAGAGAAAGAGAGATGGAAGTAGTAAAGAAAAAACAGTGTACCCTATTCCTTTAAAAGCCAGGGTAAATTTAAAACCTATAATTGATAAT
Organism: Homo sapiens; assembly: GCF_000001405.40. NCBI lineage: Eukaryota > Metazoa > Chordata > Mammalia > Primates > Hominidae > Homo > Homo sapiens. The sequence goes on along the minus strand of NC_000001.11, from coordinate 38,979,800 downwards.
TGAAGGTCTTCTCCGTGACCCTGTACCACTCCAATACCACCTTGTTGGCAGTGCAAACAAGGGCATAGCCTGAAAGCACTGAGGCCACTGACAACCCATAGCCTTCCTGTCAAAGATCCTTAACCCAGCAGGTTTCCTAACAGGGGATCTAAATCTTAATTAATTGCCATACAAAAGTCCAACCAGATCTAGGAGGAACTCCCTTCAGGACAGGATGATAGATGGTTCCTCCCAGGCAATTAAGGGAAAAAAAAAAGACACAGTGGGTATTCAGTAAGTGATAAGGGAACTCTTGTAGAAGCAGTTAGGAAAATTGCCTAATTATTGGTCTGCTCAAACGTGTGAGTTGTTTGCACTCAGCCAAATCTTAAAGTACTTACAGAATTAGGAAGGAGCCATCTATACCAATTCTAAGTTAATATGGACTGAACGAGGTTTTATTAATAGCAAAGGAAAATTAAAATCCCAAATTTACAACGTTTTTAACTAAAGTAAAGTTTGCTAAAAGTTAACAGTGTAACATGCATTATCCTACTACCACATACTCTCAAAGGATTTCTCAGACAGTTTGCAAGAAATAGCAAAATCTACCAGGCGTGGTGGCTCACGCCTGTAATCCCAGCACTTTGGGAGGCCGAGGTGGGCGGATCACTAGGTCAGGAGATCGAGACCATCCTGGCTAACACGGTGAAACCCTGTCTCTACTAAAAATACAAAAAATTAGCCGGGCGAAGTGGCAGGCGCCTGTAGTCCCAGCTACTCGGGAGGCTGAGGCAGGAGAATGGCGTGAACCCGGGAGGGGGAGGTTGCAGTGAGCCGAGCTAGTGCCACTGCAGTCCAGCCTGGGTAAAAGAGCGAGACTCCGTCTCAAAAAAAAAAAAAAAAAAAAAAAAGAAATAGCAAAATCTATCCAGTAAGGATAGTAACTACAATCCCAAATAGACTCTTTGGCAGCAGTGACTCTCCAAAACTGCCGAGGCCTAGACCTCCTCACTGCTGAGAAAGGAGGACTTTGTACCTTCTTAGGGGAAGAGTGTTGCTTTTACACTAACCTGTCAGGGATAGTACTAGATGCCACCCAGCGTTTACAGGAAAAGTCTTCTGAAATCAGACGATGCCTTTCAAACTCTTATACCAACCTCTGGAGTTGGGCAACCTGGCTTCTCCCCTCTCTATGTCCCGTGACAGCCGTCTTGCTATTACTTGCCTTCGGGCCCTGTATTTTTAACCTCCTTGTCAAATTTGTTTCCTCTAGGATCGAGGCCATCAAGCTACAGATGGTCTTACAAATAGAACCCCAAATGAGCTCAACTAACAACTTCTATCAAGGACCGCTGGACCGATCCACTGGCCCTTTGGCCTAAAGCATTCCCCTCTGGAGGACACTACAACTGCAGGGCCCCTTCTTTGCCCCTATCCAGCAGGAAGTAGCTAGAACGGTCATCGCCCAATTCCCAACAGTAGTTGGGGTATCCTGTTTAAAGGGGGGATTGAGAGGTGAAGCCAGCTGGGCTTCTGGGTCGGGTGGGGACTTGGAGAACTTTTCTGTCTAGCTACAGGATTGTAAACACACCAGTCAGTGCTCTGTGTCTAGCTAAAGGTTTGTAAATGCACCAATCAGCACTATGTAAAAACGCACCTATCAGCACTCTGTGTCTAGCTAAAGATTTGTAAATGCACCAATCAGCACTCTCTAAAAATGGACCAATCAGCACGCCATAAAATGGACCAATTAGCACTCTGTAGAATGGACTGATCAGCAGGATGTGGGTGGGGCCAAATAAGGGACTAAAAGCTGCCACCCAAGATGGCAGCCGCAACCCACTCGGGTCCCCTTCCACACTGTGGAAGCTTTGTTCTTTCACTCTTCACAATAAATCTTGCTGCTCCTCACTCTTTGAGGAGGAGCACCACCTTTAAGAGCTGTAACACTCATTGCGAAGGTCTGCAGCTTCACTCCTGAAGTCAGTGAGACCACAAACCCACCGGGAGGAACAAACAACTGCGGACATGCCACCTTTAAGGGCTGTAACACTCACCGGGAGGGTCTGTGGCTTCACTCCTGAAGTCAGCAAGACCACAAACCCACCGGAAGGAACCAATTCCAGACACACCTGTCACTAAAAAAAAAAAAAAAAAAAAAAAAAAAAAAAATTCTCAATAATATAAAATACCCAGGGCCCGGTGTGGTGGGACTTCCTGTAGTCCCAGCTACTTAGGAAGCGGATGCAGGATTGTTTGAGCATAGAAGTTCAAGGCCAGCCTGGTAACACAGTGAGACTCTGTCTCTAAAAAAAGATTTTTAAATTTTTTATCCTAAAAAATTTTTCATAGGCCAGGCATGGTGGCTCATGCCTGTAATCCCAGCACTTTGGGAGACTGAGGTGGGTGGATCACGAGGTCAAGAGACCAAGACCATCCTGGCCAACATGGTGAAACCCTGTCTCTACTAAAAATACAAAAATTAGCTGGGCGTGGTGGCACGTGCTGGTAGTCCCAGCTACTCGGGAGGCTGAGGCAGGAGAATCACTTGAACCCAAGAGGCGGAGGTTGCAGTGAGCTGAGATCGTGCTACTGCACTCCAGCCTAGAGCGAGACTCCGTCTCAAAAAAAAAATTTTTTTTTGTAGAGACGGCCTCCCTCTCTCACCCAGCCTGGAGTGCTGTGGTGCAATCTTGACTCCCTGAAGCCTTGAACTGCGGAGCTCAAGTTTTCCTCCCACCTCAGCCTCCTGAGTAGCTGAGACTACAGGCAAATGTCACCATGACTGGCTAATTAAAACAACTTTTTTTTTTGCTCATGCCTGTAATCCCAACACTTTGGGAGGCCGAGGTGGCTGAATCACTTGAGCCCGGGAGCCTGGGCAACATGGTGAAACTTTATCTCTACAAAAAATACAAAAATAAGCCAGGCGTAGTGGCATGAGCCTATAGTGCTAGCTACTTGGGAGGCTGAGGTGGGAGGATCACTTGAGACCAGGAGGCAGGTTGCAGTAAGCTGAGATCTCGCCACTGCACTCCAGTCTGGCTGACAGAGCCAAAATAAATAAATAAAAACAAAACAAAAAAATAAGACAAAACTGTAGAGACAGGATCTGGCTATGTTGCCCAGGCTGGTCTCCAACTCCTGGCCTCAAGCAATCCTCCTGCCTCAGCAGCCCCCAAAGTGCTGGGATTACAAGTGTTAGCCACCATGCCTGGTAAAAAGTTTTTTCAAATACCTATAAATAAGCTGAACAAAGTCACAGGATGTATATGAAGAATATAATAAAAATGTTACTGAACAACATAAAGTTCAAAGCTAGACAAGTAGAAAGTTATTTGTTCTTGGATAAGAAAACTTAACGTTGTAACAACAAAAATATTTAAAAATACTTATATTTAATGCAATTCCAATTAGAATTCTGGCAGGCAGGTTTTTTGTTTGTTTGTTTGAGACGGAGTCTCGGTTTGTCACCTAGGCTGGAGTGCAGTGGTGCAATCTCGGCTCACTGCAACCTCTGCCTCTGTTCAAGCAATTCTCCTGCCTCAGCCTCCCAAGTAGCTGGGATTACAGGCATCCACCACCATGCCCAGCTAATTTTTGTATTTTTAGTAGAGATGGGGTTTCTCCATGTTGGCTAGGCTGGTCTCGAACTCCTGACCTTGAACTCCTGATCTCAAGTGATCCACCTGCCTCGGCTTACCAAAGTGCTGGGATTACAAGCGTGAGCCACCGCACCTGGCCAGGCAGGCAGTTTTTAAGAAATCATTAAAATAACCTTAAATCCATATGGAAGAATTTATACCCTAGAATAAACTAGGAAAGTATGAACATGGAGTACAGTGAAGGGGAACTACTTGCTTAACCAGATACCAGAACATCCACAAACCTACTTTAATCAAATTAGTATAATATTGGCATAGGAATAGAATACTGGAAAAGAATAGAAAATCTAGAGGCTGGGCACAGTGGCTCACGCCCGTAATCCCAGCACTTTGGGAGGCCAAGGCGGGTGGATCACTTGAGGTCAGGAGTTTGAGACCAGCCTGGCCAACAGGGTGAAACCCTGTCTCTACCAAAAAATACAAAAATTAGCCGGGCGTGGTGGCATGTCTGTAATGCCAGCTACTCGGGAGGCTGAGGCAGGAGAATCCCTTGAATCTGGGAGGCAGAGGTTGCAGTGAGCTGAGATTGTGCCACTGAACTCCAGCCTGGGCAACAGAATGAGACCCTGTCTCAAAAAAAAAAAAGAAAAAGAAAAAAAGAAAAAAAAAAAGAAAATCTAGAACTAGATCCCAGTATGGAAGAGAGTTCAGCATATGACAATAGTGTTATTTGTTACAGCCAGGCAAAAAAAAATGGTTCATTTAGTAAATGATATTGAACTGTTTCTCTATATGAAAGAAAAATAATTATGAAAGATAATTTGACCCCTATGTCATACCATTTCAAAAGATGGTTTAGACCAGGTGCGGTGGCTCATGCCTGTAATCCCAGCACTTTGGGAGGCCAAGGTGAGCAGATCACCTGAGGTCAGGAGTTCGAGACCAGCCTGACCAACATGGTGAAACCCTGTCTCTAATAAAAATACAAAAATTAGCTGGATGTGGTGGTGCACGCCTGTAGTTCCAGCTACTTGGGAGGCTGAGGCCTGAGGATGGCTTGAACCAGGGAGACGGAGGTTGCAGTGAGCTGAGAGCACGCCATTGCATTCCAGCCTGGGCAACAGAGGGAGACTCAGTTTCAAAACAAAAAAAAAAGATGGTTTAAACTTTTACATTTAAATGAAAACATAAAATTAAAGAACAAAAATCTTAGAATAAAATAGAAGAGACCACATGTACAATGTAGGTATGAAATAGACCTTCTTAACCACAGCAGCAAACCCAGCTGTTATAAAAGAAAGAACTTCAGGGCTGGGCGTGGTGGCTCACGCTTGTAATCCCAGCACTTTGGGAGGCCGAGGCCAGTGGATTACCTTTGGTCAGGAGTTTGAGACCATCCTGGCCAACATGAGGAAACCCCGTCTCTACTAAAAATACAAAAATTAGCCAGGCATGGTGGCGTGTGCCTGTTGTCCCAGCTACTTGGGAGGCTGAGGCAGGAGAATCGCTTGAACCTGGGAGATGGAGGTTGTGATGAGCCAAGATCATGACACTGCACTCCAGCCAGGGCAACAGAGCGAGACTCTGCCTCAAATAAAAAAAAAAAAAAAAAAAAAGAACTTGAGTTAACCCTTGAGCAACACAGGTTTCAACTGCATGGATCAACTTGAGATTTTTAAAAAATAAACATATTGGAAAATTTTTTAGACATTTGTGACAATTTGAAAAAACTTACAGATGAACAAGTTTAGAAATATCAAAAAAATAAGAAAATGTGGGTATGTCATGAATGCATAAAATGTGTCCAAACTAGCCTACTTTATCATTTACTATCATAAAATATACAAAAATCTATTATAAAAAGGTAAAATGTATCAAAACTTACAGATACAAATTAATCGGGAAAAGTTCCCTTGTCCCCCTTCACAGGGTGTGGGCTGGGGGTGTGGCTCACTTCTTCCATGCCCCGCTGTTCAAACCTCTAGGGGAACGTACAGACGGGGAGGCTGCGGGACTCCAACCCCACAGCAGTGTCTAGGGGTGAATATTTACAGCTGAAGCCCCAGTGGGCTTGTGTTACAGGGTGCTTTTTTAGTTTGTCATCTATAGGCGGCTTGTGTTAACCAGCTCAGTTAGACCCTCTACCTGGTTGCAAGGACAGAGGGCTTTCTGTATCCCAGGGTTTCTTGCCTTGGTGTACCAAAAGAATCAGATCACACATGGGCTTGGAGAATGAGTGCAAGGTTTTACTGAGTGGAACTAGCTCTTAACAGATGTGGGAGCCAGAAGGGAGACTGGTTTTCCCCTGGAGTCGGGCCACTCGGCCCGGGCTCTCCTCCGACTACCCCAGCCAAATGCCACAATGTTACACCAGTTAGTGGCCTGCTGGCATGTGAGTGCCAGTGCATTCCTCTTGAAGTCCAGATGCCTGTGTGTTCCGACACCGATGTGCTCCTCTCAATGTCCAGCCCCTTCTGTGCCTCCTTCTGTGCCTTGGTAGGGGTCTTGGTTTTTTTTTTTTTTTTTTGAGACAAAGTCTCGCTCTGTCACCCAGGCTGGAGTGCAGTGGTGCGATCTCAGCTCACTGCAACCTCCGCCTCCTGGGTTCAAGCAATTCTTCTGCCTCAGCCTCCTGAGTAGCTGGGACTACGGGTGAGCACTACCACACCCAGCTAATTTTTGTAATTTTAGTAGGGCAAAAATTACAGCCAGGCTGGTCTCGAACTCCTGACCTCAAGTGATCCACCCACCTCGGCCTCCCAGAGTGCTGGGATTATAGGTGTGAGCCACCGCGCCCAGCCTGGGTCTCTGGATTTTATAGGCACAGGATGGGGGTGTGGCAGGCCAGGGTGGTCTTGGGAAATGCAACATTTGGGCGCAAAAGTAGGAGTGCCTGCCCTCACCTAGGTCTGTGGGGGTGGAGCCCTAGCCAGGGACCACACCCTCCCTCATTTCTGTATCATTTAAAGGGACCACGCTCTTCCCTTCCCAGCATTAACATATCACAAACACAGACCATACATGGTACCATTCACAGTGGAGAGAAATGTAAAAAATGTAAAGATGCAGTATTATATCATAACTGCATAAAATTAATGGTAGTAATACTGCACTATGGTAATAATTTCATAGCGACCTTCTGTTGCTATTGTGGTGAACTTGTGTTGCAAGTATCCATTTAAAATGCTGTGTGATACTAATCATCTCTGCATGAGCAGTTCATCTCTTCAGTAAATGGCATTATCACAGTAAAAAGTGATCTCTCTTGTGGTGGCTCATGCCTGTAATTCCAGCACTTTGGGAGGCTGAGGTGGGAGGATCGCTTGAGGCCAGGAGTTGGAGACCAGTGTGGGCAACATAGTGAGACCCCGTCTCTCTCTCTATTAAAAAAATAGTTTAAAAAATGTGATGTCTTTTTTGTTTTTATTTATTTTATTGTTTTGAGATGGAGTTTCACTCCTGTTGCCCAGGCTGGAGTGCAATGGCATGATCTCGGCTCACTGCAACCTCCGCCTCCTGGGTTCAAGCAATCTCCTGCCTCAGCCTCCCGAGTAGGTAGGATTACAGGCATGCACCACCACGCCCAGCTAATTTTGTATTTTTAGTAGAGACAGGGTTTCTCCACGTTGGTCAGGCTGGTCTCAAACTCCCAACCTCAGGTGAGTCGCCTGCCTCGGTCTCCCAAAGTGCTGGGCTTACAGGTGCGATCCACCTCACTGGCCTCTTTTTTTTTTTTTTTTAACTGAACCAGAATACATAGTTCTCATGTATTTTTAATGGTGTTAACGTGAAAGTGTAACTTGAATAACACCATGAGACCCATATTAAGTGTGACTTGTAATGCTGGAAGTGCTCCCAGGAAGCAGAGAAAAGTCATGACATTACAAGAAAAAATTGAATTGCTTGATATGTACCACAGATTGAGGTACCGACCTCAATGTACCAACCACACCTGCAAATGTGGTTGGTAACCACCTCAAGATAAATGAATCCAGTGTGAGGATGATTGTTAAAAAAAAAAAAAGGAAAAGGAAATTTGGGAAACTATTGCTGCCACTCTGCCAGCAAGTGCAAAACCTTATACTTTTCTTTCTTTTTCTTTTTCTTTTTCTTTTTTTTAGACGGAGTCTCGCTCTGTCACCCAGGCTGGAGTGCAGTGGTGTGGTCTCGGCTCACTGCAAGCTCCACCTCCCGGGTTCATGCCATTCTTCTGCCTCAGCCTCCCGAGTAGCTGGGACTACAGGCGCCCGCCACCATGCCCAGCTAATTTTTTGTATTTGAGTAGAGACGGGGCTTCACCGTGTTAGCCAGGATGGTCTCGATCTCCTGACCTCATGATCTGCCCGCCTCGGCCTCCTAAAGTGCTGGGATTACAGGCATGAGCCACCGCGCCCGGCCTCCTTTTTCTTTTCTTTTCTTTTCTTTTTTTTTTTTTTTTGAGACAGAGTCTCGCTCTGTTGCCCAGGCTGGAGAGCAGTGGCACCATCTCAGTTCACTGCATCCTCTGCCACCCAGCTTCAAGCGATTCTCCTGCCTCAGCCTTCCCAGTAGCTGGGACTACAGGCACGTGACACCACGCCCAGCTAATTTTTGTATTTTTAGTAGAGACTGCATTTCACTATGCTGGCCAGGCTGGTCTCAAACTCCTGACTTTAGGTGATCTGCCCGCCTCAGCCTCCCAAAGTGCTGAGATTATAGGCGTGAGCCACCACGCCCAGCCCCTTATACTTTTTGTGAGATATCTTTTTTAAAAAATTTATTTTAAAAATTTTATAGAGATGGCCGGGAGTGGTGGCTCATGCCTGTAATCCTAGCACTTTGGGAGGCTGAGGCGGGTGGATCAAGAGGTCAGGAGCTCAAGACCATCCTGGCTAACACAGTGAAACTCCGTCTCTACTAAAAACACAAAAAAATTAGCAGGGCGTGGTGGCATGCGCCTGTAGTCCCAGCTGCTGAGGAGGCTGAGGCAGGAGAATGGCGTGAACCTGGGAGGTGGAGCTTGCAGTGAGCCGAGATTGCGCCACTGCACTCCAGCCTGGGTGACAGAGCAAGACTCTGTCACACACACACACACACACACACAAAAAATTTATAGAGACAAAGTCTCCCTGTGTTGCCTAGGCTGATCTTGAACTCCTGTGCTCAAGCGATCCTTCCACCTCAGCCTCCCAAAATGTTGGGATTACAGGCATGAGCCACTGTGCCTGTCTGATTTTTGTTTAATTTTTTTTATCTTTGAAATACCTTTTCATCTCGAACTGAAAATGCAGCTTTTGGGCCGGACACAGTGGCTCACGCCTGTAATCCCAGCACTTTGGGAGGCTGAGGCGGGCCGATCACCTGAGGTCAGGAGTTCGAGACCAGCCTAACCAACATGGTGAAACCCCGACTGTACTAAATAATAATAAAAGAAAATTAGCTGGGCATGATGGCACATGCCTGTAATCCCAACTACTTGGGAGGCCGAGGCAGGAGAATCGCTTGAACCTGGGAGGCGGAGGTTGCAGTCAGCCAAGATTGCGCCATTACAATACAGCCTGGGCAACAAGAGCGAAACTCAAAAAAACTCAAAAAAAAAAAAAAAAAAAAAAGAAAGAGAAAAAGAAAAGACAAAGAAAAAAGAAAATGCAGCTTTCATATGGGTGCAGGATTTCTATATCAAAGTCCTACTGGCTAGGCACAGTGGCTCATGCCACACACACACACACACACACACAAAGAAAGGAAAAAAAGAAAAAGAAAAAGAAAGAAAAGTGTAATCCTAACACTTTAGGAGGCCAAGGCAGGAGGATTACTTGAGGCCAGGAGTTCAAGACCAGCCTGAGCAACATAGCAAGACCCTTTCTCTAGAATTAAAACAATATAAAAAATTGAAAGAGAAAAAGAAAGGCATACCTATAGACTAATGTGATTCTAGAAAAAGCAAAGTTATTATATGACAATTTAAAGCAAAAGGAAGGTGAAGGATCTACCACTGGAGAATTTAATGCCAACCAAAAATGGTTTGGCAATTTTAGAAAGAGTTTTGGCTTAACAAATGGCTGGGCGCAGTGGCTCATGCCTGTAATCCCAACACTTTGGGAGGCCGAAGTGGGCGGATCACCTGAGGTCAGGAGTTCAAGACCAGCCTGACCAACATGGTGAAACCCCCTCTCTACTGAAAATACAAAAGAATTAGGCAGGCATGGTAACAGGCACCTGTAATCCCAGCTACTCGGGAGGCTGAGGCAGAAGAATTGCTTGAACCCAGGAGGCGGAGGTTTCAGTGAGCCAAAATCACGCCATTTTACTTCAGCCTGGGTAACAGAGCAAGATTCCGTCTCAAAAAAAAAATCAAGATAACATGAGAAGCAACTTCTGCCAATGAAGAACCAGTAGATGTGTTTCCAGATGCCATTACTAAAATCACTGGCCAAGTACACTGGCTCAGGTCTGTAATCTCAGCACTTTGCGAGGCCAAGGTGGGAGTATCACTTGAGCCCAAGAGCTTGAGGGCAGCCTGAGCAATATAATGAGACCCTGTATCTACGAAAAAAAATTAAAAAATTAACAGGGTGTGGTGGCACACACATGTAGTCCCAGCTAGTCAAGAGGCTGAAGCGGGAGGATATCGTGAGCCCAGGAGTTTGAGGCTGCAGTGAGCTATGATTGCACCACTGCACTCCAGCCTGGGTGACAGCAAGACCCTGTCTCTCTCTCAAAGAAAAAAAAAAAATAATTGAGCAGAAAAGACATCTGCCTGAACAGGTTTTGAATACAGATGAAAGTGCCCTATTCTGGGAAAAAAAAATGCTACAAAGTACATTTATTAGTAAGTAAGAGAAGTGAGTAGCAGGATTTAAGGCAGGAAGAGATAGGCTAACTCTACTGTTTTGTGCAAACACTTCTGGGTTTATGATCAGGACCGCCCTTATCTATAAAGCTGCTAATCCCCACGCCTTGAAGGGAAAAAGTAAACACCAGCTGCCGGTCTTTTGGTTACACAACAAGAACCCTTTTTCTAGATTGATTCCATTGATGCTTTGCTGTGAAGTCAGGAAGTAATTTGCCAGTAAGGTACTGCCTTTTAAAATTCTTTTCATATTGGACAATGCTCCTGGCCACCCAGACCCCATGAGTTCAACACCAAAGGGGTCCAGGGGTTCTACTTGCCCTCAAGCATAATGTCGTAATTCAGCTTTTAGATAAGAGGTCATAAGGACCCTGAAGGGTCATTACAAGCAGTACTCTATGGAAAGTATTGTCAATGCCGTGGAAGAGAACACGGCTAGAGAGAACATCATGAAAGTCTGGAAGGATCCCACCATTGAAGATATCATCGTTATTACAGAAAAAAAACATGAAAGCCATCAGGCCTGAAACAATAAATTCCTGCTAGAAAAAAATTGTGTCAAGATGTTCTACATGACTTTACAGGATTTATAACAGAAACAATCAAGGAAATAATGAAAGAAATTGTGCATATGGCAAAAAAGGTGAAACATAAAGGATTCCAAGATATAGATCTTGGAGAAATTCAAAAGCTAATAGACACCATACCAGAGGAATTAACAGGAGATTTGATGGAGATGAGTGCTTCTGAACCAGTGCTAGACAATGAGAAAGAAATAGAAGGCCGGGCACGGTGGCTCACGCCTGTAACCCCAGCACTTTGGGAGGCCGAGGCAGGTGGATCACAAGTTCAGGAGTTGGAGACCAGCCTGGCCAATATGGTGAAACCCCAGCTCTACTAAAAAAAATAGAAAAATTATCTGGGTATGGTGGCAGGCACCTGTAATCCCAGCTACTCAGGAGGCTGAGGCAGGAGAATCGCTTGAACCTGGGAGGTGGAGGTTGCAGTGAGCCGAGCTGGCAGCACTGCACTCCAGCCTGGGCAACAGAGAGAGACTCCATAAAAAAAAAAACAAAAAAAAAAAAAAAAGAGAAGAAGATAGAAGAAGTAATTCCAGGGCCAGGCATGGTGGCTCATGCCTGTAATCTCACCACTTTGGGAGGCCGAGGTGGGCAGATCACCTGAGGTCAGGGGTTCGAGACCAGCCTGACCAACATGGTGAAACCTCATCTCTACTAAAAATACAAAATTAGCCGGGCGTGGTGGTGCATGCCTGTAATCCCAGCTACTCGGGAAGCTGAGGCAGGAGAATTGCTTGAACCCGGGAGGTGGAAGTTGCAATGAGCCAAGATAGCTCCATTGCACTCCAGCCTGGGCAACAAGAGTGAAACTGTCTCCAAAAAGAAAAAATGAAAAAAAGAAATAATACCAGAAAACAAGTTGACATTAGACAGTCTGGAAGAAGGGAGACTGCCTTTGGCTTCTGGGTTGGTTGGTTTGTGTGTGTGTGTGTGTTTTTTTTTTGTTTTTTTTTTTTTACTTTTAGAAACAGGGTCTTACTCTGTCATCATCCAGGCTGGAGTGCAGTGGCACAATCAGAGCTCACTGCAACCTCAAACTCCTAGCCTCCTGAAGGGATTCTCTGGCCCCAGCCTCCTGAATAGCTAGGACTTTTATGACATGGACTCTTCCATAATATGGTCACTGAAATGAAAGCAAATGGTGGAAAAAGGATTGGTACCATATAGAAAAAATGTCAGAGAAATGAAAAGCAAAAAAGTCAGACAGACATATATTAAAATGTATTTCCAGAAAGTTACAATGGGTGTGCTTGCATCTCCTGCCTCCCCTTCCACCTCCTCCATCTCTTCTCCCTCTGTCACCCTTGAACAGCAATACCAACTCCTCCTTTTCCTCTTCAGCCTTTCAACTTGAAAATGATGAAGATAAAAATCTTTATGATGGTCCACTTCCACTTAATATACAGTAAATGTATTTTTTCCTCATTATTTCCTTTTTTTTTTTTTTGAGACAGAGTTTCGCTCTTGTTGCCCAGGCTGGAGTGCAATGGCACGATCTTGGCTCACTGGAACCTCCATCTCCCAGGTCCAAGTGTTTCTCCTGCCTCAGCCTCCCAAGTAGCTGGGATTACAGGCGTGCACCACCACGCCAGGCTAATTTTTTGTCTTTTTAGTAGAGACAGGGTTTCACCATGTTGGTCAGGCTGGTTGTGAACCCCTGACCTCAGATGATCTGCCCACCTTGACCTCCCAAAGTAGTGGGCTTACAGGTGAGAGCCACTGCACCTGTCCATAATTTTCTTTTTCTTTCTTTCTTTTTTTTTTTTTTTTTTTTTGAGATGGTTTCGCTCTTGTTGCCCAGGCTGGAGTGCAATAGCATGATCTCAGCTCACCACAACCTCTGCCTCCCAGGTTCAAGCGATTCTCCTGCCTCAGCCTCCTGAGTGGCTGAGATTACAGGCATGTGCCACCACACCCGGCTAATTTTGTATTTTTAGTAGAGATGGGGTTTCTCCATGTTGGTCAGGCTGGTCTCAAACTCACTACCTCAGGTGATCCGCCCGCCTCGGCCTCCCAAAGTGCTGGGATTACAGGCCTGAGCCACTGAGCCTGGCCCATAATTTTCTTAATAACATTTTCTTTTCTCTAGCTTACTTTATTGTAAGAATACAGTATATAGGCCGGGTGTGGTGGCTCATGCCTGTAATCCCAGCACTTTGGGAGGCCGAGGCGGGCAGATCACAAGATCAGGAGTTTGAGGCCTGTCTGACCAACATGGTGAAATCCCATCTCTACTAAAAATACCAAAATTAGCTGGGCATAGTGGCACACGCCTGTAATCCCAGCTACTCAGGAGGCTGCGGCAGGAGAATCACTTAACCCGGGAGGCAGAGGTTGCAGTGAGCCAGAGATTGCACCATTGTACTCTAGCCTGGGCAACAAGAGCAAAACTCCATCTCAAAAAAAAAAAAAATACAGTATATAATACATATAACATACAAAATATGTATTAATCAGTGTTTAAGATATTGGTAAAGCTTCCATCAACTGTAGGCTAATAGCAGTTAAGGCTTTGGGCAGTCAGAAGTTATATGTGGATTTTCCACTGCATGGGGGATTGGCACTCCTGATGTTCTCGTTTAAGCATCAACTGTACTTGATGAAATAAAACCTTTTAAATAAATTTGTAAACAAACAACATCTCTGAGGTAAAAATGCAATAGAGGCCAGGTGCAGTGGCTCACACCTATAATCCCAGCACTTTGGGAGGCTGAGGTGGGCGGATCACGAGGTCAGGAGATCGAGACCATCCTGGCCAACGTGGTGAAACCCCGTCTCTACTAAAAATACAAAAATTAGCTGGGTGCAGCGGCGCAAGCCTATAATCCCAGCTACTCAGGAGGCTGAGGCATGAGAATCGCTCGAACCCAGGAGGCAGAGGTTGAAGTGAGCCAAGATCGAGCCACTGCACTGCAGCCTGGTGACAGAGCAAGACTCCATCTCAAAAAAATAAATAAATAAATAAAAATAAAAGAAAAAAATATGCAATAGAGACAACAGACTGTTAACATTTATCACAGAAGGAATTCCTACAAACTGACAAGAAGGGGACTAAATTCAAGTTAAAGTAACAATGAAACATCGCTTTTACTTATCAGCCTGTGAAAGTTTAAAAGTTCAGATAACATTTATTACTGGTGAAATTGCACAAAAAGAGATCTTATTATATATTGCTGTAAACTGTTACAGCCTTTTGGGAGTACACTCCAGCATCAGTTATTAAAAATGAAAATATATTGTTTCATCTACAAATCCCACTTCAGGGCAGGTATCCTATAAAAGAAAAGTGCTGGAATATATCTATAAGCATGTTTATTAGCTATCATTCGCAGTAGCTGAACACTGAGATTAAAGAGAATTTCATTATTCAAGTAGTGATTTCATGAATTATGGTATATTTTATGCAGCTATTAACAAGAATGGATTAAAGTCATGAATATTTTTTTTTTTTGAGGCGGAGTCTCGTTCTGTTGCCCAGGCTGGAGTACAGTGGCATGATCTCGGCTCACTGCAAGCTCCAGCTCCCGGGTTCACGCCATTCTCCTGCCTCAGCCTCCTGAGTAGCTGGGACTACAGGAGCCCGCCACCATGCCCGGCTAATTTTTTGTATTTTTAGTAGAGATGGGGTTTCACCGTGTTAGCCAGGATGGTCTTGATCTCCTGACCTCGTGATCCTCCCGCCTCGGCCTCCCAAAGTGCTGGGATTACAGGCTTGAGTCACCGCGCCCGGCGAGTCATGCAGATTTGCATGGTAGAATTTGAAAGAGAAAACTAAGGAATGGGGAGTTTCTGTAATTCATCCAAGACTATACAGTAGTAAGGAATGGGGTGAGGATTAAAAAAGTCCAAGTTTGGGCCGGGCACTGTGGCTCACGCCTGTAATCCCAGCACTTTGGGAGACCGAGGCAGACGGATCACCTGGGGTCAGGAGTTCGAGACCAGCCTGACCGACATGGTGAAACTCCGTCTCTACTAAAAATAAAAAATTAGCCGGGTGTGGTGGCACATGCCTGTAGTCCCAGGTACTCGGGAGGCTGAAGCAGGAGAATCGCTTGAACCTAGGAGGTGGAGGCAGGTTGCAGTGAGCCGAGATTGCGCCATTGCACTCCAGCTTAGGCGACAGAGTGAGACTCTGTCTCAAAAAAAAAAAAAAAGTCCAACTTTGGAGTCCATGAACTTAGCCAATATACTGTGTTACTTTTGAGGGAGCGTGAATAGAGAGTTGGCAGAGGATGACAAATTAAAGGTAGAAAAAGAGAGGTATAACTGAATGCCATGAGTGTCAAAGGATCACAGAGCAAAGGCAGAACAACGAGGTAGTAGCAACTGTTCCCCCTGCCAGCCACCTTTTCCTGACAAACCACAGTTGTACCCACTAAGACAGGACAAGACAGTAGAGACCTCCCTTCCTAGCTCTCCACATGGTATGGGCATGGTGGTGGCTTTTCTTAGGCCACCAGAGGTCACTCCATCTTCCTCTGATACAGGTTACAGAATCTGAGTGTTGACAACAGGTACCACAGTGCCTTGGGTCTTCTTGCCATCACTCCAGAGCTGTTGCTCAGCTTCGTCTCTGCTGGTGTGGATCTGCCAGCCACTGCTGCTGGCTGTCGCTGGTGCAGCCACTGCCAGTCCCAGAGATGAGAGACAGGAAGCCTTTCTTCTCTCTGCCAAATAGCACAATGATACAGTTAAAACACAGACATGGGATCAGGCAGATGCAGGTTCAAATCTCAGCTCTGTTATGCCCAGCATTGTGTAACCCTAATCTATTCACAACCTCTCTAAGCCTCAGTTTCCTCACCTGTAAAATGAACCTGCATCACAGGTTAATTGTCAGAATTAACCAAGATACTGCATTTCAACTGCTTAGCATAACTCTTCTTATGAATAAAGTCAGAATGTTTCCCCCAGTGCTGGTGCTTGTATTCAGTTAGCTTTCCTTTACCTCTTTTTTTTTTTTTGAGATGGAGTCTCACTCATTCTGTCATCCAGGCTGGAGTGCAATGGTGCGATCTTGACTCACTGCAACCTCTGCCTCCCAGGTTTAAGCCATTCTCCTGCCTTAGCCTCCCGAGTAGCTGGGATTACAGGCACGTGCCACCATGCCTGGCTAATTTTTGTATTTTTAGTAGAGACAGGGTTTTGCCATGTTGGCCAAGCTGGTCTTGAACTCCTGACCTCAGGTGATCCACCTGCCTTGGCCTCCCAAAGTGCTGGAATTACAGGTGTGAGCCACCTCACCTGGCCTGTTTCCTTTGCTGTGCAGCTCAAAGTCTTTCTCTCCCCATTATTTACTATAACATTTGCTCTCCATTTTCGTTTTTTTTTTTTGAGACGTTTTTTGAGTCTTTTTTTTTGAGACGTTTTTTGAGTCTCGCTCTGTCACCCAGGATGGAGTGCAGTGAGTGGCGCGATCTTGGCTCACTGCAACCTCCACCTCCCAGGTTCAAGCAATTCTCCTGCCTCAGCCTCCCAAGTACCTGGGATTATAGGAGCGCACCACCACGCTCGGCTAATTTTTGTATTTTTAGTAGACACAGGGTTTCACCATGTTGGCCAGGCTCTTCATGAACTCCTGATCTCAAGGGATCCACCCGCCTCGGCCCCGCAAAGTGCTGGGATCACAGGTGTGCGCCACCATGCCTGGCCTGCTCCTCATTTTTCACTCTAGCAAAGAAAGAGGTTGGGCAAGGAGCCAACTGTTTTGGTTGCATATCCTCTAAAACAATTCTGAAAAATTGTGTACTCCCTTGCATATTTTTAAGTTGACATTTAAATTTTTCAACCTTAAGATTAAATATTACAAAGAATAGAATTTCCAGCATATTGTAAACATCAACATTTTAAAATAAGTAAGTATTACATAACTCTTTTGAATTCATTAAATGGAATCTAAACAGTATAAGGTGGTCTAGAATGAGCGCTCTGACCAACAAGGACACCATATCAGAAAGTGCTTGAGAGGCTGGGTGTGGTGGCTCACGCCTGCAATCCCAGCACTTTGGGAGACCAAGGTGGGTGGGTCGCTTGGGCCCAGGAGTTCAAGACCAGCCTGGGCAACATGGCTCCACCCGAGAACCCAGGAGGCAGAGGTTGCAGTGAGTCGTGATTGCGACACTGCACTCCAGCCTGGGTGACAGAGTGAGACCTCATTTCAAAAAACAAAAGGAAGTGCTTGACCAAACTAAACATACCCTTTTTTTAACGTATTTGACTGTCAATGAAATAGCAGTAGAGACACAGAAAGAAAAGGTAGTAAGCAGAAGCCATGAGATAGTTGCATCTAGACAAAAGAAGAGATCAAGAGGAATTTAGAAGGAAAATAGAGAGAGAAGCTACAAGTAGATGCAAGAGGTAAAAGTAGGGGCAAGGACAGAGATGAACTATGTCAGGACACTGAAGCAGTGGTTTTGGCAGGGAGTAATGGATAAGCACCTATGGGTTGGGGTGGGGAATGATGATGGCAATTGCTATTCAGACACTAGAGCTGTTACTGTATCCTGATTGGCAAGGATCCACCATTGAGTTCCACACAACTTAGTTGTTCAGCCAGAGATGGTAGTCACGTTGCGTCTTCCTCAATGCCTCTGTGGTCACATTGCCTCTTCCTCCTCTGTCTGTATCAAATCTCCCTCTGCCTCCCTCATAAAGATACTGTGATTGTATTTAAGACTCACTCGGATAATTCAGGATAAACACTCCATCTCAAGATCCTTAATTAAATTACATCTTTTGCCACAGAAGTTAATATTCTTATACTAACTGGTGTGCTACAATAAAGTTCTAGCAGTAACCACTTGAAGTTAGCATAGAACCCACAAATTACAGGTCATGGTCCCCAGTAAGACTGCCCTCATTTCGGATGCCAGCCACACATTAGGCATCCCTAGGCCACCCACATTTCTGACCAACTGGCTACAAATCTGGGGGTTCCCATATCCACTCAGGTTTGATAATTCACTAGAATGACTCACAGAACTCAGGAAAGTGATATACTTACAATCACAGTTTTATTATAAAGAATACAAGTCAGGACCAGCCAAATGAGGAGACAGGGTAAGGTCTGGGAGAGTCTCAAGAGCAGAACTTTGAGAATTGCCTTCTCCCTGTGGAATCAGGGCATATCAGCCTGGTGACACATTGATCTGTTTACCAGCCAGGAAATTCCACCAAACCTTATTGTCCAAAGCTTTTTTTTTTTTTTTTTTTTTGAGACAGAGTCTTGCTCTGTCACCAGGCTGGAGTGCAGTGGCGCAATCTTGGCTCACTGCAACCTCCACCTCCTGGGTTCAAGCGATTCCCCTGCCTCAGCCTCCTGAGTAGCTGGGACTACAGGCGCTTGCCACCACGCCCGGCTAATTTTTTTTTTTTTGTATTTTAGTAGAGATGGGGTTTTACCATGTTGGCCAAGATGGTCTCAATCTCCTGACCTTGTGATCCACCCCCTCGGCCTCCCAAAGTGCTGGAGTTACAGGCGTGAGCCACCATGCCTGGCCTGTCCAGCGTTTTTATTGGGACTTCATTATGGAAGCATGATTGATTGAATCATTGGCCATTGGCTGGGTATCAGTCACTGGTTGAACTCAATGTACTATACCCCCTTCCTTCCCCAGAAGTCAGTGGTGTGAAGTGGCATCTCATTGTGGTTTTGATTTGCATTTCTCTAATAACCAATGATGAATAATGTTGAACATCTTTTTATGTGCTTATTGGCCATTGGCATATTTTCTTTGTACAAATATCTGTTCAAATTCTTTGCCTTTTTTTTTTTTTTTTTTTTTGAGACAGAGTCTTGCTTTGTTGCCCAGGCTGGAGTGCAATGGTGCAATCTCGGCTCACTGCAACCTCTGCCTCCTGGGTTCAAGCGATTCTCCCACCTCAGCCTCCCGAATAGCTGGGATTACAGGTGCCAGGCACTAAGCCTGGCTAATTTTTGTATTTTTAGTAGAGATTTTTGTATTTCAGTAGAGGTCTTGCCATGTTGGTCAGGTTCATCTTGAACTCCTGACCTCAGGTGATCCCCCCAGCTTGGGCTCCCAAAGTGCTGGGATTACAGGTATAAGCCACCGCCTGGAACTTAGACTTCCTTTAAACTTAGTCTCTGGATGTGTTTTAAGTTTCCCAATCAGATACAGGCCTAAGGGGCTTGATCTGGAACTGAGTTAAAGTGGGGGATAAAATGAAGTTGCATGGGAGGATTCAGTAAGTCACAGCTCTGGTACCAAAAGCTCTGGCAGTGGCTTCTTGTTGCCCAGATCCTGGCTAAGTTAATGTGTTCCTGGAGCCAACAGTTGGAACAATAGCTTACTAATTTCCCAGTTTTCCGATGTGGCAGAGGCAACAGTTTTCTTGGTGAGAACTTATGCCTATCTTAAACCAACCTTCATTCAATAACCCCGACTAAGTATAGATTATTAAAATGTGTAAAACTTGTTTGCAGTAGGCTTTGTGAGATACACTGGCACTAATCCAAAGTTAATGTCCCTTACAGGGGTCGTCTTGACGGTTATGGGTGTAGGGACACGACATGTATGCTGGGTCCATAGCACTCTAACCCTCTTTCTTTCTTTCTTTCTTTTTTTTTTTTTTTGAGATGGAGTCTCGCTCTGTCACCCAGGCTGGAGTGCGGTGTGGCGCGATCTCGGCTCACTGCAAGCTCCGCCTCCCGGGTTCACGCCATTCTCCTGCCTCAGCCTCCGGAGTAGCTGGGACTTCAGGAGCCCGCCACCACGCCTGGCTAATTTTTTTGTATTTTCAGTAGAGACGGGGTTTCACTGTGTTAGCCAGGATGGTCTCGATCTCCTGACCTCGTGATCCACCCGCCTCGGCCTCCCAAAGTGTTGGGATTACAGGCGTGAGCCACGGCGCCCGGCCACCCTCTTTCGTTCATTTAGGGAATTTCATCAGGCGATGAGTCAGAGATACAGGGCTTACCATCCCCTACAGAAGCTGAAAGTACTAGGTACACTTTTTCCACCTGTCTTGCAGCTAGAGCACTGGCATGTGGACTGGGCTCTGCCAGTCAGCCACATCTGCCTCAAAGCTTGCTGGAAAAGTTGGCTTCAGGAGGATCGCTTCCTGGAAAAGCAGTGACTGTGGGGTAGTGATCAGTCCAGTATCTGATGGTCACGGTATCATTGGCACAAGCGGCATATCTGGAGCTCTTCAATCATGGCAGTGGTGTCTTGTCATCAGACCAGTTCTGCAATGTGGTTTTGGCTCTTTCTCATTATGTAGCTCAGAATGTGGTTCTTCAGCCCACCCATTTATTTTATAAGCTACATAATATCCTTTTTTTGTTGTTTTTTTTGAGATAGGGTCTTGCTCTGATGTTAGGATTATACTGCATACAACTTCAAGCACATTCACATCGAAAATTACCTCTAGTTACTGCATCCAGCTCTGAGTACAGAATCTCTAGGGGATGTCCAATATTTCCAATCAGCTCCAGATCTTAAAACCCATGGCTAAAATGATATATTTACTAGCAACATACTCTTAGTCCATTTTGTGTTGCTATAACAGAACACCACTGACTGGGTAGTTTCAAAGAAAAGAAATGTATTTTTCACAGTTCTGGAGGCAGATAAGTCCAATATCAAGGTGCTGGTGTGTGTTGAAGGCCTTCTTGCTGAGTCATTCATGGTGGAATGTGGAAGGGCAAGAGAGTCTGGGACAATAAGAAAATTGAACTCAAAACCTCAAGTCTTTTCATGACCCCAGTCCGTGAGCTACCGCTGAGGACTCAGCAACTTTCCCTTTGAGCCCCCTTGCTTCCTCATGCTCCATACCCCACCTTTGCCCACTTCCCCCCACTTCTTCCACTGCTACCTCTGTAGGCAGTTTCTGCTGAGGAAAAGGAATTGTATAGTATGTTTGCTATTCTGAACTTCTACTCTTTTGACCTCTTTGCTGGATGCAACTAAGGGCGATAACCTGCTTCCTGCTGACACTGAGGATTATATCCATATAAGAATTTAATAAAGAAATGGCAGGAAGACCATTACTACTGTCCAAGGAATTGCTGATGACTACCATAAAAAGAAACTATGACAGGCACAGTGGCTCATGCCTGTAATCCCAGCACTTTGGGAGGCCTAGGTGGGCAGATCACATGAGGTCAGGAGTTCAAGACCAGCCTGGCCAACATGCTGAAACCCCATCTTTACTAAAAATACAAAAACTGGCTGGTTGTGGTGGTTCATGCCTGTAGTCCTAGCTACTTGGGAGGCTGAGGCAGGAGAATCGCTTGAACCTGGGAGACGGAAGTTGCAGTGAGCTGAGATATCATGTCACTGCACTCCAGCCTGGGTGACAGAGCGAGACTCTGTCTCAAAAAAAAAAAAAAAAAAAAAAGAAACTAGTGAAGGCATTCAAGAAGAAATTTGCCTGGTACTGCAATAGAGCATCCAGAATATGGAGAACTAATTAAGCTACAGACTGACCCGTGCAAGAACCTATGCCAGTTCCTTGCAGAGATCGCACTGGCCAAGGACAATCAGCTGAAGGTTCATGGGTTCTAAGTGTCTGTGGCTCACTGAAGCTTAAGTGAGGATTTTCTTGCAATGAGTAGAATTTCCCTTCTGTCTTTGTCACAGGTTTAAAAACCTCACAATGTGTATGAAGTAACTATTTGGGGTCTGCTCTTAGCTTGGACTAGTGTAACTCCTTCATGTAATAAACTGAAAAGAGCCACACAGACAAAAAAAAAGTCCCTTCATAACTGGCATTAATCCATTCATGAGGGTGGAGCGTTCATGACATAAACATCTTCTATTAGGTCCCATTTTCCAAAACTATTGCACTAGAGATTAAGTTTTCTTTTCTTTCTTTTTTTTTTTTTTTCTGAGACGGAGTCTCACTCTGTCGCCCAGGCTGGAGTGCAGTGGCGCAATCTTGGCTCACTGTAAGCTCCACCTCCCGGGTTCATGCCATTCTCCTGCCTCAGCCTCCCGAATAGCTGGGACTACAGGAGCCCACCACCACACCCGGCTAATTTTTTGTATTTTTAGTAGAGACGGGGTTTCACCGTGTTAGCCAGGATGGTCTCAATCTCCTGACCTTGTGATCTGCCTGCGTCGGCCTCACAAAGTGCTGGGATTACAGGCATGAGCCACCGCACCCAGGCCTGAGATTAAGTTTTCAACACATGTTCTTTGGGGAACATATTTAAACAATAGCACGTATCATATGTACAACCGTAGAGGAAGAAGAGGATAATCTTTTCATGGGCTTAATATGTCCCTCCAAAATTTGTGTGTTGAAATCCTAACCCTTAGTGTCTCAGAATGTGACTACATTTGAACGTATGGCATTTAAGGGGGTAATTAAGGCAAAGTGAGTTCATTAGGGTGGGCCATAGCTCAATATGATTGGTGTCTTTTTTTTTTCTTTTTTTTTTTTTCTGAGACTGAGTCTAGCTTTGTCACCCAGGCTGGAGTGCAGTGGCATGATATTTTGGCTCACTGAAACCTCTGCCTCCTGGGATCAAATGATTCTCCTGCCTCAGCCTCCCGAGTAGCTGGGATTACAGGCACCTGCCACCACACCCAGCTAATTTTTGTATTTTTAGTAGAGACTGGGTTTCACTCTGCTGGTCAGGCTGGTCTCAAACCCCTGACTTCAGGTGATCCGCCTGCCTCGGCCTCCCAAAGTGCTGGGATTACAAGCATGAGCCAATGTGCACAGACTTGACTGGTGTCTTTATAAGAAGAGAACCAGGCCAGGCTCAGTGGCTGAAGCTTGTAATTCCAGCACTTTGGGAGGCTGAGGCAGGCATATCACCTGAGGTCAGGAGTTTGAGACCAGCCTGCTCAACATGGCGAAACCCCATCTCTACTAAAAATACAAAAGTTAGATGGGCCTGGTGGCGGGTGCCTGTAATTCCAGCTATTCAGGAGGCTGAGGCACAAGAATCTCTTGAACCCGTGAGGTGGAGGTTGCAGGGAGCTGAGATTGCGCCATTGCACTCCACCTCTGGGCGACAGAGCAAGACTCCATTTTGGGGAAAAAAAAAAAAAAAGCAAGCTGTACCTAGCCTGGGTGACATGGCGAAATCCAGTCTCTAAAAAAAAAATACAAAAATTGGCTGGGCGTGGTGGCTCACGTCTGTAATCCCGGCACTTTGGGAGGCTGAGGCTGGCGGATCACAAGGTCAGGAGATCGAGACCATCCTTGCTAACACTGTGAAAACTCGTCTCTACTAAAAATACAAAAAAAAAAAAAAAAAAAAAAAAATTAGCCGGGCGTGGTGGCGGGTGCCTGTAGTCCCAGTTACTCAGGAGGCTGAGGAAGGAGAACGGCATGAACTTGGGAGGTGGAGCTTGCAGTGAGCCAAGATCAGTGCCACTGCACTCCAGCCTGGGCGACAGAGCGAGACTCCGTCACACACACACACACAAAAAGCCCCGTGGTGGCACGCACCTGTAGTCCCAGCTACTCGTGAGGCTATGCGGGAAGATACCTGGAGCCCAGGAGGTGGAGGTTGCAGTGAGCTGAGATCATGCTACTGCACTCCAGCGTGGGTGACAGAGAGGAGAGGCAGAATCTGGTACCAGATTACCTGAGTTCAAAGCCAAACTGTGCACCCATTAGCTAGAATTACTTAATCTCTCTATATGTTAGGATTCATAAATTAATATACATGTAAAACACTTGGTACAGCCACTGCCACAAAGTATATACTGTGTGAGTCCTTGCTGTTGTGTTTGTTTTTTTTTTTTTAGACAGAGTCTGGCGCTGTTGCCCAGGCTGGAGTGCAATGGCACGATCTCAGCTCACTGCAATATCTACCTATTGGGTTCAAGCGATTCTCCTGCCTCAGCCTTCCGAGTAGCTGGGATTACATTATGCCCGGCTAATTTTTGTATTTTTGTAGAGACAGGGTTTCACCATGTTGGCCAGGCTGGTCTCGAACTCCTGACCTCAGGTGATCTGCCTGCCTCAGCCTCCCAAAATATTGGGATTATGTGCGTGAGCCACCGCGCCTGGCCTAGTGCTTGCTATTGTTAAGGAGGAACCTAAATGACCTTGAGGTGGAAAAAATATCAAACAGGTCTATGGTTTGGAAAAAAAGCTTCTCTTTTTGAAGGTGAGATAGATTAAATTTCAAGCTCATTCAGGTGAGAGAATATCTAGGGAATTAAAGTGAATAGGTGGGCAAGAATGAGAGTACATCAGGCAGAATAGGAATGTTCTGCAGCTCAATGTTCCTTAGTTCTTTAATTAAAATGTTTAAACAAATGAACAATAATTATCAATTTCTTCTTCAGAGAATATGGAATTCACAGTTAACAAAAATCATTGCAATTTAGCTGGCTGTGGGGACACATGCTTGTAGTCACAGGTAATCAGGAGGATGAGCAGGAGGATCCCTTGAGTCCAGGAATTCGAGTCCAGCCTAGGCAACATAGTGAGACCCTGTCTTAAGCCGGGTGCGGTGGCTCACGCCTGTAATCCCAGCACTTTGGGAGGCAGAGGTGGGTGGATCACGAGGTCAGGAGATCAAGACCATCCTGGCTAACACGGTGAAATCCCGTCTCTACTAAAAAAAAAATACAAAAAAAATTAGCCGGGAGCGGTGGCGCTACTTGAAAGGCTGAGGCAGGAGAATGGCGTCAACGCGGGAGGCGGAGCTTGCAGTGAGCCAGGATTGCGCCACTGCACTCCAGCCTGGGTGACAGAGCGAGACTCCGTCTCAAAAAAAAAAAAAAACAAAAAAACAAAAAACAACCCTGTCTTTACAGTAAATGAAAAATAAAACAAGACCAGGCATGGTGGCTCATGCCTGTAATCCTAGCACTTGGGGAGGCCAAGGCAGGAGGATTGCTTGAGCCCAGGAGTTCTAGACCAGGGTAATACAGGGAGGCCCTGTCTCTACAAAAAAAAAAAAAAAAAAAAAAAAAAAAAAAATTAGCCAGGTGTGTGGTGGAGTGCACATGAGGTTCCAGCTACCCAGGAGGCTGAGGTGGGAGGATCACTTTGAACCTGGGAGGTCAAGGCTGCAGTGAGCCGTGATTGTACCACTGCACTCCAGCCTGGGAGGCAGAGCAAGACTTTACCTCAAAAAATAAATAAAATAAAATAATTGCAATTGAACTTGACATATAAAAACACACAAGCCCAGAGTCTCATGCAAAGAAAAATTATTAGATTATTAGGCTTAATTTATTTGAGGACACTAAGATGCTGACAAGTTTTATTTATTTATTTATTATTATTATTTTTTATACAGACAGGTTCTCGCTATGTTGCCCAGACTGGTCTTGAACTAGGCTCAGGCAGTTCTCCTGCCTCAGCCTCCCAAAGTGCTGGGATTACTGGAACTTCTTTTGTGTTCTATTTTGCATGTAACTTGCATGCAATGACTCTAGTAGAGTTTTTTTGTTTTGTTTTGTTTTTGAGACGGAGTTTCACTCTTGTTGCCCAGGCTGGAGTGCAATGGTGCGATCTCAGCTCACTGCAACCTCCGCCTCTCGGGTTCAAGCGATTCTTCTGCCTCAGCCTCCCGAGTAGCTGGGATTACAGGCATGTGCCACCATGCCTGGCTAATTTTGTATTTTTAGTAGAGACGGGGTTTCTCCATGTTGGTCAGGCTGGTCTCGAACTCTCCACCTAAGGTGATCCCCCCAAAGTGCTGGGATTAGAGGCGTGAGCCACCACTACCGGCCAGTGGAGTTTTTTTTTTTTTTTTTTTTTTGCTTCTTCAAACACAAGCTTGCCCAAATATAGAATAGAAATCATTTAATTTTTGAACAATCTGTTGATAGAAGATAAGGGCAGTGTCTCCTTTCAAGATATAATCAAGGCAGAGTTTCAGGGTAGGTGTGGTGGCTTATACCTGTAATCCTAGCACTTTGGGAAGATTGCTTGAGGCCAGGAGTTCGAGACCAGCCCGGCCAACAGAGCAAGACTCCTCTTATTAAATAAAAATGTTATTAACAACAACAAAAAAAGACAGAGCTTCAACAAATTCTTAGAGGCCACGTGCCATGGCTTATGCCTGTAATCTCAGCACTTTGGGAGATGTAACTGCCCAAGGGGTTCACCTTGCCTGCTGCCTAGACAGAGCCAACTCATTAAGACAGGGGTATTGCCACAGAGAAAGAGTAGTTCACGCAGAGCCGGCTGTGAGGGAGACTGGAGTTTTATTATTATTCAAATCAATCTCCCCTAGCACTCAGGGAGCAGAGTTTTCAAGGATATCTTGGCAGGTAGGGGGAAGCCAGTGAGCTAGGAGTGCTAATTGGTCAGAGATGAAATCACAGGGAGTCGAAGCTCTTTTCTTGTGCTGAGTCAGTTCCTGGGTGGGGGCCACAAGATCAGATGAGCCAGTTTATTGAGCTGGGTGGTGCCAGCTGATCCATCAATTGTGGGGTCTGCAAAATATCTCAAGCACTGACCTTAGGAGCAGTTTAGGGAAGGTCAGAATCTTGTAGCTTCCAGCTGCATGACTCCTAAACTATCATTTCTAATCTTGTGGCTAATATTAATCCTACAAAGGCAATGTAGTGCCCAGGCAAGAAGGAGGTCTGCTTCGGGAAAGGGCTGTTACCACCTTTGTTTAAACTATAAACTAAGTTTATCTCAAAGTTAGTTCAGCCTATGCCCAGGAATGAACAAGGACAGCTTGGAGGTTAGAAGTAAGATGGAATCAGTTAAGTTAGATCTCTTTCACTATCTGAGTCATAATTTTGCAAAGGTGGTTTCTGAGGCTGAGGCATAAGGATCTCTTGAGGCCAGGAGTTTGAGACCAGCCTGGGCAACAAAGCAAGACCCCCGTCGGTACAAAAAAATAAAAATTCTTAGACAATAGTAGATTGCCAAGAACATTTAAGAGACCTTGTTGTATCTCAGTCTTTTTTTCTTTTTTTTTTTTTTTTGAGACAGTCTCGCTCTGTCTCCCAGGCTGGAGTGAAGTGGTGCGATCTCTCACTGCAACCTCCACCTCCCTGGTACAAGCAATTCTCCTGCCTCAGGCTCCTGAGTAGCTGGAATTACAGGTGTGTGCCACCACACTTGGCTAATTTTTGTATTTTCAGTAGGCAGGCGGATCACCTGAGGTCAGGAGTTCAAGACCAGCCTGGCCAACATGGTGAAACTTTGTCTCCACTAAAAATACAAAAATTAGCCAGGTGTGGTGGCAGATGCCTGTAATCCCAGCTACTTGGGAGGCTGAGATGGGAGAATTGCTTGAACCTGGGAGGCGAAGGTTGCAGTGAGCTGAGATTGCACCACTGCACTCCAGCCTGGGCAACAGAGCGAGACCCCATCTCAAATAATAATAATAATAATAGTAATAATGGTAACAGGGAAAGGCTAACTGTAATATGGTCTATATAATTGTAACAAAACTGCCTTTTCCAAATTTAACTGGTAAGATTTTTTTTATTTTTTAAAAAAATTTTTATGTATGTATGTATGTATGTATGTATGTATGTATGTATGTATGTATTTATTTATTTTTGAGACAAGAGTCTCGCTCTGTCACCCAGGCTGGAGAGTGTAGTGGTGCAATCTCGGCTCACTGCAACCTCTGCCTCCCGGGTTCAAGCAATTCTCCTGCCTCACCCTCCTGAGTAGCTGGGATTACAGATGCCTGCCACCATGCCGGCTAATTTTTTGTATTTTTAGTAGAGATGGGATTTCACCATGTTGGCCAGGCTGATCTGGAATTCCTGACCTAAGGTGATCCACCCGCCTTGGCCTCCAAAAGTGCTCGGATTACAGGAGTGAGCTACTGTGCCCAGTCTCTCTTTTTTTTTTTGAGACAGAGTCTCGCACTGTCGCCTGGGCTGGAGTGCAATGGCGCGATTTTGGCTCACTGCAACTTCCGCCTCCTGGGTTCAAGCGATTCTCCTGCCTCAGCCTCCTGAGTAGCTGGGATTACAGGCGCCCGCCACCAGGTCCAGCTAATTTTTTGTATTTTCAGTAGAGATAGGGTTTCACTATGTTGGCCAGGCTGGTCTTGAACTCCTGACCTGGTGATCTGCCCACCTCGGCCTCCCAAAGTGCTAGGATTACAGCTGTGAGCCAACGCACCGGCCTGGTATGATTTTCTTAAACAACGGTACATTTATTTTTAAAGTAAATTTGGCAAGAAATATCCTATTTAGTTTCCAAAGCTATTGTGAGAAGGCACTCCTAATTTTGTGGGATGAACCAGTCACCAGGCATTACAGCAAGTGTGCAAGAAAGAAGTTGGCCGGGCGTGGTAGCCCATGCCTGTAATCCCAGCACTTTGGGAGGCCAAGGTGGGCGGATCATCTGAGGTCAGGAGATTGAGAACATCCTGGCTAACACGGTGAAACCCGTCTCTACTAAAAATACAAAAAAAATTAGCCGGGCGTGGCGGTGGGAGCCTGTAATCCCAGGCTACTTGGGAGGCTGAGGCAGGAGAATGGCGTGAGACTGCGAGGCTGAGCTTGCAGTGAGCCGAGATCGCGCCACTGCACTCCAGCCTGGGCGACAGAGCGAGACTCTGTCTCAAAAAAAAAAAAAGAAAAGAAAAGAAGTCAGACAAGTTTGGGAAGTGCTAGGTGAAGCAACATTGAACAGACTTGTTTGTTGAAGGACTTCTTAGAAGGTTAGAGACTTCATGACGCTGACATGTGCTGTGATTTTATAAGGCAGCGTTATGATATACAGCATTTTCTATAGTTACTCAAACAAGAACCTTGCTTTCAAAGATTAGCTAATGAGACTAGAATTTGTGGAATATACTTGGACTACTTGAACTAAGAGAAATGACCCATGGAGTAAAATCTTCCCAGTGCAGAATAATTCCCTAGTACCCCATCAGTCTTATCACTCAGTGATAATAATCTCTGCTCCCCACTTAGAACAAACAGAATAAAACATTGTATCAAATTGAGGCTGGTGTGAGTGAAGTGGTGTTCACAACTAATTGATCACAACCAGTTATAGATTTACTTGTCCTTTTCCACTCCCACCGCTTCACTTCACTAGCCTTACACAAATTTGAAAAATCAAGTTGTAAATCAAAGGCAGGTATAAACATAAAATTGTGAAAACTTGTAATGGCTTGCAACCATTTGAGGAGGTGTTCAAACTCTCACATTAGTCAGAGAAATGTAAATTAAAATTCGTTGAGGCAAGGCACTGTGGCTCACACCTGTAATCCCAGCACATTGAGAGGCCCAGTGGGGGGGATTCCTTGAAGTCAGGAGTTTGAGACCAGCCTGGGCAACAAAGTGAGACCCCATCTCAAAAACAAAAAAATTATTTATTTATTTATATTTTTGAGACAGAATCTTACTCCGTTGCCCAGGCTGGAGTGCCTTGCTGCTATCTCAGCTCATTGCAGACTCTACCTCCCAGGTTCAAGCAATTCTCCTGCCTCAGCATCCCAAGTAGCTGGGATTACAGGCGTGTGCCACCATGCCTGGCTAAATTTTTTTTTTTTTTTGAGATGGAGTCTTGCTCTGTCGCCCAGGCAGGAGTGCAGTGGTGCGATCTCAGCTCACTGCAACCTCTGCCTCCCGGGTTCAAGCGGTTCTCCTGCCTCAGCCTCCTAAGTAGCTGGGATTATAGGCGCACACCACCACGCCCAGCTAATGTTTGTATTTTAGTACAGACAGGGTTTCACCATGTTGGCCAGGCTGGTCTTGAGCTCCTGATCTCATGATTCACCCACCTCAGCCTCCCAAAGTGCTGGGATTACAGGCGTGAGCCACAGTGCCCGGCCTGTCTAGCTAATTTTTATGTTTTTGGTAAAGATGGCGTTTCACAATGTTGGCTAGGCTGGTCTCGAGCTCCTGGCCTCAAGTGATCTTAAAATTTTTTAAAAAAATTAGCCAGGCATGGTGCCATAAGCGTTTAGTCCCAGCTACTCAGGAGAATCACTTGAACCCAGGAGACTGAGTCTGCAGTGATCCATGATGGTATATCTCCCTTCAGCCTGGGTGATAGAGCAAGATCTCAATTCTAAAACAACAACAACAACAAAAACCCCACAAAACCAAGAAAACTTCAATGTGATTCTACTTTACACCCATCAGACATGCAGATTTTTTTTTTGAGACGGAGTCTCGCTCTGTCACCCAGGCTGGAGTGCAGTGGCGCCATCTCGGCTCACTGAAAGCTCCGCCTCCCGGGTTCACACCATTCTGCTGCCTCAGCCTCCAGAGTAGCTGGGACGACAGCCACTCGCCACCACTCCTGGCTAATTTTTTTTTGTATTTTTAGTAGAGACGGGGTTTCACCGTGTTAGCCAGGATGGTCTCGATCTCCCAACCTTGTGATCCACCTGCCTTGGCCTCCTAAAGTGCTGGGGTTACAGGTGTGAGCCACCACGCCCAGCCAGATTTTTTTTAAATGTTTTATTTACATAAGTTAAGGAGGAACAAGTGTTTGGTTACATGAATAAGTTCTTTAGTGGTGATTTGTGAGATTTTGGTGCACCCATTACCTGAGCAGTAAACACTGCACACAATTTGTCTTTTATCCCTCACCCACTTCCCAGCCTTTCCCCTTGAGTCCCTAAAGTCCACTGTGTCATTCTTATGCTTTTGCATCCTCATAGCTTAGCTCCCACTTATATGTGAGAACATACGACGTTTGGTTTTCCATTCCTGAGTTACTTCACTTAGAATAATAGTCTCCAGTCTCCTCCAGGTCGCTGTGAATGCCATTAATTCATTCCTTTTTATTGCTGAGTAGTATTCCATCGTATCTATATCTATATATACCACAGTTTCCTTATCCACTTGCTGATTGATGGACATTTGGGTAGACCTGCAGATATTAAGAAGATCTGTAGTACCTATCACTGGAGGGGCTGTGGAGAAAAAGGAACCTCTCATATTGCTGATGTAAAGGCAAATTTTTTAAGCTTTTTTGGAAAGCAACCTGGCAGCGTCTTTTATCCTCCTTCCCTCCTTTCCTTCTTTCCTTCTTTTTTTTTTGAAACAGTGTCTTACTTTGTCACCCAGGCTGGAGTGCAGTGGTGCGATCTTGGCTTACTGCAACCTCTGCCTCCTGGGTTCAAGCGATTCTCTTGCCTCAGCCTCCCGAGTAGATGGGATTACAGGTGTGCCACCAAGAGCAGCTTATTTTTGTATTTATTTATTTATTTATTTTT
Organism: Homo sapiens; assembly: GCF_000001405.40. NCBI lineage: Eukaryota > Metazoa > Chordata > Mammalia > Primates > Hominidae > Homo > Homo sapiens. The sequence continues at coordinate 38,948,696 of NC_000001.11, read as the reverse complement.
TGAGATGGAGTCTCTCTCTGTCACCCAGGCTGGAGTGCAATGGCATGATCTTGGCTCACTGCAACCTCTGCCTCCCAGGTTCAGGCAATTCTCCTGCCTCAGCCTCCTGAGTAGCTAGGATTACAGGTGCCCACAACCACGACCGGCTAATTTTTGTATTTTTAGTAGAGATGGTTTCACCATGTTGACCAGACTGGTCTCCAACTCCTGACATCAGGTGATCTGCTTGCCTTGGCCTCCCAATGTGTTGGGATTACAGGCGTGAGCCACGGTGCCTGGCCGTCTCTTCTTCTTACAAGGACACCAGTCCTAGTCCCCCACCCTTATGACTTTATTTAACCTTAATTTCTTTTTCCCTCCCCTCCCCTCCCTTCCCCTCCCCTCCCCTCCCCTCCCCTTCCGTTCCCTTCTCTCTTTCTTTCTGACGCAGTCTCACTCTGTCGCCAGGCTGGAGTGCAGTGGCACGATCTTAGCTCACTGCAACCTCCGCCTCCCGGGTTCAAGCAACTCTCCTGCCTCAGCCTCCTGAGTAGCTGGGACTACAGGCGCATGCCACCATGCCCGGCTAATTTTTTTTTTTTGTATTTTAGTAGAGACAGGGTTTCACCATGTTGTCCAGGCTGGTCTCGAACTCCTGAGCTGAGGCAATCTGCCCGCCTCGGCCTCTGAAAGTGCCAGGATTACAGGCATGAGCCACTGCACCCAGCCTAATTACTTCTTTAAAGGCCCTATCTTTGGCCAGGTGTGGTGGCTGAAGAAATAAATAAAATAAAAGACGGGAATTGCAATAGGGAAAGAGTTTAATACACATAGAGCTGACTAAATGGAAGTCTGGAGTTTTATTATTACTCAGATCAATCTCCCTGAAAATTCATAGGCTAGAGTTTTTCAAGGATAATTTGGCAGGCAGGGGGCTAGGGAATGGGTGCTGCTGATTGTTTGGGGATGCAATCATAACTGTGTGGAAACCAGTCTTCTTGTGCCGAATTCGCTTCCAGGTGGAGGCCACAGAGGGTCTGATCCTGCTGGAATCATCTTCTGGTCAGAAATACGAAAGTCTGAAAAGCATCTTAAAAGGCCAATCCTAGGTTCTACAATAGTGACGTTATTTACAAGAGTAATTGGGGAAGTTATAAATCTTGGGACCTCTGGAACAATGGCTAGTAATCCTTTAAGGAAGCCTATATCTTAATGGAATTCAGGCCCCCTCATCCTCCTAACCTGGTGGCCTTTCATTTTAGTTTTGGCAAGAGCTGTTAACATTTAAACTATACATTTCTCCCAAAGTTAGTTTGGCCCATGTCCAGGAATGACCAAGAGCAGTTTGGAGGTTAAAGGCAAGATGAAATTGTTTAGGTCAGTTCTCTTTCACTGTCATAATTTTCTCACTGTTATAATTTTTGCAAAAGCAGTTTCAGAACTCTATGGAGTTCCCAGGTTTACTACTTTTAGTTTCACCAAAAAGAAGAGACAGAGTAGGGTTTTTCTGCCCCAGTTGCAAATTTTTAGGAAAGGGAAACTAATTGGCCTAACCTGGGTCAAATGTCCTGCTTTGGTCCAATCACTGTGACCAATGCTGGTCATTGAATGCATATATGGCAGGTAAAGTCCTGAGGGATGATATGGGGTAGGGAAAGCTTTCCAAGAGAGGGGGTTGTGATGAGCTGGAAATATACCTGATCCTTGTCTTTCTGTAGCACCCAAACCTAAGTCAATCCTACCACTCTCCTGTTCTTTGCCTGAGCAGCCAAGAGCTGCTGGAGGGGTGGGGGAAAGCCAAACAACCATCTACAGAATTTTCAAATGCAAATTTTAAATGAGAAAAGCCATGATGTTGGTTGGATGGACAGGGATGGTGCTGGGTGGGGTAGCATTGCAAAGGACTGGGCTGGGTGCGGTGGCTCACGCCTGTAATCTCAGCACTCTGGGAGGCCGAAGTGGGCAGATCACCTGAGGTCAGGAGTTGGAGATCAGCCTGGCCAACATGACAAAACCCCGTCTCTACTAAAAAATACAAAAATTAGCTGGGCGTGGTGGCATGTGCCTGTAATCCCAGCTACTCGGGAGGCTGAGGCTGGAGAATTGCTTGAACCTGGGAGGTGGAGGTTGCAGTGAGCCGAGATCATGCTACTGCACTCCAGCCTGGGTGACAGAGTGAGATTCCGTCTCAAAAAAAAAAAAAAAAAAGAAGAGAAAAGGAAGAAGACTGGTTCTCTGGCCCCAGAGAGTCATGATCTTGATGAATTCACCACAGTTCAGGGTCAAGGTCCGAATTTTGCAGGCTTAGAAATGTGAATTTGTGGCTGGCCATGGTGGCTCAAATCCCAGCACTTTGGGAGGCCAAGGCAGGTGGATCACCTGAGGTCAGGAGTTCGAGACCAGCCTGGCCAACATAGTGAAACCTCATCTCTACTAAAAATACAAAAATTAGCCAGGCGTGGTGGTGGGTGCCTGTAATCCCAGTTACTCGGGAGGCTGAGGCAGGAGAATCACTTGAACCTGGGAGGTGGAGGTTACGGTGAGCCGAGATTGGGCCACTGAACCCCAGCCTGGGCTACAGAGTGAGACTCCGTCTCACAGAAAAAAAAAAAAAAAAAGAAAAGAAATGTGAACTTGTCAATATCTCAGAACTGATACAATTTGTGGATACTGATTCACATTAATGAAATTTACATGAACCTCGTGTACAAATTCTAAATGAAAATTTATTTATTTTTATTATTTATTTTTGAGATGGAGTTTCGCTCTCGTTGCCCAGGCTGGAGTGCAATGGTGTGATCTCAGCTAACCAAAACCTCTGCCTCCTGGGTTCAAGCAATTCTCCTACCTCAGCCTCCCAAGTAGCTGGGACTACAGGTGTGTGCCACCAAGCCTGGCTAACTTTTTTTGTATTTTTAGTAGAGATGGAATTTCGCCATGTTGCCCAGGCTGGTCTCGAACTCTTGAGCTCAGGCAATCCGCCCGCCTTGGCCTCCCAAATTGCTGGAATTATAGGTGTGAGCCACCGCGCCCAGCTGACCTGATATATTTTCATCTGCAGAATAAGATAACCTTTTCTTGCTTTCTTCTTTCACTCTCCCATCACTCTGTGTGGCCACCTCCCTCAGAGCCTGGAGAAACTTGGTCCCAGACCATTGTTCTTTGGGCTTATTCATTTATCCTGAAAATAATTGACTCCAACAACCAGCCCTCCATCCATCTTTTCCCCAGTGAAGAGAATATTTAAACCTCAACCCTCTGGCCCTCCTTTGAGTTAATATCTTGTATGACTCCCTTGCACAGGTGTGCAGTAATGAATCTGTTATGCTTTTCTCTGTGACCCTTTATAATGGGGAGGGAAGAGCTCACCCATTCTGCCCATACAGCATTCCCTCAAGTCTTGTCTTAGGTCCTCTTCTTTCTCTCTAATTTCTCTCCCTGAGTGACCTCACCCACTCCCATGGCTTGAGTTGTCATTTCTGTGCAACTCCTAAATCTCTTTTTTCCAACTGTTTGCTGACTCCTCCCCCAACCCCCCCATCCATTCTCTGCCTTGTTCTGTGCCTTGGGGCACCTTGGCCTCTGGCTTCTGGTTGAGTTTAGCTAATGAGAGGAATCAGGAATAGGAAGCTGGAGACTAAAGTAATTGGGATATTCCTTCCTCTGTTTCCATTCTGCTCCAGTGGGGGCTGCCTTCTCCACAACTGTGGCTCTGCCAGGGGCCCTTATCCACAGCTCCAGCTCCCGCTGGATTCAGTGAATGTTACATCTTCTCCTTGTCCCTTCAGGCCTAAGGCTTCCCACTGTCATTCATCCCTGGATATTCAACATCTCTTAATGACTTCCTTTACCCTTCCCAGATCTTCAAATCTAGCTGAAGATGCCTTCTCCTTCCTGCTGGTACCCTGACTGATACATAACTCCTGTCTATCCCTGGAGCAACTACTCCTTGAACATCTCCGCAGGTGCCTCTGACTCAACAGGTCCAGAACAGAATTCATTTCCCCCCAAATTGCTTTTCTTCCTGATCCTGAAATTTTTTTTTTTTTTTTGAGACGGAGTCTTGCTCTGATGCCCAGGCTGTAATGTAGTGGTGCCATCTCAGCTCAATGCAACCTCCGCCTTCCAGGTTCAAGCAATTCTAGTGCCTCAGCCCCCCGAGTAGTTGGGACTACAGGCATGTGCCAACATGCCTGGCTAAATTTTTGTATTTTTAGTAAAGACGGGGTTTCACCGTGTTAGCCAGGATGGTCTTGATCTCCTGACATTGTGATCCTCCCGCCTTGGCCTCCCAAAGTGCTGGGATTACAGACGTGAGCCACCTCACCCAACTCTTTTTCTTTTGAGACAGAGTCTCGCTCTGTCATCCACGCTAGTCTGCAGTGATGTGATCTCTGCTCACTGCAACCTCCGCCTCCTGGGTTCAAGTGATTCTCCTGTCTCAGCCTCCTGAGTAGCTGGGATTACAAGCATTCGCCACCATGCCCAGCTAATTTTTGTATTTTTAGTAGAGACAGGGTTTCACCATGTTGGCCAGGCTTGTCTCAAACTCCTGACCTCAAGTGATCCACCCATCTCGGCCTCCCAAAGTATTGGGATTACAGGCGTGAGCCACCGCGCCTGGCCATTCTTCCTGATTTCTCAATCTTGTTTGTGGTCACCACTATCAACCTAGTTAGTTATTCCAGCTGGAAATCTTCGAGTCATCCTAGATTCCTCCCTTACTCTTTAAGTCCCATCAATGGTACTCCCTTAGCATCTCTTGAATCTCTTTCTCTCACTCCCACCCCCACTCCCTAGCCAATGCCTTGATAAGGCCTACATTATCACTTGCCCTGACTCATGCAACCCTGACTGGTTTTCTTGCCTCTAGTCTTGCCTCCTTCAAACCCTTCTTTACACTGCAGGTCTCAGTGAATTTTTTTTTTTTTAAGACAGGGTCTCACTCTGTCATCCAGGCTAGAGTGCTGTGGTGTGATCATAGCTCATTGCAGCCTCAACCTCTTGGGCTCAAGCTGTCCTCTCACTTCGGCCTCTGGAGTATAGCTGGGACTACATGTGCACACTACCATTGCCCGGATAATTAAAAAAAATTTGTTTTGTAGAGACAGGTGCCACTATGTTGCTCAGGCTGGTCTCGAACTCCTGGGCCTAAGCAATCCTCCAGCCTTGACCTCCCAAATTGCTGGGATTACAGGTGTGAGCCACCACACCTGGCTCCAGTGATCTATTTTAAATGCAGTCTGATAGTTTGTGTCCCTTGTTTAAGGCCTATCTGTGAGCTAGCAGGGTGTGGTGTACCACCTGTAATCCCAGCGCTCTGGGAAGTCAAGGCGGGAGGATCTCTTGAGGCCAGGAGTTCGTGATCACCCTGGGCAACAGAGTGAAATTCCATCTCTACAAAAAATTTAAAAACTGGCTGACCATGGTGGTGGGTGCCTGTAGTCCCAGCTACACAGGCAGCTGAAGTGGGAGGATCACTTGAGTCCAGGAGTTCAAGGCTGCTTCAAGCTATGAGTGCACCACTGCACTCTAGCCTGGGTAACTGAGAGAGATCCTATTTTTTCTTTTTTCTTTTTTTTTGAGATGGAGTCTCACTCTGTTGCCCAGGCTAGAGTGCAGTGGCGCAATCTCGGCTCACTGCAACCTCTGCCTCCCAGAGAGACCCTGTATTGCAACAAACAAACGAACAAACAAACAAACAATCTTTCTATGACTCCCCAGAACCTATAGGACACAGTCCAAACTGTTTACCAAGGCACACAAGGCCCTTCATGATCTGACACTCCCTGCTCACAATTCTGAACTTTGAGTAGTTCCTGCTGAATTCCGTCCCTTCCCATGGCCTTTTCTGTCAGCCTGTGCTCCCCTTCTGTGTGCTCCCCGCTTACAATTCTGGAAAACCCCTGTTCACCTTTCAAAACCCATCTTGTATGTCATGTCATCTAGGAGCTTTTCCAGAACACTTCCACACAGGGGGATTCCTCTCTGGTCCCTTCTGCCTGAATTTTTTTTTTTTTTTTTTTTTGAGACCGAGTTTCGCTGTTGTTGCCCAGGCTGGAGTGCAATGGCGTGATCTTGGCTCACTGCAACCTCCGCCTCCCGGGTTCAAGCGATTCTCCTGCCTCAGCCTCCCGAGTGGCTGGGATTACAGGCATGCACCACCATGCCCAGCTAATTTTGTATTTTTAGTAGAGATGAGGTTTCTCCATGTTGATCAGGCTGGTCTCGAACTCCCGACTTCAGGTGATCCACCCACCTCAACCTCCCAAAGTGCTGGGATTACAGGCGTGAGACACCATGCCTGGCCACCTTCTGCCTGAATCTTGAGCAGCGTCTACTTAGAGCTTCATTCTTTGTCTTCCTAGTAGAGTAGGAGGTCAGGGACCCCGTTAATCTACCTCTTCATCCTCAGGGCCTCACACAAGGCCAGTTATTCTCAAAATGCTTTGAATGAATAATCAGAGCTGGCAAAGCTATTTCACCAGGGGCCATGGTGTCACCAATTCTTCTGTGGACTAAATCTCTGCTGAGGATCGTCAAGTCACCCACCCTGGTGCCCAGTACAGGCCTGGCTTCAGACTGGAGCATAACCAAATGCAGAGTGATAGAGACCACCCGGTTGAGGCGTCAGAGAGCTGAGAGTGGAGAGCAGGGGACCCAGGCATGAAGCAGGAGGGCAGGACTTGGAGGAGGAATGGAGCTCAGTGTCCTGGAGAAAGAGCAGAGGCTGCCACCGGCTCCCTGGCTAAGACCCAAGCAGGCGAAGAGGAGGACTCATTCATCCAGGGCCAGCCCAGGAGCAAGACTGCCAAGCAGGCCGGCCCAGCCCAGCTGGGAGGGGATTTCCTCAGCCTCCCTCCTCCTGGGCTGGGCAGCTTTGGAACCTGTCTGGAGGATTTTTGTTTGGGGAGGGACGGAGGAGCGCCTGGCAGAGCGGGATCTTCAGGGCAGCGGGCAACCCCTTGGCCCAGGAAGCCTGGAACGCAAGGACCGGAGGGCGTGGGCTGGGACGCCCCTACCTTGGTCTTTCAGGGTAAGATGTGGGAGCTGGGAGGGAGTGGAGGGAGTCCTATGTCAGGACAAGGGGGCGGCAGCAGGAAGTGCAGGGCCGAGGGGTGCTGTGCAGGAAGGAGGAGGGACATGTGGGGTGCTTCGCTGGTAACCCCCCTTCTGGAGTGACCTCCTGGTGTGGCCGCTTTGGATCCTGCTACTTTCATTTTAAAAGTTGGCAGCATGTTGGGCCAGGAGTCAGGGGCTATCTTCCCGAGGGAAATGGCAGGGAAGGGCTGAGGATGAGGACAGAGTAATTCCATTCCTCTTCCCTGCCCTTCACACTGGCTTTCCCTCCAGCCATCACGTTCTCCCCAGCACCCCCTACCCTCCTAAGTTTTTCTAACTCCAACTAAGCCAGTTCCTAGCCCTTTGCTGACCTGGACACTGGAGACCACAGCCAGGGAGACAGTCTCCACTTCTACCCGCAAGGCGGCTCCTCCAGAGTTATTTGTTTCCTTCTTCCTGGTGTGGGTATCAGAGAGATTTCACTCAATCTTTCATTTATTCATTAGTGTTCATTTGTTTATTCATCACTGTTTGAGCATATACCTGGATTCTCTGGAGGGAGGGCTGCGCAATTTCTGCTCCTCTTGGGAATAAGAAAACTGAAACTTATTGCTCAAACATTTGATGGTCATCTACAAGCTGGTGGGCAGCATGGCAGAGCAGAAAATTATTTTGGAGTCACAAAGACACTTGGCTTTTTATCCCATATCTCCTGTTTACCTCCTGAGCCTCAGTTTCCTCAGCTATAATTTTTTTTTAAAGAGACAGGGTCTTGCTACCTTGCCCAGGCTGCAGTGCAGTGGCTGATCATAGCTTACTACAACTTCAAACTCCTGTGCTCAAGCAGTCTTCTTGCCTCAGCTTCCTGAGTTAACTGAGGCACGGCGGCCAGCTCAAAATGATATTTTTATGAAGATGACAGGGAACAATGCATGTTGAATACCAAGCTGGGTGCCAGGCTCATTGTGGAGCCTTCCTAAACACCTGTGCTTTTCCCTTCCTCTTTGACTGCCTTCTTGCCATGCCTCTCCCTAACCAGCAACTCCCTCACCTTAGGCTTGTAAAGATATGCTAGACAACCCCTGGCCTTGAAAGCACGTAGGCAGCGTGTAAACAGAACTGGCCAGTGACGGGTGGAGTGGTGAAGGGAGAGGGAAGGTTGGGTTCCATGGCTCGCTCCCAGTGATTTGGGAGGCCGAGGCGGGAGGATTCCTTGAGTCCAGGAGTTCGAGACCAGCCTGGGCAATAAAGTGAGGCCTTGTCTTTAAAAAATAAAATAAAAAAGAAGGGAGAGCCACATAGGCATGGGATTAGGGAAGGTGTCAGGTGCTGGTTTGTGGTAAAAATACTGGACCAGGGCTGAGTCCAGACATGCTGTGTTTCTGAATTTGCACACTCAACACTGAGCAAGTGATGGGAACCACCAATTCCTAAACTATGGATGCAGGCTAAGGGCTTTTAAATGCATTCTCTTATTTAATCATAATCCTCTTATGATATTATTATTAACCCTATTTTATAGATGGGGAAATGAAGATACAAACAGGTTAAGGGATTTGCCTAAGGTCACATGGCTAATAAGTAATGGATCCAGAATTCAAGTCTAGGTCAGACTCTAAACTCCATGCTTTTTGCTCTGGTGCTTGCTGTCTTTCAAGTTTCTCTGTATTAGAAAGACCAGGCTGGGGGCGGTGACTCATGCCTGTAGTCCCAACATTTTGGGAGGCTGAGGTAGGAGGATTGCTTGAAGCCAGGAGTTCAAAGCCAGCCTGGGCAACAAGCGAGACCCTGTCTCAAAAAAAAAAGAAGTCCTGGCACGGTGGCTCACGCCAGCCGTAGTAATCCCAGCACTTTAGGAGGCCAAGGTGGGAGAATTGCTTGAGTCCAGGACTTTGAGACTGGCCTGGGCAACACAGTGAGACCTCTTCTCTACAAAAAATAAAACAAAATTAGCCTGGTGTGGTGGTGTGCACCTGTAGTCTCAGCTACTTGGTTTTTTTTTTGAGGTGGAGCCTCACTCTGTGGCCCAGGCTGGAGTGCAGTGGCGGCATCCCCATCTCAGTTGATTCTCTCACCTCAGCCTCCTGAATAGCTGGGACTATAGGTGCACACCATCATGCCCAGCTAACTTTTGTTGTTGTTGTTGTTGTATTTTTGGTAGAGACAAGGTTTCATCATGTTGCCCAGGATGGTCTTGAACTCCTGGACTCGAGTGATCCACCTGCCTTGGCCTCCCAAAGTGTGGGGATTACAGGCATGAGCCACCATGCCTGGCCCATCTCAGCTACTTTGTAGGCTGAGATGGGAGGATCATTTGAGCCTGAGACGCCAAGGCTGCCGTGAGCTGAGATCAGGCCGCTGCACTCCAGCCTGGGTGACAGAGCAAGACTGTCTCTCAAGGAAAAGAAAAAAGAAAGACCAAAAGGGCATCAGCATTCCCCAACTACCTCTCTAGACACTGGCCTTTCACTTCCTGTAGATCTGCTCTGGGCTGCTGCATCCAGACTCCTTCCCTGATTCGTTAACTCATTCACTCATTCCTACATCATTCATTAAATCAAGTGCTCTGTTTATCCCCTGAGACTACAAAGTTTCAAGAGGGCAGGGATCATAAGCATGATCCTGTTCATTCAGTTTTATAATCCTGTTCGTTCAGCACCTCATTCATTCCTGATACAAAAATTTTCAATGAATTCTTTGTGAGTAAATGAATTTGACAAATATTTACTGATGCATTCCATGGACTAGGTAATAGGGAGTCAAAGATGAATAATGCGGAAGCCCTGTCCTCAGAATGCTCACAGCCTTGTAGAGGAGACAGTTATAATACAAAGAAGACATTGATGCTCTAGATGCAAACAGAGGTTGCTGATGGAACTAAGAAGGGCATTTAATTCTACCATGCATCCTCGGTGCCTAACACAATGCTAAGCATGTGGTAGATGCTCAGTAAGGCTTTGCAGAGGAGTTGTAAAGGACAGAGTCTTTTAGTTTTGTTTTTCTTTAATTAAAAAATTTTCTTTTCTTTTCTTTAACTTAATCCCAAATGTGATAGTAAGGAACAGAGTCTTAAAGGGGGTGTTAATACTTCCCTGGGACAACAAATGGGGAGTGTGGGAGGATGTTCTAGCAGAGGGAGGAGCTCATGAAAAGACCTCATGGAGAGTGGGAGCTGGAACTGCTAGGGGCTCAGTGTGGCTGGGGCATAGGGTATATTTGGGGAAATGGAAAGAAATGAAGGTGGATAAATAGGCAGGGTTCAGGTCATGAGGTCTTTCTGTGCCTCGTTAAGGAATCTAGGCTTTAAACCAAAGACATTGGATACCCATTGAAAAGATTTTGGCTGGGCGCGGTGGCTCACGCCTCTAATCCCAGCACTTTGGGAGGCCGAGGCGGGCGGATCACAAGGTCAGGAGTTCGAGACCAGCCTGACCAATATGGTGAAACCCCACCTCTACTAAAAAAAAAAAATTAGCTGGGCATGGTGGCGTGCACCTGTAGTCCCAGCCACTCTGGAGGTTGAGGGAGGAGAATCGCTTGAACCCAGGAGGCAGAGGTTGTAGTGAGTCAAGATTGTGCCGCTGCACTCCAGCCTGGGCAACAGAGTGAGACACTGTCTCAAAAAAAAAAAAATTAGCAATGAGAATGACACTACCTGATTTGCATTTCAGAAGTGAGGCTGATGTGTAGGGGCCTAGGATATGAAGACGCCAAGGTTTTCAGGCCTGATGGGTCCCCACCTATCTATGAAAATTAGTCTTCCTTTTTAAGACTTCAGCATGGTTTGTTCATGAAGGATCTCTTGAGTTGGCCTGTTCCTGATGACTGGTACTTTGCCCTCAGCTGTATACTGGGTCACAGTGAATCTGTTCCTCCTAATAAAAGTTTGGAAATTTATAAATAGTTTCCTTTTGTATAATCTGGAATAAGTTCAAGGATACTACTTGCAATACCTTGTGCTTTCTTATGCCAGAGAGCTAGAGATGGAGGTGTAGAAGGGTTTCCAGGAATTATATCTAGCTCTGAGTGTGCCCAGTGAGGGTGTGTCAAACTAGCCAGTGGTCCTGGAACTGGGGATGCGGGGGCACAGATAACATTAAAAGAGTCCATTTCCAGATTCTCAGCTTCTGCAGGGACTCTTGCCTAAAAGTCATCTGCTTGTCTGGATTCTTTTAAGTTCTCCTTTTCAACTCTGTTTTCATTGTTTCTCTTCTTTGGCTTTATAAGAAAGTTACACCTCTGTCCATCCCAAATTCATTGAACAAGGTCCATTGTTCAAAAGGACAGTTAGAGAATGCTGTGTTCCTGAGAGATAGCAAGTAAAGAGAGATTAGGCAGGAGAAACTAAAGGGTGCTGTGCCTCTACTACAGACTCGTAGTATTTGTTTTATTTAAGAATACTCGGCCAGGGGCCAGGCGCGGTGGCTCACGCCTGTAATCCCAGCACTTTGAGAGGCCGAGGCGGGTGGATCACAAGGTCAGGAGATTGAGACATCCTGGCTAATATGGTGAAACCCTGTCTCTACTAAAAATACAAAAAATTAGCTGGGTGTGGTGGCGGGTGCCTGTAGTCTCAGCTACTTGGGAGGCTGAGGCAGGAGAATGGTGTGAACCCGGGAGGCGGAGCATGCAGTGAGCCGAGACTGTGCCACTGCACTCCAGCCTGGGTGACAGGGTGAGACTCTGTCTCAAAAAAAAAAAAAAGAACACTCGAGAATACTCGGCCAGGCATGGTGGCTCACACCTGTAATCCCAGCACTTTGGGAGGCCGAGTTGGGTGGATGACTTGAGGTCAGGAGTTCAAGACCAGCCTGGCCAACATGGTGAAACCTCGTCTCTACTAAAAATACAAAAATTGCTGGGCACGGTGGCTCACACTTGTAATCCCAGCACTTTGGGAGGCTGAGGTGGGTGGATCACCTGAGGTCAGGAGTTCCAGACCAGCCTGGCCAACATGGTGAAACCCCATCTCTACTAAAAATGCAAAAATTAGCTGGGGGTGGTGGCCAGCATCTGTAATCCCGGCTATTCGGGAGGCTGAGGCAGGAGAATTGCTTGAACCTAGGAGGCGGAGGTTGCAGTGAGCTGAGATCGCGCCATTGCACTCCAACTGGGTGACAAGAGCAAAACTCCATCTTGAAAAAAAAAAAAAAACCCAAAAAGCAAAAAACCAAAAATTAGATGGGTATGGTTGCATGTGCCTGCTGTAATCCCAGCTACTCAGGAGGCTGAGGCAGGAGAATTGCTTGAACCTGGGAGACAGAGGTTGGAGTGAGCCAAGGTCATGCCACTGCATTCCAGCCTGGGCAACAGAGTGAGACTCCATCTCAAAAAAACCCCCAAAAACCAACAAACAAAAAAGAATACTTGTTTATTCAACCTGAGGAAGCTGATTAAGTAAAGCCAGAAAATAAAACATAAAATAAAAATAAAGAAATAAAAATATTTGTTTAGGCTGGGCACAGTGGCTCATTCCTCCAATCCCAGCACTTAGGAAGGTCGAAGTGAGAGGATCACTTGAGCCCAGGAGTTTGAATCCAGCCTGGGTAATGTGACAAGACCTCGTCTCTACAAGATTTGCTGGGCGTGGTGGCATGTGCCTGTGGTCCTAGCTATTTGGGAGGCTGAGGTGGGAGGATATCTTGAGCCCAAGAGGTCGAGGCTTCAGTGAGTTGGGTTTGCATCACTGCACTCCAGCCTGGGCAACAAAGCAAGACCCTGTCTCAAAAAACACCCAAATAGGGCCGGGTGTGGTGGCTCATACCTGTCATCTCAATACTTCAGGGGGCCAAGGTGGGCAGATCGCTTGAGCTCAGGAGTTCGAGACCAGCATGGGCGACATGGCTAAACCCTGTCTCTACAAAAAAATACAAAAGTTAGCCAGGTGTGGTGGTACACACCTGTAGTCCCAGCTACTTGGGAGGCTAAGGTGGAAGGATAGCTTGAACCCGGGAGGCAGAGGTTGCAGTGAGCTGAGATCATGCCACTATACTCCAGCCTGGGTAACAGAGTGAGACCCTGTCTCAAAACAAAACAAAACGAAAAATTTGCTCAATGCTAATTATGTGCCAGACACTCTTCTAAGAATTTTACAGATAATAAACTAATTCAATACTGATACCGAATCTATAAAGTAGATATTTACCACCCTCCTTTTACAGATGATGCTCCCAAGGCACAAAGAGGTTTAATAAGTTGCCCAAGGTCACAGAGGTGTCAAGTGGTGAAATCAGAATTTGAATTCAGACACCTTTGAATTCCTCTAGAATTTGTGTTTTAGCCATTATGCTATATTAAACTTAAGAGCTTTAGCTCTTTATTTATGTGTTATAAAATTAGAATTGAGACATGAGCCAGTTGTCATGGGGATGCAAATTAATGCATTTATGGAACCTTTTAAAAATAAAGGTAGATTTTCTTATGGACAGAAAATCTCTTTGATTTGGCTAATTGGTTTGACAGTGAGGACAGGCTTTGCCAACTGGATTATGTGGTAGACATTTTCCATAAACTGAACAAGTGAAATCTGTAGCTCTAAGGTTTGGATGAAAATGTATTTAAAACATGTCTCTAACAAAGACTATGACAAAAAATTTGATCTTGGAGCCGATTTTAACTTGTAAAAAATAATTGTAGTTATTAACTTAAAAATGTATGAGACAGAACAGAGCTTCTTTAAAAAAATTTTTTTTTTTTTTGCGACTGAGCCTAGCTTTGTCACCCAGGCTGGAGTGCAGTGGCATGATCTCAGCTCACTGCAACTTCTGTCTCCTGGGTTCAAGTGATTCTCCTGCCTCAGTCTCTCAAATAGCTGGGATTACAGGTGCCTGCCACCACACCCAGCTAATTTTTTTGTATTTTTAGTAGAGACGGGGTTTGACTGTGTTGGCCAGGCTGGTCTCAAACTCTTGACCTCGTGATCTGCCCGCCTCGGCCCCCCAAAATGCTGGGATTATAAGTGTGAGCCACCGCGCCCAGCCATTTTTTTTTTTTTTTTGAGACAGTCTTGCTCTGTCACTCAGGCTGGAATGCAGTGGCGCGATCTCTGCATTGCTCACTGCAACCTCCACCTCCCGGGTTCAAGCGATTCTCCTACCTCCACCTCCGAGTAGCTGGGATTACAGGTGCCCATCACCCCTCCTGGCTAATTTTTTTGTATTTTTAGTAGAGACGGGGTTTCACTATGTTGGCCAGGCTGGTCTCGAACTCCTGACCTCACGATCTTCTGGCTTCGTCCTCCCAAAGTGCTGGGATTACAAGTGTGAGCCACCCTGCCGGGCCATTTTATTTTTATTTATTTATTTATTTTTGAGACAGTCTTGCTCTGTCATCCAGGCTGGAGTGCAGTGGCACAATCTCGACTCACTGCAACCTCTGCCTCTTAAGTTCAAGCGATTCTCTTGCCTCAGCCCCCTGAGTAGCTGGGATTACAGGCACCCGCCATAACGCCTGGCTAATTTTTTGCATTTTTCATAGAGATGGGGTTTTGCCATATTGGCAGGCTGGTCTTGAACTCCTGGCCTCAAATGATCCACCCACCTCAGTTTCCCAAAGTGCTGGGATTATATGCGTCAGCCACCACACCTGACATTCTTCAAAATTTTTATGGGGATTTATGAAGACTTGTGGACACAGCACGGTGGATAACTCCTGTAATCCCAGCTCTTTGGGAGGCCAAAGGGGGTGGATCATTTGAGGTCAGGATTTTGAGACCAGCCCAGCCTACAAGTGAAAGCCCATCTCTACTAAAAATACAAAAATTAGCTGGGCATAGTGGTGGGCACTTGTAATCCCAGCTACTTGGGAGGCTAAGGCAGGAGAATTGCTTGAACCTAGAAGGCAGATGTTGCAGTGAGCCAAGATTGTACCACTGCACTCCAGCCTGGGCAACAGAGCGAGACTCTGTCTCAAAAAAAAAAAAAAAAAAAATTGTGAAGACCTGTGAGGTATGACACTGATAAACATCGCCGGCCATGTGTTTGCTGGTGGGGATGAAGTTTCTGGTTAGGTGAGGGGAAGTAGCTTATCCGTAGGTAAGCAGGGGCAGAATTGGAGCAAGGACCAGGATTTTCTGACTCCTGCAATGTCAGAGCTCTTTCCATGATACTTCCCTTTTCCTTCCTTCTCCATTCATGGGATTGTTAATTCAGCAAATACTTGCTGAGAAATATTTTCCACTTTTGTGGAGGTCATATTCTAGCAGAAAGAGACAGACAATAAATAAACTAACTATTTTTAGATAATGATAAGTGCTGGGAGAATATAAGTGGGGAAATGTAGTAGAGCATATAGGGGTGCGGGAAGGCATGGGCAGGGGAGACTTCCTAGGGACGTGCTACAGGTTATGAAGGATCAAGACCAACCTTGTGTGTATGAGTTGTAGGGAAGGGAGAGGGCTAGGTAGAAGGAACAGCAAGTACAAAGACCTTGAGACAGGAGAAGATTTGGTGTATTCCAGGAACAGAAAGACGTCCCTGTGGCTGCAGCACTGAGTCGTTGGGAGAAAGTAGTAGAAAGTGAATTCCACAAAGAAGGTAGGAGCTAGGTCATATAGGATCTTATCATTTGCCATTAGGATCCTATATCTATCCCAAAGACAATGGGAAACCATTGAAGGATTTTTAAGCCGAGAGTTAATACACTCTGATTTACGGTTTTGTTTTGCTTCATTGTTGGAGGGAGGCAGGAGTGGAAACAGAGTGAAGACTAATTTGGGAGGGTAATTTCGGGTCAGACATCAGTAATCTACTCAATGGAAGAATACAAAGATGAACAATGTGAATGGAAAGAAAGGCAGAATGGTGTGAGATGTCATTCTGTCTTCTGGTTCTGATGAGGCATGCTGGTAGCTATTACTGTGTAACAGATCACCCCAAAATTTAGTGACTCAAAACAAGAATAGGTGTGGTGGCTCACGCCTGTAATTCCAGCACTTCAGGAGGCCAAGGTGGGTGGATCGCGTGAGCTCAGGAGTTCAAGACCAGCTTCGGCAACATGGCAAAACCCCATCTCTACAAAAAATGCGAAAATTAGTTGGGCATGGTGGCGCTCACCTGTAGTCCCAGCTACTTGGGAGGCTGAGGCACAAGAGTCCCTTGAACTGGGGAGGTGGAGCTTACAGTGAGCTGAGTTCGTACCACTGCACTCCAGCCTGGGCGACAGAGTCAGACCTTGTCTCAAAACAAACAAATAACAGAAAAACCAAGAGCCATTTTATTTCTTCATAATTATGCAAGTCAGGGATTTGGGCAGGGTTCAGCTGAGCAGTTCTTCTCCATGTAGTCATCAGCTAGGGTCATTCACAGCTGTATTCAACTGGTGGATGAGCTGGGCTGGTAGGTCAAGAAGGTTCCATTCATAGGTCTGGCACCTTGGTGCTTTTCTTTATTTCATTTTCACATGACTTTTTCTTTTTTTTTTTTTAAATCAGGCAACCTCCTGAGCCAGACCAGGCTCAGAGAGACTCCTACTTTTGTGCTCTTCTACATGGCCTCTCTTTCCATGTGGGCACCTTGGGCTTTCTCATAGAATGGTGGCCTCCAGGTAGTGTTAGGTTATATGGTGTTAGGCTTCAAAGAGGAAGCATTCCCAAAGGAGCAAAAGTGGGGACCACATAGCTGTTAAGGCCCGGCCCTGCAAAGTATCCAGCATAGCTTCTGCCACGTAGTATTGGTCAAAACCAGTCACAGGGCTGGCCCAGACTTAAGGAGAGGAGAAACAAACCCAAACCATATCTCTCAGTGAGAGGAATGGCAAATTATATGCTCCGTCTTTAGTCTACCATCCTTGGCTTCTGGGAACTGAATAGCCCTAACCATGCTGATGGTGCTGACCCACTTTTAAATCTAAACCACAGTATACTATGTTGGAACAATTTATAGGTCTTTATTCCCCAGTGAATAGAGAGGGACTGGAGAACAGGAGGTGGTTTCCTTTTCTTTCTTTCTTTTTTTTTTTTCCCATGTGTTTCCAGAGCCTAACACATACAAGGCATTCAGGGAATGCTACCACTGGATGCACACATCACATAAGCATTCACTGGTAGTTGAAACATGATGTATATAAGAATCCCCTGGGAGCTGTTAAAAAGGCATGCAGATTTCTTTTTTCTTTTTTCTTTTCTTTTTTTTTTTTGAGACGGAGTCTCGCTCTGTCACCCAGGCTGGAGTGCAGTGGCGTGATCTCGGCTTACTGCAAGCTCTGCCTTCCTGGGTTCACACCATTCTCCTGCCTCAGCCTTCCGAGTAGCTGTGACTACAGGCGCCCGCCAACACGCCCAGCTAATTTTTTGTATTTTTAGTAGAGACGGGGTTTCACTGTGTTAGCCAGGATGGTCTCGATCTCCTGACCTCGTGATCTGCCCACCTCGGCCTCCCAAAGTACTAGGATTACAGGCGTGAGCCATAGTGCCTGGCCGCCTGCAGATTTCTGAACAAGACCTGAGCCCAGACCCTCTGAATCCAAATCTCTAGGGCAGAAGTTTTCAGTCTTGGCTGTACATGAAAAGATACAAGTGCCAGGCCTTCACCCCAGAGACCCAGTTTCTGTTGATCCGGGGTGAACTCAAACACATTTAAGTCTCTTCAGATGATTCTGATGTGAGGCCAGGGTGAAGAACCAGTGCCCTAGGATTAGAAGCAGCCATCTCTGCTAACCTCCCCAGATGATTCTGATGCAGGTGGTCCATGACAGGGTGACCAACACCCTTGGCTTGCCCTGATTTTAGCACTAAAAGTCTCACATCCCAAGAAACTCCTAGTCCTGTGCAAACCAGACAGTTGGTCATTATCAGTGGACCACTATTGAAAAAAAAATTCTACACGAAGCAGTGAAAGCCTTTTTTGAGAAATGCCCACAAATATCTACTGAAAGCCATGATTTTGTCTCCTTACTTAAGGGCCTGGGCCAACTGTCCTTGAATTAAGGGGGAAGTGGCTCAGGGTCACTGTTTTCCTTCAGCCCTGTGCTCTGGTGTGCTAGGTCTGTTAACTCATGTAAATAGTGTGTCTGTCTTTGGGAATTCTTTCAGACTATATCCCTTAGTGCGCACACCACAGCTTTGAAAGCCCAATCACCATCAACAAAGATGATGTGTTTAGGATAATACAAGATACAGGATGAAATTCCTATGTCTTCTGCACCATTGTGTATTATTATTACTATTACAAATACTATAATAGGGTACACAAATATATGTAATATGTTAAATAGCTGTGGGGCGGCCCAGACTCTGGTCTGAGATTCCCAGGTTTGTGCCCCAGCTTTGCTGTACCTAGGTATGTAATCATGGATGCCTCTTTTTTGCCCTAGTTATTTACCTGTAAAATGGGAATAATAAAGAGGTCTTCACAGAGCAGACGGGAGGATCCAGAAAATAATAAAAGCGAAAGTGGTTCTGTAGAGTGAGAAGGCTGAGTATTATGATGGTCTTTGAATGGGAAGGACTTGAAGACATTATTCCGCCGAGAGGCCCTGCATGTGACTGGGGCTCTGGTCCCCCTACCCTGAACCATAGCCCACCTGTGAAGTTTCAAGGAAGAAACTTTTGACGCAGAGTGGACCATGGAGAGAGCTCAGGAAGCAGAGTTCTCTACCTTAGCTGCCCTTACTGCTGATGTCAAGTGTGCTTTGCTTCAGCAAAAAGCAAAGCTTTTGGAAACGGGGGTTTGTGAAGGCATTTTTTGTTTTCAAATCTTTTGCCTATTTATTCCAAGTGTATCCTCAGAAATGCAGCCAAAAGAAAACAACCACAACCACAAACCTGTAATATTGAAAAGCCAGTTCTTAATTTCTGTAGCTAAAAAAGCATCCTTTCAGGCTGTAACCACAGAGAGATTGCTGCAGGCCTCTGGCATAATGATGGTTTGCAGTGTGATGAAGGAGGCTGCTAAGCTCTGTGGCCCAGAAGTCCAATCCTGGCCTCTCCAATTACCCAGGCGCCTAGCAACACCACCGAAAGTCTCCCTGGCAGCCCCAGCTGGGCAGCAATTGGCTACACCCAGCACAGCCCGCTGCCCAGCCTCCTGAGCTCCCCAGCCACATCAAGGCGGGTCTCAGCCCCGGCAGGGGCCTGCCTGGTACCAATGAATGGGTGGGGCCAGCTGTTTAGAAAAAACAATTCAGATATTTAAAACCTCCCTGTTTGAATGCAGCTAGGCAAGCGGCACAAGCTCACAACTAAAAGTGTCTGCCATGGAAAAGGAGTTGTCATAAGGGTGTTGGCCTTGCCAGGGCCTTCCTGGGTGAGGCGAAGAAGGGAAGGTGAGCCTGATTTAGTCCTCTGGCTTCTCAAAGAGGCAAATCCTTTTCCCGTCCTGGACGCTTGTGTCCACCTAGAGTCCTCGTCGTAGCAGTGGGGATGGTGGGAATTCCCAGCCCCATCTTCTCCCAGGGGTAGTGACCTGCCACTTCCTCTACAGCTTCCGTTCGGGAATTCACAGGGTCTAGTCTGGGACTGTCTAGGCAGCTGGAGGAAAAAGAGGGAGCTAAGAGTACAGGAAAGGATGGGATGAAAATAACCAAAAAGAAGATTCACACTTCTTTTGTTTAAATTTTTATTTTTATTTTTATTTATTTAGGTTTTGGAGACAGGGTTTCGCTCTGTCACCCAGGCTGGAGTGCAAGTGGCACCATTGTAGCTCACTGCAATCTTGAACTCCCCGTTTCAAGTGATCCTCCTGCCTCAGCCTCCCGAGTACCTGGAAGTGCAGGTGTGCACACCACTGCACCTGGCAAACTTTAATTTTTAATTTTTTTTTGTAGAGAAAGGCTTTCGCTGTGTTGCCCAGGCTGGTCTCAAACTCCTGGCCTCAAGCAATCC